>NC_000007.14:111256779-111881779 GCF_000001405.40 Homo sapiens | reverse complement strand
GTTGTTGCAAATGACAGGATCTCATTCTTTTTTATGGCTGAATAGTACTCCACTGTATCCATGTACCACATTTTCTTTATCCATTCATCTGTTGATGGACACTTAGGTTGCTTCCAAGTCTTAGCTATTGTGAACAGTGCTACACAACAAACATGGAAGTGCAGATGTCTCTTTGATATATTGATTTCCTTTCTTTTCAATATATATCCAGTAGGGGGATGGCCAAATCACATGGTAGCTCTCTTTATAGTTGTTTGAGGAACCTCCAAACTCTTCTCCATAGTGGTTATACTAATTGACATTCCCATCAAAAGTGTATGAGGGTTCCCTTTTCTCCACATCTTCACCAGCATTTGTTACTGCCTGTCTTTTGGATAAAAGCCATTTTACCTGGGGTGAGATGATATCTCGTTGTAGTTTTGATTTGCATTTCTCTGATGATCAGTGATGTTGAGCACCTTTTTATATGCCTGTTTGCCATGTGTGTATCTCCTTTTGAGAAATGTCTATTCAAATATTTTGTCCATTTCTCAATCGGATTATTAGATTTTTCCCTAGAGAGTTGTTTGAGCTCTTTATATATTCTGTTATTAATCCCTCATCAAATAGGTAGTTTGCAAGTATTTTCTCCCATTATGTGGGTTGTCTCTTCACTTTGGTGATTATTTCCTTTGCTGTGCAGCTTTTTGACTTGATGTGATCCCATTTATCCATTTTTGCCTTTGTTGCCTCTGCTCGTGGGGATGCTCAAGAAATTTTTGCCCAGACCGCTGTCCTGGAGAGTTTCTCTGATGTTTTCTTACAGTAGTTTCATAGTTTGAGGTCTTAGATTTAATTTTTAATCCATTTTGATTTGATTTTTGTATATAGTGAGAGATAGGAGCAAGTTAGCAAGTTTCATTCTTCTGCATATGGATATCCAGTTTTCCCAGCACCGTTTATTGAAGAGACTCTTTTCCTCAATGTATATTCTTGGCACCTTTGTCGAAAAAGAGTTCACTGGAGGTGTGTGGATTTGTTTCTGGGTTCTCTGTTCTGTTCCATTGGTCTTTGTGTCTGCTTTTATTTCAGTACCATGCTGTTTTGGTTACTATAGCTCTGTAGTAGAATTCAAAGTAACGTAATGTGATTCCTCCAGTTTTGTTCTTTTTGATTGGTTCATCATTTAGTCTTTCTGCTTAAGTAAAGAGTATTTTACACACCACAATTACGGCATTATACTATTCTGTGTTTTTCTGTGTGTTTACTATTACCAGTGAGTTTTGTACCTTCAGATGATTTCTTCTTCCTCATTAGCATCCTTTTCTTTCGGATTGAAGAGCTCCCTTTAGCATTTCTTGAAGGACAAGTCTGGTGTTGATGAAATCCCTCAGCTTTTGTTAGTCTGAGAAGATTTTTATTTCTCCTTCATGCCTGAAGGATATTTTTCCCCTGGATATACTATTCTAGGGTAAAGGTTTTGTTTTGTTTGTTTTTCTTTCCCCTTTAGCACTTTAAAGGTGTCATGCCACACTCTCTTTGCCTGTAAGATTTCCACCGAATAGTCTGCTGCCAGATGTATTGGAGCTCCATTGTGTTACTTGTTTCTTTTCTTTTGCTGCTTTTAGGATCCTTTCTTCATCCTTGACCTTTCGGAGTTTGATTATTAAATGCTTTGAGGTAGTCTTCTTTGGGTTAAATCTGCTTGGTGTTCTGTAACCTTCTTGTACTTGAATGCTGATATCTTTCTCTAGGTTTGGGAATTTCTCTGTTATTATCCCTTCAAAGAAACTTTCTAGCACTATCTCTTTCTCTACCTCCTCTTTAAGACCAATAACTCTTAGATTTGCACTTTTGAAGCTATTTTCTAGATATTGTAGAAGTGCGTCATTGTTTTCTATTCTTTTTTCTTTTGTCTCCTCTGACTGTGTATTTTCAAATAGCCTGTCTTCAAGCTTCCCAATTCTTTCTTCTGCTTTATCAATTCTGCTATTAAGAGACTCTGATGCATTCGTCAGCATGTCAGTTGCATTTTTCAACTCTAGAATTTCTGCTTCTTTTTAATTATTTCAATCTCTTTGTTAAATTTATCTCATAGAATTCTGAATTCCTTCTCTGTATTATCTTGAATTTCTCGGAGTTTCCTCAAAACAGCTATTTTGAATTATCTGTTTGAGCTTGTGGTGAATGCTGCCAGACCTGGGACTTACCCTGCTCCCCTCTCATCCAGGGCAGGTCCAGAAATGCTGTCCAAGAGCCTAGGCCTGTACTGGGGGACCCCAAGAGCCTACTTGGTGCTCTACCCCACTGTGACTGAGCTGGTACCTAAGGTACAAGGCAAAGCCCCCTTTGCTTTTCCCTCTGCTTCTCTCAAACAGAAGGAGTCTTTCACTGTAATCATCACAGCTGGGAATGTGCTGGGTCACACATGAAGCCAGGACGTCTCAGAGCCCAAGCCCTGCAGCATACTCCCTGGGTAACACTGCTGGTTATTTAGGGCCCAAGGGGTCTTTAGTTAGCAAGGGATGAATCCTGCCAGGATTGAGTCCTTCCCTTCAAGGAAGTTGGCTCCCTTTTGGCCCAGGATGGGTGTAGAAATGTCATCTAAGCCTAGAATGGAGGCCTCATGACTCTGCCCAGTGCCCTATCTTACTGTGGCTGAGCTGGTAACCAGGATGCAAAACAAAGTCCTCTTTACTTTTCACTCTTCTCTCCTCAAGCAGAAAGAAGGAGTCACTTTTGTTGCTGCAAGCTGCACTGCCTGGGGTTGGGGGAGGGATTGTGCCAGATTTACTATTCCCTTACTCACCCCAGCAGGTGTCTCCCTAGGTCACATGCTACCCTTGTCCATGGACTCTAAGCCCAGCCTAGCACTAGGAGTTGTCTAGGAATTACTGTCCTTGTCTCCTAGACTGCCTTTTAAGTTTACCTAGGACCCAGAGCACTTCAGCCCATGGTAGCAAGGCTTGCCAAGAAACTCAAGTTCCAGCTGCTGAGATGGTGAGTCTCTTCTGGCTAGGGCTGGTCTCAATGCTCCCTCCTTGCATGGCCACTGTGAGCCCAGAACAGCTTTATTTTCTACTCAATGGCAGGGCAGCAGTGAGTTCAATGTAAAGTCCCCAAGTCACTGCATTATCCTACAAACTTGCACAGATTCTTTCTCCATGCTGCATAGCTACTGCCGGGGGATGGGGGAGGGGTGGGAGATGGGAGAGGACGTTGGAGATTCAGAACTGTCTCTTCTGCCCTCCTCAATACCTTTTTCAGGGATATGAAGTTAAAACCAGGTACTGTGATTGCTCACCTGATTTTTGGTTCTTGTGATAGTGCTTTTCTTTGTGCAGATTGTTGTGAAAATTTGGTGTTCTGGGGTTGGCGCAGGAGAATGAGCAGTGTAGGCTTCTATTCCATCATCTTGGTCTGCTTCATATTTATTTTTAATCCACCAATTTTCAGTTAATGATTTTCTGATCACTACGTTTTTTATCTCATGTGGAATTTAGTCAATGTACAGATTTTTAAAAAGTCGGACACATCAGCAGGTTTGTTCAAATCTGGGACCATATGTTGCATCTGGCTATCTATTTCTTAAGTGTTGTTTAATCTAGAACAATCCCTTTTTTGGCAACACTGACTTAAAGAGATAAGACCAGGCATCTTACAGCAAACCCCCATCTTTTGGATTCTCTGGTTTCTTCCCTGTAGTGTTGCTCAACATGTTGCTCTATCTCTTGTGTTTCCTGTGATATGGAAGTTGAATCTAGATGTGATGGACTGGGGTTCAGCACTTTTGGTAAGAATGCATTGTAGATGATGATACGTGTCTTTGCATTGCCCTGCATTGGTGTAATGACAGCTCGATTCCCCCACATGCAGTTATATTTGTCTTCTTGCCAGTAGGAAGTAATCTGTATGTCGCTACATTGGCATCATATGAACATCCGATTCCTCTTCAACAATTCTGCTGGTTTTAGCACTAAGCAACAATCCTTGACTAAAATAATTACAGTAGGGATATGAAATTATATTTTCTAAGTCTGTAATTGCTTTTACATGTGTTAGCTGGCGTTTTCTATGAAAGTAGAGATTTCCCTCACATAGTAGGACTCTCAAATTATAATACCTGAAATATCTTCTCTTTTAATTGCCAGTTTTCAAAGTAAGGGAGTGTTTAACAGCTGCCTCAGATGAGATGTTGGAAGAATTTAAGTGTTTTTGAAAAAAATACTATGGTCACTGCAAATATGATTTATTGATCATTTTCAAGGTATCAGGACTGTGTTAAAGGCTTTATATAACCTAATTCTTATGACAACACAATGAGATTTTAGAGAAGATAACGGAAACAGTGTGTAGTTAAATAATTTGATTTGATATGGTCACTCACATGGGAAGTTACAAAGCTGGGATGCAAACTCAAATTAATCTTAGTCCAAAAATCTATGCTTAATTATTTTATACAGTTTTTTTGCATTTTATTTAAAAACCAAATTCTACTTGTAATACTGTTTGGAATGTTTCCCAGTTTATAAACACTAGTAATATAAATTATGCTTAATAATTCTTATGAGATCTCTTCCCCTTCCCTTATGTTTTTTTAAATATTTTTAACAGTGTGAAGAAAACACAAATCTTCAGGATACTACCCGCTACCTCAAACTTCCCTTTTCCAAGGGCATTTTCCTTGGGAATAATAATCAAGCCATGAAGGCCACAAAGGAGTCCTTTTGTATTACATCTTTTCTCTGTTCCACAAAACTCACACAAAATGGTAATGTATAATGTTTTATTTGAAAGCCCTAGTACCTAATAATCATGTATATTTTGGTAAGCATATTCAGTAAACACCAAAGTGATAGTTAAGAACTTTAGAAAAATTATTGATCCTTCCATTTGTGATTTCTAGTAAAATGGAAGCAAATGTGACCCAGTGACCTGTTGAATGCATGTCATTTAAGAAGGACTTCAGAATTATCCCAGTATTGAAAAACAAGTACACAACTTTTTAAATAAACCATCAAAACCCAGATGCTTTGAAAAAAAAAAAAAAAACGAAAATACCAACACCTTAATCTCGTGTTTTATAGCTCCATAAACAGTGCTAATTGCAGGCTTTAGAATAAAGGCTGTTTTTTGTTTAATTAGATGCATATTGCTTTTCAGTTCTAGCATTACTTTTTATGTCAGTGATTGTTTAGCAAGTTATGATTAATAAAGCAAGCTCTTCTCCTTGGCAAATTGCTATGAAAACATCTTCTGTAATGAAGGAAGTAAATTAAACATTTTTGAGTTTTTTATCGTTGTCATATAAGACTTCTGGCTAGCACCCCGAATGCTATATTAAATAAGTTATATTCATTATGTTGAGAAGAATCACTTTATAATGAGGTATTGTGTCTCATAAAAACCTGTGCCTAAACAGGTGTGCTTGTTATTCGTTCTTTCTTAGTTCCTTCTTCTGTGTCAGAGAACAGCATTTGTAGAAGGAAATATTTCTTCTTTTAGATCATAGTCTCAGAAAAAAAGAAAATGTAACATCAAAATTTTGACCACTTTTAAAACACCTCTCAATTTCAACATGCATTGCTACTGTATTTATATAGGACACCAAGTTAAGATATGTTATACCAGGTTTTATCAGCATTCAGTAGTTAATTTTACTTAAATAAAACCTCCATTGGCATAACTCAATAAATGATTATAAAGCATTTACCAAACCTCAAGTATTTTTTTATGGGGCCAGTTTACCCCCATAGAAGTTATGAAGATAATAAAATCAACCTCTTATTGAGATCCTTAAACAGAAATTTTTATTTATTCTATGTGGATTAGGTGTGTGTGGGTAGTAGAGTTTGCATTCATGTTTAACTGAATTTCCCCAATAGAATATTTTGGGGTTGTATTACTTATTTATTGCAGCTGTAACAGCTACCACAAACTTACTGGCTTAAAACAATACAGATTTATTATATTGCAGTTCTGGAGGTCAAATATACAAAATCAGTTCCACTGGGCTAAAATCAAGGTGCCAGCAGGGCTGCATTCCCCCTGGAATGGAGAGAATCCATTTTCTTACCCTTCCTAGCTTTAGAAGCCACCTGCATTCCTTGGCCTATGGCCCCTTCCTCCATCTTCAAAGTCAGAAGCATAGCATCTTCACATCTCTCTGACTATGACCATCTTACATCTTTTAAGGATGCTTGTGATTACATTGAGCTGGATAATCCAGTGTAATCTCCCTATTTTAAGATCTTTAATCAGATCTGTACAGTCTTCTTTTGCTGTGTGAGGGAAACATAATCCCTCCTAATTCTTGGAACAGGTTCTTGAGGCCATTATTCTGCCTACCACACAGGTAAACCTAACAATAGATTCTCTTCCATCAAAATATTTGGTCCTATGTACTGAATTTGTGCTAGTTGTAGAGTTTAGGATGTTAGACACAATTATGAAAATAAGACAGAAACAAATCCTGAAAATTAGAAGTTGCTACTTTTTAAAAGTAGAGAACATTTTCAGGTAAATATGAGTAAAAAACAACTTATGAAATAATTATATTAAACATCTCACTATGTGGAAAGTGGGATCGGAATTCCATGCAATGATTGGCTCATCTTTGGAGACGGATAAGTGTTTCATTATTATTTTGGCTTTGATTAACCTTGTCAATGAGAATTGGCTCAAATGAGCCAGGAAATGCATGTTTCAAGAGATGGGAAGGAGGAAGGAAGTTAGTTGGTCTTTCTGAAATTTACATGCTAAACACACATCTTTGTGTCGAAGTAATCTAGTTCCAAATTGGAATTAAATTGCTATGTATTCATTTTTCTTGACGTGGAAAATATACAAATCTTATTTCTACTACAATTCAGCATTTACTAAGTGATATGGTCTCTAGGAGCAGTTTCATAGAGCAAATTTGCATTTCAGAATTCCCAAAGTGTGTCTGTCTGCACACGCTTTGCGTTGTCCAACATGGACAGTGTACCAAGGTCAGAGCACTATGCTGGGCACCTGTGACTGCCAGAACAGGTAGAGATTTTAAGGTTCAGAGGATTAGGGGTCATGGCATCCTCCTATTTTATAGCTCTTGATAGGTTAGGTACATAATATACACCTAGTAAATGCCTGTTGAATGGAATGTAGAAATTGGTATTTTCTGTGATAGGTTATAGCTCCTAATTTGCAACTAACATCCTCAGATGGCAAAAGTAAAAAGCTAGGATACAGCAATTTTGCCTGAACTTGAAGTATTTTGCATACATGATTAATTACATCCAGATGGACATAACTACTGGGCTTTTCCACATGCTCCATCATGAGCAGTGTAGAGATTCATCAGCCTTCTTGCAGGGAGGATGGGCAGGCTCATCCTGACTCATTTTCTGGACCCCTGTAATCTGTTTTCCAGCCCTACTTAAATGGGCCCTAGTCCTCATTCTCCACTGCTGCCACTTGGTAGCCAGCATAGCCACCTCCTTCCTCCCCACACTCCTCACATTGAGCAGGGTCCTGATGGCCCCTGCAACTGCCTCACTTTAAAGGAAGGGAAAGAGAACACAAAGGAGGAGTGAGAGCTGGGATGGGGGTGGAGTGGGAAGTGAGGAGTGAATGGCAGGGGAAATGCACGAGGGATTATGAAAGAGAAGATGCCAGGGAGGGGAGGCCTCCTGAAGTGAGATGCAGGAAGTAGGAAGTAGGTAGGAGGGAAGCAGCAAACTGGGGAGAACAATAGAGCTTTGCCTTTGTCGCCCTGAGTCTCACTCTGTGGAAATATCTGATATGCCAAATATAACCAATCAGTTTTAAAAGGTTTCAGTCATACCCCAGGATGTCTGAATTACATCTGAATAGTCAACATTTTCAGGGTTTTTGGTTATGAAAACATCATAAATCTCTTTTTCAAAGTCAGTATTTTTAAAATCACTTTATTTTTCTCATTCTAATTCCTCCTCCTCCTCTTACCCGTGTTTGTTGCAGATAAACATTCCTGTTTGGTACTGAATTCCTTACTATTAATAGTAAATCCTTTGTGAGGTTTTTCTCTTGAATCTGGCTTTGGTGGAGCTTGCTTCTCTTTCTCCTTGAGATTCTTAATGCTTTTTCTCACTGGTGTTCTCTATATTCTCTTTTTCTTTCTCATCTTACCTACTTCCTTGGTTTGGGGGGTTTGGAGTTTTTGTTCCCTCATCATCTTTCTGTTTCTCAGAAAGTCCCTTTTGGGTTTCTGCTAAAACAAGTGATTTGAAGTAAATTTCCTGCTTCCCTGCCTGGAAATTCTGTCCTGGCTCCTCTCTCGGCCAGTCTAGTCTGGCAACTCCACTGAGCCCTGAGGCCAGTTCTACCAGGTCCCGCTGCCCTGCGCGTGCTCGGCACACGCGAGCCTTCAGTTCTCACTGCATTCATTGGCCTCCAGATGCCACCTCTCCCTGCATGCGTTGGAGACTAATAATGCATGGAGACCATCTCCCACAGCCTTTGTAACTTCTGCCCAAGAAAGATAAATTTATTCCCTCCCCAGGTGAAGAGGTTCTCTAAGGACCTGCTGGACCAAAGCCCTCATGTCTGTTTAGGAAAGGGTTAAAGAGCTGGGCCCTGTGCTTATCTGGACTCTGGGATGAAAGATGGCCTGTGGAGTCCAGGAGCTGCTCTTCTCAGGTTGAGAGCTCCCTGGATGATCTAAGAAATCACTGGGCCTGTTACCATTCTTTTAGTCTGCAAGATTTGGGTCACATTGCCAAGAAGACCTTTGTTCCTGGGTGGAGTTGGTTGCTAGGCAGAGTGCTATGTGCTGGGCACCCAAACGGGAATAAAGCAGGTTCCCAGCCCTCAAGAAACTCTCATCTTTCCAGGAGGAGGCAGAAAAATTAATCAACAAATATTTGTCACCTGCCTGATTTGTAAGGATTTGTAAGTGCTACTGTGATGTGGAAGCATGTAGAAGGGACAGTTAGCTCGAGATTTCAGGAAAGGCTTCCAAAATGAAGCAACATCCGATCTGAGGACTAAAGGATGGGTAGGAGTTTGTAAGTCAAGAGCAGTGGAGAGGAAACAGAATACAGTGAAATAAATGCCATCCTAGAGAGGGCTAGTCATAGTTTGTGGGAGCCTGCAACTTGAGTGGCTAGGAGAGGGGAGCCACATGTGTTAAGAATTTTACTTTTACTAGCAGAACGCTTTCATGTGAGGACCTGTTCTCTATTAAGGCAATTAATCTTCCTTTTCTATTTTGAAAGGTGATATGCTTGATCTTTTGAAATGGAGAACCCACCCAGACAAGATCACTGGCTGTCTCTCTAAATTAAAAGAAATTGATGGCTCAGAGATAGTAAAGGTATATAGTATTTCATTACTATTTTCCTTGCAGAGATTCATAGAATAAAGAACATTTGGAGGAAAAAGACAGATAGTATCTTATTTACTCATTTGCTACTTCTTTATCTAACAGTTTCTGCAGGATACACTGGATACCTTATTTGGAATTTTAGATGAAAATTCCCAAAAATATGGGTCTAAAGTGTTTGATTCTTTGGTAAGTTCAAATTCCCTTAATTGTATTTTAACTGTTTTGTCTCTCAATCTTGACTTTCATGAGGCTGGTTCAGAAACATGTGCTTAATAATGTAAGAGTTCATTTTAAAAAGAAGCAAAAAAAAAAGGAAAACCTTGATTTGCATTTAGTTTTATAAAGCTCAATTTTCTTTTTTTAGGTTCACATAATAAATTTGCTGCAAGATAGCAAATTTCATCATTTTAAACCTGTAATGGACACTTACATTGAGAGTCATTTTGCTGGGGCACTTGCATACAGGTAAGGCCCTGTATCTTGTAATTAGTTTAGAAGTGGTTCCTTTCAAGCTTTTCTCAGCAGAAGAGGCGATATAGGAAAATTTAAAAGGGAGTGTAGGAAGAAATGGAGCACTACTGAAGTGTCTCTTGAGATAGTCTCTTCCCTGCTAACACACCCTTTTTAAATGGGTAGAACTTATTTTGATTAAAAAGGGAAAAAAACCTCCTGAATTCTATTCCTGAGCCCTAAAATATAAAGTCTTTCCTTCTTGTCTCTGTTTCACTGGATATTCTTTGGTCTAAAATGTCTGGTTATCTCACTTCGGCTGTTAAGAGTCCCACTTCATCACTGTACTCCCTGATGATTATAAATGTTCATAAGAAAGAAATATGAATGGAAAACAACCTTTTCCTTCACACCTGCTGAAAGTCATCCATTCATTTATGTTAGGATTTACTGAGTGCCAGCTGCTTGCCAGGCACTGTACTTTATGCTGATGATGTGAAGACCTGGTCCCTGGCCTCAGGCAATTTAGTCATTGGGATCTACTCTTTGATAGGAGCTGCTATTTTAACTGCTCCTCCTTTTCTACTGGCTCAGGTGGTGCTGAAAAGTTATGAATAATATTATGCTTTGGCTAGTGCCTGCCTCCTCTCAACATAGTTGATAATTGCCAGAGGCCACAGCTTCTCTCTTTTAGTTCGACAAATAACTGCTTAAATAGCCTTGGAGTGTACCCCATCGTCTGTCTCCCAGTCCAATATGGTCCTTGCTGTTCTCCCATATTTCTACCTTATACCTTAAGCACCTGTGGGCATGCACATGCCTGACTGTTCCCTGAGGTGAGTTTAAAAAGCATGAAATCAGGTTGATATCCTTCCCCCATCTATGTAATATATAAAGGTTAATAGGTTATCAGATAAGCATTTGATCCTGTTTACTTGGATATTCCCAGCCATGACAGGTTAAGATCGACGTCTCCAACATCGAAATGAATGAAGGTATTTTTGTTAGACTTGACACTTCATCAGTGTGATTTTTTGCTGAGAGTGAAATGCAACCGCAGGAATAGTTTTGAAACATCGGCCCACTCAGCCTAACAATTTGGGCCCTAGTGTGAGGAGGTTACTGCTTCCAAGTTAAATTGTCTTTGGAAGCTAGAAAACAAGAGTATAATTTCTCACACTTCCGGTTGGCCAGGAAAGCAGGATCTTAAAAAGACAAATAAGGCTTGTGGAATCCTCTTAGGCTGGGGGTGATCAGAAACTCACTAGCATGTTATCTTAAAAAATAGCACTCCACCAACATCTACCTACTGGCACATCCAAGTATTCTCCCCTGACCCAGAGAAACATTGCTGGGTAAACTGTTTCCTAGAAACCAAGAACTGGCTGGGCACAGTGGCTCATGCCTGTAATCCCAGCACTTTGGGAGGCCAAGGTGGACAGATCATTTGAGGTCAGGAGTTCAAGACCAGCCTGACCAACATGGTGAAACCGGGCCTCTACTAAAAATACAAAAATTAGCTGGGCGTGGTGGTGCATACTTGAATCCCAGCTGCTTGGGAGGCTGAGGCAGAAGAATCTGCTTGAACCCAGGAGGGCGGCAGAGGTTGCGGTGAGCCAAGCCACTGCACACCAGCCTGGGTGACAAAGCAAGACTCTGTCTCAAAAAAAAAAAAAAAAAAGAAAAGAAAAAGAAAAAAGAGAAACCAAGAACTGACCAAAGTTCAAGGTGTAAGACTGTCATCTTGAGAGTTGTGGGCTGTTGTTTTTACATTTTTTCAAAACAGGAAAAAAAATTACCTTGGCCTTTCTAGAAATTCTCCTAAGGCACATATTGACATAAGCCAGGTTCTTCTCATGGGTCAGAAAATTGGCTTGATAAATCCATAAGGTGTGCATAGCAGTGGGGAGGCATTGTCTCCATCCCTCCTTCCCACCCCGTTTTGCCTGCAGCCTAATGATATTGCATCCAGCTGTTTACGTGGTCACTGGGAAAGAAATCCCAATGAGCAGTTTTACAGTATTGACCATGGCACTCACACTGCCAGGCACTTGGTTGGGCACAGTCCTTTTCTCCAATATTTGTGTTCACCCATTTGGAGGCATTACCAGAAACAGCAGGGCTATGGAATATGTCCAGATTGAGTGTTGTTTCTCCCTTAAGCTTTGAAAAGGGTGGCAGTGTTGATCTGCAGATTTAGTAAAATTATTATACAGCAGATTGACAGGAAAATGTGAGAACTGATGGGAAAAGAAACCTCCTCATGATATAGTTAAGAGTTGGATTTGTTGGCATTTAATTGAGAATTAGACCAATTTTACATTCTGCACATTTTCCCCTGTATTTTAGAGATCTCATCAAAGTGCTCAAATGGTACGTGGACCGGATCACAGAAGCAGAGCGGCAAGAGCATATCCAGGAGGTGCTGAAGGTGATAACATGCTGTTGATAACAGCAGAGTCTAACAAAGCTGTTGCATGCTGATGCTTAAACTAATTGGTTCCTCTACACAGACAGTAATGGGTGATGATGTATTACTGACATTCCAATTCAAGGATCTTAATCAGTTTGTGACTGCTTGAGAGCTGATGAAATTTGAAGGGGACTTTGCCAGGGTAGTCTACTGGAAACTGTTCAGGATTGAATCCTTGTTCCTCTGGGCTGGAGAGTACTTGAAGTGAAGTCTAAGATGAGCAGGAGAGAGGGAGGGTTTATGAGAGAAGTCTATATGGGGCAGTTAAGCTTAGAAGTTCCTGGCTCTTGCTTCCACCAACCTGACAGAGACCATCGGAGAACCATTTATGTTAAATTTTAAGAGCAAATAGGGTGGCTTAGCGGGGATTATAATGAGGAAACCTGAGGCTTTACCGGGTCTTGTGGCTTAACGCTGCCCACATCGCTGGGCACCATATGCTCAGTTGTCTGTGGAGATACTAATCCCTTACTTGCAAACATGTTGAAAAAGAGTACAAATTCTTAAAGGAATTGTCCAGTAACAGCCCTGGTAGTCTTCTGATTCCTGTTGTTGAGGACCATCCTATTTGGTGTCAGTAGCTTTAAGTAGACAATGTATACATTTTATAAAATAGCATTTTGTGAATTATTCATTTGTAATTTGGGCTGATTGAAGGTAAAATGCTAAGTGGCAAGAGTACTACCTGTCAAAACAAAATTATTTTTTAAAAAACAGTTATCTTTTTGTTGACTAAATTTAAAAAACATCTGAGGGTCAAAAACACTTAGTGTTCATCATACTCCAGAATGATAAAATTTTTTTTTTTTTAATTTTTTTTTTAGACGGAATTTTGCTCTTGTTGGCCAGGCTGGAGGGCAATGGTGCATTCTCTGCTCACTGCAACCTCCGCCTGCCAGGTTCAAGCAATTCTCCTGCCTCAGCCTCCCAAGTAGCTGGGATTACAGGCATGGGCCACCATGCCTGGCCAGTTTTGTATTTTTGGTAGAGATGTGGTTTCTCCATGTTGGTCAGGCTGGTCTCGAGCTCCTGACTTCAGGTGATCCACCCGCCTCGGCCTCCCAAAGTGCTGGGATTACAGGCGTGAGCCACCGTGCCCGGCTAAAGTGTTTTTAAATTTTCTATTAAAATTCTATTTCTTTTAAATTTCTTTTAAATTTAAAGTGTTTTTAAATTTTTTTTCTCTCATTAGGCATCAGAGAAAAGTGGCTGTTCCCCCTTAAAGTAAATACTGTTCAAAAAAGCCTCACAAGGCCTTGGTGTCTACATGAATAATGTAAAAGTTTAATGCCATACCATGGTTTTTATGCCGTGTCATTGCTAAATAAATACTCTTTGTCTCCTTTGAAGCTAACTTTTAAAAATTGTATTTTTAAGGCACAAGAATACATTTTTAAGTATATAGTTCAATCTCGAAGGCTGTTTTCCCTTGCCACTGGTGGGCAAAACGAAGAGGAGTTCCGCTGCTGCATTCAGGAGCTTCTCATGTCAGTCCGTTTCTTTCTTTCGCAAGAGAGCAAAGGGTCTGGAGCATTATCTCAGTCACAGGTAATTTCTTTTCATCTATGCTGAATAGAAGAAAACGATAAGTGCAGTTTATTTATTTTTACACAGCAGCGTAATCAAATGTTTTCTCCATCAGAAGTCAATTGCTCCAGTTTATATTTGTAGCTTAACCAACTTTATGAGTAGACTTTTAAAATTCCCCTACCTTCTGTGTACCAGCTGAGCAGAAGTGGGTTGCCTTTCCCTTCTCTCTCTGCATGGAGAGGCTATTGGTTTGCATCAGCTTCATTTCCGGTTACCAGAACACATACTGACGACTGGACATGCTGTCACCACCAGCCCTGGGGAAGGAATTTCACTAGGGCCAATCTCTTGCAGTTCTTTTCCCCAAGCTTCTCACTGCATTTTAATCTGTCAACTTGAGAATCATTATATTGGACTCAGCTAAGCTGCATGTTGTTTTGTTTTATTGAACTTGACCCTAATCATCCTGGGACTGATCTTTTAAGACCAGTGCAGAGCTGCTGCTGCCGCCAAACTCCATTACCGGAAGTAGCCCCACATGTTTTTTTTAAGAACAGGATCCATCTACTTCCCAAATAGCATGGCCTTGAATATGTTCCATGAGGTAATTCTGAATATTTTCCCTATACTTTCTTGATTCTTCTTGTATACTTTTAATTCTAATGACTTGGTTAAAAACCTGTCAGAAGGAGAAGCAGCCTCTTACCATGCCCTAGAGGTTAGAGAAACTTGTAATCATTGAGAACTGGGACATAAAAAGGGAGATTAGGAGACAAAATTAGATCCTTAACAGTATTGTTATGATTTGGTACTATGTGATGTTCAGAAAGCAAAACACCGGGAATGCACCAGCCCTCTGATAATGTGCTGTATTTTTTCTGACTGTTGAGAGGTCTATTCTTGTTCCTCTCTTCTTTATAGAGGTGGACTCATCTTCCATCTGGGCAAGGATATAACTCAGGCTCTTTTAAATGTCATTTTGGCCTTTGCAGTCAAGAGTACAATCACTGCACTATGGGAACTTGCCAGAGACCTCAGTGTCAAGTTGCCCACTACTAGCTAAACCCTGCTGACAGCACTTGATATTTGAGCAGGATAATCCACCAGGCTAACCATGCATTCCTTCAGATCAGAGTTCTTAGAAGTTTACTGTCTCTACAAAAGTAATTCAGAATTTGAGTTTTCGTCCTGAGATTTTTCTTTTTACCCTTTATCAGTTACAGAGATGAAACTTGCCTAATTCACACCTGAAAAATATTTTCTTACTCTTAAGAGTAACCGTAAGGCATGGTTTCTTCTTAGGGATTCAGGAGACTTTTTTTTTTACCTTAGTTGTACCACTGGATCCTGGAGGTCCCCCTAAGGTGGCTTGGGCCACCGGGGTACAGCAGAGTGGAGCAGCTCTGCTCTCACCTCTTCAACACACTGACTCCCACTGCTCTTGATTCTCTGAGCTCTATCCCACAGCAAATTTTAGAAACAACTTTAGCACCTTCAAAGAATCATATTTGATATTTTTTGCTCTCAGCTTTTAATCAAGAGATAATATGTAAATGTGTCCATAAGGTTTCTGAATATCTTTGTAAACTCTACTGAAGTCATTCTGTTATTTTGTGCAGTATCACTTACCTATATATTTTGATGTGATAATTGATGTTTCTTTTGATGCTAAGAAAAAATCCATATAAAATGATAAAATGGTTAGTTTTCTTTATTAAGCAATGAGAACTTTGCCTCTGTGTATTTGGGGAAGACAAGAAATGCCACACACCTCTGCCTGTACCAGGTTCCCTTTTGATCCCATGCTCTCTTTGCAGAGGCAGTACCACTAATTCAATGGATCCGATGTGTTAGTTTTCTATTGCTGTGTAACAAATGACCATAAGCTTAATGGCTTTAAACAACACTCATTTATTAGCCCACAGTTCTATAGGTCAGAATTCCAGGCAGGCTTGGTTGGGTCCTTTCCTTAGGATCTCCTAAAGCCAAAATCAAAGTGTAAGCTTTCATGTGTTATCTGGAGGTCTGGAAATGAATTTGCTTTCATGATCTTTTAATGCTATTGGCAGAAATGTTTCTTTGTTTTCAGAAGACTAATGTCTGCATTTCCTTGATGGCAGTCAGCCGGTGGGGGGAGGTGCTGTCAGCTGCCAGAGGCCACTTGCAGTCCTTGGCACATGGCTGCTCCTTCCTCAAATCCAGCAACAATATGTCAGATCCTCCTCATGCTTTGAATCTCTCTGACTACTTCTCCTGCTACCAGCCAGAGAAAACTGTTTTAAGAGCTCATGTGATTGGGTGAGGCCCACCTGGATAAATCTCCATATTTTAAGGTCAACTGATGAGTAATCTTAATTACATCTGCAAAATCTCTTTTGTCATGTGACATTATGTAATCACAGGAACACCACCAGGGAACAGGGTCATGGGAGTCGTCTTAGAGTCCTGCCTGCCACATTTACAGCCAAATAAAATTTGGCTCTGAATTTGTCCAAGCTTTACTATTAGGCTGCCTTATAGGCAGAAACCTGGTTTTCTTGCTCCATTTTGCATTTTTTCCATGTGGGCTACAACTCAGGGCAAACCCTGTCTTCTAGAGGCCATCACCACAGTCCTTTGGGTTGGATTGATGGGAAGCTGCCCCACAGATGTATGCATCCTGGTCCTACTGGGTAGGTTCATTTAGTCCTCCTGCCCCAAATGCAACTTGCTAATGACTGTTCTTGTTAGCCCTGTCCTGGAAGGACTAAGGGCTAACCCACCTGGTACAGCAGTGGTTCTTAGCTTTCTATTTCATGGACACACACCTGCTAACCCATGATCCCTAAAAGAAGAAGAATGTCAGAAGGAATAGAGGCCCCAAACCCTGCTAGACAATTCCCAATAGTTATCTTTCCCTGTGTGTCCTGGCTACTAGGAAGGTCAAAACTAAATTGTACTTTTATTTTCACTTGCAGTAAAAACTCTCAGCTTGCCCTGGCACAGCCGTCTTCCTCCCCTCATCACAAGATACTTGTTCTTTATCCTTTTTAATCATCCTATTATATGTGTATCTTACACTGTAGGCACATTCAGATGCCTTTTTGAAGTCAAGACATATAAATAAAGAAATAATGGATAAATTAAGGGATACCTGAGGAAAATCAACTTAGTTGACTTTTCAGTAATCAGAAAGCTGGGCTCATTTTATTTAACTTCATCAGTATGACTCAGCTCTGCAGGGTGACGTGAAGGTTATATAAATGCAGGCTGTAACGGAGAATATCAAGTTATTAACTTTAAATATATTCAAGTAAATCTATAATTTTTAAGAGCCAAGGGCCATTGCTGTTGACTTATAGCATCTGGAGTATTTTGATGGCGCTGGCATCAAAAACAGATCTTGGCTCTTCTAGATATTTTTGCTGCTGCTGTATAAATAAATACTAAAATTCTTAAATTTGAGTTTGAGTGAGTCTGTGTTTGAATCATCAGCACATGTAGACGCGACCTATTTTCTGATGGAGTCAGATCTCATTGGTACGCCAACTAGCACTTGAATTTTAGCATGTTAGAAACTCGTGCCTCCTTCCCTGACTAGGTACAGTTGAAGCTAGTCGACTCTTCTTCCATTGCCCTCCTTTTATGGAATTTTAAAAGGCTGATTTGGTTTGTTTTGGTGTACAATCCTAGCCCAATTTTTTAAGTATGCCCTTTGAGATTTGATGTGAGCATCTTTTTTCCCCATAAAAAATGATGATCGGGTTTTTTTTTTTTTTACATAAAAATATTGTTCTTAGTCTGTACACACAGTTCTTGGTTTAAAATAGATCTTGAAGCAACCCAGAGGGTTCTTGTAATGATCTTTTTGTTTTACAGGAGATGAAACTAAAGCCTAAATGATGAAACTAAAGGGTGCTCAAATAACTTTCCAAAGTCACAGAGTTATTGGAAGCAAAGCTAATACTATGTGTAACTTAGATCTTCTGATGCCCTGTCCTGTGTTTTTTCTTAAATCAGAAATGGAGTGCTTTGGAGGAATTAATGTGTTTGGTTTCTTAAATGTGAATGAGATTTAAGTGAGCATTTCAGAAAGCTTCTTCCAAAAGGAATGAATATAACTGACTACAATCCAGGTCTTGGTTGAGCATTCTTTCTATTCAGTTTTGATGCACTTCACTGATTCTGTGAGGTTTTTGTCAATCCTTTTGCTAATGTCAGTGATTTTCCAAAATTTCCCAGTTTTTATTATGCTGCTGCTTCGTACTTTTCAAAAACTGTCCTATTCTGCTGCACTTTTTAAAAATTTACCTTTTAGCTTTAGGTAACAGAAACATTTCATACTTCTATTCCTACCATTCAAAAACACTTGCCACGGTCCTTAAACTCACTGACGTTTTGCAGCATATTTCTCATGGCGTATCTGGGAGTTGATTTAAATGTCTTCTTCTTTTTAAGGCTGTGTTTCTGAGCTCTTTCCCTGCCGTGTACTCAGAACTGTTGAAGCTCTTTGATGTCCGGGAAGTAGCCAACTTGGTCCAGGACACCCTGGGCAGTCTGCCGACCATCCTGCATGTGGATGATTCCCTGCAGGCCATCAAACTGCAGTGCATTGGCAAAACCGTGGAAAGCCAGCTTTATACCAACCCAGGTAGGGTGAGTCTCTTGGAGGAAATTGTGCCTCTGAAAAGCCATTTTGTATATTTTGTAGCCATTGGTCAGCAGATGCAATTAAAAACAAAACACTAAAAGGCATTTTCTCAAAACCATTGTTTATTTGGATGGTAAATGTATTTAGTAGTCAAATACAAAAGTATGGCAATTAAAACTTTATTTCTGGAAAGAATGAAAACTAATGATTACATTATTGTTTTTTATGTTTAATGGGATTTAACACTCCTTCAGAGATGCTTACAGGTACCTGATAGGATCCTTATTTTTCTCTTTTGTTTTTAAAAGTTTTTCATCAATTTATGTTCTGAAGCTATATGAAACTTTGCATTATTGTTGTTTTTTACTTTACCCCAAGAGCAAGTGGTCAGTGACTCAAATTAATTTTGTTATAATAACTGTTAGTAAGTTCCATTGCCTCTTGTTTTCTTCTGTTTTTTTTTCCCGAATAAATAACAGAGTGAGTACTAACCTTATCTTAAAGCTTATTTTAAGAAATTTTAATCAGCCTCCCAAGTAAAAAAGTTCTTAAAATAGATTCCATTAATAATTATTTTCCCTGACAGGCACGGTGGCTCACACCTGTAATCCCAGCACTTTGGGAGGCCAAGGCGGCCAGATCACTTGAGGTCAGGAGTTCAAGACCAGCCTGGCCAACATGGTGAAACCCCATCTCTACCAAAATACAAAAAAATTACCCGAGTGTGTTGAGAGGTGCCTGTAATCCCATCTACTCGGGAGGCTGAGGCGGGAGAGTTGCTTGAACCTGGAAGACAGAGGTTGCAGTGAGCTGAGATGGCGCCACTGCACTCCAGCCTGGGCAACAGAGCAAGACTCTGTCTCAAAAAAAAAAAAAAAAAAAAAAAAAAGAATGATTTTCCCATATGAATGTGTGTGTATGTATGATTTTTTTGAAATAGTTTTATATATAGTAAACAATTTTTTACATATTTTCTTGTAAAATATTTTATACATACATTTAAGGATAGAGCATAATAATGGCAAATCATTAACAAATCTTAACATTACCACTTATTTGCTTTAGCTTTTTTTGAGACAGAGTCTTGCTCTGTTGCCCAGGCTGGAGTGCAGAGGCATGATCTTGGCTCACTGCAACTTCTGCCTCCCAGGTTCAAGCGATTGTCCTGCCTTAGCCTCCTGAGTAGCTGGGATTATAGGCACACACCACCACACCCAGCTAATTTTTGTATTTTTAGTAGAGGCAGGGTTTCACCATGTTGTTCAGGCTGCTGTCGAACTCCTGACCTTGCAATCCGTCCACCTTGGCCTCCCAAAGTGCTGGAATTACAGGCATGAGTCACCGCACCCGGCCTTGCTTTAGATTTTTTAATAAGAAATTCATCACAGATATACTCAAGGTCCTCCTGTCTAGGCTCCCATTTCCTTCATAGAAATTTCCACTATCAGAGATTATGGTTCCTATTTTCTATTCCTTTATTACATAGCTTTAAAAATATATAGTATGGTTTTTTCTTCTTTACAAATTTTTAAATCATTTCATCTTTAAATGATAACAGTACATTGTATGTCACTCTTTGGAGTGTTTTTTTTATTAATATTATTATTATTATTTTTTTTTTTTTTTGAGACTGAGTCTTGCTCAGCCACCCAGGCTGGAGTGCAGTGGCATGATCTTAGCTCACTGCAACTACCGTCTCCTGGGTTCAGATGATTCTCCCGTCTCAGCCTCCTGAGTAGCTGGGATTATAGGCACCCACCATCATGCCTGGCTAATTTTTGTATTTTGGTAGAGATGGGGTTTCACCATGTTGGCCAGGCTGGTCTTGAACTTCTGACCTCAGGTGATCCACCCACCTCAGCCTCCCAAAGGGCTAGGATTACAGGCGTGAGCCACCACACCCGGCCTAATATTATACTTTTATATTTTTCCATGCCACTAGATATAGCTCTACTTCATTATTTTTTACTGTTGTATGATATTCCACTGTATGAACATATCACAGTTAATTTATTTTTTCTCCTGTTGAAGGACTTTTGAGATATTTCTTATTTTTTTTTCTGAAATAGCACTTCAAACAATGTAAAAGAAAGTTCAACCTTCCGATTTCTCCCAATAAAAACATATCCTGGAGAAAAGATATTTCTTGTAGTGGTTTTCCAACTCTGCTGCTCAGTCCTAAGGGTTCTGTGCAGTGACTCAGGAATCTCTCCGGGGTTGGGAACAGGTACTGTGCAGGAGATGTAGGTCCCAACGGAGCACCCTGCTTTAACTCAAACACCAACCCTGCTTTCACCACACTAGGAAAAGTTCACTCCTGTCTCAGAGGAATTGCTGATTTCTGCCATATTTCTCCCACACTGACCAGATAATTCTTTGTTAAGTTAAAGTCTTGCACTAAAAGAGCAAGACAGTCATCAAAATTGTTTTCAAATGTAAGGAAAATATTATAGGGGTTTGTGTTCATTGCCTCTGAGCAATGTAATCTGTCCTTGGGCCCAGTTCCTTGTTGGTTCCTGATGCTCCATAGATAATAGAGAAATCAGGACTAGAAAGATACACAGAGAAGAACCTGCTGTGATGCGGGATAAAGAATGTTGGGTCCCGTGGGAATTGATGAGAGTATGTACTATGGTAAGGGATGGAAGGACTCATGAGACCCAAGAAATGTTGACCCTGCAGGGTCTGTGCCAGTGCCCTGGAAGAGAGGCTCAGGGCCAGCGTAGGGAAGCTGGTAATTGTGAATATGGTGGCGTGGAAAAGGAAGAGAAGAAGAGGAAACCCTGTCTGCTCATGTTGTGTGGGAAGGTCCCACACATGGAGAATGATTATGGAGAAGCAACAGTGGCTCACGATCAACAGAATCCTTAGCACGTGCAGATGTTCAACAGAGAAAAGGCTTCTGTCACTGCCGCAGCAGGATGTGGCTTGCTGCTTCCTAACTCGTCATTGAAGAAAACAGAGACTGTGATGTATAAGATGGGCTGGGCAGAACACATCAAGAAGGAGCCCATCTTCATGGGGAAAACTAGGAAGTGTCCCTGAGAGCCTTCCAGGGCTCAGAGTACCTTCTGTTTAAATTACATGTGACTACACAATACTGCTAGGGAAACGTGGAAAGTGCTTCTAGTGACTTTGGCATTCTAAATCAGAAACTGTGGACTTAGGGGACTGATGGGCATATTTATGTTGTCTAGTTGAAAGAGGAGATGTCGGAAGGAAAAGAAGATGTGAAATGCAAACAGCAGGCTCCACAGACAGTGTCAGAGAACAGGACGTGATATCTTGAGTTGTGGTTAACTGGAGAGTGTGATCCTCACAAGGGCCTTGGTACATCTCACAAAAATAGGCTGATTCTGTCTGACTGGAGGGGAAAGAAGAGGGACAATATAAAACTGTATAACTAAAGATCTATAATAAAAGAGGGCCCAGTTGTCCACTCAAAACAAAAGGTAAAAGGGTTAAGCCTAACACTTCTGACCTTTCATTTAAAAAATTAACACACGGCCGGGCGCGGTGGCTCACGCCTGTAATCCCAGCACTTTGGGAGGCCGAGGCGGGCGGATCACGAGGTCAGAAGATCGAGACCATCCCGGCTAAAACGGTGAAACCCCGTCTCTACTAAAAATACAAAAAATTAGCCGGGCGTAGTGGCGGGCGCCTGTAGTCCCAGCTACTTGGGAGGCTGAGGCAGGAGAATGGCGTGAACCCGGGAGGCGGAGCTTGCAGTGAGCCGAGATCCCGCCACTGCACTCCAGCCTGGGCGACAGAGCGAGACTCCGCCTCAAAAAAAAAAAAAAAAAAAAAAATTAACACACACGTACACAATTTTTACAACAGCAAAAGGATTTTTTGAGGGGATGGGGAACTTGGAATTGAATGCCCTAGTTTTATATCTTATTTTCCCAGAGATAACTGTATCCAAATGACAAGGGATGGGTAAAAAAAAATTCTTTTATTATAAACATAAAACAATAGCATCACCAAAATATGGAAATAAGACTCATTTTAGATACAGTTATGATGGAGTCATTTCCCATTGCTGCTGTGACAGTAATCGCAAACTTAGTGGCTTAAAACAACACAAACTTCTTATCCTACTGGTCCACAGGGTGGAAGTCCAAAATTGTTCTCAATGGGCTGAAATTAAGGTATTACCAGCATCTCTACAAAAAATAAACAAAAAATAGTCAGGTGTGGTGGTGCATACCTGTGGTCCCCGCTACTCAGCAGGCTGAGGTGGGAGGATCACTTGAGCCCAGGGGGTTGAGAATACAGTAAGCCATGATCGCACCACTGCACTCCCACCTGTCTGACAGATGGAGACCCTGTCTCAAAAAAAGGGGGGAGCAAAGAGTACAGTTGGCTCACATTTTAAGAAGATGAATTTCAAAACCTTTTCAGACCTTAGATGTTACAAGCCCATCAAGACATCTGGGAAGTTCTAAAAGTTGACATTTTATTAGAATCCTGTATTAGTCAGATTTCTCCAGAGAAACAGAACCAATAGGGTGTATGTGTCTATACATGGAGGAAGGAAGGAAGGGAGGGAAGGAAGGAAGGGAGGGAAGGAAGGAAAGGAAGGGAAGGAAGGAGGAAAGACGGAAGGAAAGGAGTCATAAGGAAATGGTTTACGTGATTATAGAGGCTGAGAAATCTCATATCTGCAGTCAGTACGCTGGAGACCCATAAGAACTGATGATATAGTTTCAGTCTGAGACCAAAGGCCTGAGAAGCAGGAGAGACAATGGTATAAGTTACAGTTCAAGTCCAAGTCCAAATGCAAGAGAAGACCATTGTCCTAGCTCGAAGACCATCAGGAAGAGGGAGCATATTCTCCATTACTCAGCGTTTTCTTCTATTCAGGCCTTCAACAGAGTGGATGAGGCTCACCACATTGGGGAGGACAGTTTACTTAACTCTGTCTAGCAATTCCAGGGTTATTCTCCTGCAGAAACTTCCTCACAGACACACCCAGAAAAATGTTTAACCAACTCTCTGGACACCCCATGGCCCAGACAAGTTGACACATTAAAATTAACCATCACAAATCCCAAGGAGAAAAAAGCAGAGGAGGCATGCAAAGGAAGAAGCATGGCTGCAGAATAGTCATGGTTGAGCTTAGAGTAGAAATTAACACATAGAGAAGACAGAAAGAAGGACATATGTGAATGTCAGCACCAAAGAAGGGAATGAAATGTTGTCTGAAATGTTGTCATGGGAAGATTCAAGCCAGGTTGCATTAAGGGTCTCTGGGCAGCCTCACAGCTGGACAGAGCAGGCAGGAGGACTGAATCACCCCCTTAGTCACACCCCCAAGGTCAAATTCTAGAACATCTGACCAAACCTAAAGGACACAGATAACTTTTGGAATCTAAATAGATTGGTATTTAATGTCTAAATAATCTGGGATCCAGGTGGACTTATTTAAAGCATTAAAAATCAGCAACTCATTTTTCCCTTTCTCCCCCAGATTTTATTCTTCCTATTTGCTGAAGGCCATGAATAGAAGAGTCTAAATGGTTTTGGAGAAGACAGCTTTGGCAATGACAAAAGGGTAGATTTGATGCAGAGAGGTTGTTGGGGAAGGAGGAAGTGTAGCGGGTAGCAGAGACATAGTTTAGGGCGTGATAGCGAGAGGTCAGGAACAGGGTCTGCCGGACTTCGCGAGGTCAGATCTGCTAGAGCTGTGGGTTTTACATTCACTTTGCGTTTGTCACCATTGCTTGGTACTTGATGATTTGTTTAACAGATGGCTGGAGTTAATGCTGAGCTATTTTCTTGCTAAAAAATAGCTATATATGTTTCTACTTTGGAAGAATTGAACAGTTTATCAGGCAAATCCCAGCACAGATAATAGAAGTAAATATAAAGACCTAAAGGCACTGATCATGTACCACTGGTGAGAAGCTTGCTGGTACGACTTGCTTTTGCCTACAGACTAAAAAATCAAGTGTTTTAGGGTAGGAATTTTTTTAAGTAGTCAAGAGTAATTGTTTTTCTTTTTGGCAGAAACTCCCCAGTCCCCATTAAGGATTTTGTGGATTTTATACAAAACTGCAATAAAAAATTAATGGAAAGATAGAGAAAGGTAGACTATTAGACTATTTTTAAAGTATACTCTAAGAATTAATGCTCTCCAACATTTTAGGCCATAATATAAAGAAAGGATGTTTGATAGGTTTTTCTATTAATTTGATAACTTCAGGAATAAAATCTTACTACAGTTGATGAGTGCCTAGTAGCTTTTATTTCTTAGAACTATAAAGTGTAGTTTAGTGTTGGGTTTTATTGCATTGCAAGTGATTACATTTCTTTTATTCTTAAAAATGACATTTGTTTAGAACTTTTCTGCTAGCCAGGGCTTGCAAAATAGAGAGTCCTTAGAAAGAATAAAGTTGCAGAAATAAGGGCTTCTTTTTTCTCTAGAAGCAGAGTAATAATGCAGGACCATTGCAAAAAATGTACAGACCTTAGTTTTTTTAAATATGGAATTTGTGATGATGATCTAATGTAAAAGTATATTTTCAAAAACTACCTGGGACCTCAAGAAAGCCTTTGGCTAAAAATCATTAGTGTTTTGTTCCTTCAGTCTCAATCCCTTTATCTCACCCCTCCTCTTCCCGCTTACCCGTATTCCCCTCTGGTTCCCTCTCCCCAGGCTTTTCCAAAGGGAAAAAACTCTAGGGTGAAGCCCTTTCCAGGTGTTCACCATCAGGGAGCTCTGAAAGCACTTGCTGAAAGTTTAACAGTTTCCACAGTTTTTCAGGCTCTTTTCTTGGATTTTATGAAAGATTTGCCCACATAATGATTTTGGGTTTTCTGTTTTTGTTGTTGTTGTTAAAGGCTAAACAGCTATAACCATGTTTAAGTGGATGTTCTTAACCAAGAACCTAGAAAGATGTATCTTTGAAAAACAGTTTCTACATCTGTCTCTAGACAGGGCAAAGATAAAATTAATAGTTTT
Source organism: Homo sapiens (assembly GCF_000001405.40). NCBI lineage: Eukaryota > Metazoa > Chordata > Mammalia > Primates > Hominidae > Homo > Homo sapiens. The sequence goes on along the minus strand of NC_000007.14, from coordinate 111,856,404 downwards.
AGGTAACACCTCACCCTGCACATAGAACTTAAGATGAAAAATATACCTCACTGAAATCATAGTTGCCCCTAGGTTTTAACTGTGGGTTTTGAAAACAAATGTAAACTCACATATTTTGGGAGTCACAAGACTCCCTTTCAACTTAGTTCTCTTACTATGTTTCTGAACTTCTCAATGCGGATTGACAGTATAACAAGCACATTACTGGGGAAAGGGTGACACCTGTATCATTTCATTTCTTACACGTCACTCATCCACATTTGCACAGATTTTCAGAGGGATGGGGAGCATGTGTGTCACAGGCAGCTGCCGTGGCTTGCAAGGTAGTGGGAATTGCTGTCTCCCCGTGCTCAGAGCAAGCACCAGCAGATGGAGTCATTGTAAACCAGACTGATAACGGGCCTCCTCACTCTTCCTGTTTAAGCTGTGTTTAAACCTGAAGACAGAAATGCCAGGCTCTATTTGAGTAGCCTGTAATATCCAGTAGAACTCATGATGGAGTCCATTCATTCAACAAATATTTATTATGGACAGACTCCACAGTATTATATTAGAAATATATTAGGATGGAAATACTATAACAAATTGAACCAATAGAGTCCCTGCTCTCTGTCTGTTTACAGTAAAGCACAAAAGTAGATGTCGAACAAATAATTATAATATGATAAAGTACAGCAGCGTATGTGATGGGGCAAGTTTCCAGGGTGCCATGTAGCAGGGAAATCTGAGCAAATCTTGGGGCTCATTCCACCTGCTTAGCCTCAGTTAGTGCCATCCATGTGCTGACCTAACTCTCACATTTATATTTCTAGGCCAGATCTCTCCTCGGAGCTCCAAACTTGAGTATCCAACTGTGCTCTTAACATCTCTGGTGGATATCTCACAGGCTCCTTAAACTCAGCATGTCTAAAATGAAAATCTCAACTTTTTTCTCTCTGAGCTTAGTCTTTCCTGGCTCAGTAGGTGGCAGCACCATCCACCTAGAAGCCTCAGAGTCATTCCTTCTCCCTTTTGCCCTTTGTCTCTGTCTGTGGCCAAGAAACCTCACGTGCCTCTGTAGCTTCTCCACACCCCCACTGCCTCCTCTCTAGTCCAGCTGCACTTGCTCTGAGCTGCCTCTGTCTTTTCTCTCCTTGTTTCCTGTATTTCCTTTCACCACCCATCTATTAGCCAAAGTTACCTTCAGAAACATACCAGATGATGTCACTCCCAGCTCCTACTCACATCCCAGTTCTGTTTTATTGGGGGGCACTCTCCAGAATTGATCTTCCATGCCCTGTGATGTGGCCCCGTCCACCTGCCTCATCTCATCTCCTTGCTACTTTTCTCTGTTTGGAATCCACTTTCTTCAGCTCCTGCCCAACAGAGTTAATTCCCATTTATCCTTCATGGTTTAGTCTCTCATTTTCTCAAGAAATTTTGGTGCCCCACCCACTCAATTATCACTTTTATAGTACACTGTGTTTTGCTTCTTGAATCACCTAGCACAATTATAATGAAATAGAGAATTGGGTATTTCATTGATTAACGTCTGTTTCCCTCCTCCACCCCAGAAGGGAAACCCCAGAGGCCAGGGACTTTATTTGCCTTGATCACAATGATATCTTTAGCTTCCCTAATAGTGCCTGGTGCAAAGTAGGTGCTTAATAGATGTTTCATGAACACTAGGTACTGACTGAATCATGGGTTAGGGATCGGGATACAGTAGCAAAAGCTACTGAATAGCTGGGTGCGGTCGCTCACGCCTGTAATCCCAGCACTTTGGGAGGCCAAGGCAGGTGGATCACCTGAGGTCAGGAGTTTGAGACTAGCCTGGCCAACATGGTGGAACCCTGTCTCTACTAATGTAGCAAGATGAGCCACAGACAGAACTCCTCAGACACCGAGTTAAAGAAGGAAGGGCTTTATTCGGCTGGGAGCATCGGCAAGACCCACGTCTCAAAAACTGAGCTCCCCGAGTGAGCAATTCCTGTCCCTCTTGAGGGTTACAACTCTAAGGGGGTCCGTGTGAGAGGGTCGTGATCGATTGAGCAGGCAGGGGGCTGCATGCACTGGTAATTAGAATGGAACAGAACAGGACAGGGATTTTCACAGTGCTTTTCCATACAATGTCTGTAATCTATAGATAACATAACCGATTAGGTCAGGGGTTGATCTTTAACTACCAGGCCCAGGGTGTGGCACCAGGCTGTCTGCCTGTGAATTTCATTTCTGCCTTTTAATTTTCATTTCTTCTTTCTTTGGAGGCAGAAATTGGGCATAAGACAATATGAGGGGTGGTCTCCTCCCTTACTAAAAATATAAAAATTAGCCAGGTGCAGTGGACTGCACCTGAAGCCCCAGCTAGTCCCGAGGCTGAGGCAGGAGAATCACTTGCACCTGTGAGGAGGTTGCAGTGAGCCGAGATCATGCCACTGCACTCCAGCCTGGGCAACAGAGCAAGACTCCATCTAAAGCAAAAAAAAAACCAAACAACAACAACAACAAAAAGCTACTGAATAAATGATGTGTATTTAAAAAAATCTTATTGGAAAAGCAACTTTTTGAGCTCAGGATGAGCATGAATATGACAATAAAACAGTGTGTGGCAGGGTGGCTATGTAGGAGTCCCAGGCCAGGAGGTGGCGTAACTACCAAAAGTAAGATGTACACAGTACATGTGTCTTGCTTTAGGAAGGATGCCTGAGGTGGAGGCATTCAGGGTGGGATTAAAGCCAGTGGGTGGGATCTGGGAGCTTAATACAGGGATCATCCGTAGCCCTCCACTGTTGCTTTCCTCTGTGATCCTGACATTGTCTGCATGAGAACGTAGCCCACTGAATCTGCAGTCCTTTCCTCTCTGAGTTCTTGTTGTCTGTATTCCAGTGTCTGAAAGGCTTGTTTGCAGGTTTTGCGACTGGCTCTGACTTTGGCAGTTCAATTCCTGGTGGCTTTGATCACAGAGGCCCATCCCAGCTCTGATGTCAGGCTTTCTGTAGTCAGCAGCTCTGCTACATGCAAAGCTGTGCTGCCACATGTCCTTCTGCCTCCCTTGTTTACAATCTCCCCGTACTGAGGCCGCCCCTCAGCAGTGCCCACGTCCAGCCCATGCTAGAGCCCAGTTTGTGGAATGTAACGGCCAACCCTTGTGTGCTGCCATGGAACTCACAGACCTCGCGCTCTTGGTGACTGATGCTGACTTCAAGGATCCCTGTCTAAAGCTTGTTGATAGAGGAGGCAAAAGTATGACTCCTCAAAATTAACCTAAAGGAGGAAATCTACCCAGCTTCCCTTGTTCCTTCCTAGTCCCGTGTCCAGTGGGGATTACTGATGGGAGCTGGCTGTATATCCACTCAAGTGTAGACCAAAAAAGTAAATGAGAGTCACTCCTTATACACTCAAGGAGACATACAACACAGTGAGCTTTATCTGAGATGTGGAATATGAGTGTATCGGCCCTCTCAAGGAGAGAACCTGCACGGCAGATTCTGTTGTTAAATGCATGGAAAGTTAGTGAATGTTCAACTTGGATTGTTTTATGGGGGGTCTTATTTGATGGGCCTGGTTGTTTTCTTTTAAAGGTAAGAATTAGCATATCAACCAGTCAGCTTGTTTGGCATTTACCCACCCAGTCTATCAATTGCACTGGCTGGCATTGCCCAAGTAATGGAGAAAAAGCAAATCTGCAAGCTGGGTTGTTATGTATTTCTTTGTATACATGCCACACACAAATTATTTGTCCACCTTACTTACTTTTTTGCAGTTGATATTTTCTTAACAATTGGCTGCAAATTGAATTTTTAGAAATCAAATCCCCCTAGCTGAAGGAACATATCAGATAAGCTTTATCTTCCTTTCTAATTAAACATTACTAGGCAATGACTACTGGCACTTAAATTTTCAGGGTTTTTTTTTTTTTTTCTGGTTCTTTTTGTTAAGTAATTGATTTGTAAATAAGTATTTAAGTTCCCTGGTGAGGCTTACTGTTTAAAGAAGGCTTGCAATGAATTATTTTACAAGTTTGGATTTGAATATTCTGTATTTGTTTTCTTAATGTATAGAATGCCTGTGCCTTATGTTGTCTGTTTTGATGCTAAACCTGAGGCCAGACCTGGTTATTTTGGTAACCCAGTGGCAGGCATCAAAAGAAATAGGAGACTCCGGCTGAGTATGGTGGCTCACGCCTGTAATCCTAGCACTTTGGAAGGCCAAGAAGGATGAATTGCCTGAGCGGAGGAGTTCAAGACCAGCCTGGGGAATATGGTGAAACCCCGTCTCTACTAAAAATACAAAACATTAGCCGGGCATGGCGGCGAATGCCTGTAATCCCAGCTACTCAGGAGGCTGAGACAGGAGAATCACTGAACCCAGGAGGCGGAAGTTGCAGTGAGCCGAGATCGTGCCATTGCACTCCAGCCTGGATGACAGAGTGAGACTCTGTCTCAAGAAAAAAAAAAAAAAAAAAAAGGAAGGAGAGAGAGAGAGAGAGAGGCACTTTCACAGTTGTGGATGCTTTATTTGCACTCCTTATCACTTTTAGTAGCATACAGAATCACTTTTATCTATAGATATAGGATAAAATTGAAAGAGGAAGAAAGGAGAATAACACTTACATAGCACTCATTGCATTCCAAGCACTGCTAGCTAATATGATCCGTAAAACAATCCCAGGAGGAGTTACCATTGCTAGCCTCGTTTTACAGATGAAAAGACTGAGGCTAGTATTTCACGGAACTGGAACTCTAATCTAAGCAGTCTAATTCTTGGGTCCTCAAGTAGAAAGAAGGCAACAAATAGGGATCTTAAACAGGGTCAGTGGTGCAAGTCAAGTAGAATTTTTAATTTTGATCAAATGTAATTTATCACTTACCTTTGATAGTTTGAGGTTTTGTACCTGTTTAAGAAATCTGTATCTAACTCAGAGTCACTAGGATTTTCTTCTATGTTTTCTTTCAGAAATTTTTTTTTTTTTTTTTTTTTTGAGATGGAGTCTTGCTCTGTCTCCCAGGCTGGAGTGCAGTGGTGCAATCTTGGCTCACTGCAACCTCTGCCTCCCAGGTTCAAGCGATTCTCCTGCCTCAGCCTCCCTAGTAGCTGGGACTTACAGGCGCGTGCCGCCACGCCCAGCTAATTTTTTGTATTTTTAGTAGAGACGGGGTTTCATTGTGTTAGCCAGCATGGGCTCAATCTCCTGACCTCGTGATCCACCCGTCTCAGCCTCCCAAAGTGCTGGGATTACAGGTGTGAGCCACCGCACCCGGCTTTTTCAGAACTTTTATACCTTTAGCCTTTGCATTTTAGGTCTATGATCTATACCAAGTTAAATTTTGCATTTGGTGTAAGGTAAGGATAGAGGGTTTTTGTTTTTGTTTTTAACATATGTGTATCCAATTGTTCTAGCATCATTTGTTGAAGAAAACTATTGTTTCTCCATTGAATTACCTCGGCATCTGTTAAAGTAAAAAATAATTAATGACATTTGCTGAGGATGGTAAGTGTTACACGCGTCCGTGTGAAGAGACCACCAAACAGGCTTTGTGTGAGCAATAAAGCTTTTTAATCACTTCGGTGTAGGTGGACTGAGTCCGAAAAAGGAGTCAGCAAAGGGAGATGGGTGGGGCAGTTTTATGGGATTTGGGTAGATAATGGAAAATTACAGTTAAAGGGGGTTGTTCTCTTGAGGGCAGGGGTGGGGGTCACAAGGTGCTGGGTGGGAAGCTTCTGAGACTCATTGTCCAGGAGAAGGAATGTCACAAGGTCAATTGATCAGTTAGGGTGGGGCAGGAACAAATCACAGTGGTGGAATGTCATCAGTTAAGGCAGGAACTGACTAATTTCACTTATTTTGTGGTTCTTCAGTTGCTTCAGGCCATCTGTTTATATATGTGCAGGTCACAGGGGGTATGATGGGTTAGCTTGGGCTCTGAGGACAGTACGTCAGGCTTTTTTCAAGGTGAGGGTCATGGTGATAGGTGTGGGGGTGGCTGCAAAAGGATTTTGCAATAAGGGAGAAAGATTGGGCTGAATTTCTAATGTAGCATGGGTAAGTGGGACTTCATAGCCAAGGAACAGAGTCGGGTGGGTAGACAGGAAACATCAAAGATAAGGGTGGGAGGTGGGGGCAGGGAGTGTGCAGATTCTGGTTAAAGTGACCTAACAGGATTCTCGCTGAGGACAGGGCAAGGTGATCAGACATCACCTGGGGATGGTGGAGGATGAGGAACCCAATCAGATATCAAGGGTGTTATCAACTTTATATTAATATATTGTTGGAATTGACTTGCTAAAGTTTTGAAAAGGGTTTTTGTATCTGTACTTACAGATACAAAAAGAAATTTTTTTAACGTATAAGCTCACAGGTTTAAGAGAATGGAAGAAGAGATACAATGCATAAGAAATAGCAGCAATTTTTACAAGGCTGGGTGGCAGTTGACTTGCAGACAAGAGAAAGCTGAAATGTGGGCACGGTGTGTGTGGAGTTAGGGTAGGGCCAAGGAGCAAACTAATTTATTCCACAGAACCTCAGAAGACTCAGGTAGGCTTCAGAAAGGATCAGGAATCGAAAATATCAGGTAGCTCTGAAGATGAAATTGATTCATTTTCATATGTGTTGCACCCTTCATCTTCAGAGAAACTGATCAGCCCAAGAGAAACCATCTCAGATACTGAACTCTGGGGACCCCTGCTCCAGTGGAACACCTAGCTTCCCCATCCTGCAGTGATGCTTCATTAGTTCACAAGCTTGCCTAGGCATACAGAGATTTTGTGATTTCCAGTTAGCATTTTGGTGCCTTACTTGTGAAGATGAATGGACAATGAAGGATCATCAGATATTGGAGAAAAGCCCCTCATGTGAAAAGCAGAAGCCAAAATAAATAAAGAAAAAAGTAATCCCAGCACTTTGGGAGGCCGAGGAGGGTGGATCACCTGAGGTCAGGAGTTCAAGACCAGCCTGGCCAACATGGTAAAACCCTGTCTCTACTAAAAATACAAAAACTAGCTGGGCGTGATGGCACGTGCATGTAGTCCCAGCTACTGGGGAGGTTGAGGCAGGAGAAACACTTGAACCCGGGAGGCAGAGGTTGCAGTGAGCCAAGATTGCACCACTGCACTCCAGCCTGGGCAACAGAGCAAGACTCCGTCTCAAAAAAAAAAAAAAAAAAGTAACTAGGAAGAAAAAGATAGTTCAGGGAGCAAAACTGTTACCAGAATAAGGGTCTTGAGTGTGAGATGTTCAGGTCCTTGGCATTCTGAACAAAGAATTCGGCAAAACTCACAAAGTAACAAAGGAATGAAACACAAGAACCAAGCAGCAAAAATGGGAATTTATTAAAGCGAGAAAGCACTCCACAGGATGGGAGTCAGCCCAGGCAAGCAGCTCTAGGGCCCGGTTACAAAGTCTTCTGGGTTTGAAGTACTTCTTTTGAAGTCCTTTATCTGGATGAAGGATTTGATCTGTGGCTAATTAAAGGCTGAGGTGAATTGGTGCCCTGTGCAGATAAAGGGATGGTCAATGGTCCCTGGTTGGCCTGTGGCCAATCCAGAGCACTTTACCTTTCCATCTAAGAGGTGGTGGAAGGGGAGGGTTGTAGGGAGAGGAGCCTTTGATACTTGTTACTCAGACTTTGGGAGAGGGGGGTTTTTCCTTTTGGTTCAGCTTTTGGAAGTTTGCATTAATAGGCCTTAAGTTCCCTGCCCCCAGACTCAGGTGTTTTCCCTTTTTATCCAGCTTTGGGAAGTCAGCATGAATTGGCCTTAGAGTCCCCGCCCCAGACCATGGTGTTTTTCATCGATTCAGCTTTAGGAAGTCAGCACAAATTGGCCTTAGATTTCCTGCTTCCAGACCCTATTTTCCTGCCTCAAAACAAATTTTAAAAAATATCTGATTTCCTCAGGGAGAGAAGAGAATGCATCTGTGAAACAAGAGTGGGAAGCTCTGAAAAGAGAACATTCAGAGAAATAAACAGGAATGGCTGCATAATGAAAATACAAGACCTGTTGTTCAAAAGTTAAGAATTTCAAGGTGGCAGTAGCATCGCTTTCACCAAGCGTGGGGTCCTTCTGAGCACAGGGACCTGTGTGGCTTCTCAGGTTACACAGCCACAACACTGGCCCTGGGAGGGAGAAAGCTCTTGGAAATAAAATATCTGATAGCATAAATAATAAAACTGAATACATGATTTGGAAGATAAGGTATGGGAATTACCAGGAAGTTGAACAAAAAGAGGGGAAACATCCTAGAAAAGCAGAAGATAGCTCAAGAGATTCAATGTAAATGTAGTTGAATTTACAGACAAAGGATAGAAGAAAATAATCCTAGAAATAATTCAAGGCAAATTCCCAGATCTGAAGAACACAAGTGTATAGATTGAAAGGGTCAAGGCGAGTTACATAATCATGAAATTTTGAATTACCAGGGATAATTTCCCAAAAGCTTTCAAAGAGAGAAAAAACCAAGCAAAAATCCATTCATGTACAAAGGTTTGGAAATCAGAACAGCAGCAAAAACATAATGTTAACTTAGCCAGAAATTGTGATATAACCATTTTGAGAGGCTTGGGGAGAAAAGGGAGTGTATTAGTCCATTTTCGTGCTGCTGATAAAGACATACTGAAGACTGGGTAAGTTATAAAGAAAAAGTGGTTTAATGGACTCACAGTTCCATGTGGATGAGAAGGCCTCACAATCATGGCGGAAGGTGAAAGGCACATCTTACATGGTGGCAGAGAAGAGAGAATGAAGCCAAGTGAAAAGGGAAACCCCTTAAAAAACCATCAGATCTTGTGAGACATATTCACTACCACAAGGACAGTATAGGGGGAACTACCCCCATGATTCAATTATCTCCCACCAAGTCCCTCCCACAGGGAGTTATGGGAATGATGGGAACAATTCAAGATGAAATTTGGGTGGGGACACAGCCAAACTATATCAAGGGGGAAAAAAAAAAACAACCAAGTCCTCTTCTACCGTAGTAGAAAGTCAGTAGGCGATCTATCTTAACGAAAATTCAGGAAACAGCAAGAGAAGCATGTAATTTAGAAATTTAGAGGTAAAACAAATAATTTTAGAAAGATATCTATTTCACCTAAAAGTGTCAAAGGCCTCCTGAGGTAGGAATTGTGCATTAGGGAAAGGAACTGCTGTTTTTCAATATAAACCTTGTAGAACTAATACCTTTGTAACTACATGTGTTAATAATTTAGCAACCAAAATTGAATTAAAAGTAGATAAGGATTTGCCCTAGGTATTGCGTGGGACTCCAACAGATGTGACACTAATGACTCTTCTCTCTTCAGATTCCCGATACATTCTTCTGCCTGTCGTGTTACATCACCTCCACATTCACTTGCAAGAACAGAAGGACCTGATCATGTGTGCACGTATCCTTAGCAACGTATTTTGTCTTATCAAGAAAAATAGCTCAGTAAGTAAATACAGGTCATAGTATATAGCTCCCTTCAAATGGCTTCTGGAAATAAACTTGTAATAGTCTACAAAGAAACCGCACTAAAGAGGAAGCCTCTGAGACCCACTTTTATTTCCAGCTGGGCTGGACTTTTTGCTTCTCTTTGGAAGGAATTTTTTTAACCTTGTGGGATTCTGTAACCCCAAATAACCTGGGTTCCCCAAACTTGTATTTCAAGGAAGAACTGCATACTGAGTGAGAAAAATGAGAAATCTCAAAGCCTCCCACGTGTGTCTTTAATCTTGATATGATGACTGCTCTGTGGCAAGAATAAATTACTGCTTGCAACATGAAGTCGTTTTTGATCCATTCTGTGAAAGGCTACTTCATGATACTCAGAACTTGGCTGTGGTCCTTGGGCCGGGTCCCCTGGAAATTGCAGAAGCAAAGGACAGCCCCAGGAGATTAGGGGTATCTTACAGTATAACCATTACTTGGCCCCACCAGTGATCTCCAAATTGTTATGGATTTGGGGATTCCTATCAACGTGCCTGACTCTTGATGCAATGCAATTGCATTAGAGAATGCACTGCAAAATGAGAAGAATCACATGCTTGCTTATAAATGGGACAACTCAGAGTATTTGTGTTCATGGCTCAGGGGTCTGGTGTGAAATCCACATATGGAGAATATCCTGTTCCACTTCTGCCAATATGCAACTGTTAACCATTTTGCTCATCGGTAACAGGTTTTATGGAGCGGAGTTTGGCAATGAGTGCCAAGAATCCTGTTCCTCTGCTTCCCTATTACCTTTATGCTACAGTTTCCCCAATTTGTCACTTACGATCAGCTTCTGAAGATCAGTGAGGTGGGATGGGACCTCAGTGGAGTTGTTGGAGATAGAGCCCCAGTAGCGTGGGAACAGAGTTGGCAGTTGAGAGAAAAAAGCTAGAAATTCTGCCTCTGGAAGTGTAATAAGAGGAACCTGCATGGAACAAAGCAGTTGACTTTTTCCCACCCCCATGATCCAGGCCCCAAAGGTGATCTGGAACTGAATAGAACAGTGGTGACAGAAGGCATGAATTCAGTTTTAAACCCGCCTCTATAAAATTATATAAAGAATAACTATGCTATGCCTAGTTAGAATCGTTTTCCAAATTATAATTGCTGAGAGTAAAATGTAAGTTAGATAGTTCACTGCACAGAACCAAAAACAGCAGAAGAGAAATAAAAAGAAATCACCTCCACAACTTCTGCTCTGTAAGACATTCAGAGCAGAAACCAAGTCACTGGAGGGAAAATCTTGGTAGTTTTCTTGCAAGTGTAAGAAAATTTATCATAAAATCCTAGCCAAAAAGCTCTTTCAAACTCGTACTTTCTAAAAGTATTTTTTACAAAGAGTGATCTCCTTGGTTAGAAGCATTTGTACATAGAGTTTTGTTTTGTGCAGGTGTAATAAGAACCCAACTCCACATACAGTCAGTGCAGAGCAATTTGGGTTTCTCTTGCAAGTCCTGGGGCGTGGATACTATTAACTTTGCATCAGGAAAGCAGTTTCCACATGGCCACTGACCTTAGATCCACTCTGTAGCTAAGGGTATTTGTCTGGGCCAAACACCATTTCCTAATATTTACATGCAAAGATTTTTAAAAATCATTTTTTATAGGAATAGTCATTTGTACTTAAAGTTTCGGAAAATGACTGATGTAACTCTAATATTGAGAAAAGTAAATATAAGCACAGTCTGGAACCAAGGAATCATAGACCAAGAACAAGGATGGACTCTCAGTGAAGATTCAGGCTCAGAGAGGCAGACTGACTTGCCTGAGGTCACACACCCTGTTGGGAGCCTCGCTGGTGTTCTGAGTTAGTCTGGTGTGCCTTCATGATATCACCCACCTTTTTACTTGTATCTCAGGTATCCATTGCACCACTGAGTTGTGTACTCTTGGGTAAGCCATTAACTTCTCTGTGCCTTTGTTTACTGTAAAAGGAGATCATTCACTTAGGTGAAATCCATGCCTCAAGTTCTCTGACTCTTTGATTTCCCCTTTTCTGTTAGATTGAAATGCATGTTAAACCCCAGTTTCCTGAACATATTATTTTTTTTCTCTTAAGGAAAAATCTGTGCTGGAGGAAATAGATGTGATAGTGGCCAGCTTGCTGGATATTCTGCTGAGGACCATATTGGAGATCACCAGCCGACCTCAGCCATCCAGCTCAGCAATGCGGTTCCAGTTCCAGGATGTCACTGTAAGATCATAGAGCAGATGGCACGTGGAACAGGGCCTGGTTATGCTTCAGTCACGTTGCAGGTGGCTTGATGTTATAATCTGGAAAATGTGGCCTTAGGAGAGTAACCCATCAGCATTTCAAAATCATATGAGGTTACCTTAATTTTACAAGGAAACCAAGATATAAAACATGTTTGTTAAAGGAACTTGGAATAAGCAGTTTTTAATTGCAGAAAGCCAGCTTTGATATTAGTCATACCATGCCCGGTTTAAATTAACCCAAGATTTTATATTCCAAGTCAACTTGATGACTTTTTATTCTCTTATCATCCATCAAATTGCTTGAGGAAACGAGAAGAGTGAAACAGAGTAATAGGAGTCAGGGCCCTGAGTTTTCATTCCAAATTTTTCACTCTGACTAGTCAGAATCGTAACTTTTCTAGGCCTCAGTTTTCTTAGCTAGGAAATGAGAAGGTTGGAATTGGCAAAGTTTTTTTTCTTTTTTTGAGACGGAGTCTCGCTCTGTCTCCCAGGTTGGAGTGCGAGTGTGTGATCTTGGCTTACTACAACCTCCATCTCCCGGGTTCAAGTAATTCTCCGTGCCTCAGCCTCTTGAGTAGCTGGGATTACAGATGCCCGCCACCACACCCGGCTAATTTTTGTATTTTTAATACAGACAGAGTTTCACCATGTTGGTCAGGCTGATCTCGAGCTCCTGACCTCAGATGATCCACTTGCCTTGGCCTCCCAAAGTATTGGGATTACAGGTGTGAACCACCATGCCTAGCCTGGAATTGGCAAATTTTAAAGTGCTTTGAAGCTGGCTTTCTGCAATTAAAAACTGCTTATTCCAAGTTCCTTTAACAAACATGTTTTATATCTTGGTTTCCTTGTAAAATTAAGGTAACCTCATATGATTTTGAAATGCTGATGGGTTACTCTCCTAAGGCCAGATTTTCCAGATTATAACATCAAGCCACCTGCAACGTGACTGAAGCATTTTGAGTCTAATATTATATCTGTATTTTATATTCATGTAAAACATTAAGAAAATAATATTAAGAAATAATACATCTGGCAGTTTATATATGTGTATCTATTTATATATATACAGGAATATAAAATGGTATAGCCACTATGGAAAATAGTAGCTCTACTATATATACAAGTTATGAATCGTCCACTTTCTCAATACTCTCATCATCATTTGGTGTTACCCGTTTTTTTGGAGTGGAGAGCATTCTGATAGCTATGTAGTGATATCTTATTGTAGTTTTAATTTGCATGTCCCTAATGACTAATGATGCTGAGCAACTTTTCACATACTTATTTGCCATCTATATATCCTCTTCAGTGAAATGTCTTTTCATGTCTTTTTGCCATTTTTTACACTGGATTGTTTTTTCACTGTTGAGTTTTTATTTCTTTTTATAATATGTGGTTTGCAGGTATCTTCTCCTACTCTGTAGCTTGTTTTTTCATCCTCTTAACAAGCTTTGCAGAGCAAAAATTTTTAATTTCATTTAAGTCCAGTTTATTAATTTCCTTTTATAGTTCAAGCTTTTGACTCTTTTTGCCTAGCCCTGTATCTTAAATGTTATCTCCTAGTTTCTTTCCTAAAAGTAGTATAGTTTTATATTTTACATGTAAGTCCCTTAACCATTTTGTATGTGTCAGATAATTCTAACAATCTGACGTTGCAGTGTGGACATCTATTGATTGTCTTTTTCATTCAATTTGAGGTTTTCTTAGTTCTTGATAGGATGTGTTATTTTCTCTTATGACCAAGACATTTCTATATTATAAAGCTCTGGATCTTACATAAACCTTCTGTTTTAGCTGGCTTTGTGTGATACCACTCATCAGGGGAACAGTGCCTACATGTTATGGTGAGACAGTGATAGAAATCCAGGTTCGCCACTTGGTTTCCTTTGACAGCTGAGGCAAGAGGGCTTCTTGTTACTGCTGGGTGAGGTGGAAGTTCTGGCTCTGCATGTGGTCTCTACTGCCAGTGTGGTGGGAGTGGCTTTGTTACTGCTGGGCCATGGTGACCGTCCTGACTCTCTACTAGGCCTCTTTGACACCACCCCAGTGGGGAGGGAAAAAATGTGACTTGTTACTGCCAGTTGTGGGTGGAAGCCCAGGCTCCTCCCATTGTTTTCACCAACACTGACTCGTGGGTATGAAAGTACCTGCTCCCTGTTTGACCTTCTCTGGCTCCACTCTAGGAGAGATGTTGGGACACCTCACTACATCCTCATGAGGGTGGAAGTCTAGGCTCCTCACTCAGCCTTTGCAGTGAACAGGTGACTGAGGACAAAGTTTTCTGTGGTGTTCAGCTAGAATAGAGCAACTGCGGCTAAAAGCATTGCCCTGCAGGGCTGCCCTTTCCTAGTCCTTTGGCTGGAGAAATAAGGTTTTTTGGGACTTTTTCTTTTGTCTACCAACTATTGGTCTTTCACAGTTGCTGGCCTCTTCAGCCCCATCTTTGAAATATACGAGGCAAAAAAGAAAATCCAAAGAAATCTACACCGTGCCCTTGCTCAGGTCCCAAGGAGGTTCTTGGCCAGTCTGCCCTCTCTCCCCTCCTGTCAGAGTCTTTTTCTGTTTGTTTTATATTTGATGTTCAGGTTTTTAGTTGTACTTAGCAGGAGGAATAGGGGAGAAGTATGGCTACACTTTCAACGTGGAAGAGGAAGGATGTCTCCTTCACTGTGGTTTTGATGGTGACATTTTAATTGCTTCCTGGCAATATAACTTACATAGTTTGAAAGTTATAATGGCAAGCAAACAAAGTCATAGCAAATGCTGGGCATAGTTAAAGATTGCCTGAGATCAGAAGCTAAAACACTTTTTAAACTGCTTTCTATCGACGTGCAGAGCGTACAAGGTTGTTGTGCACCAAATCTCTATGGGATACATGTGGTCTTCAGGCCATACAGTGTAATAAGTAATGCCAATTACGAGACTTCAGGAAGTCAGTGAATCAGGTCTGTGGGTGGAGGTGGGGTAGGGCAGGCAGAGTGATTGTCCTGTGTACTAAATTATAAGAAAATCACATGAAGAGAATCCTTCCTGCATAGCTCTGTGGTACCCCTTGCTGTGTGAGAAACCAGACTGTCCAGGTGTGTGGGGTGAAATTTTCCATGAAACACACACATAAATTATTTGACATCTTTGCTTTTATGCTTTAAGACTTTTTTTTTTAAGAGTACTCAGACAGACCTAGCTTGATTCCTTCTCTGTCATTGCACTGACTCTGTGATGTTGGTCAAGTTACTAATGTCTCTAAGCCTCTGTTTCTTTAAAACAGAGAAAATAGGCCAGGCGCGGTGTCTTATGCCTGTAATCCCAGCATTTTGGGAGGCCAAGGCGGGCGTATTGCTTGAGGCAGAGGTTTGAGACCAGCCTGGCCAACATCTTGAAACCCCCACTAAAAATACAAAAAAATTAGCCAGGCCTGTTGGTGGGTACCTGTAACCCCAGCTACTCAGGAGACTGAGGCCCAAAAATGGCTTGAACCCAGGAGATGGAGGTTGCAGTGAGCCGAGATCATACCACTGCACTCCAGCCTAGGTGACAGAGTGAGACCCTGTCTCATAAATAAATAAATAAATAAATAAATAAATCAGAGAAAATAGTTGTACTTATCTCAAAGTTAGTGTGAGGATTTCATCAAATCTGTAAAGGTGTTTAAACAGTATCTGGTCTGATACTCAATAAATGCTGACCGTTAGTCATTGTGGTAGCAGCAGAAGTCACAGTCATATCATGATTGTTGCAGACGTGCTTCAGGTATTGTTGTTGTTATAATAATTCTATGGCGAGAAATATGCCCTGGTCTTGTCTTTCACAAAATCCATTCTCTGGAGACTGAAGATCTGTTGAATTTCTTTATCATTTTCTCACAGAGAACAGGCTTTCTGAATAGGGAGTCTTCACATGGCAGTACTACATTGAGCACCTTTTCAGTCTGTGCAGACACATATGGAAAAGTGCCCATGACAAGTAGACACACTGTGAGTAAACGCAGATCCCACAATGTGCCATTGTGAATTCTTCCAGTGCTCTGTAAGCACCATGATTGTTACCCAGCCTCCCAGCCACACCAGCATGAGCACTGGCGTCTGCTGTATCATAGTTCCAGATAACAGAGGCCTTATTTTTAAAATTTAAAAGGATTGTACTTTTTGTTTTTCCACCGACTGTTTTTTGAACTTTAAAATGCTTTCCCTAGCTAGAAAAAAAAAACAAAAAAGCACCATTGTGATCAGTTCCTTTCAAAAGTCTAATTATAGGTAGAAGCAGATTTTATAAAGCAGTATGAATGACCACTTGCCTTGCATTCTCGACTAATGGAGCTCCAGAGTTCCTTACAATTTATAAATGCTTACTCGTTCGTAACTCTGTTAAATAACATTTACGGAGCATGTGATTCTTCTGGGCATAGGCCAGGTCTAAGACAGCTACTCTGATGTGTTTATCTAAAATTTTCATGTGATGTCGGTTTGTGGTGGGGTATGGAAATGGGCCTGGGTTAATTCTGTAAGAAATATGTGGAAAAAAATAATGTATGTGTATAATAGGTTTCGTGAAGACAGTTGTAGCCATCCAATACCCTTGCTATACACAGTCATTTGTAGAAATTCCCATTATACTCAATCTATACATAAAATGGCCACTGAAGACTACAGAGTTTTCAAGGTGATTTATACAAAAGAAAGTTTCACACTGCAGCTAAGTACATCTTGGCCACTGATGGCTTTTTATTTCTTTTTAATAAATTATGAGTCTAGGATTTTCATACAGATACATTCTTAAAATATCTTAAAAACAAAGAAAATTACATTATGGATAAAATATACATTAGTAATTGGAAGTCACCGCTAAAAGACTTACTCATGTAACCAAATACCACCTGTTTCCCCAAAAACCTATGGAAATAAAAAATTTAAAAAATTAATTAAAATTTAAGTTTAAGAAATAGAGCAAAAAAATTACATTATGGATAAAATATACATTAGTAATTGGACATCTAGGCCTCCTAACAGAGTTGAATGTGGTTGGAGTTCCTAAACAGCATAAGTGAATAAATGACATTGTAGAGTAGATGTTGGGATTGACAATAATCATCATAAATGCCCAAGGGATTATATGTCATGATTATAAGTTATTGCAATGGGCATAAGTCAGATATGACAAAATCATAAATCTGGATTCAAACAGGTTGTTCCCCTATGTATATTGACTGTAAAGGCTTAAGATGAAAGTCTATTCCTTATTGCATAATATTTCTTGTTACTACTAAATTTGCAAATAATATGTCATTTTTCCCACTTCAGCATATTTCACTATTCACAGGATTGTGTGTTGAAGTAAATGTCTTAGGAAAATTAATCTAGTAGCTGTAATGGAGACAATGTGAATATGATATGGAAAAACTAAGAGATGGAAAAGAGATGAATGGATTTCTACTAACTAGATTTGCATTTTTAAGTCAAGGCATAGTTAAGAGAAAGGTAAAAAAGTATGAACCTTAGTTATCAACTGATGAATTCAAGTATACTTACTGATATTGTAATTATAACCAAAAACCTCAGGTGTATTTTCTCTATACAATCAAATAGTCTGAGCAGAAGGAAGATGAGTCACTGAGTACAGACTTCTAGAACCAGGGATACCTGGGTTCACATCCCAGTCTCACAATTCTCAAGCTGTGGAACCTGGGGTAAATTTCTGAACCTTAAGAGATAATTATCTTTTCTTTAAAGTGAAATTGATTGTGTCTACCCAACAAGGCCCAAACAAGGAATGAACTCAATAGCATAGTCAAAGTATGGTAATTTACACATAGTGCCATTCCATAAATCATAGTGTTGTCATATGTCTTTTTTATTTTATTGAGGTATAATTGACATAAAATAAATGACACCTGTTTGAAATGTACAATTTTAGTTTTGACATATGTGTATTCCTATGAAACATCACCACAATCAGGATAGCAAATACATTCATCACTTTCAAAAGCTTCCTTGTGCCCCTCTCGGTTCCCTCTCTTTTGCCCCTCCATGCTACCTCATCCCCAAGCAACTACTGACCTGCTTTTTGTAGTAACTTATCTATTACTGTACATAAGTTTACATTTTTTAGAATTTGATATGAATGGAATCATGTAGTACATAGCTATTATTATTAATCATATACTACATAGTTTTTTGGGGGGCATAGGGGCAGGGGATTCTGTCTTGACACAATATATTTGAGTTTCATCCTTATTCTTTTGTATATCAATAGTTTATTCCTTCTTATTGCTGAATAGTATTCCATTGTATGGATATACTGCAGTTTGTTTATTCATTCACCTCTTGGTAGACATTTGAGTTGTTCCTGGGTTTGGCTATTGTGTTCCATTTACCTGTTTTTCTGTTTTGACACCAGTAACATACTATCTTGATTGTCATGTTTTATAATAAATCTTAAAGTCAGTAAGTGTAAGTCTTCCAACTTTACTTTTCTTTTTCAAAGTTGTTTTGACTATTTTAGATCCTTTTCACTCCTTATGGATTTTAAAGTTAGATCAGCCTTTCAATTTCTAATCCCCAAAGCTATGCTAGGATAATTACTGGGATTGCATTGAATCTATATATCGATTTGGGGATAATTGACATCTTTTTTTTTTTTTTTTTTTTTTTTTTGAGGTAGGGTTTCGCTAATGTCACCCATGCTGGAATGCAGTGGTGCAATCTTGGCTCACTGCAACCTCCACCTCCTGGGTTCAAGCAATTCTCCTGCCTCAGCCTCCCAAGTAGCTGGGATTACAGGCTTGTGCCACTACACCCGGCTAATTTTGTATTTTTAGTAGAGCTCAGGTTTCACCATGTTGGCCAGGTTGGTCTCAAACTCCTGACCTCAGGTGACTCACCCGCCTCAGCCTCCCAAAGTACTGGGATTATAGGCATGAGCCACCACGCCCAGCCAAAATTGACATCTTAACAATATTGCATTTCCCAATCCATGAACATGTAATATCTTCATTTTTTTTAAGTATTTAACTCCACCCCTCAGTGTTTTGCAGCCTTCAGTGTGCAGATTTTATACATCTTTTGTCAAATAGATCAGTAATTATTTCATATTTTAATGATATTATTTTAAATTTCAATTTCTGATTGTTCATTTTTAGTGTGTAGAAGTAAAATTTATTTTTGTACATTGATCTTATATTTTGGAATGTAAATAAACTCAATTAGTTCCAGTAGCTCTTTATCAATTTCATAGCTTTTTCTATATACACAGCTACGCTTTCTGTGAAGAAAGACAGCTTTTTAAAAATTCCTTTCAAACCTGTATTCCTGATTGCCTTTTCTTGCCTTATTGCACTGACTAAAACCTTCAGTACAATGTTGAATAGAGGTGGTGAATAAGCTTTGGGAGGTTTGAAAAGTCTTTATTTTGTCTTTGCTTTTGGAAGATATTTTTATATTTTATATTTTGGAAGATATTTTTCTTGGTTAATAGTTTTTGGGGTTTTTTTTCCTTTTAGTTCTCTGAAGCTGTTGCTCCGTTGTCTTTCAGCTTGTGTTCTTTCCAAGAGAAATCTTTTCTCATCTTTGTCTTTGTTCTTCTCTATGTAATGTGCCCCTTTTTTTTCTGAATAGTGTTTTAAGATTTTCTCTACCACTGGCTATAAGCAATTTGATTATGATGTGCCTTGGTGTAATTTTCTTCTTGTTTCTTGTGCTTGGGGTTTGTGGAGATTTTTTGATATACAGGTTTATAATTTTCAAAGAGTTTGAAAAAGTTTTTTTCTCATTTCTTCAATTATTTTTTCTGTCTCTTCCTTCTCTCTGAGACTTTCAGTTACATAGATATTCTGCTACTTGAAGTTGTCCTCCAGTTCACTGATGCTTTTTTCTGTTTTTCTTTTTATTTCAGTTTTTTCTGTCTATGCTTTATTTTGGAGAATTTCTACTGCCCTACCTTTCAAGTTCAATAATCTTTTCTTCTGCAGTGTCTAATCTGCCACTCGACCCATTCAATTAATATTCATCTCACAAATTGTAGCCTTCATCTCTAGAAGTTTAATTTGGGCTCTTTTTATGTCTTCCATGTCTCTAAATTAACATATTCAGTCTTTCCTCTAGCTTCCTGAAAAATTAGAATACAGTAATATAACTATGTTAATGTTCTTGTGTGGTAATTCTATTATCTATGTCATTTCTGGATCTGTTTCTATTGATATATTACTTTTTCTCCTCATTTGCGTCATTTTTTCCTTCTTCTTGACCTGCCTGGTGATTTTTCATTGCATGCCAGTTATTGTGAATTTTACATTGTTGACAGGTGGATTTTTTTAATTTCTAAAAAATATCTGAGCTTTGCTATAGAGTGAGGTTAAATTTATTGGAAACTATTTGATCATTTTAGGTCTTGCTTTTGAAATTTGTGAGGTAGGACCAGAACAGCATTACTCTAGGAGTAGTTTTTCTCCAGTACTAAGGAAACACTGTTTTTGGTACTCTAACTAATGCCTTATTAATTGTGAGGTTTTTCCAGTCTGGCTGGTATTAAAAAAAAAAAAAGGCTCTATTATTCCCAGTCCTGTGTGAGCACAAGGCACTGTTCTCTCAATCCTTCTAGATCATTCTTTTCCTAGTGTTGGGTTGGGTTACTACCTTACACACATATACAAAAATATTAATAATATTGCCTTTAAACTTTTTATTTCTTTTGTTAAATATCAAGGATTCCCATGTTCATTAACAAAGTATATGTTGAGCTTGAAGGATGTTTCTTCTGGCCCACACTGGTTAGTTTCTTGAATATTTACCCTAAAAAATGTATATAGATAATTATTTGTCATACCTGTGTGTTGCAAATGATTATCTGCAAACAGAGATCTAGCCTGAGTACCTGGTTGCCTTGACATGGTCTTTAAGTATTATAGCATCCTTGGGTCTCCCATGGCAGTGGGCGAGGATACATTGAATTTTCCTCACCCAGCTGCTTCTGTTGAAAAATTCCCTTCTCAGGGCTTTTAGTCTCTACTTATAAAGTCTGTAGTCTCTTTCCATGTAAAATCTAAGAAACCAGTTCCCAATTAAATTGCACTTCTGTAAATATACAGTTAGTTACCAGTGATTGCCTCTCCTATTGTATTTGTTTTGTTTTAAATGTTATTACTCTGTTTAAAAGTAGATAAATTCTTTGCTGAGCACAAAAGGTTGCATTGAAAATGCAAGCATTTTAAATTAGAAGTTCATTCAAAAATGCAAGTGATAGCAATTTTATGTAGGTCTTCAAATCCATAGATGCTATGTTTACTTTTTTATTGTTAATTTTTAAGAATTAGAATTTATGGTTACAAATCACATAGAGCCCAAGCACAAAAAGAATGGCCAATTAAAAAAATTGTTTTCAATCTTCCAAGACATCTGAATAAAACTATTTTTTAAAAGGAGATTGAAATGAACATTATGCAACATATGGCATTCATTATACCCTGTGAGTCAGCAGATCAACTCTCTGATGAGTTGGAGGAGGTCATTTGAATTCAAAAATGGAGCATGAAGCTACAGGAAGGGCTTTGGAGGCAGAAAGACTGGGGATAATGCCAGCTCTGCTACTTTCTAGCTGAGTGACTTGGGGCAAGTCATTTAGCACATCAGAAACTACATTTTACCTTCTTCAAAAAGGTATTATACCCCCTACCTCATAGTGTTGATATGAAGCTTAAATGTTAGAATTATTACAGACATGTTAAATGCTCAGTAAATGATCATAAACCCTCGGTGCCTTACCTTCTTTAAATGTGTGAAGTTAGTTCCCAAGTGAAAAGCTTCCACTCAAGTTAAAAAAAAAAATCCTCCCTAAAATTATAAATTTGTGAATACCAAGTAAATAAATGGTAATCATCATAGGGAGTTTTGGCTGTGACATTTTGGATAATTTATATTAAGAAGACTTCACAGGGCAAGTTTGGATCATCGTGATTTCATTTTAACCTATTCTCTTTGAGGACAGTTCAGTGTAAGTTACTGATGTTCTTTTACGTCCTTACTAAAAATAAAATGTATGCTTTTTTTTTTTTTAACTTAGGGGGAGTTTGTTGCTTGTCTCCTGTCCCTATTACGACAAATGACAGATAGACATTATCAACAGCTTCTTGATAGTTTTAATACAAAGGAAGAACTAAGGGTAAGTGACATTTTAAAATGTTTTCTTTAACATATCTTTTGGGTTTATCTTGTTTTTATTCATCACTGTTGAGATAAATCCTAGACAATTGCTTTACCTGTTTCCATTAAGTTCTAAGCTGTTTTTCTCAGCCTCATCCACAGATCTGCTCATCTATATTGGCTTTTAAAGATTTCTATTACTCAAGCAAAGCTATTAACTCTCATTTCAGAGAAGGATATAGGATGTGAAGTACCTGTCATCAAAGTTCAATAAACTAGAAGCAGAATAACAGAACTGAAGAGATAAAAACAAATAGATTAACTACGTGAACCTAGAAACATTGCCTTAATAGAAGATAAAAGAGAATATGTAAATATGTTCACTCATTTCATCTCACTAAAACCATAATGAGAAGTTCTGGCTACAACTTTTTGACTAGGGATACAGAGTTGTATTTGATATTCTCTATCAGCTATAGTCTAATCAATATGCTGTGCTACTCTGACAAGCTGACATTAAATAGGAAATAAGGATGCCAGGTTTATAAAAATCCAGTATTTGCTGAGATTCACAGAACTGTAATGCATCCTTCATGGTTTCACTAAATGCTTGATTATTCTTAGTTGGAGGAATGATATGATCTGTCATCTTCCTTATTTACTTTTATTTCTCTTCCATCTCTTCAGTTTTCTGGACAAATTTCATATGGAAACCATCATATTAGAATTGTTGCTTTTAAGCTGGGTGGTGGAGAATTATAGGACCAAAAGTACAGTTCTGCTATGACATTTGCTTGATTGGAAGCCTTCCCAGTGCCTTAGGGGAAGAAATTGTTGATTTTTTAATATAGATAGTACATAGGGGTCACTTATCTTTGACTTTAACTGGAAAATATTGTATGATCTCAGAAAAATCTTCCTGTTGTTACCTTAGAGAACTTGAAAAGCTGAGTCATATAAAACAAAGAATCATTTTTGGCAGATTTAATCCCTCAGCAGTCAGTCATTTGGCATATGGCATCATGTTTTTCATTCTTACATTGAATCTTTTTTCTTTTTTTTTTTGAGGCAGGGTTTTACTGTTACTCAGGCTGGAGTGCAGTAGTACAATCATGGCTCACTGCATCCTGAAACTCCTAGGCTCAGACAATCCTCCTGCCTCTGCTTCCCAAGTAGCTGTGACTACAGGCACATGCTACCACACTTAGCTAATTTTTAAAATTTTTTTGTAGAGGCAGGGTCTCACTATGTTGCCCAGGCTGGTCTCAAACTCCTGGCCTAAAGAAATCCTCCCATCTCAGCCTCCTAAAGTACTCAGATTACAGGCATGAGCCACCATGCCTGGCCTTACATTCAATCTTGAATTTAGAATTAAAAATGGATAAAAGGCCTTAGGACTTACCCACTCTGAGTACAAAAACCCATAATGTCAAAAGGAAGAGAACTGTGCATTTATTAACTTTCGTTAGAAGCTGTATTCTTAACACAGTTAAAGAATCATTAGGTTTTACTTAAGAAGTCTATGACTTCATATTTGAAAATTTCCCATAGGAAAAGCGTACATATTTTTATGGAGCCTGGGAATTAAAAAATAGCAGAGAAGCATAAACTGAAAGACATGACTAATTATCCAGGTGTTGAGTTTTATGCTTTGGTATTCATGTTAGCAGTAATAAAACAAATGGAAATAATGAATAAAATGTTTTATGTGGACTTTTCTCATTTCAGTCAGCCAATACACCTCTTCCAAGGACAATTATATTACCCTCTTTAAAATTACTGAGGCTGGCGGGGCGCCGTGGCTCAGGCCTGTAATCCCAGCACTTTGGGAGGCCGAGGTGGGTGGATCACCTGAGATCAAGGCCAGCTTGGCCAACATAGCAAAATCCCATCTCTACTAAAAATACAAAAATTAGCTGGGCATGGTGGCTCGTGCCTGTAGTCCCAGCTATTTGGGAGGCTGAGGTGGGAGAATCGCTTGAACCCAGGAGGCAGAGGTGGCAGTGAGCTGAGATCACACCACTGCACTCCAGCCTGGGCAACAGAGTGAGACTCCGTCTGAAAAAAAAAATAGCAAGGCCTTCTGACTAGGAGAATTATTTAATAATATTAATTACTTCATCTGCCATTCAGGAAGTGGATATTGAGCAACTCAAGCATGGCAAGCACTGTGCACCACGCACTAGGGATGTAACCAGGCACAAGATACCCTGTTCCTGTAGGGGAGTAATCAGGCAAATAATGGGCATGAGCACCCTGAGTGGTGAATGTTCAGGGTAAGCACGCGATGCTATGGAGCGTGTGGGAGGTGCTGCCAACCCAGACTCAAGGCAACAGGAAAACTTCCCAGGGGAGGTCTCAGCTGAGAACTGAGGTTAGTAGGAGTGTGCTAGATATATATTTGGCTGGAACATTCAGACCTCTCTATTAAAATATCACCTGAATGCCCCGACTGACACAGCACACTCTCTACCCCACCTTTATAATACTTATTGGAATCTGGAATATTTTTGTTTATTTGTTTATGTGTATTTCCCAGTTTATGTATATATCCCACTGGGCCATAAGCTCCTTGATATCTGAAGCTTTGTCTGGCTCACTGCTGTATCCTTAGATTCCAGACCATTCCTAGCACATAGCAGGCATTCAAGAAATAGTTGTTGATCATTTGATAGAATATAGAGTTTAAGGCTGTATGAATGAGTGTAGACTTTGTTTTGAGGACATTTTGAAGCTTGTGATTGTTTTAAGAAGGGAGAGATAAGATCTCATTTGAGGGAAGAAAGACCTGTCTGGTTGCACTATTGAAAATGCATTTGGCCAGACACGGTACCTCATGCCTGTAATTTGGGAGCACTTTGGGAGGCCAAGGCAGGAGGATCACTTGAGCCCAGGAGTTAGAGACCAGCCTGGGCAATATGGCAAGACCCTGTCGCTATAAAAAGTTTGTAAAAACTAGCTGGGTATGGTGGCACACATCTATAGTCCCAGCTACTCAAGAGGGTCAGATGGGAGTATCGCTTCAGCCAGGGAGGTGGAGGCTGCAGTGAGCTGTGATTGCACCACTCCTCTCCAACCTGGGCAACAGAGGGAGACCCTGTCTCTAAAAAAAAAAAAGAAAAAGGAAAGAAAAGAAAGAAAGGGGATTCACTGAAGTCAAGATGAGAGGCAGAACCCTGTAAAAGATTTTAGGTAGTAACCTAAGCTAGAAATGACTGTGGCTTGAAGTAGAGGCGATTGTGGAGATAGAGTCTAGGGACATTTAGGAAGTTGAATTGGCAGGACTTGATGACTGATAATATTAAAAAGGTGAAGGAGTGGGAGGAGTTGTAAGTGACTCCTAGGCCTTTTGACAATTGGCTGGGTGTTGGTGTGGTGCCATTCACTGCATGAGGATCCCAGGAGGAGTTAGGTATTCAGGTTTGGGAGCAAAGGTAAATTCGGTTTCAGCCTGAGTTTGGTCACCTGAGGGACATTCAGATGGAGATGTTTAGTAAATTGTGCCTGAAGTTCAGGAGAGAGAGAGATGGGTTATGGGATGTAGATCTGGAAACTGTCAGCCAGTGAATAATAACTGACATCATGGGAGTAAATGTGAACATCCAAGGAGAGTGTAGAGTATGAAGGTCAAAGGACCTACATAGAATCCTAAGCCTAAGGAGGGAGGCGTGATAAACAGTGCCTGCTACTGCAAGGAGGTCGAGTACCATCATGAAAGGTTCCCTAAATATTGTTGGTGAACCTGATGGGCAATTTCACTGATGAGGGTGAAAGCCAACTTGTCATGGATTGAAGAATAGAAAAAAAAAAAGGAAAATATACAGTGGATTGTATGCAGTGTTTCAAGAAGAAGAGGGATAAGTTTGGATGTGTAGACTTTGTTTTGATGAATACTTATGATGGAGGAGACTTAAGCATGTTTAAATATATTCATGATTACAGCTGGTGGAGAGGGAGAAGCTGGAAATCTAAGAAAGAGGTACTAACTTCCAGGGTGAGGTCTCTGAGAAGGCAGCAGGAAGGGACAGAATTATCCTTGACTGGGACTAAGATTCTTACACTTTCCCAGTCTAAGAATGAAAGAGAAATAACTGGAGTGAATGCAGGCTAGAGGACATTTATTTAATTTAGTAAAGGCTAATTAGTCATCTTGTTTTTTTTGTTTTGTTTTGTTTTGTTTTGAGAATGAGTCTCGCTCTGTCGCCCAGGCTGGAGTGCAGTGGCTCAATCTTGACTCACTGCAACCTCCGTCACCCAGGTTGACGCAATTCCTCTTCCTCAGCTTCTTGAGTAGCTGGGACTACAGGCACGCGCCACCACGCCCGGCGGATTTTTTGTATTTTAGTAGAGATGAGGTTTCACCATGTTGGCCAGGATGGTCTCGATCTCCTGACCTTGTGATCCGTCCACCTCAGCCTCCCTAGTCATCTTGTTTTAATCTGCATTTTAAAAGTTCATATATCACCTTATAAAAGATATTAATAAATGTTTCCTGTGCTCAATTTTGTTTAAAACCAAATATTTCTAGTTATGTTCCTGAACCTATATTGTAATATTTTCAAAGATAATAACACTTGTCCCTAGACCCTTATACAAAGTCCTTAGTACCAATTTTACTTCAGAAATCAGAATTTTTATGATTTCATAATGATAATGTACATATATAGCACCTCCAATAAAATCTAGAGTGATACAAAATATTCACTCCATATGGGATAAATAAAGACTATAAATCATTCTGGTCAGGTTTTGCTGCCAAGTGGATTATAAGGGCAAAAACTTTTAGAGTAATTTTGGGTTTTGATATCGTAGTAAAGGAAGTGAAGACCTCTAAACAGCAAGCATTTTATATGCAATTTAGTATGTATCAGGCACTGTTCTAAGCAGTTGCTTAATATTAACTAATTTTAATCCTTAAAAGGATCCCATGAAGTAGGCCCCCATTATTTTCTTACAGATATCAATTGTTGACTCAACAAACATTTATTGAGCATCTTGCTTAGACATTAGAGATATCAAGACTAATAAAAGCCTGTTGTTAAGGTCATCTAAATCATTCTTGTAAATAAATATAATATGTATAAACTGCAGTGATATTGGCTAACAGTTACGGAACACCTCCTCAACCCCATCCCACAGCCATGAGCCAGTTGTGGTGCTTAACCCACATTTCATCCTCTCCCTGCCTCCCCCGCCATGAGATTGACTGATGCTATTATTGTTCTCAAGTAATTGGGAGAACTAGGAATTCTATTAACATCCTGAGCTCATTGCTCAGGCAGCTAAACTCAGCTTTTCCCTAAACTTTAATAAACTTTCTTAAACCAAAATCTTTCCTATCAAATTATATAAAATTGTAATTGTCAGCTCTCTGAAGTTAATAAAGCAGTTCTAGTCATAGAATGGAGATATCTGAGAAAGGCCAGATTAATAGAAGGAGAGTTACTTGGGGTTTTGTATGTACATTTAGGTTAGAAAGTAAATAGGTAAAGTACAATTAATAGGGTGATATTTAATGGGAAATTATAAGTGATATTGAAATTAGACACCAAAAATTCCACATAACCCTACTGTTTTAAAAAGTGATAAAGTGTATTTACTCTCCTCCTAACCCCCAACGTATCCTAATCCCCAGAGGTAGCTGCTGTTAACATCTAAAGGTGTAACCTTGTAGATGATTTTGTATACTATATATATACATATATATATATATATATACACACACACACACACATTTTTAGTGTTAATATAATTATTTATATTGATGTATACTTTTTTACATGATAATATCTCATAGATATTATATAGCCCACTACCTTATTCTTCTGAATCTCATTATATGGATGCTACATAATTTAATCATTTCTGATTTTTGCCATTAGAATGGGTCTTGCAGTAAACATCTTGATACACCTCTTTCTGTGGACTTGTACCCATATTGCTGTAGAATAAATTCCTAGACGTGTAATTGTTGGGTCATAGGATGTACACATTTTACATTTTAATTGATACTTGATCAATTATATATTGAGATTTTCAAATGAATATTCATGTTGTTTTTTATTCCTAATGTTGCTTTTTCCTTTCTTTTTAACAGTTCAAAGAAAGGTAAAGTTTGTCTTAGCATTTCCCAGTGGTTCTATAAATCAAAATGAATTTTAAAAGTATGTGGCTCTCAAGTATCTACTAAGACTAAAGGTCTTTCAACTCCATTCATGCCTGAAGAGCCTGGATGCCTCCAGGGTTACTGCTGAAGTAGCTTCTGGCTTCCTGAGCAGTGTGCCACTTCTTCCCCTGTGTCCTTAGGTTCTTACTTGTGTGTGAGAGGCATGAGTCACAGTATCAGAACACAAGTATGTGGGAGCAAAGACCTGAGGGCTGGTACTCTGTATTGTTTTTTTCCTTCTCTAGAACATAATATTATTTTAAAATGAACAAAAGTAAACACTAGGTAGTGATCAAGATTTTTTTCCTCCTTCTGTTGTCAGTAATGTTTTATTATACACCCACCTCATACTGGAGGCTACAGTTTTGTCCATATCCTTGGCATTTCATATATATACAGCAGTGAGACTCCTGTGCTTTGTTGATTATAACTTTTCATAGAACTGTGGGGATCTTGCTATAAGCACAAGATTATACATGAGCTGGAAGTTAAGTACAGCACGATTATAACTGCATTGTCTCCTATATACTGTCCCACTAGCTTTCAAAAATTATATCTGATCAAGCCCCAATCCAGCTTTAAAACTCTGAGTACTTCCCATTCCTTGCAGGACGAAGTCCAATCTCCTTATCATGTTGTTTCTATCCTCAATTTACCTTCCAACCACATTATCCTCCACCCCCTTCTAAACACCTTTCAGTCACTCCAGCCACTTCAAACTACTGTTATATTCCTTAAAAACCAAATATATAATTTTTAATTCCTCTGAATCATTTTTTTTCTATCTGTAATGCCTATTCTACCACCACCTCACTTCCATTACCTAATGTGTACCCCTGTTAATCCCTTCTCTGATTCAGCTCACCCTACAAACCCACTCAGGTATCAGCTTCTCGATGAAGCCTTCCCAGGATACAGTCCTCCCTCTCTGATAGCGTGCAATAATGCACTCTCATTATTTGCCATTTCCTTGTGTTTTTGATGACTATGGGCCATTGAGAGTCGAGACCATGTCTTGGTGTCCTAAGCACAGAACCTGGAACATTAAATCTTTGTTGAAAGAATGCATGCTCTTAATATTCCTGCCTGTTTCAAAAGATTTTCAATATAATTATTTTGACTTATCTTTATTTGAATATATTGATTACAGAAAAATGGTTATATAGCTCTAAAAGATGGACGATCATTTGGGAGTTATTTTGCGTAAGATACTTAAAGATTCCATTTTAAGAATATAAGTTTCAATGTGATAATGATTATTAACACCCTTTAATTGAATTCAAACCTCACATCAAGGGTATTATACGTTTGAAATTTATGGCAAATTTTTTTAATGACATTTGAGTATAGTCTGAGGGTCTGTCCTATTCATTGTTCTTGAAGTAAGAAGAAAATGCCCTAGTCTGTGTAGCAGCCTCATGATGCTTTGTTTTATGGATGTCTTAACTCATGTTTCATGAACTCAGGATTCATTTCTCTGTGTCTTGCCAATTCTGTTTCACAAGCCTAATTTTTGTCTTTTGCCTTTCTCTTTTTTAAAAAAATATAGATTTTAAAAAATTTTTAGATTCAGGTGGTACATGTGCAGGTTTGTTAATGAATATATTGCGTGATGCTGAGGTTTGGGCCCCAGTTGAGTCCATCACCCAAATAGTGAATGTAGTACCCAATAGGTAGTTTTTCAGCCCTTTTCTTTCTCCCTCCCTCCCTTCTTTTGTAATCCCCCATGTCTGTTCCCATTTTTATGTCAGTGTGTATCCAATGATTAGCTCTCACTTATAAGTGAGAACGCAGTATTTGGTTTTCTGTTTCCATGTTAATTCACTTAGGATAATGGCCTCTAGCTGCATCTGTGCTGCAGCAAAGGACATGATTTTGTTCTTTTTTTGTGGCTGCATAGTATTCCATGGTGTAAATGTACCACATTTTTTAAGCCTATCCTGTCTTGTGTCTTTCTTAATATCATAGTATCATATGTAAGCACAAAACAATTTTTATATGGTACAGTTAAAAAATCTAAAACACAAATTCGATCCTCTCAAACATCTGCATAATACCCCTCAGTGTCTCCACAATGCCTGCAGGATAAATGTCCAGACTCCTTACTATGGAAAAAGTTATGAAATATGTCTATCTTTTATTTATCCCTATTTATCTTTCAGCCCTATGTCTTGCCACTGCTCCTTGCAGTCCAGGCAACCCTGTGCTCTCTCTTGCTTCTGAGGCCTACAGGTGTTGTTCCCTCTGTGTGGAATACCTGACCTTCAGACTTATTCACATTTTCAAAGCATACATGTATCTGTGTGGTTTTTAGATTAACATTTATCTCTCCCACTAAACTGTGAACTCCACGAAAGCAAAGAGCACATTTAACCTACTTACTATTGTGTGGCATGTTCCAGACACTCCATAAACACCTGCTGCATGAATAAATAAAAGAATGTCTCTTACCAGGTATCCCCAGCATCTAACACAGTGCCTGGCACATAGTAAAGCACCCGATATTTATAAATCAGTACATGTTAGTGATCATTTCTAAAATCATAACAACTGTTCCTACTTTGTTTTATATTTAATTATGGGACTTTTTATTGTTTTGGAAGACTTTCACAAGACCTTTCTTACTTGAACCTCTCTCTTACTTGAACCTCTGCAGAAAAAATACTTCTATAAAATAACACCTCCCTGTTTCTTTTTTATCTTGAACCCTGATTTGAAGAATACCAATAATACAGTTTAACCATGTTAAATAATTTAACCTGCTTAAGTGACCATGTTGTGCTGTATGATGTAAAACAGAAAAAGAAACTGCTCCCATTCTGCCAGGTTTTAAATGGTAGCATATGAAGCACTTATTTCTTTGTGCTGTCCAAGCAGGAATATTATAGGCATGGCAATGTTCTTTTTCAAATTATAAAAAGAATCTGTTACTTAGTTGTATGTGCAAAATAACCACATCTATCTATGCAAAAACACATATTTAGTGAAATGACCAGAGTTGAAAAGTACTCGGAGAGGACAGTCAAGGAAATACCACTGTATTTTGGGTGGGAGGGAGGGAAATGTTAAAGAATCTAGCATTGAGGTCATATTGCTTTCGAGTATTGGAACTGAGTTTGGAATAAACCCTGTTGCATGGCAGTAGACAAAGACTTGCTAAACTAAATTACATGTAAATACTAAAATGGAAGGTATTTGTGTTATGACAACATGATATGATGAAACATTTGCCTACATTTTAGAAGTAAGAAAAATGTGGAGATGCCTTTTGAATAACTAAATGATCATACTGATTTTTTTTAATCTCCTCTAACTACAAGAGACCTCAAAGCCCCCACATTTTACAAGTATGGGAACTCACTCCCAGAGAGGTTAAACAAATTGCCAAGGTCATTGGGCTAGTTAATTGCATAGCCAGGATTTAAAATCTAGGTTTTCTGATCCTCATTATTGTGCTCTTTTATTTTTCTTATAAGGTTTCTACTGTTGAATATGTTTGGTTTTATAAATGTCAATGAAGCTTGAATGGATACTGTAGAAAACTACTTGAGACACTGAAAAGTTTTCTTGGGGGAAATAAAGATTTATGTCAGTTCACAGGCATTGGCAATGTCACATGCTGCCACAGCCTTTTATAGTGGGAGATAAATGTGACTAGGAAAATGAGATAGCACAGAAACAGGTCATCTATCCCCAACTCCTTCACCTGCAATACTGTTTCCTTTGTCCCCAGCACTACAAAAGAAAACTCAAGTTGCTAGCTGGTAAGATAGATGTTTTGCCTCCTATAGCCAATCTTTTCAGCCAGTATTTTTCCTCCTTTCAACTGACAGCACAGTCCCCCACCCCACACACCACATACACACATACATACACACCACCACTACCACTAAGAGTGCTGCCTCCAGTTTCCAGTTCTCTTACAACTTTTGAGGCGAGAAGATAAAACTTCAGCATGTTAGAATTTATTTGTACTGTTCCTAACTAATTGTAGACCATAAAGCCAAAGAATCCCCACTCTCATGACTTTCACATCTATCTAAGCAAATGCACCAAGATAGGAAACTGAAGTGGGGTATAACTCTTTCAAAGATAAATGCACAAGCCATTTTTGCAGGGATTATATATAATATATATACATATATATGTCTGAGTAACTCAAAAGAATCAACTGAGAAACCATTAAAATAAGTTTCAGAAATGCATTAGAAAGGGCTTCTCACAGTTTTAGTAAGCTAATGACCTACTCTCCCAAGAGAGCTAGAATGTGAAGTGTTTCCCAAAATTATGTGACCTACAGTGAAATACATTTGGCAAACTCTGCTTCCAGTGATTCTGGAGACATGGACCGGATCTGTCTAGCCATTTAAAGATGGATGACCTAGTGGGCATGTTTCCACATGGCGCATACTACATATCAACATATGTGTGTTGATGCCAAAGAAGCTAAAATAAGTTCTTGTCAAAATATTTATGGACTTGATTGAAGTTGTTAGCGTATATAAAAAGAAAATAAAGCTACCACATGGTTTTTAGTTTTTAGATTTTTTCTGTCTTCTGTGCACATGAGTGACAACCATAATCTTACATTCAAGCAGCTTACATGTTTAACGTAATGTGTCATTGTATTTGATAAATAAAACTCTTGTGTTTGGGGTTGCTTTTTATTTTTGAAGCAACACCATATCGTTATCTTCAATCAGATTGTTAGAGAAATATATTTTCCTAGAATCACTTAGGTTACCAAAAACTCTTTAAGTTTTCTAGTTAATAAATCTAAATCAAAGCTAGATTGAGCTAATCCCTTTTTGAGTAGGGAAAGCTCATTTCATTCATTGTGTGTGGTACATTATCTCCTTGATTCCACTTTAAGTATTGTATGCTATAGCGCATTTGACCCTATCTCTTGTAATGTTGAAGGAAGCAATATACCGGCCAGGCCTGGTGGCTCATGCCTGGAATCCCAGCACTTTGGGAGGCCGAGGTGGGCGGATCACCTGAGGTCAGGAGTTCAAGACCAGCCTGGTCAACATGGTGAAACCCCGTCTCTACTAAAAATACAAAAAATTAGCTGGACGTGGTGGCAGGCGCCTGTGGTCTCAGCTACTCGGGAGGCTGAGGCAGGAGAATGGCTTGAACCCGGGAGGTGGAGGTTGCAGTGAGCCGAGATCACGCCACTGCACTCTAGCCTGGCGACAGAGCAAGACTCCGTCTAAAAAAAAAAAAAAAAAAAAAAGTAATATTTCCATGTCTGATGATAGCTTCTTGTCAAGAGTGTTTTCAGGTGATCGATTTAAAGATAACATCTCAGTAAATACTACTACCATCTCGCATGGCATCTTTGTGAGGAATATATTGATAATCTCATAACTACTAAGCACTCCTCACTGGGCTGGACTTAGCACATATCCTCATTTGAATGTATTGTGCACAGCACACTCTGGAAAATTCACTCAAATTCTATAAACCTGCATACATTCCATTAATACTGCATCTCAAGAATGCCCTGTAAGAAAAATAGGTTTTTGTATGAGATGCTTTTTGATGAGCATAACTTTCTAAAATTTGACACCCTCTTAAAGGAAAGCAGAGCTGAGCCAGGACTGTTCATTGTTCTCCTGCATTGAAAAGTTCTGATGTTTAAGATGCTATAATAGAAGAAAGGGAATGTATTTCCCTGTTAATCTTCTGTTACAAGTTTTCCACTTTATTTTCAAAACCCTAAATTGTTAGAACCTGTGGAGAGAAATAAAAACTCATTTTCACTGTGCCCAAGAAAGAAAAGAAAACATTTGGGTGGGTTTGAGTCCTGAGAATGGGAAGGGTCATGACTCCTTCCCTTGGGCAAACTGTTAAACTATGGCTCCCTTCTCTATAATTGCTTTGGAAATGGTAACAGTACAACAGTACTGCCTGTGTATGTGCGTATGTATGTTGACAGTTACAATAAACCAATAAAATGATCTATTTTCTCCTTATCCAAGGATTTCCTGCTGCAGATATTTACTGTGTTCCGAATATTGATACGCCCGGAGATGTTTCCAAAGGACTGGACTGTTATGCGCTTGGTTGCTAACAAGTAAGACATTTAAGTTGATGATAATTGCAGCTCAATGTATAGAGGAAGAAGGGAGTACAAAATTATCTTTTTCATTTGATCTCAAGTTTGCAGTTTTTTTTTTGCCTCTGAATTAAGCCTTTAAAAAAATGTTACCACTTGTTTAGAATTACTATTTCCTTTGTATATATTAACATCATTCAGAAATCGAACAACATAATAGCATATGCATTGAGAAGTTCTGTTCCCATTGACCCTCTTCCCCTAGGCTGTATAACCACTTGTATTTGTTTCTTACATGTCCTCCTAGTGTTCCTTTATACAGAGACCAGCAGGTAATGTAATATACACACTGTTCTGTATAATGCTCTTAAGAAATCCTGGCAATCTTTCCAAATTAATAGATAGAAAGCCTTTCATTCTTCTGTGTATTTTCCTTTACAGCTGAATAATATTGCATTGAATGACCATACCATAGTTTATTTAACCAATTCTCTGTTACTAGAAATTTGAATCATTTCTGATCTTTCTTAATTCTTCTCAACAAAATACATACATGAAGCATCTGCTCAACACTGGGAATAAGACATGACCTTTGAGTTGGACACATGGAGATTGACGTTCTTTTTATTCATCCAAGTGGTATGGCCAATAGAGAGCTGAAAATACTGCCCCGAGGAAACTTCAGAACAAAATACAGGCATTTGGGAGGTTATTGACATAAAGTCGATATTGGAATCTCTAGAAGATGATAAATTCAGTTTATATTAAGCATATCCAGCATGATCTGAGAGCAATACTAGAAGAGAGAGGAGGCAGGAAAGGATATTAGGGCAGTCGGAATGGCAGGAGCTGATCCCGGAGAGTACAGTGTCATGGATTTATCTGCTCTCTCCACTTCCTGTCTCCATAGTCTCAAGATACAGAATGGAAAAGTGTTCTAGGAAACTGGCCTGGTCTTCACTTCCAAGCTTGTTATTTACCCTATTTCATTAGCATTGTCACTCTCCAAGCCCACATTTGCCTGCTTCCCCTTCTTCCTCTTTTCCAAACGCCAACACCCTCATGCTCAGGATGAAGGTTGGATTCTCTAAGCATCTATCTGTAGGCCACGGTCGCCCTGTGTTTTCTCCAGATGGCAAGCTTTGATGGTGGTGAGAGCTGCAGGAATATAGGATTCGATTTTGATTATATATGCTCAATATGGCTTCTGCTGCAGTATACATTTATAGACTTGGAGGTGTTAAAATGATGTGTTAAAAACTTTGTGAAGTAACAAATAGTATAACATAGCATATTATATTTTACATAAGTACAGAAGCAGCTTTTCCATTTTGAAGATTGAGAGTGTTGAAATAGCTCTCTTTAGAATTTAACATATTTAGTTTGATATCTGTGAGTAGAATCAAATATCTATTCATTTGGTTGTCCGCATGCTACAGATTTAGGTGGGAGTTTTTGCTCATTCATCTGGCCTTATAACCAAAGAGCAAACATTCTGGGTACCTAGGAAGGGCTGTGAGGTAATCCAAGGAGCCAGATGGGAAGAGGTCCAGGCTATGGACATCATCATCACGCAGCATCAACATTTGGTCATTCTGCCTGACTCATGTGCAGAGGAATATTTTGGATTGAATTAAAATTTCAGTGGTAGAAATTCAAACTGAAAGTAACATTGACATTTTATTCCTTACATATACAATTTCTGCTTAAGCTTGCCTAAAATTGTAACAACCATGTGGCTTTTTGATATTAAATACTGCCTCTCTCTGCCCCATCGTTACTTCAGTTTTAAAGACTTTATGGTCACACAAATGGATAGCAGTCTGAGAGTATAGATTCTACCTTTGCGTAAACACACACTGTTCAGAATTTTCATTTACAGTGTTAACCAAATAGGAAGATGATTTTGTTAGAGATGAGCTCTGTGTAATACATTTAAACAGAAGGTTACTCCCATAGCAAACCCAAGAAATGTGCCATCACCCTTTGCTAAATGTGGTGACTTCATTCCATTGCCACCCATGTGAGTGCTGGTAGGAGTCTGGCGCTGCCTCTCCACTGGCAATGGCTGGTGGCTGCAAGTCCAACCTCATTCATGGACAGGACTCCAGGAACTAGAGAGACCACTGCCAAGTTGGAGCAGCCAGTCTGCTGTATGTTCTTGCTCTTGCCTCTTCTTTCCTCTCCTCTCCTCTTTTAATAGTCTCTAACCATTCTCCTCCATTCAAGTCATGAAAGCAGATGAGGTTTGCTTTGCTTCATAAATGCAGCATAGTCTGAAAATTAGCCCTCTACTATTTGTGCTTTATCTATGAAAAATATTAACCCATATAATATTGGTAGAAAAGTAGATTTCTGAAAGATGTTAAGGACATCTTAAATACGTTAAAGAGCATACACTAGGAAGAAAAAGTTTCCGCTTGGCTAAACCATGTTGAAGCACGTTGCAGGAGTTACATCTATGTCTCTGAAGTTGACCACCTTTTCTTCCATAGTTTCAACTTTCTTAGACAAACATTTTTTCAGGGCCTCTCAAAGGGCATTTTAACCCAAACTCCCACTTTTATTAACCCAGTCGTGTGCTTAATACATGTCAAATTGATAGCAGGTGGCTGAGAAGTCACCATTGCTCTACCCTTGAACTCAATTGAATTGCTCATCCCTCAAAATGAATGTTCTTTTATGTGTTGGTCCTTTCTTCCTCTGTTTTCAAGTAAATTAAATGCCTTTAACTTTCATCTATAAGCTGTGTTGTTCCAAATCTTGTAGCTTGCCTGCTTGGTGTGAAGCTCTGCCAGAGTTTGTGACCAGACACCTGGTGATTTGTATGGTTCCTTGTTTTTTTCTACTGCATGCCTAATATTGTATAACATAGCAAGTGTGCCCACTTATAATTCTGCCAGGGCAAGAAGCATTTCTTCTCTTTCTTGTTTGCTGTAGAGCTATCTCATGACCCCCTGTAAGTTCCTGGTAGATGTTTCTGATGACAACAACTGCTCAATCTAAGAAAGAAGGAACATAAGGAAGATGAAAATTAAGTACCAAAAATACAGGACACTTTGAGACAAGCTTCTCTCCACCCCCTTCCCATACACATTGTGAAATAAAGTACAAAAATAAAGTCACAGCTTTATACATATTTTCAAGAAGAAAAACCTTATAACACACTTGCTTACTGAGGAAGGTAAAAACTCCTTCTCTCTTCAGTTGAAATTTCAGGTCTTTATTTTGGTTATCTTGTGTGCATGTTGGCCTCAAACATATCATGCACTAACCAACTTGGGTTTCAAATGAGATCTATGTAGCCAAAAAGCGATTTGTTAAATCAAAGTTTCTTAGAGAGGTTGTCCATTCATTTACTGACCCACTTATTCAGCCAGTATTTTCCAGTGCCTGATGTGTAAAATAAGTACTATAAAGACAAAGAGCACCGTGATATGAGGGTGTTATGAAGTGAACATTGTTCTGGACTAGAATAGGAGGGGTCTTTCATGAAGGAGTGAAGCTTGAACTGAAAGCTTAGCAGGGGGTAACAAACAGCAAAGGAATAATGATTCTATCAGTAGGTAGCATCTACAAAGGCCCTGTGGCCAGAGTAAATGTGGCACACTCAAGGAACTGAAAGACTGTTAGTGTGGCTGAAATGTGGGGAGGGAAGGAACCAGTAAAGATGAGGTTGGTGGAGGAAGACAGAACCCAGATATTGATATGTGGAGAGACCAAAGAGAAACCAGGGAGAACCAGTTAGGAGCTTACTGCAGCCATCCAGGTAAGAGATGTTGATGATGACTTGGACGGGCGGATAGCAATGAAGGTAGTGAGAAGATTGGTTTTGGAAATAAGGATGATAAGACTTGCAAGTGACTGGGTGTGGGTGGGAGAGAAGAAAAGTAACGGAAGGTGTTCCTTAGATGCTTGGCCTAAGTAAAAGGATGAATTGTGCCATTCACCTAGTTGGAAAAAATGGAAAGAGGAGTAGCATTGGGGATGAGAGAAGTGAAGAATTCCATGTTGAACATAAGTTTGAGGTGTACTAGATATTCAAGTGGAGATGTAGAAGGGAAAGCTAGACATGCTTGCATGGAGCTCAGGGATGATGTTGGGGCTGGACATGTGCGTTTGGGCTCCTCAGCATATGGTTAGGATTTGAAACCTTGGAACTGAACAAGAGCACTGAGGAAGAAAGTGCAGACTGAAAAGAGAAAAAGACAGGACTGAGCCCTAGGGCATGCCACATTTTAAAGGTCAGGAAGTGGAGAGGTATCCAGTGAAGAAGACTGAAAAAGAGCAGCCTATGATGTAAGATGAGAACCAGCAGAGTACAGTATCCTGTGAAGAAAGCATTTCAAGAAGGAAGCAGTATCTAGAGCTGCTGGGAGGTTGGTGGTGATGTGGACAGACAATTGGTCCCAGGATTTGGCAGTGTGGTAGATATTGGTGACCATGACAAGTGTTGTTTCAGTGGAGTGGTGAAAAGGAAAACCTAATTAGAGTGAATAGGAGTTGAGAAACTGAAAATAGTAATTACAGGAAGAGTTTTGCTGTCAAAGGGAGCATAGAAACAGGGCTGTATCTGGAAGGAGATGTGAGGACTGGGATTCCTTTTAGAATATGGGATATTACAGCATGTTGATTTACTAATAGGCATGGCCCTGTTAGTAAAAGACAGAAATATTGGTGCTAAAGAAAACAGGGATAATTAAAAGAGCAATGTCCTTGGGCAAGCAGGGATAGGATTGCATGCAAGGTTGCTAGGTATGCCAGCCCAAGAACTAACTGCTACCTGTCCATGACAAGCTTTCACTTAAAAATAAATCTTCAGTGTAAGCATGCAGTTTAATTAAACTGACATTGTTTTTTGTGGTAAGACTTTCTCAAGGAGGGAAGCTTCCCGCACTTAGAGCAGCATTGATCTAGTGCACACAAAGAAAGGTAGGAGCGTCGACAGTTTATCCATAATAACAGGAAGGAAGGTGGAATATGCGCCACTGACCCTGAAAACTTGAGTGGTAGAGTAGCTAATCTGCTGAGCATCCATTGACACAGCTACTGTTGTTTTGATTGTGATTTTTTTAATTAAGTGTAGTTATCCTTAAAGGCTTTTACTGTTCAGGGAGATAATAGATACTTATTTTTTATCAAAACTATATATTACTATGCTGAATGTGCCAAACTTGAATAGTTACAGCAAATAATGACAAAAGAATTGCTTGCACAATCCATCTCCTCCAGGTGAGTTGTGAGGTGTTGGTAGAGAGAATGAATGCATGAAGGAAAGGCTTTCTTAGGGTTTAAGCCTAAGAGGTCAAAACAGAGGCTATTGCCATATGAGTGATTTTCCACCAGTACTGCCCAGTGGAGTACTGGTCAAAAGAGTTTTCAGAGTCACTCTGTGTAAATCCTTTCCCATTCTTTTTGCTTCATCCACACTGCGTGCCCCATTGACTGAAAGCAAAATCACTCCTTTCTCTGCTTCCCTGCTTTAGCTGATTCTGTGCCCTCCACTTGGATCAGCTTTGCCTGTCTAATTTCAGTCTGTTCAAAATAGCTAAAAATAAATAAATAAATGAAATTAAAAGTTGTATAAGCTTCACATTTTAGAGTCATCTAATATGGCAAACAAGTATAACAAAGCATAGACTCAAATGTACTCATGAGGCCACAGTCATTTAACATACACTTACTAGTCTCTGCCCCTGTGGATGCAGTGGTAAAAAAGGCCAGATTCCCAGATGCCATTGTTCTCTAAGTTCCAGCCCTTCCTTGTCTTCTCTTCCATGTGTAACACCAGTCCTCAAAATAAGAAGGATGACCACATGCATCAGAATCACCTGGTTGGGCCTGGTTGCAAACCTCCCAAGCCATAGGTAGTGGTAAGACCCTGAAGTCTTAAGCATCCTTTGGGTGATTCTCATGCATGCTGAAGTTTGAGAACCACTCGTTTAGATGCATTCCCACATTGGTTATCCACGAATTTCATCTCCCCAAAATGTCTTTGCGTTGATTTTTTGCTGCCCCAATTAATCCACCAGGTTGTAGGGAAATTGCTGGACTCTAGGTTTAGATGTCCTTAGTTTTTCATTGTATAAACATCAATATTGTCAAGACCCAGTTTATCCACAAAGGTATTTCTCTCAGTCCATATATGATTTTTGGAGACGGGCTTGTGTATGAGCAGATTATCAAATTGGAGTAATTAAAAAAAATTATGGGAGATAAGCTTTCCTGGATGAGAGTGAGAGGGAGAAATAGGGTTGCTTGAAGTTATTTCTTAAGCCCAAAATGAGGTGGCAACTGGAAAACCATAAAGCAATAACTTTGATTTCATGTACACCAGTTTTTCTTTTATACATAAATTTTATCATGCTGTGCCTGTAGATTATGATTGTCAAAAATGATCCTACTGCATGCCTTGCTGTGGCAGTAATCAGTAATTTGGGCCACACACAGTGGGGCCGAGGCGGGCAGATCACTTAAGGTCAGGAGTTCGAGACCAGCCTGGCCAACATGGCAAAACCCCATTTTAACTAAAAATACAAAAATTAGCTGGCGCAGTGGCGGGCACCTGTAATCCCAGCTACTTGGGAGGCTGAGACAAGAGAATTGCTTGAATGTGGGAGGCAGAGGTTGCAGTGAGCAGAGATCACACCACTGCACTCCAGCCTGGGTGACAGGGAGACTCCGTCAGAAAGAAAGAAAGAGAACAGAGAGAGAGAAAAAGGAGGGGAGGGGAGGGGAGGGGATGGGGGAGGGGAAGGAAGGAAGGAAATAAATAAATGAATAAATAAATCAGTAATTTGGCTGTTTGTGGTAGCATATTGAAAATCTTTTTTGACTATTGAGTTGGAGCACTGAGATTTGCAATATCCCCATATTCAAACACTGATTCATGAGTAAAAGAATGAAACCAGAGAATCCACATGGTTTTGGATAAATTGAAACAAGTAAAGAAAGGTCCCTAAACACCACAGGTATCCACTAAAATGAAGGAGCAATAATGTATAAATGTCTCTGGCTAGCTTAGAGACCTGTGTGTTAGGAAATGATGTCAGTGATGAGTTACCATAGAAAGCTCTGGGAACTGCCTTGATGGCTTGGGCTGAATGTTATAGGTATGAAAGAAAAGCATTTGAATAGTCCTTTTAAGATCTTTCTAGCCCTGAGCAGTCATATTTTTGGAGGCCCTACTCCTCATCCTATCAAGCACTAAATAGACCCACATGCCACATTAGATACAATTTTGCTAAAGAAAAAAATTAAAAGTATTTTTTATATTTGCTTCTTAATTATTGGCTTATCAAGTAAAATAATTTAATTTTGATTGGCTGTGATTTCTCAGCGTTTATGTATACTATAGGAACTGTAAAAGTTTAAAATAATCTATAATTTTAAAATTGCATAAATATTAAAATTGGACAGTTAATGAAAGTCATCGTGTCACTTTCTGTGGACATGTGATTAGTCATTATTTTTACTTTT
This sequence comes from Homo sapiens, assembly GCF_000001405.40. NCBI lineage: Eukaryota > Metazoa > Chordata > Mammalia > Primates > Hominidae > Homo > Homo sapiens. The sequence goes on along the minus strand of NC_000007.14, from coordinate 111,814,900 downwards.
TATTTTGCAAATTTCAGTTTGGTTGCATAACATTCTTTCAGGTCTCAATGTTTTCGAAAGTCCCTGAAAGGCTCACAGGCCCAATGCCCTGTGCCTCTTTCTGCCTAATGGTAAGGCAGCCCTGATAAGAGGGTGAGGTGTTCAATCTAGAAATAAGAACTGCAAGCCCCATACAAATCGTCCTAATATTCCAGAAGTCAGGAGAATGCTGAAACAGAATTTGTGGGAATATTTCTGATTCTGGCCACTCCGGAGCCTTGCTCTTCATTGGGTGGTTGCAAACCAACAGCATTAGCATCCGCTGGAGCTTGTTAGAAGTGCAGAATCTCCAGTCCCACTCCAGGGTTGCTGGATCATCTGCACTTTAACTAGATCACCAGGTACCTGTTAAAGTTTGAGAAGCACTGATCTAAGGTAGAGCAGTGGTTCTCAGCTCCGGGTACACCATAAGAATCACTTGGGAGCTTTGACAATCCTGATGTTCTGACTGTAGCCCAGACCAATCAGTAGTCTCTGGCGATGTGACCCAGCATTGTATTTTAAAAGCTCCCAGGTGATTCTAGGGCCCGGGGCAGGTTGAGAGCAACTGTTCCATAGTAAGGCCACAGAGATTCCATGTTGTTTACCAGCAAGTGTACTTCAAAAAGCCACAAATATATTTTGTGTGTTTGGGATCCACCATGTAAATAACAATTTGGTAATCTTTGCCATGGAATAACTTCTCTCTCCCTTGGAAGATTGAGTTTGTTAGCTCCTTTCTGTGACATTTGGCGTGATAGTCTAAATTCCAGATATGTCATATTTCACTAACACCAGAGGTATTGTGTCTGAACGTCAATCTAAGCTGAAACTGTGGACCACAAGGTGATTTTTAATGTAAACCCCAGGTGTAGTGGGACTGTGTGTATTTCTCGTTGAACATCAAAGCAGAAAGTTTGTGCTTATAACCACATGTTAAGCATACAGATTTTTCTTCTTTAAACTTAGAAGTCCAGTGATCTTACTGGATGCTAGGCAAGAACAACTTCCTTGCCTGATAGCCTTTCATTTTCTGATGATTCAGCTTCAGTTTCATATAGTAAAACTTGAGTAAAATACTTTGGAACAGTAATGATGTCTTCAGTTATCATTGATTTTTCCAGTGTCTTTGGGAAATTGCCGCATTATACCATCATTTGCAGGTGATGTATCTCTTTGATATGACTTGCACTGATGATATCTGCCATTTAGGGGACTGAAGAAACCACAAGACTTCTCGATCTCATAGGTTTTTATTATACTTAAATTTAATAATAAGATTCACTGAAAGGTACATATGACATATGTAAAATGCACACGCATGTAACAGTGCCTGTTCATGGTAGAGCGAATGCCCATGAAATCGTGGTTGTCTTGTTTCCTTTTCATTACCTTGAACTTCCACATTCAACCATCAACTTACCCTTGTTAATTACCCTTGTTAATATTTCCCTACCCCACAAGAAAGCTATAATAGTGAGTTTCCCAGCAGATAACAATAATGAATATTTATGTCTTTCAAAGTCTATATTTTTCTAACTAGTAAATATAATCTATATTAGCAAGATAACCAAAGTTTGAAGTTGATACTGTATTTTGTTTTCTTTTGTTTTTTCATTTTACCTAGGGTGACATAAATACATCCTCCAATTGCAAATCCCATGAAGAGAACTGAGGCTTTACCATATCACACACTCATTACACATGCATCTCAGAAAAGGTCAAAGAAATTTTAAATATCGACAATTTATATATTGATCCTCAGTTTATAGTAGCTCAAGGGGTGGCTAATCTTGCTTTAGTATAATGCTGTGTTAAACATTAAGTGAACCAATTGGAAATATGTTCAACTTTAAATATTTATCTCCTGGTTATAAAAATTAGCAGATTTTGAACAAATTGCAGAGCTCTAGAACTAACCAAGAATGCTCATCAAATCCTTCTTTTTAAAATCTCCCCAGCGAGCTACCTATGGCTGTATTGGTCAGGCTTTTCCTGATTTCTCCTGCCCTGGAGATGACCCTTTCTCTGAATGTCTGTAACACTGTCGGTTTCACACAGCTTCGTACTGGGTTATAGACAATTTCACAGTCTGTAATTGTTTCTTTAGTGGCAGTCTTGTCACCCTTAAAGAGGGAATCTGCCTTCTATAGCTCTTGCATGCCCTCTAATACCTTAAACAGGGGAGAACAGAGAGAAGTCTAATAAATACTCAATGTATTCTATTATTTTTTCCTATCTATTTTGTCTTTGGGCTCCATTTTTTCCTCTGCATTTTAAAAAGCATGGCTTTCTTTTATGATAATCAAATATGGAATGTTGCCTGTAATCCTAGCACTTGGGGAGGCCCAGACAGGAGGATAGCTTGAGGTCAGGATTTCAAGACCAGCGTGGTCAACAGAGTGAGAACCTGTCTCAGAAAAACTGAAAAACCATTTGGCTGGACACAGCAGCATGCACCTGTAGACCCAGCTACTTGGAAGGCTGAGGCAGGAGGATCACTTGAGCCCAGGAGTTTGAGGCTGCAGTGAGCTATGATCATGCCACTGCACTCCAGCCTGGACAACAGAGCAAGACCCTGTCTCAAAAACAGAAAAATATGAAATGTTATGTTTGTAGTAAATCATTTTGCTTTGTTTGGAAATTAACAAAAAACATTACAAAACATCAAGGTGATAATATATTTCTGTCTGAGCCATATGAATTCATAGATCTTTCGTGTATCAGTTTACAAAGGTCCTGACTTCAGTGATAGATTTCTTCCCCTTTTATTGACCTGTTGTCTCTTTTTTGTTTCAAATATGAATTATTTAATATTGCTCCAGATGCTTACTGAAGAAGGTTTTATTTTATCTTAGTAGGTTTTTATTCTTGTATACTAAATGATTTTCACTAATATGAAGTTTTCACCTTGTCATTTTTTTTATCACTAGTGTTATTATTACAACAGTTCTATACCTCTCAGATGCACTTCGTAAGAACTTCTTAAATGAAAACTTTGATTATAAGGTAAGCATTCATTTATATGACTCTCCTGCTTGGGCTAAAAGAATCACATTGTATTATAGGAAATTACCTAACATTTTCTTGGGCCGTATTAGTTTTAACTATGAGGAATATTAGAACAGTTTTCATTATATTTGTGAACAGATGAAGACTGTTCACATAGCGCTTAAAAGGAGATCATAGCGCTTAAAAGGAGATAGTTTTTTATTGTTACTATACATTTTAATTCTTGCTCTTTTCTGTATGATCCCTGTTTATGACAAAGGAGACTCAAAACATAGTGTTTTTTACTTTTTAGAAATGGAGTTTATATGAAGAAAACGTTTACAAAGTAAACCCTTTAGTTTCTTATTTCTTTGTCTTCCCATTTTTTAGAATGAATTAATGAAAAGAAAAAAATGAAACATTGGTAAGGTTCTTTAAGGCAGAACCCTCTGTATATCTATGATATAATGTGATATGCCTGGGTGCCTACAAATTCTTGATATACTATTTTTCAAATAGCAAGTGATAAATAGCAAACAAAGATGAGCAGTGCCTATCTTGGCTTTCTTCCTCAATGGTGGTTCTTTGTTTTGGGCATCTTTCTTCTTACTCTGTTTTGAATAACATATTTCATATTAAACACTTTTATAAAATTTCCTTATTGGATAATAAGAAAATACAAAAAAGGACAAATACAATAAAAAAGGAATTTTAATAGTTACATAATATTTGTCTATGTCATAGCTTATAGTATATCAAAATTTCATATTTCATTCTTATAAATTACTCATTTTATGTACATTCTTGTAAAATAAAACTTGGCATATATCCCTAATTATTTCTTTGGTTCTTTTTTTGTTTCTGGTTTTGTTTTGTTTTGTTTTGTTTTTGAGACAGAGTCCTGCTCTGTTGCCCAGGCTGGAATGCAGTGACGCAGTCTCGGCTCACTGCCACCTCCGCCTCCCAGGTTCAAGCGATTCTCTTGCCTCAGCCTCTAGAATAGCTGGGATTACAGGCACACACCACCATGCCTGGCTAATTTTTTTTTTATTTTTAGTAGTAGTATGGGGTTTTGCCATGTTCGCCAGGCTGGCCTTGAACTCCTGACCTCAGGTAATCTGCCTGCCTCAGCCTCCCAAAGTGTTGGGATTACAGGCATGAGTCACCGCGCCTGGCCCTTAATTATTTCTTTGGATAAATATTTATTAGTGGAATTGTTGAGTGAAAGGTTGTACCAATTACATTTGATTGCTTCTTTTCCTGCAGCTACACCAACATTAGAAGAGATTTTTTTTCTGACAGATAAAGAGAAAAATCCTGTTTGCTTTAATTTACATTTCTCACTAATTATTACTTATTGACTAGTTACTAGTTATTGATCAAAATTCATATTTTTGTGAATTGTCTATTCTTGACTTTTTTTTTTCTTTTTTTTGTTTTGAGACAGAATCTCCCTCTGTCGCCCAGTCTGGAGTGCAGTGGCGCAATCTCGGCTCACTGCAACCTCTGCCCCCCAGGTTGAAGCAATTCTTCTGCCTCAGCCTACTGAGTAGCTGGGACCACAGGAGCGCACCACCACACCTGGCTAATTTTTGTATTCTTAGGATAGACGGGGTTTCACCATATTGGCCAGGCTGGTCTCGAACTCCTGACCTTGTGATCCACCCGCCTCGGCCTCCCAAAGTGCTGGGATTACAGGCATGAGCCACCGCACCTGGACTGTTCTTGACTTTTATTCATTATTTTACTTAGGGTTTTATTATATTCTTTTTTATTTGTAAGAGCTATTTACGTATAACAGATACTGATTCTGTGTCATATGTCTCCTGGTTTGTTATGTCTTTAATTTTACATGGTGTCAGTGGAGAAGTGTGTTCCTTCCATTATGTCCTTTTTTTTTTTTGCTAAGTTTATTTCAGGGAACTTTATTCAGATCTCTTTCTGATTCTGTTTTTTGGTATAAGAAAACTTAAAAGATTTGCCTGGGCAGGGAATTTTTATATAATGTCTGAATTTAAAGCAATTAGCATATCTGAAGAAGTGTATGCATTTTTTACAAGTTCTACGTTAAAAGGAGTTCCAAAAATGAACTCACACAGGAATAAAGAAATCCATCTTATACCTCATCCTCTTGGAGATACTCAGACATATTACAAGAGAAACCACGCATCTGTCTTTTAGCATATACCAAAAAGCTCGTGAAACCTGGAATACAGCTTTGGAGCAATATACACCTAGATAATAATAGTACTTATTTATTTAGTTACTTCTTCACTTTAGAAAATTTTAAGCATATGTACAAGTAGAGAGAATAGTATAATGAACCCCCATGAGGTACCCATATCCAGCTTCAACTATTATCAACTCATGGTCAGTCTTACTTCAACTATACCCTCAACCACTTTTGAAGCAAATCCAAAATACTATGTCACTTCACCTGTCAATATGCTTGTAACACCATAGTATTGATATATCTTGTTCTTGTTTTAGATCTGGGATTCCTACTTTTACCTCGCAGTCATTTTTATAAACCAGTTGTGTCTGCAGTTGGAGATGTTCACACCTTCCAAGAAGAAAAAGGTGTTAGAAAAGTAAGTATCAGTGTATAATCAGGTGAGAAATGTTGCCTCTTAAAGAGTATTTAGTTCAAATGATTCATAAATCAGAATGCGCATAACTGGAAATCACACAGTGAAGAACCAGTGACCAAGGGGTCAAGAAGCAGTCTTTTCTGGATGTTTTGATATTTCAAACATGTTTGCACATTGTTTTGACCTGGCTCTTTCAGGATTCAAAATTTCTATAGATGCAAAAAATTATGAAACAGATCTCTTTTACTAAAAGGTTTACACCAGAATTTGACTTAGAGGCATCGTGACATGTATATTAAATGTCTTTAATTAAAAACTCCTTGCCTTGTAATTCAGAATGATAGATTGTATCCTAAAGACACACAAATACTTCCTTGTTCTGGAGGCATTGTATCAGGTTTGGTTTTTTGTTCTATTTCAGGTATGGTGACATGCGGGTAACAATGGGTTGTGAAATTTTCAGCATGTGGCAAAACCTAGGTAAGTGAGGAAAAGAGAAGCCACATCTACTATACAGCTCCTCGCTGTACCTTGAAGTGTACAAATGAAGAAAGGCAATTTACCAGTGACACCATGTGAAACCAAATGTCTAAATCAATAAACATCTATAGAAAGTAATTGACACTTTGGCATTGAATGAGGTTACAACAAATTCTTTAAATTGGTCTCTAAGAAAAGTCACCTTACCTTTGTGTGTTTCATTATTAATTAACGATAAATTTTATAATCTAGCATTGCTCCAACATTACACATATTTCCAGCGATGAGGCAACCTTTCAGAATTTGGAACTGTAACAACTCAAAATTTCTAGAACTCTGAGTTGAAGCTATGAATCATAATAAATTTAGGTTAAACTTCATGAAACATTGACTTGAACGTCACTACTCTTAAAAACTTGAGACCATTGTCCTATATCATAAAGAGTATAGCCAAAGGATTTTAAAAGCATCTGCAGTTGCTAAGAAACTGTTGGATCCAATTTTGTTAATCTGCTATAGCAGATAGAGTATATTATTCCAGAAAATTGATGGTACAGATCTGGTTGCATAGAAAACAGTAATATTTGGAAAACAAATTGTTTTAAAATTCATTGGCATAGGGTCCCTTTCTAGAGATTTATAAGTTATTTCATTTGGTATGTTAACTATGCAGGTTTTTAGTATTCATTTACTATTACTGCATCTTAATGCTCCTCTTTGATTTATTAAAATGATTGACCTATTTGAGTTGAATACGTAATGACCTGAAAATATCTTTTCTCTTGGGCTTATCCAAGTACAACTTGGAGATTGGAAGGATTTATTTTCTGTGAATGAAAATAGAACCATTATTGTTTTACTTCCACTCATGTTAACAGACTGATTTTTGACCAGGATCATTACAGGGTGATTTTTTTTTAATAGGGTATGTATATTCCTCAAATATACATAACAACTTGAGGGAGCCTTGGTATATATAATTAAGCCCAGTGTTCAATGCTTGCTGGTGATTTCAGAAAAAATAAAAAATAAAAAAAAATAATGAAGCTGGGAGCAATGGCTCATGCCTGTAATCCCAGCACTTTGGGAGCCTGGAGCGGGCAGATCACTTGAGGTCAGGAGTTTGAGACTAGCCTGGCCAACATGGTGAAACCCTGTCTTTACTAAAAATACAAAAATTAGCCAGGCGTGGTGGGGGGGTGCCTGTAATCTCAGCTACTTGGGAGGCTGAGGCAGGAGAATCACTTGAACCTGGGAGGTGGAGGTTGCAGTGAACCAAGATCGCTCCATTGCACTCCATCAGCCTGGGTGACAGAGTGAGACTCTGACTCAAAAAAAAAAAAAAAAGAGTTATCATCTTGAAAACAACCTTCAACTATGTAAGGCCAGCCAGAAGATATCATGGTCTGTCTTTAGTTGCAGCTCAAAAATAGTTTTCTTATTTGGAGACTGCTCTTCTTAGTCTTCAGTGTTTTCAGGTTTCATTGATTCTTTGTGTCCTTGTTTTTCCTAAAGAAGATCAAGGCCCTTGTAGTGTCCATATTGCATTCGACATTAATTTAGCAAGATGTTTTTGAAAGAATGCTGCATTGAATCTGTTTGAATGCACTTGTGGTTGTGTAAGCTCTTTTCTGGGCTCAAATTATGAGAGCAGGACAGATTCTGTTCGGTTACAAGAATGTTAAAAAAGAATGACCAGTTTCTGTTCTAGATACATCTCAGCATTGCCATCTATGGTTATTTCCACATAAACCTGTATCCAAACCATAATAGCTATGCATTTAGGCCCATGACCCTTGGGCTGCTAAATAAAGCTGTCACATGTAATCTCCCTAAACATGTCACTGTATACTTCATAAACTTTTATCCTGTATTTTGTCTTTCTTCTAAAATGAAACTATTTCTGCCTCTCTGGTTTTTATGTTAAATTGCTTCTCTGTTTTTCTCAGAGATCTAGAGAATATGGAAAATTTCTGGAGCATATCAATACCTATAATGCAGTATTTTGTTATACTGTAGCATCAGCATCCTTGGAAGCTTGTAAGAAATGCAAAATCTCTCACTCCACCTTAGACCTACTGAAACACAATCTCTGGGATTGGGGCACAGCAGTCTGTTTTAGCAAGTTTTCCAGGTGATTCTTATGTACTTAGCTAAAAACTGAAAAGCACTGCTTTAGTTTATCCTCTTTCTTTGTTGTTACAGCCATAAAGACTTAGCTCTAGCACAATCCTAAGACGCTGTTAGAAAAGGCTCCTCCTTTATACTCAACTTACAGATTCCCAGCATGACGTGGTTCAAGCGTAGGGTCAGCGTAAATTTTTACTTCATTCCTTGGTTGCTGCATTATTTCCCAAGAGTTGTGTCTAGACTTTGCAAAGACTTCCCAAATATTAGGTGAATTTTAAAGTTTGTTGCTGTTGTGCAATAGCTAGAATTGGAAAAAATTCAGAAATGTTAAAGCCTCTCTTCCAACATATATTTTTATAAAATGAGGAGAAGAATAATTAAGTATTCAGAGTGACATTTTGATACCCCTTATAGGCCTTAAGTCAGCTTGTTACTTAGGAATATCAAAGTACATTAGTTATCATTTGGTTTACTTATAAATATGTCATGTTGAGAATTTGAATGCTGTAAGAGAATTTATTCAGGTAATTATAAATTTGCCATGTTTTAATGTAACAGTCCAGTAAATTCAATTTGACTAAGTTTATGAAGCACTGGATATATGCAAGTATTTTGGAGGACATAAGAAAAAATGGTCCACACCTATTAAAATCTTAGTTTTCAAATCTTATATTTTAAAATTTTGTCCAATTTAGTTTGAACTATGACAAAGCTTGACAAAGACAACATCATCATGTTTTAGTAAAGCTAGTAAGCTTTTATGATTTCATAAATCAAGATCCTCAATATTTTTAATAGATACAAAATGCACTAACTTTTAGAAAATAAGATGAAGGGAGGAAATGCCCAAGGCCACTTAATATACTTTTTTCCACTTGAAACTGTCTAGTTGGTCTAATTTAGAAATACACATTTTGCTGGATAATACTTTTAAATCAGATTTGGTCATTGATGTTTACCTCTGAAGTGTTGAAATTCTTCCATATGCTAGAAACATGTTGTTTTTTTCCATTCCACTGAGGACACGGAGGGGAAAGACACATGTAATTCAGTGACTTGTCTGCTTTTAAACTTAAAGCTGTAGGATTTTAAAATCTGATCATTATATCCCTTAGCAACCTGTGAGCAATTTTTCAACCCTATGAGACCTAGAACTGCTTATGTTTACAGTGTTATTTTTAACCATAAATCATCTAACAGACATTTAGTTGTGTGTGCTTGAAATATTTTATAATTCTAAAATTACATAACAACTTGTCTGTAGTATTAAATGTGCTTTTATAATGATTATTTACATTAAGAAAGTTTAACCTTTGTTCTGAATTAGTAAATATTTGGATCCTTTAGTACATTTGTAGTTCACACAACTGGAGGAAGCGAGTTCTAACTTCTCTTCTGCTGTCGCCTCAGTCTTGGAGTTTTTGCAAGCAGGGCCATGAGCACCCATTTTTATGTCTACAGGAATGAATCCGTGGCTCTGCTAGTTCATGCTTCAGCCCTAGTTCTATGAGGTCTGGTTGGGAACATAGAAATAAAATCAAAAGGTTTTGTTGTCCAAAGACAACAAATAGTCCTCCACAGGTCAACAAGGCAGGGCTTCTCTTCTTCCCTTGTGAGACAGCAGTAGATCCTGGGGACAGAAAGGCTTTGAGCTCTTGCCTGGAACTTTAAGTCATGCTACCTGTCTCCAGTGCATACAGAGCACTGAACACATCATCCTGCTCATATAATTAAAATTTAGTTTTAAAACATTTTTTAATTGTGGTAAAATACAAATAAAATGTACATCTTGGTTGGGTGCAGTGGCTGACACCTGTAATCCCAGCATTTTGGGAGGCTGAGGTGGGTGGATCACGTGAGGTCAGGAGTTCGAGACCAGCCTGGCAAACATGACGAAACCCCGTCTCTGCTAAAAATATAAAAATTAGCTGGGTGTGGTGGCATATGCCTGTAATCCTAGCTACTTGGAAGGCAGAGGCAGGAGAATTGCTTGAATCTGGGAGGCAGAGGTTGCAGTGAGCCAAGATCGCGCCATTGCACTCCAGCATGGGGGACAGAGCGAGACTCTGTCTCAAAAAAAAAATAAAAATAAATATAAATAAATGTGCATTCTAACTATTTTTCAGGCCACAGCTCAGTGATATTAAGTATATTCACATTGCAATGCAACCATCACCACCATCCATCTCTAGAACTCTTTTCATCTTGTGAAGCTGAAACTCTATACCCAATAAACAATAACTTCTCATTCCCCTGTCTCCCCAGCCCCTGGTACTACCATTCTACTTTCTGTCTCTATGAATTTAACTACTCTAGGTACCTCACGTAAGTGGAATCATACAGAATTTATCTTTTTGTAACTGGCTTATTTTGCTTAACAGATTGTCCTCAAGATTCATTCATGTTGTAATGTATCAAAATTTTCCTTTTTAAGGCTGAATAATATTCTGTCGTATGGATATACCACATTTTCTTTATTCATTCATTCCTCAGTGGACATTTGGGTTGCTTCTGCCTTTTGTCTATTGTGAATAGTGCTGCTCTGAACGTGGGCATATAAAATATCTCTGAGAATCTGGCTTTCAGTTCTTTTGGGTACATAGCCAGAAGTGGAATTGCTGGATCATATGGGAATTCTATTGTTAATTTTTTGAGGAACTGTTCTCCACAGCTGCTGTAACATTTTACATTCTCACCAACAGAACACACACATTCTAGTTTCTCCATTTTCTCTCCAGCATTTGTTATTTCCTGGTTTTTTGACAGTAGTCATCCTAATGGGTGTGAGGTGGTATCTCATTTGCAGTTTTGGTAAAATAATGTATTTTTAGAGCATAAAAGCCAACTAGTGATAAGTAAACACCTTTTCTTAAATATGGTATTCCTCAGCGTTTTCATTTTCTAAGTTGAAGGACTAAAAAATGTTCTATCAAGAGCCGTGGCAGAGGAAGGCATATATTTTCCCCCAAAACTTTACCCGTCTGTACCCCTACTTGCAAGAACAGAGAAAAAGGTTAGTCTTTACTAGAATGTTCCAGTGTTGGCTTTTATCTTTCTTCAAGGTTAAGTTTTTCTTTCTATTTTTAGATGAACTAACATTCTTACTAAATATAAAGTGAGCTCTTTGTTCCACATTTGCAAACACAGTGTCTTGTAACTGCTGTAGAAAAAAAAATCAATACTTCCCTAGCAGGCTGTTCTGTGTGCATAAATATAAAACTCCAACAGTCCAAGTAGCAGGTGCCCTAAATACTTCAAAATAAGACCATGTGGCCAACAATTAGAGGTAGAGAAAGTATACTAAATCTATGGTTTAAAAAGAAATCATTTAAATGAAGTTTATTTTGCTGTTGCCATACATAGCTCAAAATTGCTTTGCTGGTTCTGTAGGAATTAAATTTTCTGTGGTTGGAGAGCCTGTTCAGGTTTGCAGATTCCGTGTTCCCAAAGTATGTTTTCAGCAAATAAGCTATTCTCATGCATTCCTGCACAATGACTTAAATGTAGGTGTGGCTTCTCTGACCTTCTTAACTGTCAATGGAAAAAATCAGGCTGCAGAATGTAGTATATGGACCTTGTTTGAATTGTGATTGAAAGAAACCAGCTATACATGACATGTTTTAAGACCATCAAAGGAAATTTTAATATAGGCTGGGTTTTTAATTAATTTAAGGAATTTTTATTTCTTTTTTAGGTGTGATAAAGGCATTAGGGTTCTATATTTGTAAAATGTCCTATCTGTTAAAGATGCTTACAGATGTATGTACAAGTAGACTGATAACAATGTCTCAGGCCTGCTTTAAAGTACTCTAGAAAAAAAATAGTTGGGGTATTAGGTAAAATGGGAAGGACAAGAGTCTTGATAATCACTGAAGCTAGATGATGGATGTATGGATTTTTTTTAACTATTTTCTGTGATTTTGTGTGCGTTTGAAATTTTTCATATTAAAAAGAAATTTGAAGAAAATTTGATTGTAAAATATCATAAGTGGAAGAGATTTTTTTTAAGAGATTCAAAAGTACTCAAGCAAGTGCATGCTAATATGGTCTTCATTAGAGAGGCCAAGGGATGCCAGGCTCCGGAAAGACTAAAGACCAAGATAGTAACATAGAAGCTCTGAATCTCATCTACCAGCTCAGGCATGGGAGAACTATTCCGGCTGGCAGGAAATTCAGTTTCATTTTGTATTCCCTCTCTCTTCCATCCCCCTTTTTTCACACATACCCAAAAGCTGTGCAAAGGTTTAGTGTCTTACACAGTGTCAAGGCAGCAGAGAGAGCATAGCTGGGGCTCTGCTGGGGCACAGCCTCTGTGGCTGGACTTTGAGCCCCTGCAGCCATCTCATGAGGCAGGGTTATGGAAGAAATGCAAGACCTGTTAATCTCAGAATTTGTGAGCCTTTGCCCCAACAGAAATTTTCTTCCCCCTTTTGTCTTTCCCCCCACTCAATTTCCAGGACATCTTGGTGAGCTGTTTAGTGGGTTTAGGCTTTTTAAAATGACAGTAAGAGTGATTGAGTTCAGGTTGCACAGGTTTTCTACCCTGATAAAAATAACTGAGGGAAGGAATTGCAAATGCTAGCTGCTAGTTACTGGCTGGAATTGTATGTGTTGATAGAATGAGGAAAATATAGGGAGAGCTATGAATTTATATTTCAGTGAGTTTGTCAGTCTTGAAAGTATTTATTCTGGCTGGGCACGGTGGCTCACGCCTGTAATCCCAGCACTTTGGGAGGCCAAGGCAGGCAGTTAATGAGGTCAGGAGGTTAAGACTATCCTGGCTAACATGGTGAAACCCCGTCTCTACTAAAAATACAAAAAAAAAAAAAAAAAATTAGCCCAGCGTGTTGATGGGCGCCTGTAGTCCCAGATACTTGGGAGGCCGAGGCAGGAGAATGGCGTGAACCCAGGAGGCGGAGCTTGCAGTGAGCTGAGATCGCACCACTGCATTCCAGCCTGGGCAACAGAGCGAGACTCTGTCTCAAAAAAAAAAAAAAAAAAAAGGAAAAAAGAAAAGAAATAAAAAGTTTCTTTTGAGGTATTCTTGCTCTGATGAGGAAAACTAAGCAGTCCTTTGGGAAAGACAAAAGAATATCTAGGTCAAAAATAAAGGTAGGAATGCAAAAGGATTTATGAGCCATGTTTCTTCCTCACACATAATGGGTATGGAAAAGTGATTTAGAGATAGTGATGACATGGCTCTGATGAATGGAAGAACACCAGGGTTTTTGGTCTTGCGCCAATTTAGATAAAAGGACACGCACACATGTGGTGTGGTTTTAAGGAGCGAAAAGTTTAACAGGCAAGAAAGAAGAAAACAGCTCCCTTGTACAGAGACAGAGGTGGGGAGGCTTGAAACAAAGAGACTGCATGAGCAGCGGAAAAATGATCAGTTATATCAGAGGCTGAAGGAGGCGATGTTTGATTTGCATGGGCCCAGAGGATTGGTTTGACCAGGTGTGTCATTCACACAGTCCGCAAAAAACCTGGCCCTCCCACCTTAGTCCTTTAATATGCAAATGTGGGTCGCCATGATGTTCTGAACACATGGTGTTATCCGGAGGTGGCCATGACACTTGGCACAGGTGGTAGGAATCGCCATATTGCCCATGTCAGATGAACCTAGTTTTTAATCACTGGCATTTGCATATCAAAGTTTTCCAGCCTGGCTCTTCAGCCGCCTTTTCTGTTAGAGAAGAAATGTTTCGGGCGGTTGCTTTTTATTGCAGGAAAATTTTCACAGAGAACCTTTACCACTACTATCAGCCTGAAAGTTATTTCTTAATAACTCCTGTATTATTCCCCCTTTAAAGAGACGTAAACCTAACTGCTGTTAGGGGGTGTTGGATGACGATTCTTTCTGGCTACTTCCTGTTGAAAAGGGGTGTCGTGTGGGGGAACAGCAGTTGGGCCTTCTCCTGAGGTTGATTTAAGGGTTTTTGGAAGAATAGCGTGTCTGTGTTTGGCTTTGTTTGCAGCACTGTTTGGAGTTTGGTTACCTTTAGGCGAAAAAAGATAAATTTTACAAGAAAGTTTAAAATACAGAGTTAGAATATAAGCATTAAGATTACCACCATTAGTGGGGGTCCTATAGACCATAACTGACAGTAGAGTTTGACACCTGTTTGTTACACCAGTGGATTGCAATACCGTTTTGTTTTTACTAGATGTCGCTGTACATTACCAGAAACGTTAACATAAAAGTAACATTTTTCTTGAGGAAAAGCATATATTTCCCCCTTGACTTGCCATTAGAGAGGAATTTTAGGCTTAGGCTATTTTTATAACTTGCAATATGATCGGGAGAGATATGTTATTGGGTGGCTAAAATAATTTTAGCATTAATTTGACAATTTATTAATTTTTTTATAGCTTCCACAGACTACAACATACTTAAACTTTCTGACTTGTTCTAAACATCTTTCCTTCAAATAACCAGTTGTTGTTGTTGCTGTTTTTTTTTTTTTAGGACAAGTATTTACCATACAAAATCTTTCCTTATATAAAATCTTTTTTAAATAACAGTCTTTTCCTAGCTTAAAGTGCATTGTATTATCAACCTTTAGTAAAAAAGTCGTATTAAACTTAGTGATAGTAAAACTTTTATACTTACTTTTTATCCCTATTACTTTTGCTATAACCAAAACAACCTTGAGTAAATCTTTCCTGCAATTATTAATCCTGTTATAAGGATGATAATCAGGCAAAATATTACAGCAATTAGAATTTTACAACCAGAATTCCACATTGTGGGTGACACAGTGTATAGTTTTATTGCAATTAGTAGTGGGATGATAACAGTTTCCACAAGAGTGGCATAGTAAATAATTTCCATATAAAATTATTTCTTTACTTGCCAAGATGTAATCTTCTTTGTGGGTTTATAAAGTTACAAATGCAATCCCATGTATAATTAAAAGTTGCTTGCAAATATGAGTTAAAAAGAAGTTTTAATATTTGGTGGTGAACTTTGAGAGGAAAGGTTAGGTAGGAGTGGGATTAAGATGAATAGCCCTTACTTAGTTACTTATTTTTTATGAGTTTTAGCTTAAGATTTTCTGTTTCTTCACATTTATGTTTAGGACATTCCTCTGGGCTGTCAGGGGTTGCTCCCTTAGCTTTTTAGACTTTGACTTGAATGTGATGTATCCAGAAGTTGGTTTCTGTAACTTTTATTGCCAAAGGGGTTGAAAGAACAGTGTAGGGCCCTTTCCAGCTTGGCTTATGGAAGGAGAGAGAGATGAGAGTTTTTGCTAATACTAAATGTCTTGGGTCGAATAAAGGTGGCTCTGTTTTCTGGGGTTGGGCTTCTGCTAGTTGTGTCAATTTTTGTTGGAAGTAATAGGTTACATGCTTAACCAATTTAGAGGTTTTCTGCCTGAAAACAATATCTGAGCACATTGATAAGTTTTATCCTTTCCCAAGTGAAAAGCTTGGTGAAAGATTTTAAGGACTTTCCATTGGCTGGAGCCTGGCAAATGGAGTTTGCCATTATTTGACCATAGCAATTCTGAGGGCTGGAAAGTATGCCCTTGAGAAGTGGCCTCTTTTATTTCTGTAGGGAATACTGAAGTTTAATTTCTTTTATGGAGCCTTCCTAGATTAGAAGCAGTTTGAAGCATGTTGATGCCTTGAGGCTTCCTTGCCTTTGACCTAGCTGCCTGATTAGCCAATTTATTTCCTTTGGCTACCTCACTTGTTTCTTTCTGATGTCCCCTGCAATGCATTCTTGCTATTTCTTGTGGAAGAAAAACTGAGGATAATAACCTATTGATTTTCTGGTGATATTTTATAGGAGAGTCATTAGTGGTAAGAGAATATCTTTCCTTTCAAATGGCAACATGAGCATGGAAAATTAGGAAAGCATACTTGGAGTTAGTATAAATGTTAGCTACCTTTCCTTTGCTTAATTCAAGTGCTCTTGTAAGAGCTATTAGCTTAGCGAATTGAGCGCTGTGCCTGGGAAGAGATGTTATTTAGAGTGACTACTGCTTATCCTCCTTTTGTATTTCTTGTTTTACTGGCTGTTAGCTAAGAGCTTTCCCTAGAGGACAGTAATTCTGCCACAGTATGTGGGGTGTAAACAGTTAAATTATTTCCTAGGGTTAACTTGGAGGCTTTTTTTGCCTAGTAGAGCTATTATGACAGTGGCTTGGAAGCATGTGTATATAATAGGTCCTTTTAACTGCAACCAAGGTTGAGAAAAATATTGGATTAGAGTTTCTTCTGAGACACTCCTTACAGTCTTGCTATGGGAAGAGGGGAGGCCTGGATTAGAGAGGAGAAAAGAGAGAGACTGGCTTTAGTGTTTAGAAGGAGGTTTACTTTCCCTTCTTTAATTTTCAGCATTACTCAGGGCTCTTGTGCTATAATGGCAGTTTGAGCTGCTGGAGCCAGGGCTTGAGCCCTGGGACCCATCAGTCCTGCTGGACCATCTGTGAGACTGGTCCTGAACCCAGTGACCTCCACCTCTGGGGGCAGTTCTGTCTCCAGTGGTCTCTGCCACAGGCTGGACAGGGTTGAGGTGGCTTTTTCTTGCTGCCTGGGCCTTCCTTTTTAAAATTCCCTGGCCTGCTACCCTGATAGCAACTAGCAGATGCACCTCGGGGATCCTGGACTTTGCAAGCCTGCAAAGCTGCTGCTAGAGCCTTTGTCCTTCTCCTGAGATTTTTCTTTTTCCTTTGGGCCTCCTTCTGGTCCCTATTATAAAAGACCAAAGTGGTCACCATTAGGAGACTTTCTAAGGTGCTATTTGGTCCTATAGCTTGCTTTTGTAGTTTCCTTTTAATATTGGGAGCTGCCTGTGTAATAAACTTGTTTTTTAGAATGAGCCATCCCTTGATTGAATTAGGGGTAAGGGGTTGTATTCTATTAGCGTCTTTCTCAGCCTTTTCATAAAGGCTACAGGATTCTTATCTGTCTTTTGGTCTATTATAGACAGTTTAGAGTAATTAAGAGGTTTGGCCCTCATTTTCCATGGCCTTCTAAAATCATATTAAAAAGTGCTTTTTTCATTTATTTCCTGAGTTTTTGGGGTTTCAGTCAGAGTTGTTTACTGGAACTGCTTCCCTCCCAGTTGGGAATGGTGTTTCTACTATTTTTTTGCTTTCCTTATTTGCTTTCTTCCCTTTTGGTGTATTATAGGAAATATATTGCTCACCTCTGAAATTCTCTGTTGCTTGCACAGCTGCTTGCTTTTTAGCTGCCATTAGGGTCTGGTTTAGGAGCAGTATAACATCCTTCCATGTGAGGTGAAATACATGAGTTAAATTTTGGAAAACTTCTATATACCTATTAGGGTCTTCGGAAAATCAGCCTATGTTTTCCTTTATTTGCCTAAGGTTCTATAATGAGAAGGGAACTTAAAAGGGCCCCAAATAAGGGGGATTTTTAGATGGTTCCCCTGAAAGTTGCTTTTTTAATTTTGGGGAACTTTTTCCCTGGCTCTGTCTGATAAGATTGCTAAAAGAGCTGGGTTGATCTTACAGCACTTGCAAAGGTTTGGTAAAAATGCCCTGTCCTTGTGCAAAAGAAAATGAGTTGCTTTTCTCTTTAACGTTCTCAGGTTAAGGAAGTTCTGGTGTTTTAGAGTGCACTTCAGAGGGGTGTAAACTGAAGATAATTTATTACCCATTTAGAAAAAGAAGTGAGAATAAAAGCATTTTTTTAGTCTTCTTCGTTTCTGTATGACCCAGAGTGGAGGAGAAGACAGGGAGCATTCTCCGACTGTTTTCCCTTTCTGGTTTTTGGATCTCGGCACCATGTTAAACGTGCTGCCCATGGTTGAAGGCATGGTGCTGCAAGCCATGGAACTGGATGAACTAAGTGGTGGGACTAACCACGCTTACCCACGCAACCTTAGCTTGTCCACCTTGTATGATTCCCCCTTTCACTTCCTAAATTTGTGATTTGCCTGGCTTTCTAAAAAATGGATCTTGGAGAGCCTGTGTTGCCTTTGGGCAAGGCTTCTTTAACAGAGGAAACGTGCTAGATTGCCTGCTATTATGGCCCATGCTAAAGCACTTACCTTTAAAAAAAAATGGTTCTAGTTAACTTCCGAACTTAAAATCCCCTTACTAATTAAGTAACATTTTAATAGGAAACACTATAGGTGCCTTAGAAGAACGTAGAAACCAAATGGCCATCTTTTTTGCTGATGGGAAAATATTGAGACTAACATTTGACTACAGAAGATATCTTACTCCCAACTGCTGAAGGCAGAACTTTCCTCATCACAGAAGTAGCAGTAGAAAAACTTAAAAAGGAAAAGTTGCAAAGCTGCAATGTACTGCAGAGAACTAGCAATGTGTCCTGTATTAGTGAGAAACAATTAAGTTATGTTTGTTGAAACCTTGAGAGAGAGGAAAGGACTGCATGACTTTGGTGATGTAAAGGGACTTTCAGATGGGCACAGGTCTGAGGGTTGTGTTTGGAGCTGTATGTCTGGCTAGATAATCAAAGCACTTTGAGCACTTGAACTCACACTGACACTCAAGCCAAGGTAAAATCAGCCCGCCTCCTGTGATAGAGGGACACTCTCTGATGGTGTAAGGTCTCTGGGGAGCACCCATTCCCAAGAATGGGGGACCTCCCAGATGCCCCAGGGTGCAGCTAAAGGAGGGGGTGAACATCTTGCCAGCAGAGATCATGAGGACCTTGGTCCTCTAGGGCACTCAAGATACAGGCCAAGGGCAAGGAGATCCAGTTCCTAGTGGAGGCAGATATCTGAGACAGCCTTAGGACAGCATCACAGACTGTGGTTGAGAAGTTGATACAAAGCCCTCTATGTATCTTCAAGATAGAAGGTAGTTCAAACCAGTGGCCTCTGTCAAGGGTACCTTTTCCAGGAGGATGGAAATTCCAAGGGAATTCAGGCTTATGAAGGTCTTAGGCACAGAGCTTCCCATCTCTTCCTTATCACCATATTGGTCTGCAGAGGGTAGGCAGGACCCTGTTCAGAGGGCCTTTGACAGAGGGTACTGGTGCTTACATTCTAACTACTATAGCAGAGCTCCACTAATTACATGTGACAAAGTCGAAGATCAAAACACCAAAGTCATGTTAAAGAAATACATTGTCTCTGGGAGCTAGGAAGCCCACAGGTGGATCTGGCTTCAGGCATGATCATTTTCAAGAGGACACGCATCAGGGCTGGTTGTTTCCCAGCTCTCCTTTGTTCTGTGTGTTGACTTTAACCTCTGTGTACTCTTAGGCTTTCTCCACTCTGTGGGAAAATGGCTTCCATCAGCTTCAAGCCTATTTCTTCTTTTCAAAGTCCCTTTTAGAATGTCGCTCAGAGCCACAGATTGTTCCTGCTGGGTGATGTGCCTATCATGAACCGGTCCCTGGGGCCAGGGATGAAGCTGGGTTTTGTTTGTTTGTTTGTTTGTTTGTTTAGAGAAGTCCTTATGTTTCTCAGCTGTACTTCATTTTGGGCTTCCGTGATCCTCCTGCCTCAGCCTCCCAAGTAGCTGGGACTACCAGGAGTGCCACTGTACCCAGCTGAAGCTGGTTATTTGACAAGGCCCAGGTGATATGCCTACTCTTGAGGCTGGGGCAGTAGAGTGAGGACTCCCCAACCCCATCCCAACCACATGGAATGATGGATTAATATGGGACAAATGACACATGTGATTGCACTCTCCCATCAGAAAGATAAAAAAAATCCCTCTTCCTTTCCACCCCTCAAGTTCCTAAATGGCTTTCTTGCATTTACTCTCAGACAACTTTAAGAGGAGAAATTGGAAATCCTTGCCAGCTCACCTTGTCTCTCTCTCTTTTTACTTTGTAATTCATTGTAATCAGGTTTTCACTTGCATTACTCTTCTGCCACATCTAAAGGCCTGTAGTGAGTCCCATTCCTAGGAGAGTGATTAAGAATTCATTGTAGAGCCAGCTAGCTGGGTGACTTCGGGCAAGTTGCCTAACTTCCCAGGATTTTAGCTGCCTTCTCTGTAAGTGGGAGGTTGATAGTTCCTACCACCTAGAGTTGTTGTAGGGAGCAAATGAAATTACACATGTAAAGCACCCAGAGCAGTGCCTGCCATAGGGAATGCTTACAAGTAACAGATGTTATTAAGGAGTCACTGCATTTGACAACCTTGCCCCTCTTTGCTTCTGAAAGCCTTCTCTTCTCTATCATTTCCCATCACCACTTTCCCACTTCTCCTTCCCTACCCTGCACCATGTCTCTTTAGTCAGCTCCTCTCTTGTCCCGGCACATGTGTGCCCAGGCTGTCCTGTTCCTTTTGTTCCTCTTATATTTTGCCACAGGTTTCCCCCATGTGATTTCATTCACCCTGTTTATCACTGAAAGTTCTGAAATAGTACATCTCCAGCCCAGGCCTCTGTCTCGAGCCCCAGACCAGGCTCTTTGACACCTGCTAGAGTATTCAGTGTTAGAAGTACCTCAAACATGCCCCAAACTGAAGTTGTGATCTTGCCTTCCATCTTAAGTTGGCTCCTGTTTCTATAAATTTGATATCATTTAATAGCAGTGTTTACTCTCACTCATGCTCTTGCCCCTTTTCTCTATTACCATGGCTGCTGCTTTTGAACCAATCTTTGTCATATTTACTTGGATAACCTACTTGGCCCTCCAGCATCTGTGTCCCCACTACAGCCCATCTTCCACACTCTCCCAGTTATTTTTATACAAAATAAAGCTCTAATTGGCCACCACCACTGACAGCTGAACTACCCAACTACCTCTTCCACTCAGCTTAGCTTACAAACCAAGCCACCCTCATTGCCAGCACATCCCTCATCCAACCCTGACCCCTGCCACACTGAACTTCTGAGCGTGACACACCATGCCTGGCTAACTTTTTGTATTTTTTTACAGATGAGGTTGCACCATGTTGCCCAGGCTGGTCTTGAACTCCTGGGCTCAAGCGATTCTCCTGCCTTGGCCTCCCAAAGTGCTGGGACTGCAGGCGTTGAACCACTGCACCAGGCCCTTTGTTTTTTCTTGATACTAGATTTATAGCTTAGCAATAGCCCAAATACCCATTGTGATTAGCTATTTACAAGTATTTTTCCTAATACAGTGTTTAAAATACACTAGACATTCTTATTTCTTGAGTCACTGAATGAATAGATTAATGACTGAATGAGTTAATAAAATGGAAATACAGTAAACACATACAATATACAATAAGGTACATTTTTATGATCTTGACATTCTCCAAACTTCCCAAACAATTAAATGAATACTTTGTTCCTTATCAAAACATGTACAAGAAAGAAGTAAGCACTACTGCTTTGTCTCTCTTTGTGTTTATAGTAATTTCAATACTTAAAAATTCAAACCATTGCTTTGACTGCTGTAATGCCTTGTTGAGGAAAGTTGATGTATAGAGACAGAAGATACCATGACCTCTCTGGCTTATAGACTGTGGGGAAGTTTTTCTAAATTCTCTTCTCTCACACTGGTAGCATATGCAGCATTGCAACATGGCCCTTCAAATCTAAAATATTTAGCTGTGTGCAGTAACAGGTACCCTTCCGTGTCATTGAGAGAGGGAGGAAAGTTTTATCATGACAGAAATGCTCATACTCTGAGGATATAATAGAGAGTGAATACTTGAGGGTAGAATTAATCAAACAACTCTTCTTGATGCTGGATATTTTAGCCTAAAGGAAAATATAATACATGAGTTTAGCTTTTAATGTTTCAACAGCTTCACTGATTGTCCAGAAGTCATTGTGTGCCCACTTTCCTCATGTGTTCATCTATTGCCAGTGTTACTTTCTGTGCCAAGATATGAAAAACTTGCTATTGACTTGGTCATGCTCTTGCCAACACCTCATAGCACTGAAAATAAGGCGATTATCCAGAGATGGGGGCCCACCTTCCAAAGACAGTGGAGGTTTCCCAAGGCACTTCCAATCACAAAAAACAGTGAATTCACAAACATCCACATGTTTTCCCAGCTCTCATCTCAGTCATCATTTTAGCTGCTCCCCAGATTCTTTCATATTCATGTTACTTAAAAAAAACCCTGTAAGCCAGGCGCAGCGGCTCACGCCTGTAAACCCAGCACTTTGGGAGGCTGAGGCGGGTGGATCACCTGAGGTCAGGAGTTCAAGACCAGCCTGGGCAACATGGTAAAACCCCGTCTCTACTAAAAATACAAAAATTAGCTGGGCGTGGTGGTGCGTGCCTGTAACCCTAGCTACTCAGGAGGCTGAGGCAGGAGAATCACTTGAGCCTGGGAGGCAGAGGTTGCAGTGAGCCGAGATTGTGCCATTGCACTCCAGCCTGGGCGACAGAGTGAGACTCTGTCTCAATAACAACAACAACAACAACAAAAACCCTCTAAAGTCATTTATACTACCTATGCACTGTGAATCTACAGTGTCACTGGAAAATTACCTTCCTTTATGAAGCCAGCTATCTTTCTGCTCAGCCTCCCAACTTGTAAATTCTAAGTGGATGCTCTCAGTAGCATGTGCTTTCAGCCATGATGCTGAAGGTTAGCTCTTGAGTGTGTTTTTCATAGCATGCAATAGTCATATTATAGAACTAGAAACTTATGAGATTTAACAAAGATGATTAGCGTAATAGACTTAACACTCACCAGCATAATAGACTTAAAACTCACCTGCTACATGAAATCATCTGTGTCCATACCATTCCCCACCTTCCTTTCCTCTGAATTATCAATACCATACCTTTTAGCACTTGGTAAAACACCATTGTGGGTTCACTATTGTTACATTTTAGTCTTTTCAGAAAATGTTTATATTCTTTTGGGGGGACCACTATTTAAATTTTTATGTAAGTTGTGTATTTATTCTGTTAAGAAAAAACACAAGGGGCCCAGCCTGGTGGCTCATGCTTGTAATCCCAGCACTTTGGGAGGCCGAGGCGGGTGGATGGCTTGAGCCCAGGAATTCAAGGCAATGTTGTGAGACTCCATCTCTATTTTTTAAAAAACAGGCTGGGCGCGATAGCTCATGCCTGTAATCCTAGCACTTTGGGAGGCCAAGCTGGGCGGATCACATGAGGTCAGGAGTTTGATACCAGCCTGGCCAACATGGTGAAACCCCATCTCTACTAAAATACAAAAATTAGCTGGCCATGGTGTCATGTGCCTGTAAATCCCAGCTACCCAGGAGGCTGAGACAGGAGATGTGCTTCAGCCTGGGAGGCAGAGGTAGCAGTGAGCTGTTTGTGTCACTGCACTCCAGCCTGGGTGACAGAGCAAGACTCCATGTCAAAAAAAAAACAAAAAAAACAGACACTCGAGAAAAATTATATCATAGAGATAAGAACCACCTAGCCACCTTTTTTCATATAAAAAAATCACCCGTAATCTCACCATCCAGAGATAACCTCTGTGGTTAACATTAGGGATATAATACTCTAGACTAAGATATATGTGTGTGTGTGTGTGTGTGTGTGTGTGTATTTTTTAAATTAAAAATATTCCTATACATACTGTATTGCACTTGCTTTTTTGCTTAATTATATTGAAAAACTTCACCTATGTTATCTTTCTTCAGCCTTATGTTAAATGATCACATAAAAATTTTAATGTGTGCATATACAATAATGTACATAACCAATTCCTGATGATTTATTTTATATATATATATATATATATATATATATAATTTTTTTTTTTTGAGACAGAGTCTTGCTCTGTCACCCAGGCTAGAGTGCAGTGGCACGATCTTGGCTCACTGCAAGCTCCGCCTCCCGGGTTCATGCCATTCTCCTGCCTCAGCCTCCCAAGTAGCTGGGACTACAGGCACCCACCACCCCGCCCGGCTAATTGTTTGTATTTTTAGTAGAGATGGGGTTTCACCGTGTTAGCCAGGATGGTCTCGATCTCCTGACCTCGTGATCTGCAGCCTCAGCCTCCCAAAGTGCTGGGATTACAGGCGTGAGCCACTGCACCCAGCCGATTTATATAATTTTTAATTGTATCTCATGGGTTATTATATTTTCTTGCTTGAGGAGACGACTATAATTGAATATATTTCTAGCAATAGTTTTAAACAAATTTTATGATATTAATTTCTGAAATCATATTAAGATTGAATATATTGAAACTCAAATATTTTTCTCACTTTAGGAGAGCACAAGCTTCATTTTATCCCTGCCCTGATTGGCCCCTTCCTAGAAGTGACCTTGATACCCCAGCCAGATCTTCGGAATGTCATGATTCCAATTTTTCATGATATGATGGACTGGGAGCAGAGGCGGAGTGGCAACTTTAAACAGGTAGGCAGAAGTGCTCCTCAGAAGAGTTGGAAGAGTTTCAGCTCTCCTGAAGCATCTGTGAACTTCTGGATTCAACTCCAACTTGGGAAATGAACACTGGGTCAGCAGACCTAGATTCCAGCCTGGCCTATCCACTCCCAAGCCACACAGCCGTGGATACTTCTCAGATCCTGTGTTGTCCTGAGCCTTCAGTGAAGCCCTGAAAACCATTTGATTCCTTTTCAGCTGAAAAATTTTGTGATTTCCCAGATCTGTATTTAAGAACTTGCAGAGACTTTATTTGCACCCAGTTGGACACAGAGCAGAAGAATCAGAGAGTTAATGATTAAACTCATTGAGCTCTCAGTGGTCTGCACATTGTATTTGGCAAATGGCTTAGCTTTGAGCATTTGATTTACAGTATGTTTTATTGCTCTTTGCTTGAAGCATTGAGAATTAATTTAAAGGAGAAAGCTGTGGAAATTCTTACAGAGGAAATTCCAAGGGAATGAGCTTACCATTTCTCATTGACATAGGTTCTAATAGTTATACTCCAGTTTTGGGAAAACAGGCTTATTACAAAACCAGATCTCTGAAGGAATTCACTGCTTTTGCTCTGCCAGGTCCTTCAATTTGGAGATAGTAGGCCTACTGTCTGTTCACACAGTCATGGCACAAACCTGTGTGCCCACAGGGTTTGACCCTTCCTCATGTTTCTCCAGAAGAAGCCTCCCTCAAATCTCAGGAATGGTTGTCAACCAGTCAAGCAATCTGACTGCAGACATGGAACCCTCCTATTGCCAAAAGCATGGGTGTTTCACCTGTATCGGTATACACATTTATTTTCAAGAAAGCTAATAGATGAATGAAAGACTATTTAAAAATTGTACTTAGGAAAGAAAAACCCACTTTCCTTCCCCCTTGTCTTTATCTCTTGATTGAAATTTGGTTTAAAGGAATAATAATTGGGCTTAGTCTTTTGACAAAGTCAAATATTCCTCCCAGTCCCTAATCGTTTTAACTCTCTCTGGCCATAGAGAAGTTTTTCATTTTCTGTCTCTTCTGCCTCAGATAGACATAGATAAAGGGATATTTTTCCATTCCTGATATTCAAGTTCCAAAGGATTTACATCCTGGAAAATATAAATGTTTTGACTACAGTTTTCAGGAAATATGTCCTTTCTCTCTCTTGCTGCTTATTGCTGACTTAGACTATTGCTATGGATCTACCATCTGTACGTGGGTAAGGCAAGTTCTCAACTTCAGCAAAGATTTAGTGCAACCTCAAACTGTTTTGAGAAAGAAAATAGATATAAAACACATCAAAGATTTAAATTAATGTATGTGGATATGTTAGTTTCCTGATGTCCTTATATATAGTGATGTTTAAAAAAAAGAAAAAAGAAACAGGACTTGCCAGTTTTTTAGCTCCTAAAAAAGAATTCAAACGTTTAAACTGGGCTGCAAGCATTTGTGTTTGAATCAACAAATAGATAGATGTCTTTGGCAGCAGTAAACGCTACCCAGCCAGGAGTGTGAAGTCATGTAACTCTATCTAGATTAGTCCCTTAGAATTCCAAAGGGTTGCCTGCTATTAACCGTAGCTGATAATGTCACTTTCACAAAATTTACCATGGCTTTTTCCTTGGCACAAAGAAATACGTTTTAACTTGCCTAGAAATCCTACTTGTGAAGGGGAGGAAAGAGAATAATAGTTGGGTATGTTTCAGGTGGAAGCCAAGCTAATTGACAAACTGGATAGCCTGATGTCAGAAGGCAAAGGTGACGAAACATACCGCGAGCTCTTCAACAGTATGTGAGTAATATGTTTATCTCAAGTTGATTCCATTCTGGGGGATTTGGTGTCAGTACTGAGCCTCTCTGCACCACGGTAGCTGAGAGCTGCAAAGACAGCTTAGGTCTCACAGGAGGGCTTTGTCTTTGTGGAGTGTGAAATAAAGGATAATTGCCTAACTCTGGCGAATGGATCTTATAATGTTGATGATTAGGCATGTCTTCCTGTTTTAATCTCTGATTAGGACAGGTTGCATATGTTACATAACAAATCTCCCTCTTTTCATGCCTGATAATTTTAAAACCATTCCTGCAAGATAATGATTTTAAGTGGGGTTATAAGTGGGAGAGGAGAAAAGGGGTGTGATTGTAATGTTTGTGTGCACTGCTTTCCAAAGCAAGATACTGATGCTGATTTGCTGTTGGAAAATTAACCTAGTTTGCATCTGTTCTTCAACACCTGATTTAATTAATTAATACTGATTGTTCGCTCAGCATTAATTGCTTCCTAAATGCTTTTTATTAGAATATCTCAGAAGCAAATCACTTTTAGTAAATTCTGTGTTTTGGATTTGTATGGAAGATAGAGAAATAATGGAATGCTGTAAAGAGACTTTAAGGTTGCCCTACCCATAGAATCTGATCATAGCCACAGGATGAATTGCTTGTACCAAGTATTCATGCGTTGTGTTTAAATGGCCAGAAGATACAGTGAGAATGTTTTAGTGCTTTGGGATTTCACTTCTGGCACTTGTTTTCTCTACAGCTTCCTATGGATCTTAGTCATTTTCAAATCTAACATATGTGCAAAGTATTTCTTTTTGAAAGAAGAATTTGCTTATTGTGCTTGAAAAATGTTTGCAGTTCTTTCAGAAGTGCAAAATAATGCAGTAACACATTTTTTTCTATGACAAAATATATTCGTGTTTGTATTTATGCCCAAGTATCACCTAAAACTAAATATCAGTGCTTTAGTATTGATGGCCAGGTCCAAAACTTTATGATCATGAATTTACAACAGTAGAAACATTAATATATAGGCTTGAAGAATATAATTAGTGACTAATAGGTTAGATAGATTTCAGCATGCCTGATTAAAAATTATCTTGAAGCTTTTAAGAAAATTACATTAAAAGGAAAAGCCAAGAAGGGTATAGAGATTTCCTGTGGTAGTGGTGGGTGATAAAATATATTCTTTGTACTGGATTCTGAACAGTATCATTTTTTTCTGATATGGTAATTAAATGAGAGGTTTTCATAATTATTCACCAAGACCTCATTCATTCTAGTGTACACAGCTTCAGTCTTTTATGGCAGCTTGGAGTTTAGCAAGAATTCTGATTAAAATCTCATGCAGTATAATAAATTGCTTTTGAAAACTGCTCTCATTTCAGTTACTAGTCCTTGGTTTGAACAAAGAACCAAAATGAGAAAGCACTCAGTGAAATGAATCTCTTGAGATTTGTGATTAATTATTTATAACAAATTCACAAGATTAATAAATACTGACATAGTTCTTTAGTGCCTCTTATCTACTTTAATAAAGGCTTGATAATATGCAATTTCAGTTGCTCATGTATAAATATGACTTTGAAATAGAAGATGTACCTCGACATGAGAATCAAACCAATAATTAAAATATTAAGCCTCTATAATCAGGACTATTTTAAGGTACCTGATTCATTCAATAGAGATTTTTATACTTTTGTTGATTTTTAGGATATTACTAGAAATGCTACTATAAATAATTTCCTTTCATGCTTTTACGATCAGCATATTGGGAATAAATCAAATCAAAAGTGATACTTAAGTGTCATTACTACCTGAGCACAAGAAAGAAGGCGTAAATATTACTTTATTTCAGGAAACAATAAATTGCTTTTTTGGCAACAGAAATCACAATGAATTAGTATAATCACAATGGGTCACTGCACACATTATGAATTAGGAACACATGCCGTTATATGGTACAAATTCTCATTTGTTACGTGTAATTCATGTCTAAAACCTCTTAAAATTTGTTCTGAAGCTGAAAAGCTGTAAGTAGTTCACTGCTTCCTAAATTGTAGTGCTTGCCAAAATGGACCCCTTGGAGTAAGACTTTAAATTTGTCTAGTACCTTCCTTGCTAAGAACTCAACTCATCTTTCCCTAAGCCCAAACATTATCTTCATTAATGCATACTACATCTTTGTGAAACTTATTTCATAAAGATGTATTCATTTTGATAACACTGAAATTCTAGATTATAGACACCAACATGCAATATCCAGAATAGAGTATCACAACTAAATTCTGCTTCCCCTGGCTCCACCTGATTCGCTCATTCCGCTTTATCTATTGGGCACTCCCCAGGGCTGGGGATCCAGCAGTGACTGTGCTGTGGAAGCATACAGTAGGTCTACCTACAGTCTTGGGGGCTCTAAAGGGGCTTTCCAGAAGAAGTAACATTCATCTCAGGTATTTCTTAGTCTTTCGCTCTGCCTTCTCCTATGCAGTTCTAAATAATTCAATAAGACTCCACATTATTTCAAAGATTTTTAGTGATCACACATTTAATTACCATTTGGAGACAGAGAATTCACTATGTGACACCATACCTTACATCTCTAACTCTACTCTTTGGATTAAAAAGAGCATGCACAGACACAGGTGTTATATATTAGAGTGATGACTTCTACGTAACCCCATTATGATACCGAGAGAGGGAGATTGAGGGTGAAATCCCCGACACACACACAGATTTCTTTCATAGAGTGAAAACCTGGTGAGCAGAGTCATCCCTGCAGGGCCATGGCTTGTCTTGCTTCCCAGGGTTAGGAATTTCTATTGCATAGAACAGAGCAGCCTTATCAATTAGCAATGAGAAACCCCCTTTCACTGTTATCAGGGTTCCCTAGCTCAATGTGGGCACATGGGCATTATTATAGAGTAAATGAAAATACCCACTCTCACCCGGGTTACCTAGAAAGACTCTTCTCTTCTTGATGATAGCCTCTCTTTCTCAGTTTGTATCAGGTAAACAGGGAAATGGCAAGATTCCCAAGAGAGGGAACAAGGCTGGCTGAGCACACAGATGATCTGGGTTTTAGACTCAGTCCTAACATTTGGTCTTGAGTTAGTCAAGGAAACAGGTTGTGCATAACTTTGCCTCTTCTTACAAGAGGATTATGTAGCTCTTACTGCATCAGAAGTCTGTGCAAATTAATGAAACTTATGCCCATAAAAGAAGTCTCCATGTATTTTTAGAATTATTACCTAACTTGAGTTCTTTGTTTTTCAGCCTCTAAAGTATGAGGTGTAGGCTGTCACGGGGAAATTTCTACATCATTCCGCATTGCTTTTTGGCAGGCAGATTTTCATTTGAGTTCAATACAATTTGCAATTTAAGCCTGAAAGAGGTGCTGTTCAGAGGTTTTTAAAAGAAAACACATTTTAAACAAACTAGGGGACCTTCGCTTGCAGGACTGGTCAGGGCAGATTCCATCCCTTCCATATGCAGTTTCCACTCTTAACCTAAGAAACAGTTTAGAATAAACCAGAAAAACAGGATGAGGGATGCACAGGAAACACAGGAGGAGACAAGACAGAAGGCTGGGCACTAGAATGCCAATAACAAGAGAAAGAGGTAGGGGATGATGGAGAGAAAACTTGGGAGAGAACATAGCCACAGACAAGAGAAAGCTTTGACAAAACAGCTTTCTTCTTGAATGTTTATTTTTGAACTAAGTACATATATGATATGCTTAGACTGTACTTGTAAGAAATGTTTTCTCTCTTATTCCTGAAACTAAGATGAAAGACAAATAAGATTTTAGACAGAAATGGCAATCATTAAATTTCAAGGGGTAGGGAAGTATCCACATATTGCCATGCTTAATGTTCTTGCTTTTATCTTTTGGGGGAAGTTCAATCATAAAGCCTTTGCCAAGTACACTGTTAATTTGCTGAGAGGTGGGAGTGAAAGTGACACAGATTGTAATTATCATGATTGTTATTATTTTGTGTTTACATAGTACCTGTGCTCCAAGGTGCTTAGGATTAGGGGAAATGTAGGAGGAGAGATGTGGTTCAGTACTTGTCATCAATCTGCTGTAACAACCACATGGAAAATCCTCTGTGATTAGTGACAAAATGAATGAAACTGTTGAGTGAGTGCACAGATAGTACAATATGTATTGAGTGGGCAAATGTTAAGTGAAAGGAAAAAACGCAAAACGTCATACCAGCTGTACAAGGATTTTCCTGTAGCAGTTGCATTGCAGTAAAATTGCTTGGATGAAGATGCATTCCACTGAGAGGTAGGAAAATATTTTTATGTGAATAAAGCAAGATCTTGCTTAAAAGTAAACTTGGAGGCACTCCTGTTTTTGCTTTTTGCAGTGTTATTTGATGTGGTAAGACGCAAGCCTCTGTTAGTGTAAGGGAGAAGCTAGGAAAAAATGTCTTTGAGCTGTGAGATGCTTGTATATTTTGAAAATATGATTATATGCATGTGTTTGTATTTTATGACTTGGATAATCTGAAAATCAATTTGCTTTGTCAATGCTTCCTGGATTAGAATTCCACTATTTGGTCCCTATCCTAGGTAAGACATTGTTTGCAAATTGTGCTACTTGTGAGATGTTGCAGTGGTTGCTAAGGCATTTAAGGTACTGATGAAAGTAAAGTGGTTGTCATGGTGACTGATAAAAATAAATGTTGAAAATGCCCCGGGTTCTTTCTTTTCCAGTCTACTAAAGAAAATTGAGCGGGAAACATGGCGGGAAAGTGGCGTTTCATTAATTGCTACTGTAACTCGTCTAATGGAGAGGTTGTTAGATTACAGGTAAGCCAAGTCGCATGTTTTTCTGAACTCCAGTTCATGCTGAACTCCAGTTAGAAAATCAAATAGAATACAATCAACGTTCCACTCTTGTGAATCACTCAATTGATTATCAGACCATGGAACCTGGTATACTAAGATAATGAACTTCTAACCAGCTGGTTCAGAGCTGTTAATTTGAGCTTTTGTTTGTTTTTTGTTGCTTTGTTTTGTTTTTTGATAGTTCTTTCAAAGTCTTGGTGAATTGAGAGGATTCTCGGAGTCCCTGAGAGTTCTCAAAAAAAAAAAAAATCTTTATTTTGGTATTTAGACTTAGCCCCTAGAACCAGTAGAACCAATCCATTTTAGGGTGAAAACAATGTAATGGAGAATTGTACAATCATGCTATTCTCTTAAATATTCTCTTAAAAAGGGGACGTGGGTGAGATGAAACTCACAGTGTCACCTTCCATAGACCTATGTTTTTTATTTTTATATTATCTAAACTGTTAAAGTAGTTAATCCCACTTAAATACATGGTAGTTTGGTTTTATTTTAGGAATGAAACCCTCATTCTCATTGTTAATGGCCAGGCTTACCAGCCACTTCTCACCCTACTGTAGGAAGTGTACAATAACACATTTTCACTCCTCTAACTTCCTGAGCCCATGTCCATTGAGAGGGAGCATAATCTTGACATGGCAATGAAATTCTTAACAGAAGCTGATGCTCAGGAGTCTCTGACTCCCCAGATTCCCTAGAGATTAGATTATCAGTCCTTGGAACATGTATCTAAATGAACGAACGCTTGCAATGCAAATTGCCTCTGGTCCCTAAAAGTGGCTTCTTTTTTTTTTTTTTTCTTTCTTTCTTTCTTTTTTTCCCCCAAAAAGAACAAACTGTGTTTGCCCCTAGGAAGGAAGTTCTGAGTTCTGACTATTGCTTTTTGTTTTTAGGGACTGCATGAAAATGGGAGAGGTAGATGGCAAAAAGATTGGCTGCACAGTTAGCCTTCTGGTTAGTAAACTATTCCCCTTTTTCTCCTTTTCTCCTAATACTTGTATTTTTTTCCCAGAAATACTATGTTTTGTTTGTGTTTAATCTGCAATGTGATGTTTCTTAGAAGAGTTATTTTTAAATTTACAAGTGTTTTTAAGAGAAGCATAGTGAGCTGCAGGTTAAATTAAAGTCCAGGAAATCCTCAGTCCCAGACATTACAAGGTGCATCCCCTGCATTCCCCACAGCCCTAATAGGAGACCCGTGTGGGATCCCAGAGTGATGCCATTGGGTTCCCCGGTTGCACTACTTCACCCTCCTAGAGTCTTGTTGCTGTCCTAGCAAAAAGCACTGTATCCCCTGTTAGAGGTCTTTCTACTTTGTGTAGCAATTTCTTTCTGTTCTTTTCCTTTCTCACAGAGTGATATGCAGTCCACATTTTGATAAATATTAGTGATCTCTTCTTTTGTGAACAAATGACAGTTTTCTATTTAACACCCTAATTTTTACTCTAGCTTTTTTGCAAATTGAATTCATAATAGCACTTTTGTTAAGGTTTGCTTTGTAACTAGGATGACCAAGCAGGACATTTTTGAGAGTAAAATTAAACATTCTGTAAGGATAACAGGCTAATCCAAAGCTGTCCTGGGCAAGCCAACATTTATATAAAATGTCACATAACTAACTATTAAATAGAATGGTATTCTTACCACAGAGCAAAGGAGTGGCCCTACATTTAGATGTTTATTTGTCATATTTTAATGTAAGTCAAATTAATGTTTTGGATAAGTTCCTTCAATCAGATCTGAAGTACAGGAAAATATAAAATACAAGAAAAGTCTAGTTCTATATTTGTGAATCTCATGGTTTCTTTTTCTTATATTTTGTAGAATAAATGAATCCTCGCCATCTATTACATTCTAAGTTCTTGCACAGTCATTCTTATCCTTACTCTGATCATTTGAGTTCCTCACATGCCATATAGTTCTCTATTTGCTTGCACCTTGAAATTCTTTTGCCCCTACTTTGATTTTGTCTTTTCTTAGCTCATCAGTTTCTTTTTGTTTTGTTTTGTTTTGTATTACTTTGTTTACTCCTGTCACAGTTCGTCTTCAAAGCTCAGGGCTTCTGCTTTCTTGTGACTGTCTTTTCATCTATTTTCCTCATGTCTTGCTGTACTGCTTCTCATCTCTGAGCCTATGATGGTATCCGTCTTTATCACACCCACTGCCTCCTCCACATTTTTAATCTAATTGTTACATCTCCACCTCCAATATCAGTCCCTAAAAATAGTGAGACCTAAGCATCCTCTATCAGGCCACATCTTGTTCACTTTCTTCCATAATGTTTTCATTAGACCCAACGGTAACCTGCAGGCCATTAGCCCACGCTCACTGGGTCAGACCATTGACCTCTGCTCTCAGTACTCATTTCTAACTTGAACATAGTCATTCCCTCTCTTAAATTTCCTAGTTGATTCTCCAGTTTCTCACCTGCTTTTGCCAGCCTCTCATCACAGTGAAGACCCTCAGCCTGAGTTTCTCCCACATTCGTGCTTGTATGTCAGTGTTGGGAGAAAAGCTAAGTGCTTGATAAGCTTTAGGTCTTCTCTGTCTTCTTAACTCTGGTTCTACCTCAACTCCAGGCACAAAGTCCCATAAATAACCTCAAAGCCTTTACCTTTCCCCAAAGTAATCCTCTCCATTCTTCCATCTTCTTTCTCAAGTACCTTCCATTTGGAGATGAGCAAATAAATATAGACCTTATGTTCATTTCCACAATTGGTATAAAAGAAGAGATCACTTCCTTGGATGAAAGAATTAATACTCTGCCTTTAATGTATTTACTCTAGTCTCCCAGTAGGAATACACCTGAGATTTAATATAGTATAATCAGTAGCCCCATTACTAACCACTTGAGACATTATCCTGATAGCTTTGCACTGACCAAGAATAGTCCTTCTAGAAAATTTTAACACTTTGAAAGCTCTACTTATTTCAAACTAGCACAAGAATACTTATTAAAGAAGCAAATCTATCACTTTGAAGCTAATCTTTTTAGCCTCTACTCCACATGGAAGGTTCTTGATTTTTTCTAGTAGCAATGTGGTTCTCTTCATTTACTCACTTCCTCTTAGAGACTTCTCTTAACTCTTTGAAAAAGTCAATTCCAGATTGTCTTCAGGAGAGCTGTGACATCCTTTACAAGATCGGGGTTAAATTGGTTTTAAAAAAGTAATATTTGACATGACTAATACTAGGAAATGTAATTATTGTTTTGTTCTTTGTGTCACACACTTTGTCAGACATTTGGAAGATTATCATCTGCTGACTGGAGGTATTTTTTTAAGAGAACTATTTATTTAGAGTGATTGCTTGTTTTGTTCTCAAAGCTGCTTCTTACCAGAAAGCTATTAGAGCAAATCATCCTTTAGTCATATAAAAACCTGCTGTGGAGTTGTTAGACTTGTGTTTATGATACAACAATTCTTGCTAATTAAAATGATTTTGGTTATAATAAGAGAGACGTGAATAGCATTATTTATTGAGCTTTTTAAAGAATGCCAAGATCTACAGGAGACAAGAATAAAAGAGGGAGGATAATGGTATAAATTGAAAAAAAAATTTATGATGCATTTGACTTAATATCAGTGTCTCAAAGTTAGAAGAGTCCTCAGACTGAAGAATGGACACCTGTTAGGTAATGGGCGGAAAGTACATTTGATAGCAGATCCTCAGGCTTCAAGCCCAAGTACCATTTCAACAGCCACATTTGCTAGATCGGTCCATTATTACCAAAGCCCTGTCTACTAATCAGCTTTAAAAAGTTTTTAGAATTCCTGGCCTTTCCTCTTAGAAAAGCCTATCACTCCTCCAAGTCAACAGATTTATTCCCTCATCACCGATTTCCCCTTCTTCCACACACCAACTAGCATCAATTAAAACAGTAACAATAAGTAGTAATAGTAGTTCAAGTGTCTCCAGCAGAGATTTCATAATGCACAATGATTTGTTCACTAAACATGTCTTGTTTGGAGACTCACAACATTATGCTTTTACTAGAATCCAACTTCATTTACATTCACTTTTATGTTGAATAAGTTCAGTGAGGACTCATGTGCTTTATAATGTGGTGAAGAAGTAGCTTTGGATGCTTATCAGTATGCCTTTAAAATGCCAGCCTGGGCCAGGATCAGTGGCTCATGCCTGATCCCAGTGGCATCAGCACTTTGGGAGGCCGAGGCAGGTGGATCAGTTGAGGTCAGGAGTTCGAGACTAGCCTGGGCATCATGGCAAAACCCCATCTCTACTAAAAATTCTTAGCTGGGTGTGGTGATGCACACCTGTAATCCCAGCTACTCAGGAGGCTGAGGCAGGAGAATCACTTGAACTCGGAAGGCGGAGGTTGCAGTCAGCTGAGATTGCACCACTGCACTCCAGCCTGGGTGACAGAGTGAGACTCTGTCTAAAAATAAAATAGCCAACATAATTTGTCCAGGTAAGTAAAAGTTGAGTTTTGGTAAAAACATTTTAGAGATATTTCCTAAGATCTAAATACTTCTTAGGAAACAAAATATTTTCAATAAACATGTTTCTGTAATAATAATTTGAAATAAAATCTCTTATTTGTCCCTTTATGTTTTGGACATAAACTGGAAACATTTGAAGTCCAACGCATAGGAAATGCAGAATAACATCTTAAAAATAAAGAGCCTTTTTATTTACCCTCTTTCCCATTCTTTTACATTGCTTTTACTCATCCTTACCTGTATGTCTTAGAGATTTTTGCTTTTTATTTTTTTTTTTTAGAGATTTTTATTTTTATTTTTTTAGACGGAGTCTTTCTCTGTCACCAGGCTGCAGTGCAGTGGCATGATCTTGGCTCACTGCAGCCTCCACCTCCTGGGTTCAAGCGATTCTCCTGCCTCAGCCTCCCAAGTAGCTGGGATTACAGGTGTGTGC
The DNA here is from genome assembly GCF_000001405.40 of Homo sapiens. Lineage (NCBI taxonomy): Eukaryota > Metazoa > Chordata > Mammalia > Primates > Hominidae > Homo > Homo sapiens. The sequence continues at coordinate 111,778,921 of NC_000007.14, read as the reverse complement.
CACCACACCCAGCTAATTTTTGTATTTTTAGTAGAGATGGGGTTTCACCATGTTGGCCAGGATGGTTTCAATCTCTTGACCTCGTGATCTGTCCACCTCGTCCTCCCAAAGTGCTGGGATTACAGGCATGAGCCACCGTGCCCAGCTGAGACTTTTTTCTTTAGAGCAAAATAGCTTTGAAATTTAAAATGAAAGAAACTGTCCTTTGAGTATCAATCGGCCAAGTTAAAAAATGGATTAATCTGTTACGTATTTTTAATATTTTTTAGTTGAACAGGCTGATTGTTCATTGACATTTAAACTAACAAAAAATCATAAAAAGTAAAGAAATGTGAATCAGGGATAAAAACCCAAGAAACCAACTTATCCAGTAATTGCTAGGAAATGACTGACACTGTCACTGAGCCACCTTATTTCATTTTTAGAGATATTTACATGGAAAAATGAATCCGTTCTCTTGGCTCCAGACATGGAACTTTAGCAGAGTAAAAGGCAGATAATTGTAGGCCAGATTGTTGAGGAACTATCCATACCTGTACTCTTTTTTTACAGAACTTCTATAAGACTGAACTGAACAAGGAGGAGATGTATATACGCTACATTCACAAACTCTATGATCTGCATCTCAAAGCACAGAACTTTACAGGTAATTCTGTCTTTTGGCTCAGATTGGGAAGGGAGCTGATGTATTAATCATGATCATTCCTCCGCTTTTTGTAATTAGAGTGGAAAGACTCAAGCATTTCTACTTTAAAATTAAAATTTATTTTTAATTGGATATATATTTCTGCAGATTCTATATATATCATATACATGATACATACATGTAGGTTGTTTGACTATTTCTCTTTGCATACTTTTTCAGAGGTTGCTCTGGGGATTACAAAATACATACATAACTTCTTACAGTCTGCTTATAGTTAGGATTTTACCACTTCAAGTTTGTATTAGTCTGTTTTCACACTGCTGATAAAGACATACCTGAGACTGGGTAATTTATAAAGAAAAAGAGGTTTAATTGACTTACAGTTCCACGTGGCTGGGGAGGCCTCACAATCATGGTGAAAGGCAAAAGACACATCTTACATGGCGGCAGACAAGAGAGAGTTTGTGTAGGGAAACTCTCCCTTATAAAAGCATCAGATCTTGTGACACTTATTCACTATTATGAGAGCAGCATGGGAAAGACCCTCCCCCATGATTCAATTACCTCCCACCTTGTCCCTCCCATGACATATGGGAGTTGTGGCAGCTACAATTGAAGATGAGATTTGGGTGGGGACACAGCCAAACCATATCAAAGTTAAATGTGGGAATTTTACAACTATATAGGTCTCATTATCCTCCCCACTGTATGTTGTAGTTGCCACATGTATTACATCTACATACATTGAAAGTCGCATCAGATGGTGTCATAATTTTTGCCTTTCAATAGTCAGACCTATTTTAATGAATTTAAGAGGATAAAAATACTTTATTTACTCAGATGTTTACCATTTCTATTATTCTTTCTTCATTCATGAAGTTCCCAGGTTCCTTCTGTTATAATATTTTTGTTGAGCCTGAAGATCTTGTTTTAGTATTTCTTTTAAAGCAGATCCAGTGGTGAAGAATCTTCTAAGTTTTCCTTCATCTAAGAATGTCTTTATTTCACCTTTATCCCTGAAGGATATGTTTACTGGATACAGTATTGTAGGTGAACAGTTCTTTTGTGTCTGTACTTTAAAAATATAATTCCACTGTGTTCTGACCTTCATGGTGTCTAGCAAGAAATATGCAGTCATTTAAATTACTCAAGTACAAGGCCAGACGTGGTGGCTCATGCCTGTAATCCCAGCACTTAGGGAGGCCAAGGCAGGTGGATCGCTTGAGCCCAGGAGTTACAGACCAGCGTGGAAAATGTGGCAAAACCCCCGTCTCCACCAAAAATTCAAAAAATTAGCCCGTCATGGTGGCACATGTCTGTAGTCCCAGCTACTCGGGAGGCTGAGGTGGATCACTTGAGCCTGGGAGGCAGAGGCTGCAGTGAGCCAAAATTGCACCACTGCACTCCACCCTGGAAGACAGAGCCCGACCCTGTCTCAAAAAATAATAAAAAGAAATTACTCACCTACATGAAGTTTGTAACATTTTTCTGGTTGTCTTCAGGACTTTATCTTTGGTTTTCAGTGGTTTGATTATTATATGTATGGGCATAGTTTTCCTGTTTAGTTTAACTTGTTTGGGTTTGCTGAGGTTCTTGGATCTGTACATTTATTTCCTTTACCAAATTCGGGAAGCTTCCAAGCATTATTTCCTTAAATATATTTCTCTACCAGTTCTTCTCCTCATTTTGAGGACTGTAATGGCATGAATGTTGGGCCTTTTGGTGTTGTACCATAGGTTCCTGGAACTCTGTTCATTTTTGTTCAACTTCTCTTCTTCCTTTGTTTTCAGATCACTAATGTCTATTGAGTTAAGTCCACTGATTTTCTTCTGTTGCTTCATTCAGCTATTGAGCCTTTCCAGTGAGACGTTTATTTTTGTTATTGTATTATTCAGTTCTAAAATTTCCATGTAGTTATTTTCTTTTTACAGCTTCAATTTCTTTGCAAAGAATGTCTATCTTTTTATTTATTCAAAAATGTTCACCTTTACTTCATGGAGCATGGTTATGATAACTGCTTCATAGTCTTTGTCTATAATTCTAACATCTGCATCAAATTGGGGTTGGCATCTTTTCATTGCTTTTGCCCTTTGAGAGTTGTTTAGTTTTTTAAAAGTCAGATAATTTTGGATTATATTCTAGACCTTTTGAATATTATGTTATAGGACTCTGGAGTCTGTTAAAATCTTTAGGAAGACATTAATTTTTTGAATTTTAACAGACAGAAGTCCTTGTTATATTGATCCATTGGTTTGTTCTACACTTGTGCACCTTGGAGATGAGTCTGACTTCATATGCAGAATTTAGTATCCCTTTCTTGAGCTCCCTCCCCTCTGTGATCCTCCCCATTCTTCCTTTCTCCCAAGAACTTCCTTTCCTAGTACTCTGGCTATATAGCCAAGGCTTGATCCTCTCTCTTCATGCCATGATGCACTCCCTGCAGTTGGTCTCTCTGTGGGCAAAGCAGTCAAAGAAAAGAACTGATAGAAGGCACTATTGCCACTGCCACTGCCACTGCCCCCACTGCCACCCCTACAGTGTGCAGCTTTGTTTCTGAGACTGAGTGAGGCCAGAAATGTCTACAGCGCTTCACCCCACAGGGGATCTTCTACCCAGTACTCCGACTAAAGGGACTTTTCTTGGAGCTTTTTCTGTCTGTTCCCATTTGCAGTTCCAGGAAACAGGGAAGTCTAAGCCAGGAGATGTGGAAGGCAAAAAACTAAAACAGAATTAACTGTGGTATGGTCATTCTTTGAGTATTCGTTTTTTTCCTCAGTCCATCTGCTCTTACTTTTCAGAGTCCTCCAATAGTTGTGTTATATAGTCTCTCCAGGCTGTTTAGTTGTAATCAGTGGGAGAGATAGGGTGGAATGCATGTACTCCATCTTAAGCAGAACCCTTTAATTAGATTTGGGAACCTCAAATCTTGGTCCTTTGCCACATTGTTCTTCCAAGGAACTCCTGAATCATGGCTCCTCCCCAACTTTAAAAGAGTAAGGGAATCCTTTATGAAATGGTACTTCTGTTCCCAGAATTTACTCATTCCTCTAGCTGAGGTTCCACTGTCTCAATTAGTAGCATCACTATTTACTCAGTCAGAAGACCCTGATGTATCTTTGACTTTTCTAGCCTCCCTCAAATAATCATTCATGAAGTTCTATTAATTCTGTTGCCTAGAAATCTTTCAAAACCATTTCCTTTTCACTGTTCCCACCTTTACTGCCTCAGTTAGACCATCATTTCTCACCTGTCTGCCTCTGAACTGTCAGCAGAGTTATTCTTTGGAACAGGAGTCAACAAACTACAACCTACAGGCTAGCTACCTTATTTTGTAAGGGAAGTTTTATAACAGCTCACCCGTGCCCACTTATTTGTGTATTGTGTATTGCTGCTTTTGCGCCACAGTGGCAGAACTGGGTAGTGGAGACAAAGACCACAGCCTAAATTATTTACGGTCTGGGCCTTTAAGAAAAAGTTTGCCAACTCCTTCCCTAGATATCACTCTGTTGTCAGTGTATGTGTTCTACAAAATAAACTTCAAATTCTTTATTCAAGGTCTGTTGTAATTGAACCAACGCTTGTCTGTTCAGCCTCATCTTACCACTTGTACCACATACCCTCCTTTCATCCTTCAGGATCAGCTCCTTCACCCTCTTTTCCATGCAGCCATCCCCCTCCTGAAGTTCTTTTTCTTCTCTTTCTCTCACCATCTCCATGCCCCACAATCCTTCTCCCATAGGCTAAGTGATTTCCCCGTCTCTTTTTTCCCATTGCATTTTTTCCAGATTTTTTTGTTTTGTTTTGCTTTTGAGACAGAGTCTCACTCTGTCGCCCAGGCTGGAGTGCAGTGGTGCAATCTCGGCCCACTGCAACTTCACCTCCCAGGTTCAAGCGATTCTCCTGCCTCAGACTCCTGAGCAGCTGAGATTACAGGTGCCTGCCACCATGCCCAGCTAAAGTTTTTTGTATTTTTAGTAGAGACGGGGTTTCACCACGTTGGCCAGGCTGATCTCGAACTTCTGGCCTCAGGTGATCCACCTGCCTCAGCCTCCGAAAGTGCTGGGATTATAGGAGTGAGCTACCATGTCCGGCCCCAGATTTCTATTAAAGTACCTATCAAACTGTTTTTTATTAATAATTGCATATTATATGGTTATATATTGTGTATGTACATGCATGCATGTATATATGGATAATCTTCAGTTAAGGAGTCCCTTGAGGACAGTAATATTTTCTTTTCTTTTCTTTTCTTTTTTTTTGAGACAAGGTTTGACTCTGTCACCCAGGCTGGAATGTAGTGGCACGATCTGGGCTCACTGCAGCCTCTGCCTCCCAAGCCCAAGCGATCCTCCCACCTCAGCCTCCCAGGTAGTTGGGACCACAGGCACATGCCACCACAGCCAGCTAATTTTTTTTTTTTTGGTAGGGACAGGGTTTTGCCATATTGCCCAGGCTAGTCTCGAACTCCTAAGCTCAGAAGATCCACCTGCTTTGGCCTTCCAAAGTGCTGGGATTACAGATGTGAGCTACCGCACCTGGCCCACAGTGATGTTTTTCTTATCTTTAGTCTTCTCAGTTCTTAGAATAGTGCCTAGCAATGTGAGATTTAAATAAATGCATCACAAGTTAATGTACCCTTTAATTAAACATTAACACCTGATAAGCAGATTTTCTTTCTCAATATTGGTAATTCTCGATTCAAAAAGAAAAAAAACAGTAAACTTTTTGAAAATTTTTAAAGTTCATAAAAAGAGAAATGCGGGAGGTAAGTGAGGATAAGCTACTCCAGATATATAACAGATATATTTTGGTTCTCTGAAATAAAGTCCAAATTTGTCTGATTATATTTCAAAACTGGGTTAATCTTTTTTCTTTAATTTGTTTACTCAACTTGCAGTCTTTATGTTCCCCAAAGTCATAAGAAATCAGTTCTTTTCCCATGTAACATTTTATTCTTCTCTCTTCTATCTTCATTTCTGTTCTTGGAGACAGTGAAATTGACAGGGAACTTTTCTATCTTTCTAGGATTCTGTTTAAGTGACTTAACCCTTTTCCAGCCTTTTGTGACAGCAGCCTCCATGCCTAACTCATCTCTACTCTTCTCTCTTATTTCTTTTTGCATATTGGTGTCCTTGTAATACACTTCTCAAAATGGTAGAATGGGATTAATAAAAATTTACTACTGCCTCCTCTAGACACAGTTTTTCTCAGATATGTGTTGTCATTTTCCCAAATCAAATTCTGAAACAGGTGTAATTTGTCTTCACATCTTTTCCATGCCATCGCTCAGTCATTTGTCAGTTTCATCTGATTGCCTGCCAGTGCCTTCTTTTCCCAGGCTTTCCCAGGGGCACCTGACCCACACCTGGCATTCCGCCCATCCCAGGACCTTCCAAGGGCAAGCTGATTGGGAAAGCATTTGGAGACTGGAGACCTTCATTGCTCTTTTTGTTTTTTGGGGGGTTTTGTTTTTGTTTTTGAGACGGAGTTTCACTCTTGTTGCCCAGGCTGGAGTGCAATGGCATGATCTCAGCTCACTGCAACCTCCATCTCCTGGGTTCAAGTGATTCACCTGCCTCAGCCTCCTGAGTAGCTGGGATTACAGGTGCCTGCCACCATGCTAGCTAATTTTTTGTATTTTTAGTAGAGACAGGGTTTCACTATGTCAGCCAGGCTGGTCTCGAACTACTGACCTCAGGCAATGCACCTGCCTTGGCCTCCCAAAGTGCTGGGATTACAGGTATGAACCACTGTGCCTGGCCTCTTTTTGTTTTTTAATTGTGCATAACATAAAATTTACCATCTTAACCATTTTTAAGTGTACAGTTCAGTGGTATTAAGTATAGTCACATTGTCGTGCTACCATTACCACCATCCACCGACAGAACTTTTCTTTTTTTTTGAGATGGGGGTCTCACTCTATCACCCAGATTGGTCTTGAACTCACATGATCCTCCTGACTCAGCCTCCCAAGTAGCTGGGACTACAGGCGTATGCCACCACACCTAGCTAATTTTAAAATACATTTTTTTAGAGACGAGGACTCACTGTGTTACCAAGGCTGATCTTAAACTCTTGGCCTCAGCCTCCTGAGTACCTGAGACTACAGGTGCAGAACTTTTCTCATCTTCCCAAACTGAAACTCTGTACCCATTAAACACTAACTCCCCATTCCTCTTACCCCTGGCAACAACTATTCTACTTTCTGTCTCTGTAAATTTGACTTTCATCGCCCTTGAAGTCATCACTGCCTGTGGGCAGCCGTGGGAAGGACATTCCTCAGTCTTCCTAATTCTTCGAAATGATCAGTTAGTCTCTGGGGTATTTTCTGAGTAGTCACATGCTGACAGAGACACAAAAGAAATTTGAGTGACAAAGAAGGTAACTCCTGAGCTGGGTCATTAAGAGAAAGTAGGAGTTATTTCAGCAAAGGGGGAAAGAAGGTCTTGCAGGCACAAGCTGTGAGGCCCTTAGGTGTGAATCAGAGAGGTATGTGAGAGGAAGCACAGCTTGTTCGGATGACAAGAGCAAAGAGTGTGGATGCAAGAACAAAAATATGCGTAGGGTTTCCTTAGATACTTAGCGTTTATTATAATGATACATGGGGAATTAAACATCAGGAAATCATCTCAGGGATGTCAGAGAAAACTAGATGCCTGTTAAAATAACAGCACCCTTCTGAGGATCTGGTTATTATAATTCTTGTGCAATCAGAGTAGTCTTCCATGGCTACCTATGTTATGGTGATTCAGCTCTGTGTCTGTGTCCGCCAGTTAACTGACACCCTTTAGTGGCTGCTTTCTCTGTCCATCTCACGTTCAATCCCATTAAGAAAGAGACCAGCAAGAGTGCATGCAACAGAAGGCATCACTGTCCCCGTCGGGCAGCTTTCTTGTGCCCAGCTGCCTCTGGACCACAATGCATCTTGCTCATTCCTGGAAAGTGGATAATGGGGTCCGGGGGCTCCAACTATGAGGACTGGAGCCTCAGCAGCTACTGAAGCTTCTTAAAAGAGATGGAGGTGGGCTCTTTCATACCTGTACTACATGGAGACCCAGTGAGAAAATGTGGATAGAGAGCTTGGTAAGAACCAGATCATGAGCAACCTTCTCTGTCACTGTAGGAGGCCTAAATTTATTGTTTGAGCTACTGAGAGTCATGGACTGGTTTTAACCATGATCATTTATTTGCATTGAAAGAAGTTCATATTGCTAACTGTGCAAACTGAATGGAGGGGGATAAGAGACTGCTGGTGGATTAGGAAAGCTTTCACAATAATAATTGAACCAGGAGATTGTATAAGCTCACCAAAGGTAATTGAAGAGAAAAAAGACCAGTGCCTGTGATAGGGGCCCTGGCCCTTCTTATTGCAACTATCTTTTTTACATGGAGATGGCCACATCATAGCATTATAACTCAGCATATTACTTTAGGGCTTTATGTGTAGTTACCCTAAAGGCAAATAAATGAAGAAAAGGAATTACCATTATTGATACCATCTTAAAAGCTATCATTATGTCTTTTGAGAAACCTGAGGTGGAGTTAAATGGATTAATAACATAAGTATTTGTCCATTTTATTCAATTGAGTAATTGAGTAGGCTATTATGACATTATAGGAAAAATTATTATAGTCCTTTATCAGTGACAATTCTGGTTCCTATTCTTGATCTATTGGGCTATATTTACAATTCAGGAAAAGGAGAGACCTGCAGAATGGCAAGTATCCTGTCAAATACACTATCTGCCAACCATACTTAAATCCATAGGTCACCTTTTCCACTTATGTGTATATGGAAAATCACCCCTTGTTTCTGCAGGAAATCCAACCATGCCAAGCATGTAATGATATCAGTATTCTTTACAGAAGATTTGTGGGGCCATCTGGGGCAAGGCAGTCATATCACACAGCCTGCAACGGTTCTTTCTCTCTCACACACACAAATACACCCACACACCCACACACTCCCCCCACTCCTCATGCAGCACTTCCACCCTCTCCAATCCCTACCCTGTTATTAGATTTTTTCTTTTTCTTTTTTTTTTTTTTTTTGGTCTTCACTCAGCTCCTCTCTGGCTTCTTTGCCCCTTGTAAATTCTGCCTCCACTCTGAACCCCCTCCTCACCAGTTTCGATTTTTCAGCCCTTTATTATCCCAAAGAATTTGCCATTTTTTATTTCCTAAGCCTGCCCTTTGGGGGATGCTCATAGTCCCCAAGGAACTTACTAGTGAACTCTCTCAGCAAACAAAGGCCTGTCTCCCCACATCTTTGAACCAGCAACAGCATGATATCCTTACACATTTTGATTATACTGTAGCATACAGACATTTTAGGGAAGACAAAAACAAAAGACAAAAACAGAAACGAAAATACAGGAAACAAAAGATGAAATACAGATCTGATTAGTCCAAGTCCATCATCCAGGGGAAGTCCTCGTTCATTACCCTACTGCTGCATATATTCTGGATATTTTTCTGCTATATCACGAAATTTAGAAAATAGTATTTTTTTTCCCCAGTTTGTCGGAAACTGGCCACATTTGAGGGAATGTGGCTTGGGGTCCTGTCTCAATCATTGTCTTCTCACGTGACTTGCAGAAGCTGCATATACCCTCCTCTTATATGACGAGCTACTGGAATGGTCTGATCGGCCCCTCAGGGAGTTCCTGACCTACCCCATGCAAACAGAATGGCAGCGCAAAGAGCACCTGCACCTCACCATCATCCAGAACTTTGACAGAGGCAAAGTAAGTGGCCCTGCCCCGCCCGGGGTCCCTCCTGGGGTGATGGTGTTGATGTCCCTTTCCCTTTCATTTCTAGTTTATGAATGCCCACCTCCTTAAGCAGGGATCCTCACATCTTAATGTATATTAGAAACACCCAAAAGCTTGTTAAAATGCAGATTCCTAGGTGCCACTCCTAGCCATTCTGATTCATTTTGATTCTGAATGAGCCATTCTGATTCGTGCCTTGTCTGGCATGAGGCTGGGGAATCTGTGATTTTAACAAGGACCCTAGGAGAGTCCAATGTGCATGACCTTTTCATTACACTTTGATAAACACCGATTTAGAGATTTTGATCCCCAGTAACATAGTCCATTCGTGGCGGCTTTAGCAAAATACCCTAGACTGGGTAGCTTATAAACAACAGAAATTTATTTTTCACATTTCTGAAGGCTGAGAAGTTCAAGATCAAGGCCCTGGCAGATACAGTGTCTGGTGAGGGCCATCTTGCTGTATCTTCACATGGTGAAAGGGGCTGGCTAACTCTCTGGGGCCTCTTTTATAAGGGCACTAATGCCATTCGTGAGGGCTCTACCCTCATGACCTAATCACTTCCAAAGACCCCATTTCCTAATACCATTACCCTGGGGGTTAGGATTTCAACATATGAATTTGTCAGAGACCCAAACATGCAGACCATAGCACGCAGATATTGTATTCTCTGAAAAACCATTATCATCCTTCACACTCTCCCGAAATTGGCATGCATTCTGCTCCATTATACTTTAAGGTAAAATATATGAAACTTAATTTGTTTAAAGAATTTTGTGGCATCCCATCATATACTTAAGAGATGCCTTGAGGTGTTGAAAAAACCTCACTGACTTCATAAAGCAATTCAGTACATCACCTCCCTCCACTTCCTACCCCTCTTCAAGGGCTTGTAGTACTCTTTTAAAAAATTCATGAATCTGACCGCCATTGTTTATTGGATTTGAACACTTGGATGCTTTGGTGGTACATGTCTTAGACTCAAATTTATCTTCCAGATTGCAAAGGTTAAACAGAAAATTAAAATACAACCAATGGCTGTAATTCTTTTACAAAATATAATTGGGTACACGTAAAAATTTGATGCAAGGAAGTTGCTTCTTCCACATCTTCCTTTATTATTTATCTAGGTACACTGACATATCATTACATGAATACCAAAAGAAATGTTTTTGTGCCCTCCTGCTGTAAAGTTTCCACCTGTGGGATAAAGTGGTGCAAACTCTCTGAATTCATTTATTGGTCCATCCCCGGGAGTCTGTGCTAGATCAGGGGTTGCAAACTATGGTCCACAGGTCAAATGGCTCACTGTCTGTTTCTGTACAGCCCCAAAGCTACAAATCTCTTTTACGTTTTTAAATGGTTGAAAGAAATCAAAGGAATCATAACATTTTGGGACATGTGAAAATGATATGAAATGCACATTTTAGTGTCCCTAAATTCTTATTGGAACACAGCCATGCTTAATTGTGTCTATGGCTGCTTTGGTGCTATAACAGCAGAATTGAGTACAGCAGAGTTGTGACAAAAACTAAATGGTCCTCAAAGACTAAAGTTTTGACTTTCTGGCCCTTTGCAGAAAATGTTTGCTGACACCTATACTAGATTAAAGAATTTTTACATTTCTGCTGAGAGTAACCAACTTGGTTAGACCTCTCACAATTTGCAAGCACAACTAAGCCAAGCAAGGAATCCAGGGTACCAGTCACAGATAATTGGGCCTTAGGGGTCAGTGGTAATTCTCTCCTCTGCACTGAGGGCCTGTTTATATCCATCTACTCGGCCATTGTGGAACTGTAGTCATTTCAAGATGATTCTGGAATGACACCAGAAAATATAGTTCATGTACAATATATTAATGACTGTTGTGGTAGATTATCGTTTCCAGCATTCAAAGGATTTTTAATAATTTACATTTCAATTACATGGTGTTTTCAAGCTTGAAGTCTCAAGGTGTTTTATAAAGATTAAGAAGTGGACGGGCGCGGTGGCTCATGCCTGTAACCCCAGCACTTTGGGAGGCCGAGGCGGGTGGATCATGGGGTCAGGAGATCAAGACCATTCTGGCCAACATGGTGAAACCCCATCTCTACTAAAAATACAAGAATTAGCTGGGTGTGGTGGTGCGTGCCTGTAATCCCAGCTACTCAGGAGGCTGAAGCAGGAGAATCGCTTGAACTAGGGAGGCGGAGGTTGCAGTGAGCCAAGATGAGGCCACTGCGCTCCAGCCTGGTGACAGAGTGAGACTCCATCTCAAAAAAAAAAAAAAAAAAGATTAAGGAGTAAGGCTTGGTGCTCTGAAAGCACTCATGTTCTGACTTTTGGGTAGAAGTAAGTGGATATTGTCAGATGGTTCCATTGATCTCATTCATTTGTCCACAGTGTTGGGAGAATGGCATTATCTTGTGCCGGAAGATTGCAGAGCAGTATGAGAGTTATTATGACTACAGAAACCTGAGCAAGATGCGGGTAAGGTGCCTGGATGCATCCTGATCAGGCCATAGCCTCCCTTTGTGATTAGCTTTCCAGTGTGGTTCTATGAAATTAACTTTGTGGTCTTGCAGAAACCCTTTTTAAGATAAATCCTCTGAAGCATACTTAGCTATTTATATAGAGAAATAGCAAATTGATTTGTGTAATGCTTTTATTTAATATAAAAAAGTGAGCACTTGATCTGTTTTAAATACCACATATGAAATATACAATCTAATCCAGGATTAACACTTTTAGTTTATTGTGGAAAATCTCCACCCTGTTTGAAGAGTTTCCACTTACACATAAGTTTCTGTAACAATATACCATTCTTAGTCCCATAATCTGCAAATCTGTAGGAATGGCTGACCTATTTCTAAATAATTTAGGGCCAAATTCTGTAGGTGTCACCTCTCTTTAGCTTCAGCAATGTGTTTTTATTTGCTGGACTTAGATCAACGTTTCAGTACCTAAGAGCTCAAGGAGTTGAGTATTCTGTTTCTCTGAACCAAATGTTTTATATCTGCTTTGCTCTTAGGTTCAAACAAGTCCTCCTTGCCCTCCAAGTCCTTACTCTTGAGCAACATGAACGTTTGTGTCATCTTGTAATACACAAGATCCTGCTGAGTGCTTCAGTTCTTCAGGGTTTCTAAAATAGGATCATCAGTTTTTATACATTAAAAAAAAGAGTACAATATTGCCTTTTAATTTTGAGGTAGCCATTTAAGAGATAATACCATAAACCTGTAACAGCTCATAAAATCCCTTATATCCCAACAAGGAATTTATTCAACTGGCAGGAACTGACTCTGTCCTTTTGGCACAGTATTTCATGTCAGCAGTTCATCGATACTTCTCCTAACATGAAAACGAAAGAGAAAAAGCTTGTTTTAACTTCAGTCCATCATGTTGACTCTGGCAGGCACTGCAGTTTTATATGAAAACATTGCTGTTCATCTCTTGGCATCCTGTCCCTGTAACAGAAGCGAGGTGATGATGTTTACTTGTGAGAGCCCTTGGGTGCCATAGTCACTAAGATTTTTATAAACCCAAAGCATTACACTTCATGCCAACTGCTCTTTGGGGTGCTGTTACTAGAGGGGGGATAGAGGGGGAATCTTTAAGTGTAATATTAGTCTTTCTCTGGAAACCCTGGGGATGATAATACCATGAATGGGAAACCATAAGCTTTATATGCTTCATAGTTTCAACATTGTCAGGCGCACTTAAGAGCTTTCAGCCCAGACAGCACTTTGCACTATGGGTCTCCTTTGGTTTGGTTTGTTGTTTTATCCTTGCCCAACCTGTGCAAGATTGCACCTTCCAAATGTCCTGAATTACCATGTGCCAGGTGGAGGCAAACCCACAGGTAAGTACATCTGGCACAAGAATTCTCTAGAAAAGTTTTGCCTCTAATAATTCATGTTAATTTCTACTTGATTGTGAAGAAAATATTTTTCTTGATAGGACTACATGCATAGAAATAATTTTTCTCTGGGGATAACATGTGATAATACACTTGATCCTTTAAAGCAGGGATCAGCAAACTACAGCCTGTGGGCCTAGCAGAATTAAGTAGTTGTGAAGAGACGATATGGCCTGCAAAATGTGAAATAGTCTCTGGACATTTATAGAGGAAATTTGCCAATCCCCGACTTAAAGCATCAAAAAGAAAGTCAAACTTTCTTTCCAGCAAACTCAATTAAAATAAAGTTCTCCTTTATGTAAAAAAGAAATCTTATTCTATAAATTTGATAGAACCGAAAGATGAGATAAAATGCTTAGAATGTTTCCTGTGCTTTCTAGATGATGGAAGCCTCTTTGTATGACAAAATTATGGACCAGCAACGTCTTGAACCAGAGTTCTTCAGAGTTGGATTTTATGGAAAAAAATTTCCATTTTTCTTAAGAGTAAGTAATATACTATTTAATTTGCTTTCACAGCTCTCATATAGATATCCCAATCAAGAAAACTAAGATGTTAATGACATTTTATATGACAGGTAATAATATGCATGAGACTTTTTTTAAACTTTTACTTTGCAGACACTATATTAATCTAGAATGCCTTGTTTAAATAATTTCCGAGATAGCAATCAACCCCTTCCTAAATTTGGTATATTTTGTGAGCAATCTTTGATAATTATAGTTTCCCTTGTCTGATACCCACTATTTTAATTCAGTCTGCAATTTCCATCAAGTTAGTATTAGAAAAAAAATGGTGGGGCACTGCAGGAGGCTTGGAGTTGCAGAGTATCGAAAGCAATGCAGTTTCACATCATGTGAAAACCCTACCTCCAGCACCATGTAAAGAGTGTTGTTTGGCCATTTTGATGAATTTGTAAAAAGATAAATGTCACCCAGCAAAGAGACCCAATTTATTGCTAGTATAAACTCCATTTCTACAAAGAGAAAACTTTTAGACATTCTAAGACACCTATAAGATAATAAAATATTCAACTCCATTCTTTTCATTTTTCACATTCTGCCCAGTAGTGTCTTCTATGCTTGAATATTTATTGAATACTTCAGTATATACACCTTCCTTGTACAAAAACATTGCTTAAAAGAGCAAATGTAATTCCCCAAGCAACTAAGGAAAGGTATCTGGGATAGTTTATAAAATTGAATCAATTGTTACAACTTTAGTTCTCAATACAGAAATATTTTGATGTTTGTGTTTACCTAAATCTTGCCTGTCAGCACATATGACAGAATACTAGGATGGGTGTACTTGGAGAAGAAGAGAAAGATTTCACTTTATTGTTTAATAATCATTATCTGCCTTTCAGAATGAAAAAGACAGATAGGTAGATCCCAAAATATCCAATACAGGTTCATTTTAGTATCACGTGGAACAGATGTTTTCTTTAGTCAGTTGAAATGACCATGCATTTGGGTGCTACACAGACATAATGTGAAATCTCCTTGTTGCATTAAAAGAGACTCCACACAGTGTAGTGGGCGGTCACAAAGCTGACTTTGCAGGTGGGCCTGCCTAAAACTGGAGGAAATCTTGATTCCTGATCAAAAACAGCAGCAAGTGGGCACAGTGGCACACTGTAATCCCAAAAACTTGGGAGGCTGAGATAGGAGTATCACTTGAGCACAGTTCCAGACCACTCTGGACAACAGAGCAAGACCCCCAGAAAATGAAAATTAAAAAATGGCAAAGTCAGAATACATGTTGAATTTAAAAGACTACGTTTTGGAGGTGTAGCTGATCCCAAGCTGTTATGAGCAACCCCCTAAGGACTGCAGATGGCCTGGATCCAGGTTCTGAGCAGAGCAGCAGACAGTCTAGAGCTATAGCCACACAGATGGCTGGGGATTGCGCAGCAGGGTCTAGACACGACCCTGCCACAGTAGGTCGTCTCCCTCTGTTGGCACAAACAGACATGACATTGTTGGCAGAGTCATGTCTGAAAGATTATAATTAAAAGTATAAAGTTTTAAAAAATTAGAAGTAGTTTAAGAGTCATAATTTTAAAGAGAGTTTAGCAAATTGGAAAACTGCATTAGCAAATAGAATAAATTTTGTTAAAAAGTCAATTAGAATAAATCAATCTTCTATATCATTCTTCTTTTAAAAATAGCTTTCCTGGGTATAAATGGCATTTGCTTCACAATGAAAGAGAAGGGTCCCCCTCTGTTGGTTTCTAAAGGGCACTACACTCTTCAGAATCCTGGAGCCTGACCTTTTTTTTAAGGAATCAGATTCTAGTCTGGTCTTGGATTTAAAAGCAAACAAATATCAACATTAAAAACATCCTTTTGGCCAGGCACAGTGGCTCACACCTGTAATCCCAGCACTTTGGGAGGCCAAGGCAAGAGAATTGCTTGAGGCCAGAAGTCTTTTGTTGTTTGATCAATTTCCAAGATAATTTTTAGCACTCAAATACATTTATCCACTTTTATGATCTAAGTAGGGATTTTTCCCCTCATGAAAAACGGGTTATTTAGCTGGGCACGGTAGCTCATGCCTGTAATTGCAGCACTTTGGGAGGCCAAGGCCAGAGGATCACTTGAGCCCAGGAGTTCAAGACCAGCCTGGGCAACATAGTGAGACCCCATCTCTACTAAAAGTTAAAAAAAATTGCCAGGTTCGGTGGCGTGCGCCTGTGGTTCCAGTTTCTTAGGAGGCTGAGGCAGGAGGATTGCTTGAGCTCAGGAGTCAAAGCTTCAGTAAGCTGTGATTGAGCCACTGCACTCCAGCCTGGGTGACAGTGAGACCCTGTCTCCAAAAAAAAAAAAAAAAAAAAAAAAGAAAACAAAACAAAATGGGTTATTTAAAGAATATTAACGCAGAAGTTCTACTTCTATATACATGCTTAAGAAAATTGAAAATATATATTTACACAAATACTTGTATCTGAATCGTCATAGCAGCATTATTCATAATAGCCAAAATGTAGAAACTGCCCAAATATCTATTAACTGATGAATGGGTAAACAAAACACAGCATATCTATGCAATGATACTCAGCAATAAAAAGAAAGGAAATACTTATATGTGCTACAAAATGGATGAACTTTAAAAATACTATGTTAAGTAAAAGCTAGTCACAAAAGGCCAGCACATTGTATAATTCCATAATAGGCAAATCCATAGAAACAAAAAGTAGTATTGTGACTGGCTGGAGGAAGAGAAAAATAGGAAGTAACTGCTAATGAGTATAGGGTTTCTTTTTGACATGATGAAAAGATTCTGAAATTAAATTTTGTTAATGTTTGCACAACTCTATAAATATACTAAAAACCACTGAATTGCACATTTTTAAAAGGTGGATTTTATTGTATGTGAATTATATCTCAATAAATCTATGTGTTTTTTTAGAAAAAAAAAGAGTACTGATAAGGAAGATGCTTTATTTCTTAGAGACCCAAATATCAGACCCAAAATTTCATTTTATTTTAAAATGGCTTCTTAATACCATTGAATGCCTGTATTCTTAGAGCAAATGCCCCGATTTTTACAAACTGTCATATATAAGCATTGTTTGTTTTAAAATATATTTCATTTACTAGGATATTCAAATATTTATTTGGGGGCTCCTGTAATAGGCAGAGAGGGATGTATTGTGTTTTATTTTACCAAGCAAATTAATTATCTTTTGAGTAGAATTTTTAAAATACAGCATCAGAAATTGTAACTTTTATCTATAAAGTTTTAAATCTAGAATTGTATGGGGTCCACAATTATAGGTAGAGCCTGCCCTAACCTTGTGTTTTTCAAAAGATCATGATATATTTAGGGGTTTGTGGGGAACCGAGGTAGGTTATCCAGCCCAGTTCCTGCTGTATTTCCTCTACCTGCCTGCAGCTGCCCTTTCCCTGCGGAAGAACTGAGCCTCTGCCCATGACTTGTTTCTCACTCCCTCTCTGTGGCCTGGAGTCCCTCTTTACGGCGTTTTACATAAGAACCTCATAGAGCGGAAAAACAGAGAAAACCTTGGACCTCAGCTCCTCTAGGCCCCAAACTGATCTCCCCTTAACTTGAAGATCTCCAGGGCCTGAGATCCCACAAGTTTTCCTGGTCTTGGTAGCTCCTAGGTGTTTTTCCTGCATACACTAGGCCATGTTCAGAGTAGAAAGAGCCCAGGGTTTGGACTCAGACCAGAATTTCAATCTAGTACACGTGGACAAAGTATTTCAAGACATTAAGCCATGGCCAGGCGTGGTGGCTCACACCTGTAATCCCAGCACTATGGGAGGCCGAGACAGGCAGATCACCTGAGGCCAGGAGTTCAAGGCCAGCCTGGCCAACACAGTGAAACCCCATCTCTACTAAAAATATAAAAATTAGCTGGGCATGGTAGTGCACACCTGTCATTCTAGCTACTTGGGAGGCTGAAGCAGAAGAATTGCTTGAAGTGGGAGACGGAGGTTGCAGTAAGCTGAGATCATACCACTGCATGCCAGCCAGGGCAACAGAGTGAGACTCCATCTTAAAAAAAAAAAAAAAAGACTTTAAGCCCTGGTTCCCCAATTATAAAATGGGGTGTTGTAGGGGGCACTGACTACCTCTCAAGCTTATATGAGTTAAATAAGACATGCAGTGTGCTTCATCAATGACTGTGCTCAATTACAACTTCATTATCATTAAAATGTCAGAGATCCGTCATATCTAATCAGATCATTCAGGTACTTTTTGGAAACCTTCCCATCTTTCCAGCTGTCTTAACCTACCTCAGAAATAACCTTCACCATTCTTAACTGAAGGAGAGCATCATGAACGGCAGAATACACACACACACACACACACACACACACACACACACACACACACAAAAAGCAGACAACAAATTTACTTTTCCTCCAAATTGTGAAATTACCCACATGAATTTGATATGTACTTTATAAAAATAATCTTTACACATGTGCTTATTAACATTTAGAGGGATACAATTGTTTTGTTTTCATACTTTGGTGCTCTGAGAATCCACCTCTTTGCACCTCATGCAAGTGAACCGGGAAGAGTGAGGCATTCTATTGGGCCTTATTAAATGCAGTAGAGAGTGAACTCATGATCTTTATCTGCATTTTTAACAATTGGGCAAACTTTTCAGATTGTTCCAGCGTAATTTTTGTTATAGTGTCTTGGTATGGGGCATGTGGTCAGTTACTGCCAGTGTCATGTTTTTTGGCTCTGTCTGTAATCCACTCAGTTATATAGCCCTAATTTCTTTTTTGCTTTCATCTCCAGAATAAGGAGTTTGTGTGTCGAGGGCATGACTACGAGAGGCTGGAAGCCTTCCAACAGAGAATGCTGAACGAGTTCCCCCATGCCATCGCCATGCAGCACGCCAACCAGCCCGATGAGACCATCTTCCAGGCAGAAGCTCAGTGTATCCGCACCTACAAGGGCTGGACTCAGTGAGATTGCACTGGCTCTTAGCTGCAGAGCATTTCCATGCAAGGTTGTTCAGCCACCAGTCCCTTTTCAATAGCCACATCGTTACTGCTCCCTCTTTCCCATCATCTTAATTTTAGCTTAACTCCTTCTGAATAGAACTTAATTGTTCTATTTATTACGATGATGTCAGTTGAAAGAACTCTCTTGAAAGAATTTTTCCCTTTTAATTAAACCTCTTGTATAGCTCAACCCTGCCTTTAAAGCTCTTTTTTAGTGACATCCTTTAGAATAAACTTCCTTTGACATATCCTGTGGAAACTGCTTAAGTTCAAGAAAATCATAGTATTGTGTTTACTGGCACATATTATTCACCCCTCCCCCCACCCTGATTATTTGTATTCTGGAATGAGGAATGGAAGAGAAAGAGCTACTCCAGTATCTTTTGGGGGCTTTTAGCTATGGCATCCTGAACAGCCTTTAATCATTGCTGTATAATTCATGCTCTTATTGTCTAAACACAAACAACTGAGCTGAAATTATATAGGTGTTAGAGACAAAGGCAGTTCACCCCAGCACTCTTTTCTGAACCCCTCTGCCTTTTCCTGAAACTGATGGTCTTAAAAAACACTTTTAAAACTTCCACTGACAATTATGAATACCATTTCAAAGCAGAAACCAAAATGCAAGACATGCAAGAAAGTACATAGGAAAAATATTTTGCTATCTTTCTTTAAATAAGAAGAGAAGGAGGTAAATATACAAGTTAATATGATACTCCTTTAATGTAATTTTTAAAAATATAAACTATAACTAAACACCCTGCATATGAATACAAGATTTGGGACAGCAGTTATCACAGATGTGGGAAGGCTAGGGACACAGATAATCACACAGATAAATGTAAGTCATCGTCAGTGTTCTAGTTTCTGTCTTTGGTCATGGTTGCATAGGTATTTACATGTTATTATAAGCAAACAATAAATTTAAATGTGTCATGCACAGACTAATAGATGTCTCATGAACAAGGATTAGGATTATCCTAATTCTGAGTATCTAAGGCCCAAACCATTCCCATCTACCTACACACACATACACACACACAAGTTAGTGATATCTAAATTCATAGGTCATGAAAATTTTCAAGTCATGGAAATTTCAAGCTGATACTTCACCTACCTAGAACTAGTTCAAGACCTGTAGTTTGAGAAGTGATTTGCTAGAACTGAGTTCCTGGCGTCTTCTTGGTAATTTTTTTAATGACTTCAACTGAAATGGAAACAGAAGATTGTTACCCATCCTCTTCTCTCTGCCATAGCTCAGCCCAAGCCAGACTTCCATGGAGTTTGCCAAGTCAGGTTCTCTCCTTGACTCTTGAATCCTAGATTTGCAGATATATGCTGTGACTCCCATTCCAGAGAGCCAGGAGGTCCTGCAGAGAGAGGGTGTTCCGGACAACATCAAAAGCTTCTATAAAGTGAATCACATCTGGAAATTCCGCTATGACCGACCATTTCACAAAGGCACAAAAGATAAAGAGAATGAATTCAAGGTACCATGCAATTCTTATTACATGCTAACTCCTCAGATAGACTGCGAGCCCCTTGGGGCACAGCCCTTGGTAAATATTTACTCAGAATAGTGTCAAGTGACAGAAACAGAAGGGACTATATAAATCATTTAGTCTAGTGGTTCTGCAGCTCCACGTGCATCAGAGTGACATGGAGTGCTCCCTAACCAAGCAGATTTCTGGTGCCCAGCTCAGGAATTCTGACTCAGTTGGTCTGGGAGGAGGTCCTAAAATCAGCTTTTTTGTAACAATTCTAATGCTGGTGGTTCTTAGACCAGTCTTTGAGAACTCCTGGCTGAAGTCAGTCCTCTTATTCATTTATGTTGAACCAATTGTGGGAATCTTGGGATGTTTATTTTCACGTAAAGTTCAATGAATAAAGAATACATAATGAACAGAGAAAAGGAGTTCCTGAAGACAGAGAACAGTTGGGTAGACTGCTGGTACGTTGGGTAAGTTATGTGCCATCTTTGCTGCTTGTTCTTGTTAGAACAGTGTGTAATTAGAACTTCTCAGGACTCCGAGTAAAAGCAAATTTTGGATTCTTTGTGTGTGTTGAGTTCTCTGCTCTCAGTAGTTCCAACACGCCTTCCTACTTCAGCACCCTCAGCCAGAATGGGACAAGGTTTCTCATAGCCCCACTGCAGAAAAGAGGCAAGATTGTTCAGTAGAGTCTGCCCCTTTCTTTGCAAACAATGACATAGTGACACCCCCCCCAGTTAGTATTTCATATCTAAACAAAGAATGCAAAATTAGCTTATTTTTGTGAGTTAATTGGCTTAGCATTTTTCATCACAGATGTTCCCTGCTTAAGCTAGGAAATGTGCTCCTAACACGATTGTCTCATGTTAACTCACTTGGTCAGCTCTGCCGGTGTCAGTTCCCAGTACTCCCCGAAGTATTTCCAGGGATCATTCACAACCGAGAGGAGATCAGAAGGGGAAGGTTTTGCAGAGTTATGACAGGATTGAATAAAGAGCAGTCCCTTGTGCCCAGAGATTTGATGGGCTAAATATCAAGGCAAGGAGGCCACTGGAAAACAACAATGGGATAGTATTAAAAAGATCCATGATCATGTTCTTGTTTTTTCTGGAAACTTATTCTTTGTGCCTTCCAAAATCAATTAAAGAAGATATAGCTAGTTGATGATATAGTTCTTCTTGCAGTTGCTTTTAGTGAAATCATAGTCAGAAATCACTGAAATCAGGCAATTGACTTGTTCAAAGTCACCTTCTAGTTACCGGTAGCTCCAGTCCTAGAACTCACATTTTCTGCCTCCTTCTCCATTGTTTTTTCCACCGTACTACATTTCGTTGTGGCTGTCACTTTAAATCTGTATCAGTGGCGCAGCAATCTCCCTAAAAAATAATAATAATAAATCTGGCTCCTGATTCCTCTGCTTTATAGCCCTCAGAATCTGGCTCCAAACTGCCCTCCAGAAGCCTCATCTCCACCACAACCCACTCACCCCTCCTCCCTCTCAGCCTCCGCGACACTCAGCTTCTCTCTTCCTCTCCCGCCAAGCCCTTTCGCAAGCCGCTCCTCCTGCCAGCGCTGCTACCCCCACTCTCCTCCTGGCAAACTCCTACTCACTCCTCAGAATGCAGCTCACGCGTCACCCCCTCTGAGAACTGCTGTCCTCCTCCCGCAGGCTGGCGTGTGTGCCTGCATCCCCCTCTGTTGGCCCCCAAAGCCTTGAACATCCCTTTCTCTTCACTCTGAGCTCTTATTCATCTGCTTACCTCCCTGTCACCACCAGAACACTGCGAGCTCTTGTCACAAGATCTCTGCCCTATTCATCTCAGCACAGCTTGGCTGGCTCAAAGAAACTCTTCCATTTTTTTTTTTGTTGTGGTTTGAGTAAATGGCACTATTTCAGGAATTTTGTAAAGTGTATTATCCTCTTGGGAATACACTTGGTTTAAGTAAGAAAGATGAGGCGTAGATACTAAAACCTGGTTGACAAAAAAGAAACGTGTCATCAACAGCAGCTCATACCAAAGGCAGCATGGTTTCACATGTCCTGGGGTTGCTCGTCCCGGCCAGAGGAAGCCCTGGCTCTAAAATACAGATTTGCCTCTATTAACAGCAGTTCAAACAAGCACAAGAAAATGTGGCACAGTAGATTTAGCAACTGACAAGGAGTCAGAGGTCCTAGTGGGTAGGTTCTAATGCTGGCTCTATCGGTAGTGTAGCTTTTGAGCAAGTCACATTGCTGCTTTAAGACCTAGTGTCTTCAAAAAAAAATAATTTTTTTGAGAAGGAGTCTCGCCCTGTCGCCCAGGCTGGAGTGCAGTGGGGCGATCTCGGCTTACTGCAAGCTCCACCTCCCAAGTTCACGCCATTCTTCTGCCTCAGCCTCCCAAGTAGCTGGGACTACAGGTGCCCGCCACCATGCCCGGCTAATTTTTTTGTATTTTTAGCAGAGACGCGGTTTCACCATATTATCCAGGATGGTCTTGATCTCCTGACCTCATGATCTGCCTGCCTTGGCCTCCCAAAGTGCTGGGATTACAGGCGTGAGCCACCGTGCCCGGCTGTGTCCTCATCCTTAACATAGATCATGCTGTGTGGTTCCTAAAGCCTTTGCTTCCCTTAGGACTCTGTTGTTCTAATTCTACGTTGACAGGCTGATACATTGACTGGCTGACCCTTCTGGATATAAGTGGTTAGATGTTAAGGAGTGAAGAGAGTTTGAATTAGAATCTTGGAGAAGTAGCAAAGAAAATAACATGATAGCCTATTTTTGTATTTTTAAGCTTGCTGTTTGAAGTAGGAGCTCATTTATTCCACATGGAAAAAAGTTTGATGACATACAGTGGAATTGTTAAAATCAGCTTCAGCAATCTCTCACTGTGATAGTTTCATGAGTGCTTGAATGAAGACTAAAGAAAGGCTGACAGGAATAAGCAAAGCCTGGTAACAGTGACCGACAAACACTAGTCATGGAAGTAGCTAGAAAGAAGGGCAACTTGGGAGACTTAATGTGTTTTGTGTTTTGTAGAGTCTCTGGGTGGAGAGAACGTCATTATACTTGGTGCAGAGTTTGCCTGGCATCTCTCGCTGGTTTGAAGTGGAAAAGCGTGAAGTGGTAAGGATCAGAGCTTGTTCTCAAGCACTTTCTCATCACAGTTGTTCACTTGGAGTTGTGCCGTATATTCATTACTTCTCCTTCGACCCAGATTCTCTGGAAGCACTCATAGTAAAATAGTGAATGTTTATGGTCTTGACCGCTATTACCAAGGCTGAGAAGGTGAATATTAATATTATCCTAATGTGTCCAGATGGAGGGATTCCTTGAAAACAACTCAATTTGCTACATGTAAAAAAACTATTCAGGCCCTTGAGTTAGAAGACTTGGAATTCCAGCTCTCCTAATTACTATAGCTGTGTGACCTTCAGTGCTTAGTGTATCATACCAGTGCTAATACTACCTGCTTTATCTTATTTAATCATCATATCAAAGCTATGAGGTATATATTCTTATTCCTGTTTTTGCAATTTTTGACAAGAGGTCAAAAGCCTTTGCCAAAGATCACATAGCAAGATGTTGAAGAGAGACTCCAACCCAGATATTTCTGATTCCAAAGCCAATTATATTACTCTCTTCTAGCAGTAGGTTTCTTACAGGCTGAAGGAGGCTAATGTCAAGTCTCTGCACAGTGCCCGATGCACAGTAAGTCCGTGTTGTTACAGTTCCCAGTAGAAAGGATGGCAGCGTATTAGTCTCACTGAGCAGTCCTGGGTGGAGCACCCACTGTAGATCAGTGGGTGCCACTGTAGAACCTGGTAACCACAGCTCCCAAGAACCCTCCGGTTGTAAAATGTGACCCCAGCTCCAGGCCCCAGTTGTGGACAGCAGGGAGAGCAGCAGCTGAAGGCAGCCACATCCAGGGTGGGACCCCACCCAGCTGTCTGTGCTGTTCTTCCAGCGACAGCACCTCGATGTCAGCCATAGCCCTGCAGTCTCACAGCCTCCCTTGCTACATCCATTATAGCCATTTATTAACTTTATTTCACTTAGTGTGAATGTTCATTTGTTTCACTGCAGAAATAATAATGTGTTTGTTTTTGAGCCTGGGTCTCACCCTTTCATTGCCATAGTTCTCTGATAGGAAGTGTGCCAATTGTGCAAATATAATGTAATTCATACCTTATTTAGGTCACAAGCCTATTCTGTCAATCCAGAAGAAAGAACAGCTCCTGACCAAATTGTTTTTCAAGAATTGTTTGTCTTACCTGAAATGTCTCAGCATTGAAACTACTCTCGGCCTATCATGTTCAATTAAGCTAAGGATTTAAAAGTTAAAATTGAACTCTATTCAGCAGATTACATCAGTGCAGTTGTATTCTTGTCCAGTCTGAGGTCCAGAGTCCCCAAAAGCTGGCTGCTTACATGTTGTGCCCTGGTACCTTCCATGGAAGTGGGGAGACTGCTAAACGCAGTGCTCAAAAAGTCTTATTATGCTTCCCGCTGAATGGCATGGGTCCAACTTGTAGAAGTGTTTTTAGTCATCCATGCTGCATTAATGATTCAGAGAGCCTTTAGCTACTTACTACCCAGAGCATTAAATCCTGTGAAGTCTCATCAATGGTCCTAGCCCTTGGAAATGTCATATACACATACAATGCTAATAAAAAATAGCATGCTGATAATGATAAAAGGAGCATTACTAAACACAACCTTTCAAACATCAGCTGCCTACTTTATTAGAATATGTAATCTTATGTTCTGTCAAATGGAACAAATCAAATTCAGCTGTTTTGTTCCCTGAACACAGCCCACTCTTAACAGCTTTTGTGTTTTTCTCTTGTTCTTGCTGCCTAGAATGTCCTCACTGTCGATTAAAGCTATTGGTTTCCTGGTTTAACTCCTAGTGTAGAAGGTCTTCAAGAACAGGGACAGGTAGTAGGTGCTCAATACAAATACATCACGTTGAATTGAAATTCCTCATCTGCAGATGTCAGCATCTGAAAACCAAGAGATGTTTTCATTTGTTCGGCTCCAAAGCTCATTTGCTAATAATACACCCAACCTTTTCTAATGCAAGTCCATTTATTAACTTTATTTCACTTAGTGTGAATGTTCATGTGTTTCACTGTAGAAATATTATATTTCCTTTTTGTTTTTGAGACTGGGTCTTGCTCTGTCACCCAGGCTGGAGTGCAGTGATATGATCATGGCTCACTGCAGCCTTGACCTCCCGGGCTCAAGTGATCCTCCCACCTCAGCCTCCCAAGTAGCTGGGACCACAAGCATGTGCCATCACAACTGGCTAATTTTCTGATTTGTTGTAGAGATGAGGTGTCACGATGTTGCTCAGGCTAGTCTTGAGCTCCTGGGCTGAAACAGTCCTCTAGCCTTTGTCTCCCAAAGTGCTGGGATTACAGGCATAAACCACCATGCCCAGCCTTATTAATGTAATGCATTTGATTAAAGGAACCTGCCCTAGATCCTGCTAGGGGTTACATAATATACCATATATGGCCCTATACTGCCTTTCTAAAATCTGAAAAGTTCTTCATTCTGAAACATGTGGCACCAAAGGTTTCAGATGAAATTGGGGACCTTTATTTTCTAAATCACAGACCCCCCCCCCAATAGCTTATCAACTTTTGTTAAGATATCAATGCCTTTGAACTATTGTTTCCTCTGTAGTTTATTATTTTCAAAACCCAAAAAAAGTGTTTTTGTCCTGATTAAAAAATTAGCTCATTTCAGCTGGGTGCCATGGCTCACCTGTAATCCCAGCACTTCGGGAGGCTGAGACAGGTGTATCACCTGAGGTCAGGAATTCAAGACCAGCCTAACCAACATGGTGAAACCCCGTCTGTACTAAAAATACAAAAAAGTAGCCGGGCATGGTGGCACGCACCTGTAGTCCCAGCTACTTGGGAGGCTGAGGCAGGAGAATCGCTTGAACCGGGGAGGCAGAGGTTGCAGTGAGCTGAGATCACACCACTGCACTCCAGCCTGGGCAACAAGAGCAAACCTCTGTCTCAAAAAAAAAAAAAAAAAAAAAAAAACCTAAGCTGATTAAAAAATTTTTAATCAAGACAAACATTTATAGTTTAGAATCCATAAATGATTTTTTAAAAATCCAACTAAAGATTACGAGAATATTTTCATACCACATCCTGCCCATCAGAAAACAATGTGCCTCTTTCTAAATACTGTATACCCAGAATCTAACCACTCCTCAGCGCCCCCACCGATAGCGCCACCTAGTGCCTGATTACTGCAGTAGCCTCCTAAAAGATTTGCTTTCCCCCTTATCCCTGTAGTCTCCTCTGTACATGGCAGCCAGTGACCTTTTTAAACTTAAGTTATAGCATACAAAAATAGAGAAAATGTATAATGATATAATGAGCCTGACTTACCCATCATTGCTTCAACAGCCATCAAGCCAATTTTGTTTCATCTACATGTCTACCTGCTCCCTCTCAACTGGACTATTTTTGAAGTAAATCTCAGATGTCATATCACTTCATCTACAAATATTTTAGTATTCATATTTATTTTTAAAAACCTGAAATATTGTCACATTAAAAATTAACAATAATTACTTGATCATAAAATGTACAGTGTTCATTCCACACTTTACCAAGTCTTTTATTCTGCATTTTAGACCAGCCTGGGCAATGTAGTAAGACACCGTCTAAACAGAAAATTTAAAAAATTAGTCAGCATGGTGGCATATGTCTGCAGTCCTAGCAACCTCCTACTCCAGAAGTTGAGGCCAGAAGATCACTGGAGCCCAGGAGTTTGAGGTTACAGTGAACTATGATCATACCACTGTACTCTAGCCTCGGTGACAGTCTCAACCCTCTTTTTTAAAAAAAAAAAATTATATATTTTTAGGCCAGGCATGGCGGCTCATACCTGTAATCCCAACACTTTGGGAGGCCAGGGCAGGCAGATCACTTGAGGTCAGGAGTTCAAGACCAGCCTGGCCAATATGGCAAAACCCTGTCGCTACAAAAAATACAAAAAGTAGCTGGGCATGGTGGATCACGCCTGTAATCCCAGCTTCTCAGGAGGCTGAAGCAGGAGAATTGCTTGAACCCAGAAGGTGGAGGTTGCAGTGAGCCAAGATTGCACCACTGCACTCCAGCCTGGGCAACAGAACAAGTGAGACTGTCTCAAAACAGAAAAAAAAAAAATATTTTTACTCTATTATTCGAATCCAGATTTAAATAAGGGCCATGCATTGCAATTGATTGAAATGTCTTCTAAGTCTCTTTCAATCTGTAAGTTTCCCCTTGCATCACTTTCCTTATTTTTTTATTGAAGAAACTAAAGACTGTTTATCCTGAAATGTTTCCGTATGTGTGGATTCTGCAGACTGCATCCCAGTGAAGTCATATAACATGTTTCTCTGTCACCTGTATTCCTTGTAAATTGGTAGTTAGAACTAGAGACTTGATAAAATGTTTGCTTTTATTTTCACAAGACTACTTCATACTTGGTGTTATGTGCTACTGGTTGTCGTGTGTGTGTGTGATGTTGGCAGCCACTGGTGATCATTGACCAGATCCATTAATCTTTTATGGGTTGCAAAATGGTGATATTTTATTTCATGTTTATTTACTCATTGGAATACTCTGTAAAGAGAAATGTCCTCTCACTAAATATTTGATTACCCTGAGGTACAGGAAAGATAATGCTGTATTCTACAAAAGCGACTGGAGGGGTTTTTGTTTGGTTGGTTTTTGGATCATTAGTAACTCATGGATATAAGTATATTTGTTTTGTTTTAATCCATGGCAGTTATTAAATTTAAAAATGTTCCATCTTTGCCTGTTGGGAGCATCTTCAAAATGGCTCCTGAGTCTGTTTTCACAGTATCCAAGTAGTGTTTGTTACTGAGCTAACACACAGGATCTGATTGTCAAGTTCGATGCAGGACTCAGCGACCCCTCCCAGCATCAAGCTTTACTAGTAATTTCAAGGCAGGCAGGATGCTCAGATAAAGCAGCGAGATTTCTGAGACATTACACATCGTCTGCTAGGTCCTTCTTCCCCACATCAGTAATAATTCAGAATTATAGGTGGAGTCCCTGAGGTTCACAGGGTTCCTCATTCAGAAGCACGTTTAAATTATGAAGTGTCGATTATGAAACATTCCATTTTCTACTCCAGAGAGTTAGTTGTAAAGCTTCTCAGGGACATTCTGTAATCATGCCTCATGGATTCTGGTTTATTTATTTACTTAAAGAAATCCTTTGACTGGGGACTTTAGGGCATTCTGTAGATAACATCTCTTCCTCCTAGCAATTACTTTTAGTCTGTTTACTTGAAGGTTCAATTGACAAAGAGATAAGACATAGTCACCTGTCTTTTCTGTCCCTTAAGGACATTCCCCAGTAAAGAAAATGAATGGATCACAGGCCAGATACTTTCATGTTTTCCTCCCATCCTTACCTTTACCATCCTTCCTGGTAAGACGAGGTGGTCTAGGATCACTTGAACATCTCCTGCCCCAGACCTGAAAGCAGCTATTTCTCCAATGACTCCTTATTCATTTTAGTGGTGAACAATATTTAGAGATTGTAATCTGAAGGATAGAGGAAAGTAATTCTTGGTGAACACTCTATCACATATCTTTGCACACTTCTTTGACCGTCCCCTTATATTTCCCTAGAAGTGAATTAATCAAAAGTATCCCCACTGTAACCACTGATTCATGGCTCAGCAATGGGATATATCGTTTACACCCTGTCTAGAGGGGATAACTAGTCTTAGGAATACTTATTTCCCCAGCATCTTCTCCAACACTAAGTGTTGTATATTTTAATCTTTCCAAATAATAGACCAAAATTATACTGGGGTTGGATGTTTTGTTTCAGCATTTTTTGAATGCTAAGTGAAGATATGTTTTCATATATTGATGAACTCTATACCAATCATATCCTTTGCCCCTTTTCTTCAGTATTTGGCAAATATTAACATTTTATCTATCCTTCATGTTGGAAATATTTTCCAAGTCGTTTGTATTTTGCCTGTGTTTATTATGTCTTGTTTTATTTACTTTTAGAAAATTTGATTTTTAATAGCATTTGAATTTATAAAGATGAAGATTGCTTTTTTCTTATAGCCAAAA
Source organism: Homo sapiens (assembly GCF_000001405.40). Classification (NCBI taxonomy): domain Eukaryota; kingdom Metazoa; phylum Chordata; class Mammalia; order Primates; family Hominidae; genus Homo; species Homo sapiens. The sequence continues at coordinate 111,749,501 of NC_000007.14, read as the reverse complement.
GCACATAAAACCTACTATTGTAACCATTTTTATGTGTGCAGTATGGTAGTGTTAACTATATATACATTGTTGTGCAACAGATGTCTAGAAGTTTTTCATCTTGGAAAACTCAAACTCGATATTCACTGAACAGAAGTTCTCCTCTCCCCTTTCCCCTAGACCCTGGGAACCACCATTCTATGTTCTAAGATGTTTTGCTTACTTTTTAACTTTCAGTTACTCAGAGCTCTCAGACTTTTCCTTTATGGTTTAGGTTTTGTGTACATAAAACAAAGGTTTAGTGTTACAAATAATCTGAAAGTAAATACCCGTTTTCCACCATTCAGGTAAAGAAACAGAACATTGCCAGCAGTATCCTGCAGGCCTCCTGTGCACCTCTTCTCAATTATAGCTCCATCTTCACCATAAAAGTAGTCACTATCCTGACTTCTATGGTATCCATTCCCTTGCTTAGTGTATCACCTATTTGCCTCTCTAAACAAGTCGATTTGGTTTTACCTGGTTTTGAACGTTATATAACATACTACTTGTGTTCTATTGAGACATATTTGACTCAGTGTTGTGTGTAATATTTTTCCATGTTATTGCATGTGATTGAAGTTTGTTTCATTGCTGTATACTATTCCATTCCATGAACATATCACAATATGTTTATTCTCTTGTCAATGGACATACGGATTTTGGAGATTATGAACATTTTTGTACATGTTTCCTGGTACACGTGCACAAACCTCCTACCCCACTTTTCCTTATATGCCTAGAATTTCTGAATCGATATACACACACACACACATGTATATATATCTTCAACTGTTTTTCCAAAGTGAATGAACCAACTTGAACTTCCAGTAGCAGTAATTGAGAGTCCGTTGCTCACAGTCTCACTCTCATCTGCTGTTGTCATTTTTACCATTTCAGTGGGTGTTTAGTAGTATGTTATTGTAGCAGTATTTTTCACATCTTTGATCACAAATGAGGCCCAACACCTTTTCATTATTTGTTTACTGGCCATTTGAATGTATTCCTTTGTAAGTGGTTGTTTAATTCATTTGCTCATTTTTTATTGGGTCGTTTGCCTTTTTCTTCCTGGTTTTTAAGAATCCTTATATACCCTGAACACGTGCTTTTTGATGGTTACACATGTTACAAAATCTTCTATGTTCTTGCTTATCTTCCCTTCTCTTTGTCTTTGATGAATGTTCAGTCTTCATATTCTAGGATTTTTCAGTGTTGGTTTAAGATGATCCAAGTGACCTTTAAAAACTCTAATTTGTTTCCTTGCCTGAATGAACCAATATTTAAATATGCTAATTGTAGTCCTGAATTACTTGATTGCTGAGAGCTTGGCAGACCTTCTCTTCAAGGCAATAGCAGTCCCAATGACATACATTTGAAGAGCACTTTTATCATTTTCACAATTAGGTCCTCCATACAGCCTGGAATTTTTAAGTCATTATGATTCTATTTGGCTCTCCAACAAATAGATCCTGCAGTATATATTATCTTGTTTTCTATAATTCCCAACTGTGTGCCATCCTGTGCCACCTTATGGTGCTGTTATATATATATATGAGGTTCATGTGGCATATGTCCCATCTTCCCAACTGGGCTGAAAGCTCCTTGACATCAGAGGATCCATAAATGCATCTTTATATCTCCCATGGTGCTTTGTATCAAATAAGCATGAGAAAGGGGATAATATTCAGGGTCTCTGAATATTTAACCCTTCAAAAGAAAAAAAAAACTAGTTTTAAAAGACATGAGATGCTTGGATATTATTTTAAGGATTAAATTGGTTGTTGCAGTGCTAATGTAGAATTGATGATTATCCAAACCACATTTCAATGAATAAGTATAATTACCTGCCCTTTCCAAACCTTGCTAATGAACATCCCACTTGACTTCCACATCCTTGTCTATTCTACGGAATGGCCCCTGGTAGAGATATTGATGGAAGCCAAGGGGGAGCACAGATAATTCAGAACATGGATAAACTACTTTGTCTTTCTTCTTGAATGTCACAAATTCAATATATATTTATGTTCATTTGCTTCTCAGGTAGAAATGAGTCCTCTGGAAAATGCAATTGAAGTGCTAGAAAATAAGAATCAGCAGCTGAAGACTCTGATTAGTCAGTGTCAGACAAGACAGATGCAGAATATTAATCCCCTGACTATGTGCCTGAATGGAGTTATAGATGCTGCAGTTAATGGTGGCGTTTCCAGGTATCAAGAGGTAAGGATTAGGTATTGTTGTTTCAGAGAAAGTTTTCAATTGTGACTTCTTAGGGTTTCATGAATCTTTTTTCAGACTATGTACCCATATCAGCACGCAAACATAGGGCTGCGATTGACACAGAGTCCTTTGTTAAATAGAGCAAACATACAGTCATTTGTAATTGCCCAGTAACTCCATTTTCCCAACATGTTATATTTGGATAATAAAAATGTGTGTGTGTGTGTTCATTCTTGCATGAATAAAAGTAGAAAGGACATTAGGACTGTTTAATAAATATCCGTCTAAAATAATTTCTCTAAGCAAAGAAGTTCATGGGCATAGAAAAGTCTGATCTGGGCTGGGCTCAGTGGCTCACACCTGTAATCCCAGCACTTTGGTTTGAGACCAGCTTGAGCAACATAGGAAGATCTTATCTCTTATTTAAAAAAAAAAAAAAAAAAAAAAAAAAAGATAAGACCGATCTTGCTTAGATGATACTTTAAGTGGACCTTTCATCTGCTCTCTTAAACAGAAAGATATAATACCCTGGAAGGTAAGGCCACCATCTAGGTCACACTGAATCTTAAGGCAGTTTGTTTTAGGATACAAGCCATATAGCTTACTGATTTGGGCTTGTTCTTTATTTTAGCAAGGGTACTTATTGTACAATCACTGATCTTCCTTTAACAATTCTTTCCTTATGTTCCCATTCTGACCAACCACCTACACTAGTAATCAGCCCATCTGTCCCAAAATGTGGTTTGTAATGGTGTCATTTCCATAAAGATGCCAGGTCTTTAAAAACAACTTGTCTTTGACTTGCCTTGTACTCCACTAAAGTAGACTGATTCTCCTTTCCCTTACTAGGCATTCTTTGTCAAAGAATATATCTTAAGTCACCCTGAAGATGGGGAGAAAATTGCACGATTAAGAGAGCTGATGCTTGAGCAGGTAAGGGAAGCAGAAGCCAACCCCCTTCTATTTTGCCTGGATATGTGCTTGCTTACCTAGAGCCCCCTCTGCATGGTTTCCTGCATCAGTGGTCTAACAGAAGCTGGCAAGCAAGGGTGACAGATTCCTGTAATATATCCCAGCTTGCTAATTTCTACTTCTTCTTCCCACTCCGATGCAAAAATTAATTTAACAATGAGTAGACTATGGCAGCCAGTTACAGGTTGAGTATCCTTTATCCAAAATACTTGGGACCATAAGTGTTTCAGATTTTGAAATATTTGCATATACATAAGAGATATCTTGGGGGAGGGACCCAAGTCAAATAACAAAATTTATTATTTCATATATATCTTATACACATAGCCTGAAGGTCATTTTATATAATATTTTAATAATTTTGTGCATGAAGTTTCGACTGCAACCCATCACGTGAGGTTGGGTGTGGAATTTTCCACTTGTGGGATGTTGGCATTCAAAAGGCTTCAAATTTTGGAGGATTTCTGATTTTCAGTTTTTGTATTAGGGATGTTCAACCTGTGAAACAAACAACTTCATGTGGTCTCTTAAAACATTCTTTGAATGTTCTCTTCCTAGAGACTTGCTGTAGGCTTGATGCCAACTTTTTTTTTTTTTTTTTTTTTTTTTTTAAGACGGAGTCTCCCTCTGTCACCCAGGCTGGAGTGCAGTGGCATGATCTCTGCTCACTGCAAGCTCCGCCTCCTGGGTTCACGCCATTCTCCTGCCTCAGCCTCCCAAGTAGCTGGGACCACAAGTGCCCGCCACCACACCTGGCTAATTTTTTTTGCATTTTTAGTAGAGACGGGGTTTCACTGTGTTAGCCAGGATGGTCTCGATCTCCTGACCTTGTGATCCACCCGCCTCAGCCTCCCAAAGTGCTGGGATTACAGGCGTGAGCCACCGCGCCTGGCCGATGCCAACTTTTCACTCAAAATTCTGTGCTCAGAAAAGTTCAGGCCAACTCCAAATATGAGGCATGAATGAAATTTTTACTTAAGCATTGTAATAAGGAAGTGGGCAATCAGTAGATCTTGCTTTAAAGCAGTGTCATATTTTGCAAAGTAAACCTATAGGTTACATGATATGGACAAAACTACATACAACTCATCATTTTCTACCCCCAGAGAAGCGTGGTTTATTTATTTGGAACCATCAAGTACAAAGAACTGGAATGAGTAATCTGTTGCCTACTGTGTCCCTATTGATAGCCTGAAATGGTTTGAAAACCTCTGAGGTAGGAGACATGGTTGGAAGCCTGTGTTAAACAGGAAATAAAGACATTTGCTTCCTGTGAAAAGTGGAATATGTGTGATGAAACATGACAAAGGCATTTCTTTCTACCCAATAATGCCAAATTAATAAGTAAAGCATGCTCTTTGGATTAGAAAATGAGGTCGTGTCTGGTTTTCATCCATCTTTTATGCTCTGTAGGCTTAGTCCACAAAACCTAATACTACAGGGAGAGAGGTGGCCACAGAAGAGAGAGAAGAATTACTTGAAGCTGATCTGTAAGGAAATAAAGAATAAGTCAAGTTCTCAATGTGACTCTGGGTGTTTGTAGATACTAGAAGTGAGCAGTTGAGGTCATCCATTACTTAGGATTATGCAATGACTTTAACCTTCATTGATTTTTAAAGATCTGTGTTTTACCTCTTATGAATGGTTCACTCCACCCCAGGACTGTATCTGCTGGATTCAGCCTGACTGAATTATTTCCCCAGAATTAAATGGTAGCTCAGGGTCAAGAAGACTGCCAAGAAAAATAAAACCAGGGAACCTTTATTTCTTCTACGTCCTGCTTATGTTCCTGAAACCTTGTGGAAAGAGCCATGGCCTAGAAAATGTGAGATCTCTGTTATAAGACAAGCAGTGCACGTGACTGTCAATGTGCCCTTGGCCAAGTCTCATCATCTCTGTGGGGAGGTGGACTGGAGAGGGCACCATCCTTCTCTGGACCTCTGCAAAGTAGTTCAGATAAACTCTCTAGAGGACAGAGACATGCACCACCCCAGTGCTCCTTCCAGGACAGACTTACTCTGCCTCAGCTGCAGGAAATGTGGCTCTCAACAGACATCTCCAGCTGTCAGGCCCTTCAGGGATTGCCTCCACTGCAGAGAGCCACTTGGCCCAAGGTTGCTACCTTCTCAGTGGTGCACATCCCATACTGAGGAAGCAATAGAAAGCCTGGCCATTTGGGACCAACACAGGACAACTTTGACAGACCATTAAAGGTCCAGAGGTTGAGGTAGGAGTATCATCTGACACCAGGAGTTCAAGACTAGCCTGGGCAACATAGCAAGACCCCATCTCTACAAAAACCTAAAAACTAGCTGGGTGTGGTGGTGCATGCCTGTAGGCCCAGCTACTTGGGAGGCTGAGGTGGGAGGATCACCTTAGCCCAGGAGTTCGAGGTTGCAGTGAGCTATGATCACACCACTGCATTCCTTCCTGGGCAGCAGAGTGAGACTCTGTCTCTAAAAAGATTAAAATACAGATAAATTTTTAAGAACATTCCAGAGGTCCCTTGGGTTTGGCAGTAGCTGACAGGACTGCTGTGCAGCTCAACTTCTTTTCTTGTCAAGTCCGGCTTCTGTCCCTCCCCCTGACAGGCATCAATCCCAAGGTACACCCTGATAAACATTATGAAATCCATGCTGGAGTCTACTTCCCAGAGAACCCAACTTGCAACATTCTGTGAACAAAAGGGAAGTCACCCAACGCTAGTGTTTAAAATGGAGAAGACTGGGGGCCTCTGCGTTTAGATCCACCTCCTACATCCCTTCCATGTCCTCATCACAGATGTAGCCTCTCCCTTTATGCCTCATACACACTGCACTCCAAGTGTGCCTTTCAAAGGCATCCTTGATATTTGTTATGCAAATATGCTGGCAGTGGGCAGCATCCAGAGCCCCGTCCCTTAGGGAAGGTGCTGGATGCCCCAACCCGCCAGGGTCAGTCCTGTTTGACCTGAGCTTTCAACCTAAAATCTTCACGAGCTGCAAAGATTAAAAATAGCAACAATAACAACAAAACCTTGTGGTGATATAGGATTCGTTTTCCTCCCAGTCTATGGAATTTGTCCTTTTGACCATGTTAGCATGGGGGGCATTTTTAAAATACAAAAGACAGCTGCTGCTCGAATCAAAGGAATCACACACTGTTGATGGTTGCACAAAGGAAGGTTGAATGTTTACCTTCATCTCTTCGGATCCTCACTGCAGGAAAGTTTTTTAAGTAGGACCTGCTCTCTCGTTGAATTATAAGTGAATATGAATAATGTTTTTTGGGATTTTTTTCTTTTTTCTTTTTTTTTTCTTTTTGGAGACAGAGTCTAGCTCTGTCACCTAGGCTGAAATGCAGTGGCATGATCTTGGCTCACTACAACCTCCACCTCCCGGATTCAAGCAATCCTCCTGCCTCAGCCACTCGAGTAGTTGGAACTACAGGCACGTGCCACCACACCTGGCTAATTTTTGTATTTTTAGTAGAGACAGCGTTTCACTGTGTTGTCCAGGCTGGTCTTGAACTCCTGACCTTGTGATCAACCCGCCTTGGCCTCCCAAAGTGCTGGGATTACAGGCGTGAGCCACCGCGCCTGGCCAGGAATAATCTTTTTAAACAAAAACAAGAAGCATGGAAACTGTCATAGAATTCCTTTTTGTTTTGTTTTTTCCATCCTCCCTGGCAGATTCTGAAAGTCTGTGGGAGGGATGGATGAGCACAGAGGAACCTAGTGGGAGAGGGAAATGTGGGGGGAGAGGGTGCCATGCAAAGAAGAGATCTTTAAGGGAGAATTGCCGGCCCTCTTAACAGTGAGCAGCACATGCCCCTATTCCTTCTCCACCCTGGGGAGAGAAGGAAGGGGCCAAAAGGACACATAACTGTTACGAGGCATTATAATTATAGATCTAAAATACATGGGAAAGAAGCCTGGGGGAGTAGGAAAATTAAGTCTGAAATCAGAACCAAGTTCTAATCCCCATTTGTCTTTTATCCATGCAGGATTTTTCAGATCCTCAGTTTTTCTTCACCTGTAAAGTGACAGCTGTTCCTACCTTGTCAGAGGCAGAGGATTAGCAATAATGCAAGCGAAATGCGTAGTAAAGTGCTCGGCCCATAGCAGGCACTTAGTGAGAGGTAGTCATTGATGTGAGGTTTTTTCCTTATGTTGTGAATTAAGGCACAGATTCTGGAATTTGGTTTGGCCGTGCATGAGAAGTTTGTACCTCAAGATATGAGACCCCTTCACAAAAAGCTGGTTGACCAATTCTTTGTGATGAAGTCGAGCTTAGGGATACAGGTATGTATACTTAGGTGTCCATGGCGGGGCAGCCTGATCACTGCCGTTTGCTTGTTAAAGGGATGATGATGTATCCAATAGTGACATCTTGTGGTTTTTCTACCAAACTGCACTGTTTTACCAGGGAGCCCTCAAATACAATTGCCTTGTCTGCTATTTGCGAGGCTTTCCTTTTGGGAAAACACAAATGTAAGTGAGGGAAAGCCAAATAATACTGGAACTTGCTTTAATAGCTCCCTATGTGAAGACTTGATGGCAATTAGGATGTGTGCCTAGTATGCTAACCTGTCTCATAAGTTATTTTGCCCAAATCATTACTGTAATGAGATATTTCCTTTACTACATCTTTAGGAGTTCTCTGCTTGTATGCAAGCCAGTCCTGTCCATTTTCCTAATGGAAGCCCTCGTGTGTGTAGAAACTCAGCACCTGCTTCTGTGAGCCCAGATGGTACCAGGGTAATTCCTAGACGCAGGTAAGTCATATTCCAAATTATCTTACAATTTGGCCTCACCCGCAAGCTGATCTGGAATGGTTCTCTCATTCTTTATGGCACAATTTGTCAAATACGCTATTTCTTAATGAAATAACTAACCCGCGAGGCAGCTGCAGACCTCTGCCACCAGTAAAACAGCAACAGCATGAGAAATAAATAAACTCAAACATTTGATTATATTGAGGCAAACAGGAGAAAACAAAACGGAATGTATTTTCCCCCCTTTGGTTTCATAGCATTCTAGCACATGATAAAGTACAATTTGGAGACTGAGTTAATGACCTTTTTTTTCCCCCTGAAACAGCCCGTTAAGTTACCCAGCTGTCAACCGATATTCTTCCTCCTCACTGTCCTCACAAGCTTCTGCTGAAGTAAGCAATATTACAGGGCAATCAGAAAGCTCTGATGAAGTCTTTAACATGCAGGTACTTAATTAGCTTTTTGTCTGGTTGTGTTTATTCCTTTTCTGTCTCAATCATGAGTGTTTCTGTTCATTCTGCTGTGCTGATGAACAGACCAACAAGCAAGAACTTGGCTTAAGGACAAACCTTTAAACACTCTTCTTGCTTTATGGGTCTCTAGAGTCTACAAAGACGTTTCTCTTAAAACTGCCCCATCGCTTTAAGACGACATCAGCAAGCGATGGAAAAGCCTAGGCACGCTGCACAAGGTTCAGCTCTGAGACCTGCCCCAAGTTCCTTCTGCAGTCCAGGACTCTCAGAGTGTGTTGCCACTCACTAGCTGCCTCTTAGCTTGCCTTTTTTTTTTTTTTTTTTTTTTTTTTTTTTTAGCGAGTCTCACTCTGTCTCCCAGTCTGGAGTGCAGTGGTGCGATCTTGGCTCACTGCAACCTCCGCCTCCCGGGCTCAGGCAGTTTTCGTGCCTCAGCCTCGTGAGTAGCTGGGATTACAGGTGTGTACCACCACGCCCGACTAATTTTTGTATTTTTAGTAGAGACGGGGTTTCACTATGTTGGCCAGGTTGGTCTCGAACTCCTGACCTCAAGTGATCTGCCCAATTTGGCCTCCCAAAGTGCTGGGATTACAGGCATGAGCTACTGCGCCCGGCCCCTCTTAGCATTCCAAAATGGCTTTTTTTTTCTTTAAGAAGACATGATTTGGCTAGGTGCAGTGGCTCATGCCTGTAATCCCAACACTTTGGGAGGCCGAGGTGAGCGAATCACCTTGAGATCTGGAGTTCGAGACCATCCTGGCCAGCATGGTGAAACCCCGTCTCTATCAAAAATACAAAAATTAGCCGGGCATGGTGGCGCATGCCTGTAATCCCAGCTACTCGGGAGGCTGAGGCAGGAGAATCGCTTGAACCTGGGAGGAGGAGGTTGCAGTGAGCCGAGAGCATGTCACTGCACTCCAGCCTGGGCAACAAAGCGAGACTGTGTCTCAAAGAAAAAAGAAAAAAAGACATGATTTGAGGGTCTGTTTTAAAATTATCTTTACTTATGTACATATCAGAAAGTTTCCAAAGGTATTTTTTTTATACAAGAAAAATGTAGTTTTTAGGGATTTTAGAGCCAGTATAACTCCTGCAAGCAAACATTTTATTTAAACACTACTAATATGGCATTTATGATAGTTCAGTAAGACTAAGCTGAAATTTTCCTCACCACTATCTTTGGAAAGGAGACATAACACTTATTTCCAAATTCATGCTTTGAACATACTTGTACAGATAACAAGAAGGCATATTTTATGCCTTTTAGACGCACTCGCCTGTTTTTGGGCCCTAGGCTGGAAGTCATTCTACTTATACCTCAATGAAGGAATGCACTGCTAACTGGTACGAAGTCACAGTGTATAGCTGAATCTAACACGAAGGCATTCCTTTGGCAGGAGTCAAAATCTCAGACTTTTCATTAATTCATGCAGACTTCTTTGTCAATCTAAGTTATTAAGATTTTCTATATTGTTAAACGGACTTTTTGTTGCTAATTTGAAAAAAAGTTGATGATTTTGTTTCAAATACGTCAGTGTCGTGGGAAGCCTTTAATCAGGGTATGATAATAGCTCCCTGTGTGTTTCCAGCCAAGTCCATCTACCTCAAGCTTGAGTTCTACTCACTCGGCTTCACCTAATGTGACAAGTTCTGCTCCATCGAGTGCCAGAGGTCAGTGCCAGAGTGTGGGGAAGACTGAGGGTGCCCAGAGAACCTTCTAGTCCTGGGAACTGTGGCCAGCTGCCACACGTTCAGGCTCTCGCCTCCAAACAGGTGCAGCACCACTACCATGCTGATGATCCTCTCTCTCCTTCTCTTCCCAGCTTCTCCTTTGTTGTCTGACAAACACAAACATTCCCGAGAAAACTCTTGCCTGTCACCAAGAGAGAGACCATGCAGTGCCATCTATCCAACACCTGTGGAGCCTTCGCAGGTACTCCTTGTAGGGTAGAGAAACTAGAAAACAAGGACAATTCTGGAATTGCTTACCTATCTCTGCAGAAACACGCGGTAGCTGCCAAAAGCAAGCAGCTGGGCAGTGTCAGACCAATCCAGCTGGTGAAGATTGCACCTCTGTTTTCTGCCCATGGTTAGAAATTTCTGCCTGAGCCATCTTTTTTTTTTTTTCTTTGAGACAGGATCTCGCTGTCACCCAGGCTAGAGTGCAGTGGCACAATCCTGGCTCACTGCAACCTCCACCTCCTGGGTTCAAGCAATTCTCCTGTCTCAGCCTCCCGAGTAGTTGGGATTATAGGTGCCCACCACCACACATGGCTAATTTTTGTATTTATAATAGAAATGGGGTTTTGCCATGTTGGCCAGGCTGGTCTCGAACTCCTGACCTCAGGTGATCCACCTGCCTTGGCCTCCCAAAGTGCTGGGATTACAGGCATGAGCCACCACTCCCGGCCCTGAGCCATATTTCTGATAGGGACACATGGTAGTTGCTTGGCAGTGATGCTAAAAGGGAAATGGGAAGTTTACCCTCCTTGATCTATTTCATTGCTGCTTCTTAAACATTATGCAAAGTAGTTGGGTGAATAAAGTGCCTGTGTTTGCATGCCCTGTGTATGTAACAGAAGTCTGGGGGAACCTCTTAAACTAGGAAAATACCCTTGAAGAGAAGCATTCTCCTGCCCAGCAGTCTTTGCCTTTGCCTAGACCTATTTAAAAGAGCTGCAATCGATTCCTATCTGGGTACCCATGAGTATAGGAGCAATTTGTTTGCCTTTGCCATTCTTGAATGCATGAGAAAAGAGCGGTTCAGTCCTCAGCCTTTCCCTGTCAACTGCTCATGCGAGTAAGGGAGCTTGGCCCTCACCCCCTGCCTGAACTTGGTTTTGAAGTGATCCCTGTTTTTCTGAGAGCAGAGGCTTGGGCTCAGCCCTTGGGCACTTCAGGAGCCTTGAAGGGTGGTTTCAAAGTTGAAGATTCATGGGTAGCCCTGAGTTTTAAAGATTTGGGAATAGTTTAGGAGCAGAGAAAAATAGTTATTTCTACTCCAGCTAATTTCTGTTTTTCTACACCATCCTGGCAGAAGTCTGTAGCCACATCCGGAAGTGGATGAGAGAGAGTGGGATTTGGCTTCATTGGTTTGTCTTTGCTGATTGTGTGATCCTCCCGAAAGTCCCAGGGTACCGCCTCTGCACAACGCTGATGTCTTGCAGAAATTATATCTGAGTGCATTTGGCTGGACTAGCTATTTCCCTTTGTCACTTGATGATGCTGCAAGGGAATTTCTCAGTTTGTTCTGCTCCAGGAGAACTTCTTGTCAGCATGGGCAACTCTGAAAGCCTTCTCTGATTAGCCTCCCAAGTTTTCTGGTTTTAGTAAAATTGGAAGCAGTATATATGTTGCTAAATTTCAATAGTGTGCACTGCCGTAGTACATCTACTTTTAAGGACTTGGTACCTTCTATTTAATATATTAGGTAAAACCATGTAAAACTGGCATTTTTATAAGTTAAAAATTGTAGACTATCAATTATTTCATATATTTTTTACCTAATAAATGATTTTTAACATGCAGGGGTTAAATTTCACTCACTAGTGATTTTTTGAACTAATATTTCTCCTTTAATTCTTATTTCTGTTTTATATCACCACTGTAGCATTTGTATTTACAAAGAACTCCACACAGGCCAGGTGTGGTGGCTCATGCCTGTAATCCCAGCGCTTTGGGATTGGCCAAGGTTGGAAGGACTGCTTGAGCCCAGGCATTCAAGACCAGCCTGGGCAATATAGTGAGATTCCATCTCTAAAAAGAAAAGAAAAAAAAAGAACTTCATAGCACAACTGCTATTTACTATTTATTTTTTACATTTTATTATGAACATTTACCATTTATATTTAAAATATAATACAAACTTTTCCAACACTCTTTTCTTTCTCAAAACCTAAGGCTCTTCCCACCCCCTTTTACTTAAATATAATTAAATTATTTGTTCCTAGGCTCATCATATCACACAAAAATTATTTTGAACAAAAAGTTTTACTGAGGAGATAATCGTCTCATTTTCTGAAAGGTTTCACATGCCCGTATATCACATCATAAAAATCAACCCTTGTAACTTTGCAGAGGATGCTGTTTAATCATATTGGAGACGGGGCCTTGCCACGCAGTGACCCAAATCTCTCTGCACCTGAAAAAGGTAAGGCCAGCCCCATGGTCAGTCCTGGAATGTGTAAGGGCTTGTTTTATCCTCATGTTCTCCAGTCTTCTGTGTGTCTGTGTGGAAAGCAGTGCTCTAGCTCTTTAATGATCAGGACTAGTATGCTCTTTAAGGGATTAATGAAAGACAGTTATTCATGATCATTCTTCAAAAGCTGTTTTCCTATAAGATTTTAACAGCAGAATCTGAGCAAGATAGGAACGCCTATGTTTAATGGCTTTTTGTTATCATCCAGTGAGTCACCCAGGCAATGCCTCCTCTTCCTGAAGCAAAGTTGCCAATTAGGCTCCTTGTTCAGCACAATGAAAATAGCTTCACCCGGATCGATTCGGTGGTCCCATCCTTCGTCTCCCTTACAAAGCTCATTCAGCCAACTCATGTGTTGTTTGTTGTGACTCAGATACGGCTCTTGTACAATTAAATACCATTTAAGAATTGCAATCCAGTGCATAATGGAGTGTGCCCTGCCTCAAGGTCACACAAAATGAGAACCAAACACATGGACAGCAGTAAATAGCCAATTAGGATCAGTCTGCAACACGGCAGAAGATGAAGAGCAGATTAAACACGATTTCCTCAGCTACGGGGTCGGGGCTTGCAGCAAGTCACCCATTCACCTCTCTCAGGGTCAAGCCTCAAAAATAAGAGCAGTTCCCCAGGCCAATAAATCAAGAGTCGTTAATGAAATAGTCTGGGAAAGTGCCTTTTAATTGCCCTCATTAAGAAGTAAACTATTGTCATTTGGGTACACTGCTACATTAGAACTTTCCTTGGGAGATGGAAATTAGTGAAGTCTTAGGCAAAATTATTTTAAAACACAAATTTAGCTTTAATGTTACAAGTCACATGTTCATCTTTGTCAGTAGAACTAAGGAATGTGGTATTTTTCTCACCCCTTCTACTAAAGAAAACCACGATGCAAATTTAAAAGAATAGAGAAAAAGAATTTTAAGAGTGGTAACTCCATCCCATTAAGTGAAAATGGTCGAGTGGTAAAATGTTGAAATTCTCAACATGCCCACCAGATGGCAGTGTCTGTACAGGGAGTGAGTCACTGGAACCCAGATTTGCTGTTGTAAACCTCATTGCATAGTGGCTATTTACAACCAGCGTGTCCTGCCCTTATTCCTGCCAGGATTGCCCCATATTCCTGCATCTTATCGAAGCACAGAGCAGACAAATTACAAAATAAGAATGACACTGTCCATATTCCAAATCATTTTTTAAGGACATATTTCAGTGTAATTCATTGATTTCAGAAAGAGTTATCAATGAGATAATATTGCATGGCTGTTCTTTCCCAAGAATTCTGCCAAATAGTTAAAATATTAGTATGTCATTGCCTTCTCCATTTTTAGGTGTCACTTGTCCAGAAATGTCTACTAAAAGCCAAGTTTTAAAATAGCCCAGTGACTACATCTTCCATCTGTTATCCAGCATCTAAACACATTTGTAATTCTCAGCAAGTTTTACACCCCAGTGTAAAGATTTGTAGTTCCCTTTGACAGCATTAAGGGAAATAAAGAGACTTGTTAGCGCCCAGTTAAATGGTAACTATAACTGTTAGGCAGCCAATTAAATAAAGGTTTAGTATTCAAGAAGTTTCCTGTTTTGTTTTTCATCCAGTTAAGTTTTTCATTCTGGATAATTCTGACTTTCTTCTAAGATCTCAAGCATTGGAAGGGCAAAGCTGGACCGTGTGTTTTTAGCTGTGTTATTCCCTTCCAGCTGTGAACCCCACCCCTAGCAGCTGGAGCCTGGACAGTGGGAAGGAAGCCAAGAACATGTCGGATAGTGGGAAACTTATCTCTCCCCCTGTCCCTCCAAGACCCACACAGACTGGTGGGTATTTGAAGAATTTGAATGATCACTTTTATAAAATAACTTTTATTGACTACTCCAGTTTGTCCTGAATTCCTGAGAGAAAGGTAGGCGTTTGATTTCTGGGATAAAAACCTTAGTAGCTGCATAATTCCTTGACAATTGTCTCCCTCTTTCCTGAACTTCTATTACACGGGGTCAAACAGTGGTCTGTTCCAAGTAAGCCTCTCGGACAGATTTTATAGAGTGCTCTTTACCAAGCCACCATTCTCAAATTCGGGGAGGCACCCTAACCTTGGTAGGCCACTAGCATCTTCTCTAACCTTCACTTTGAACCACTTCATTCTTATCAACCTCCGCTAACTCAGCTACTTTCTTCAGTCTTATTCAGGACTGATGCCAAAGTTTCCAGTTGCCTCTAAATAGCCATTGACTAACAGTTACGCTCCATAAGCTTATCAGAGTCATTAACTTTGTATCCATAGTTATCTGTTGCTTTGAGAGGTCTTTATGCAAGGACTATATTTCGCAAAGGGTTGATTCAGGGTACCGCATCCCCTCAGGTGGTCGTTTAAGCAGCAAAATCTTGGCCAGGTGTTTTGGCTTATGCCTGTAATACCAGCATTTTGGGAGACCAAGGTGAGTGGATCACTTGAACTCACAAGTTTGGGACCAGCCTGGGCAGCATGACAAAACCCCGTCTCTACAAAAAATATAAAAATTAGCCAGGTGTGGTGGTACACACCTGTAGTCCCAGCTACTTGGGAGGATGGCTTGAGCCCAGAAGTCAGAGGTTGCAGTGAACCAAGATGGCACCACTGCACTTCAGCCTGGGCCAAATAAGGTAGTTCACACCTGTAATCCCAGCACTTTGGGAGGCCAAGGCAGGCAGATCACTTGAGCCCAGGAGTTTTGAGAGAAGCCTGTACAACATGGCAAAACCCCATCTCTACAAAAAAAAATGCAAAAATTAGCCAGGCATGGTGGCACACACCTCTAGTCCTAGCTAGTTGGGAGGCTTAGGTGGGAGAATTGCTTGAGCCCAGGAAGCAGAGGTTGCAGTGAGCCAAGATTGAGCCACTGCACTCTAGCCTGGGCAACAAAGTGAGACCTTGCCACAAAACACAATAAACTATGTGCCACCTAGTTTACTCTATACTTGTCAAAGCCAAAAGTCAAGTCACCAATAATTTTTGAGAGACATATGAGGTCTTCAAAGAAAACAAGAAATAACTTTAAGCTTATTGATCACCTGCATTAGTATATCAGTATGTGTACAGAGGCCTAAAACTTATCGGCCAAACTATTTGTATCTCATTCACGATGTACATATATTCAGGCAGTCTCCAATTTAAACCTGGTTGTGTCCCTAAAGTTGAGAACCTGAAAAGCATTTTTTAAGGAATAATATTGATGCAAATATGCTGTGGTTGCAGGGGCCACCATGGTGGTGTCAGCAACTGCCTGAGTCAGGAGGAAGAGGGTCCTAGGGAACAATCAACTTTCTACCACCGTTAAGGCAGGAACATAGTTCTCCGTCAGGATCAGCTTCTCCATACAGATGTGATTTTCTTCCATAATCAGCACCCACGATCAACAGGATAGGAGAACTAAGGCTGGTATTAGAATGTGACACGTGCTGACAGCATGCCCCAGCATTCAAGAGTGCAAGAGAGAGGCTGCACACTACCAGTGTGATCATGGAGCACTCTCACTGACCCCTTAGGACCCAGAGCACACAGATGACCTTACCCCTCCCAAGTTAACTGGCAGGGCTGCCATCCCTTCTGCACTGATTGCTCTCATGGTCTGTTCTTATGTCATCATCTGTGGTCACTGTTGTGGGGCTCTGTAACTGTCTTTCTTTCTTACAGCCTTTCAGTAGTTGTGAGTTGCAAACCTCACTGTGACAGCTGGGAGAGTAGCAGCTAATCACAGAGCGACATACCCAGAGTTCACCGAAACGTCTCTGTGGAATTGAGAAATGTGGCTGACTCTCACCCTGTTGACTGTGTCACGCCAGCCTTTACCATACAGGGCTATGCTTTAGAGAGCTGGATTTGCTATACAAGCATGCACACAGGAACAGTGCTATCACACATGCTGTGTTCCAGGTGTAGGACTTGAAAATCTAGTGAGAAAAAGCAAACAGTTCACTCTTCTTGGCCACGATGATGAAATCCATAGAGACCCACCACCAGGGGATAATGGGAAGACCTGAGTACAAGCATTAGGGGAAGAAATGGAAAACCATGCACCTGTTGTATGGCCATGGCCAAGGGTTTTCTACCTATTTGGGGAGTACTGGGGTTGTTTGGGGGGAGCTGATTAAATATGTTCCCGTAGACCTGTTCCAGGCTGCTGGGGTGGCCATGGTGTTCCCATTGGTGCTCACGCCAAAGTCAACAGCTGTTCCCCAAGAACTGCTCCCTAGCATCTCACACCTAAAAGCACCTTATGAGACAGATCAAGCAGTGCAGAAGCACCTGGACTTTGGGGAAACGGAAAGGACATTGGATCAGTTTGGGAACCTGTCAATAGTCAAAGCATCATATATGCCATGATAACTTTTCACTGATGCTCCCATATCTTGGCAGTGCCACCCTTTGTGAGAACCCATTCTAGACAGGCATCATTTAGCTTCTCCCCCATCCTCACCACCCCCTTTGCTTAGAAGGTCCTTATGCACTGGATCATCTGTTTGGGTTTGTAACACAGAGGGCATGTGCAGATAGTCAATCGTCTGGTTTTTCTTAATTGAAATGTTATCTCTCTCCCCATTGACAGCTTCACCAGCAAGACACACGACATCAGTATCCCCCTCGCCTGCCGGGCGATCTCCATTGAAGGTAAAGGCCCTTCTTTCGACTGAGGCTAGAGACTGGCCCAGTTTTCTTTTTCTCTAAGACTCATCCCAGATATATCAAAAGGTGCTTTAATTTGCAGGGACCAGGCAAAGAACTTATCAATCAGGGATAGGGGAAGCTGGTTGAGAAAAACAACACTGGACTTTCCCTTCTGGGTGCCTCCTGCACAAACGCAGCCATTTGTTTTTCGATTATTAGCCTCATTCTCCAAATGGTAGCAGTGAGAACTTGCAGACTGAAGTCAGTGCATATACTGAATTAGGAAAGGAATGTGGTCCTAATGTACCTCCTAGGAAACTTTCAGCCTGGCCTTTTAGTTTAAGGTACATCAAACACACACACACACACTTAGATTGAGAAACATCAGTATCAAGATCTACTAAATATTCTGTGTCTTTTTGCCTTTATCGTCAGCCAAACCCATTTTGTCAAAGCCAAACCTAACATTCTCTGTTAATATTTTATACCAAGTTTCTCATTTACATTAGAAATACATACTTGATCATGAAAAACAAGGCAGTAATATGGATTTAAAAGATTTCTAGGGAACAAACTGGAAAGCTGTAAAGGTCAGACATTCGAATTGGTTTGTAGACATGGGCTATTTAACATCTTTAAACATAAAAAATCCCTCATGAAGATAAAGAATAATATTTAGTCTTATCCAAATTGAATCAGACCGGCTTCAAGGATTGTCAGTACGTGAGAGATTGGTGTTCAGAACTGCTGCACCAGAGGCAAATATGAAGTGTGTCGAAAGAATGATTTTGTACCTGAGTGACTTAGGATTTACACGCTCCATGTCCTTTGTGTGATGAGCTAGTTCTAGCTAATGTGCAAAAGACAAATTAGCCTCTACAAACACATAGGGGCAGGTTGCGATCCAGTGCATCTGTGGTGCTAACGATAGTTGCTGATAGAAATTGAGAAACGGGAAAACAACCCGCCTCCCCCCGCAAAATGGAGAAAATTGAAAGAAGTGTGATTCCCTTGCATTGCCAGAATTTCTGACGTAGAAATTCGCGGGTAAGTGCAAGTGATTTGCTCGTTTTGTTCTCATTCTGTAATGCAGCTGTTATTATGAAGTACCTGTGACAGCATTCACTCTGGAAGTCATAGCCTGTCACCTCGATGTGATAGAAAGGAAAGCAACATGGCTTTTCCGCACTTTTACATTTGCCCTTACTCACACAGAGCTCCCACACGTTGCTATGGAATTATCATCTGTATTTTTCAACTTAAATTTTGTTGGGTAGTAAGAAAATAAGTCTTAAGAGATTAATTCTTAAACATTAAAAAGAACCCAAGAGCTAAAAATGTTTGAATAGCTATAAAATAGTCTTAGCAAGCTGGTATATACTGTCTCTCAGCAGACCTGTGTACATTTTTACTGGCCATATGCAGTTCGAAGCCATGTCTTTATATGTAGGGTTTGAAGGAAGAGAACATAGATCGAACATTTGTGTTATACCTCCTGGGTTACATTAGGGGGCACACTGCTACCATGTTACTAGCCTTGCAGTGTGCTGCCTTAACTGATAAGAGTTTAGTGGGGTTTTGGGTTTTTTTTTTACCCCAGCCAGCCATCAAACTGTGGGTCTAACCCTACAGCGAAGACTGAGCTGACCTGCCATATTTTGAATTTCAGGTCTAACTTTTGACAGAGGTAGCAGTGAATTGGGAACTCTTAATTGGCCTTAATGTTAGGCTCCTACTAAATGACAGGATGTGTATCTACCAGCGTTATTTTGTTTACAAAGAGAAACCAAAGTCAAGTTAGCTTAAGAAGATAGCATTTCTCAAAGTGTATACCATAGAACACTAGTTTTCCAGGACATTATGTAATAAGCGGGGGAGAAAAGGTCTATAGTCAAGTAAGTTTGGAAAACACTGGACTGAACAAAATTATTTGTATTCCTTTATTCTAAGCCTTGAAAATGCGAATATGTTTTGAATATACACAAGGAGTATACAGTGTGCAGCATTTCCCAGCGGAACCCTCTTTTCACAGAGCATCTATCTTAGGACTCGTTTTCCTTGGGATACTAGTTGGGAAAGTAACAAACTCAGATGCCAAATGGGGCCAGACAGCTGACACAAATGAAGGAGGCCGGGTGTAGTCCCCACGTGGCATAGTGGGGACTGGCAAAGTGAAAAGGGACAGCCCTTCTCAGCTTTTAAAGATTATCTCTATTAAGAGAATGTGTGCCATTGTGGCCAGAACTCCTAGTTCTTTATGAACTGCCAGAATTCTGGAGTTTCATGTGAAATTTGAAATGTTAAAAATTAACTAAATTAGGTTTTTAAAAAACTGCTGAGGAAACAGCTCACATCACAGGCTACAGCCCCGAGGGCTGCCAGTTCGCCAGTTCAGCTCAGGAGTCTGGAGTCTGGAGTGATGGCTGGAGAAATCAGGTGCAGAACCTCGGGTGCCTCTGCTCCTCCTCCTGAGCTCTCTGGGTCTTCTGAGCTGAGTGTGCTCAGCGGCCCTGGCTCCTGGCCTGCAGCATGCCCTGCTGAGCTGGGAAAGTGAATAGCGCCCCCAAAGGTTTTATGGCGTTTTTAGGTTTTTGGGGTTTTTGGCCAGTTCCCTCTCTTCCAAACTATAGGACTAATGTGTGCCTCCAGATTATCTTGGTGGATACCTTTATTTATTTTTTGAGACAGGGTCTCATTGTGTTGCCCAGGCTGGAGTGCACTGGTGGCTCCACGGCTCACTGCAGTCTCAACCTCCCAAGGTTCAGGTGATCCTCCCAGAGGAACTGGGATTACAGGCATGAGCCACCACGCCCAGCTAACCCTTTGGATTTTTAGTAGAAATGGGGTTTTGCCATGTTGCCCAGGCTGGTCTCAAGCTCCTGGCCTCAAGTGATCCCTGCATCGGCCTTCTAAAGTATTGGGATTACAGGCGTGAGCCACCATGCCCAGCTCCTTTCTCCTCTATCTGAAAATGATAAGGAGTAAACTGGGCGGTGAACTGAACTCGAGGACTGGTGGCCCTCGCAGATAAACGTCTGGTGTGCATTTTCAGTGCTACAAAGGACAACACTCAAATTTGAGTGTGAGTGTATTCGTCTGCTCGGGCTTCCCTCACAAAATACCACAAACTGGGTGGCTTAGACACTGGGAATGTATTTTCTCAATTCTGGCAGGTAGAAGTCCAGGATCAATGCGTGGCAGCCTTGGTTTCCCCGAGGCCTCCCTCCTGGGCTTGCAGACCGCCCTTCCTGCAAGGTCTGTGTGTGTCGCATTCCTGACGTCTCCCTGTGTGTCCAAATGTCTCTTATAAGGACACCAGTCAGCTTGGATTAGGATCCACCATAATGGCCTTTTACCTTAATCACCTCCTTAAAGGCTGCATCTCCTGCTGCAGCCGGCTTTGGGGGTGCTGGGGGCCGGGGCCTCCGCGTCGGGGCGTACATTTCAGCGCATCTGCGTTCACGACTCAATGCTGTGTCTCCCTCTCGTTTCCTTCTCCCCGGAGCAGGGCTCTGTGCAGTCTTTCACCCCCTCTCCAGTGGAGTACCACTCGCCAGGACTCATCTCCAACTCCCCTGTCTTGTCGGGCAGCTACAGCAGTGGGATTTCTTCTCTCAGCCGGTGCAGCACGTCGGAAACCTCAGGCTTTGAAAATCAGGTGAATGAACAGTCGGCCCCCCTGCCGGTGCCAGTGCCGGTGCCCGTGCCGAGCTACGGCGGGGAGGAGCCAGTGCGCAAGGAGAGCAAGACTCCGCCCCCGTACAGCGTCTACGAGCGGACTCTGCGGCGCCCCGTCCCGCTACCTCACAGCCTCTCCATCCCCGTCACGTCGGAGCCGCCCGCGCTGCCCCCCAAGCCTCTGGCAGCGCGATCCAGCCACCTGGAGAATGGGGCCCGGAGGACTGACCCCGGCCCGCGGCCCAGGCCCCTGCCCCGCAAGGTCTCTCAGTTATAAGTCACTTTTCTATGTACCTGCGATGCATTCTTTGCCCGTTTACAAAATAAGAAGTA
This sequence comes from Homo sapiens, assembly GCF_000001405.40. Lineage (NCBI taxonomy): Eukaryota > Metazoa > Chordata > Mammalia > Primates > Hominidae > Homo > Homo sapiens. The sequence goes on along the minus strand of NC_000007.14, from coordinate 111,728,217 downwards.
TGATGAGAAGACATTTAGTGTAGGCACTTTAATAACTTACTCAGCTCCTTCGATGAATGGAATTAAAACTTGCTTATTAAATATCATGTTGCACAATATTAAAAGTTGCTGATCTAAAACGCCAGATGTTAAATGAAGTATGGCTGAATTTCATTAAAACGTTTCTCATTTGGAAGTGGTAAATAGTGATAAAGACTCCTTTTGTACCTTTTTATGTTCACTTTTTTTTATATAGTTTAATCTTAAAACCAATACGATATTGTCAAACGATACAATGTGTGACAATGTTGTATCGTTTTTACTGAATACTTGATACTTGGAGAAAGCTTATTAAGTCAGTGCACATCCTAACACAGTGGTCCTTATTTTAGAAGACTTCTGTAAATAAGGCAAGGTTTATCAGTGCAGATCATCAGAATTAAAGTTCAAGCAGGCGAGCAAGACAGTATACTTAAGGGGTTGCAAAGCTTGGGACTGGAAATTGTTTTGTTCTTGAAACAAAATACTTCTTTAAGGTTGCTTTTGCTGTTTGACTGCTGTCTACATTCGTAAAATTCTATTTTGTGAATTGGTAGCTAAATCCCTTACTACCCTGACACCGTGGTATCTACTGTATTTCTTTTCAAGGTGCAATTTGCTTCAGAGTTCCAATCAGCTAGATTAAGCAAGAGGCTCCAGAAGAAATGTTTACTTGAATTTTGCGCTTCCTTTCTTGATAGTTTCCTATATAAAATTTGTCATTGAACAAGAGCAAATGCTGAAGTATTAATGAGGCACAAATGACTGTGCCCCATTAGCAAGAATTCAGGAATCAATACAGACAGTATTAAATTAATAGCTTAAGTGAAGAAAAAAAAAACTTAGTGAAAATGTATTAGCACGATTAAATGGCAAAAGGACTTATAAAAGGCAAGGGCATTAACTTTCAGTCCTGCACAAAATAAAAAATTCCTCACGACTCTCCACTTTTACCAGTGGAGTTTGTCTTAGCTGACCTGTCGTCTTTCTCTTGAAGGAGGATTGCTGTAGACTTCTCTAGCTTGAATATTGCAACATAGCATCTTAGGTCTAGATAGGGATGCTAATGCCAGTTGTAGAAGTGTGAAAAAAGCACCTTGTATGTAGTAATGTATTTTATATCTTTGTTTTTTCTTTTACTGACTGTTTATAACACTCAATTGACAATAGATATGAACTGTATTTTAAATCATACTGTTAAATATTTTCCCTCTTTTGTTGGGAAGCTCATTTTAGTTTAACCATGTTTGTTTTGTTGGTAGCTTACCTGGAAGGCAGTGACCACTTTTTTATATTCTCTTAATGAAACCATTCAGCAGGTATATGCTGTTGAGGCTGGTTATAGAGGTTTTCTATAATAAATGTTCAAGTATTTTTGTATATAACTGGTTAATTTTAATAAGAGATACCATTATGTGTAAAAAAAAGTAAAAATAAACGCAAACAGTTGTTGATGCAGTATGATTGTTATAATTATGCCAAATACTTTACGTATGGAAAAAGAATATTTGTACATATGTGCTTTTAACAATTCTGCCATATTGACTTTACAATTTTGAATGTCGGAAAAATTAATATATGTTAAATATTTATGTTTAGTGAAAGTGTTCATAATTGAGAAAAGGAACATATGCATTTTAGCTTTGTATCTTGCAAGTTTTGCAGTCAGAAATTTTTTGAACTAGCTTTTGCTTTTGATAACACTTCGTGTTTGTAACCACATTCATATATATATACATATATATGTGAAGCTCCATATTTCTGTTGCTTTAAAGAAGTAAAACCTTCCATTTAAATAAGATGACATGCATAAGATAACAAAGCTTCCTTGATTTCCTTTTCCTGTGTAATTTAATAGATTTGTTGACTAGTGCTTGGGCACATTATAAATCAGTGTTATTTGCTCTTGGAGCCATTTTTTAAAAAAAATTTTGGCAGTGAGCAGTTGAATTTATCTTGAATTTATCATGTGTGTGTATTTCTGAAGCAGCTACATAGCAGAACATTTTAAGAGATTCTGTTAGCCCACATGTTCATGTTGGTTGCTGCTGAATGGTAAATATTAAATAAAATTACCAGATTAATCTTAATATTTCTGTCTTTACTCCTATCATCAGCATGTCTTTACTTGTAATAGAAGCGGCTCTTGATCTTATTATAGTGAGATTTCCAGACTTCTTTTTAGATAGATCCTGTTTGTGTTGTCCTGCCACGTAGATGCATTTCACACTCACTACGGCTCACTTATGCCATAGGGAACAATCACCAGAAAGGTAACAAACAGTATGGGTTAATATCCCATAGAAAGGGTAACATTTACGTGGTTGGCTGACCATTCATTGGCCTAACCAGAGCCAACTTAACAAGTCAAACCATCAAAATGTGTTTGCATCAGAAAACTTGACATAAAACAGATAACTTCCAAGCATATAAGGGCATGGTTAAATGCTGGTTTTGACAGCTGTGGTAAAAATCTATCTGCATGCCAACTCTTCTCCCTGGTTTTCATAAAATGATAGAAAATATACATGTGACATACACTGAAAAACCCACTGACTACAAGATTTCGATTAATAAAGCCTGGCTTTTAACTTGGTGAAATGTGTCAATATTGTATAAGGTTGAAGACATTTATGTAACTCAGTGCCAAGAAAACCACTGTCTACAGCTTCAGCCTCGTAGAATACAAAAATCCATTTAAAGGCCATTGTCAGCTGGGCGCAGTGGCTCATGCCTGTAATCCCAGCACTTTGGGAGGCTGAGGCTGTTGGATCACCTTAAGTCAGGAGTTCAAGACCAGCCTGACCAACATGGTGAAACCCCATCTCTACTAAAAATACAAAGATTAGCTGGGTGTGGTGGCGGGTGCCTGTAATCCCAGCTACTCGGGAGGCTGAGGCAGGAGAATCGCTTGAACCCAGGAGGCGGAGGTTGCAGTGAACTGAGATCATGCCACTGCACTCCAGCCTGGGTAACAGAGCAAGACTCTTGTCTCAAAAAAATTTTAAAAAAAAGGCCATTGTCAGTGTCCTCCTGATTGTTTCTCAACATTAACTAAGTGACTTCAGAATATTTTTGGGTTATTTATATTACAACTGAACCCATCAGTATTTGGATTCTACAAGCACAATTACAATAAGAAGAGCTCAGTTTCCTACATAAGTAGGTTTCTCCCTGGATTGTTACTAATTGTTCTACAAAACACAACAAAGAGAATAACAAGTTGCATAGCTTTGCCTCTGTTTTATCTGTACACATTGAAAGGTGGTTTGTACTGAAATGAATTCTTACTTATTAAGCCCAACCCTCATTATGTAAGAATACCATATTAATCCCCACACTTTGGGAGGCTGAGGTGGGCAGATCACAAGGTCAAGAGATCGAGACCATCCTGGCCAACATGGTGAAACCCCATCTCTACTAAAAATACAAAAATTAGGTGGGCATGGTGCACACGCCTGAGTCCTAGCTACTCAGGAGGCTGAAGCAGGAGAATTGCTTGAACCTGGGAGACGGAGGTTGAGTAAGCTGAGATCGTGCCACTGCACTCCAGCCTGGCGACAGAGCGAGATTCCATCTCAAAAAAAAAAAAAAAAAAAAGAATACCATAAAAATAGGTTTGAAATATAACAAAATACCAATCCCCTGACATAACTATTAATACTACTTTTTACATATTCCTTTTGCCTTTTTCTACACATATATATTACATAGTTTTTCTAAATTGTTAACTGCTAGTTCCTCAAAAACACAATCATCAACACAATCTATTGACGATACAGGGCTGAGTTCATTGTTCCCTACCATAAAGGAGAGAAACCCACCTCAACAGAGCTTTGGTAGTGTCTTATGGCAAAGGGCAAGATCAGATTTTGTTGAAATTCTGGAGTTTTGTTTAAGGTGGATCTTTTAATGAGCAGGCTTTGAGTAGGATTGGGTGCAAATCACAGTATAATTGTTTAGGATGAATAGAAACAGCCAGGCAAGGATTTTAAGTGAGGGGGGTTCAGAGAGTCTTATTTCAGTTTTAGTGCCACCAGTAATATATTTTTATGGCAATTTTTTCAAGATTGGATATCAATGTGTGTTTACTTATTTAATATGTTGGTGGGGTGGGGGGGGGAATACTGCTACCTTACCTAAAGTTTGAGAAAAGGTTAATAAGTGAATGAAGTATTTTATTTATAGAATCTTGTGCTAAGGATATTGATATCCTGATAAAGGAAATGAAAAGGGGAGATGAAAAGAAAAGTAACAGGCTTTAAATTTAGGATGGCACCTACTAAAACACTTCATCCCAGAGAAGAGATTGCTAAGACATTTTAGATCCTATTTCTATAGAATACTAGAAAATCCCCAACATTCTGAACCCATGTATCACTTATCTAGAGTTTACCTCTGTCATTCACAATCAATTAAGGAGCCAAAAGCCTAGAAGTGAGGATGATGATCTGAACAACCACACTAAACAGCCCAGTCTGCTCACAGAATGAACAGTCTCCATCCAAGAAGATGAAGGCGATGAAGTGCTCATTGTGTTTGAACCTTACTAAAGGGAGACATACACTTTTGTAACAGAGTTAAGGGATGGGTGAGTTAGGTACCTAGAAAGCTGTGCAAGTGGAAAAAGCTAATAACTCCAGAAAGAACTGAAACCTTTTATACAAGAAAGTAAATGTAACTATACTATACTATATGAGTCAGCCATTTATCATATCTACATAGTTACGGAAATGTAAAACATAATTGATCTAGCCCCAAATTATCATATAATTATACTGGAAGGATGAGAGTAAAGGAATTCATGTATGTGGAGAATAAAATAAATTCTCATGTTCCATAAAGGGATATTAGTAGATAATGCATAAAACTTAATGACAATCAAAAAGTATCATAAAAGATACTTTTTTATTTAGAGATATAAGGTAAACATTAAGAAATAATTTTAAAAATTGAAAATAGTTGTCTCTGAGGAGTAAAAATGGCTGGTGACCTGGGATGTTGCAAGGGGCTCCTATTTTATGCAGAGGCTTTATAGAACTATATGCAAGTATGATGATGATGCATTTTAAGAGATTGAAAAAGAATTATACAATATTTGGATGCCACTACGCTGGTTTCACTTCTCTTGCTTATTTTTTTCTTTATATAAAAGAGCAAATCTGGATCTGGACCTGGTTGCAAACTCCGGATGTGGTTTTCAAGGAGGTCCAGATCCAGATCTGCTCTTTTACTTGTACTTCTGCACTACTAGTGCAGAAGTGATTAGCAATGAGACCAGCTACTTTTAATCCTATAAGTTTGTGAAGGGTTAAACAGTCAAGCTCTTCTTCTTTAGTAGCAGCAGTAAGGAGCCAATAGAAACAATTTTTATATAGAATTCTAAAAGGAATTTTACAGGTATTATTAACAGTTTACAAGTCCCTTTTGTGTCAATTATGTAAATTTTCTCATTTTGATAAAAGCCCGGGAAAGTCTTGATATGTCTTAGTCTAGAACAACAGTTAACAGTCCCAGTTTATTTCCAAGGGGGGAAAACACTAGTAATTGCATGGTGAGTGTTAAGAGAGCTTGGGTCTATAATAAAGAAATTCGGCAAGGATGTCCTATCACACCCATTCTCCCTCCCCTCACTCTCTAGATGGCACTACCTCAGCCTTCTGCCTCAATACACAATTTATCCAAATCCTTGTTCATCTAAACCCAGAGAAAGAGGTGCTCTTCTCTTCAGAGTTGAGCTCTCTACTCATGCATTGATCCTGTCTCATACGGCTTCCTCCTTGAGGAGAGCTGGCTGTGACCGTTGAGCATATTCATCTAGCTAACACAATGGCTAGGCCTGAAGACAAGAACAAATGTAACATTTACCAACCTCAGACAATAGGAAAATTTTCTCCTTTCTTTCCTTTCTATTTCTTTTGGTTAGGCAACTTTTTAAACTTAAGCATTTATAAAAAGTAGACAGAATTAGCTGTATTAAATTTCAAAACTTCTCTAAGTCAAAGATAACCAAAATAAAAGAACAGGACCAAAAAAAAAAAACAATTGGAGTAAATATAACAATGTTAATGTCTTCATTCTATAAAGAACTCACCCAAATTGATTTAAAAATATGCTATTAAGATACATAGTATTGCAAAAGGGAGAAAATATTTTAATAGATAATTTATAAAAGATGAACCAGAAACAAATAATGGAAAAATAACCATTCTACTAATCAGGGAAAAAACTATAGTGAAATAACATTTGTTATAGCATATTAAATTATTATTAAATTAGCTAAATGTGTAACATTAGCTAAATGTATTTTTAAAAAAAAATTTTTTTTTTTTTGAGATGGAGTCTCGCTCTGTCGCCCAGGCTGGAGTGCAGTGGCACGATCTCGGATCACTGCAAGCTCCGCCTCCTGGGTTCACGCCATTCTCCTGCCTCAGCCTCCCAAGTAGCTGGGACTACAGGCACCCGCCACCATGCCTGGCTAATTTTTTGTATTTTTAGTAGAGACAGGGTTTCATCGTGTTAGCCAGGATGGTCTCGATCTCCTGACCTCGTGATCCACCTGCCTTGGCCTCCCAAAGTGCTGGGATTACAGGCATGAGCCACCACGCCCGGCCGCTAAATGTATTATTAAATTAGCTAAATTTATAACATGACAGCACCCAATTGTAGAAAGAGTATTGTGAAAGTCGTACTAATTGATACAGCTGGTGGCACTAAATTAGGATAGCTTTTTCAGAACAAAATGTGGCAATATGGATCAAGAGTCTAAAAAATAGTTATGTCCTTTGAGCCATATAACTCCATTACTGTAAACCTATGCTAAGAAAATATTTCAAAATGGAACATGAGTATTTGGATAAACAATAGGCAAAAAATTCAAGTCATAGAAATGTTAGTCATAAGTTCTAGGAGCCTTTGGGCAGAGACTATGGGATTTTCTAGATATAGAATCATATTGTCTATGAGGACAGATAGTTTGACTTCCTCTCTTCCTATCTGGATGCCTTTTATTTCTTTCTCTTGCCCAATTGCTCTGGCTAAGACTTCCAGAACTGTGTTGAATAAGGGTGGTAAAAGTGGGCATCCTTGTCTTGTTCCAGTTCACAAGAGGAATGCTTCTAGCTTTTGCCTATTCAGTATGGTGTTGGCTATGGGTTTGTCATAGATGGATCTTACTATTTTGAGGTGTGTTTCTTCAATGCCTAGTTCATTGAGGGTTTTTAACATGAAGGGATGTTGAATTTAAGCAAAAGCCGTTTCTGCATGTATTGAGATAATCATGTGGTTTTTGTTTTTACTTCTGTTTATGTAATGAATCACATTTATTAATTTGTATATGTTGAACCAACCTTGTATCCCAGGAATAAAGTCTACTTGATAGTGGTGGATTCACATTTTGATGTACTGCTGGATTTAATTTGCTTATATTTTGTTCATCAGGAGTCTATGTTCATCAGAGATATTGGCCTGAAGTTTTTTTTTTTCATCGTGTCTCTGCTAGGTTTGATATTAGAATGATTCTGGCCTCAGATTGTTAGGGAGAAGTCCCTCCTCCTAAATTTTTTGGACTAATTTCAGTAGGAATGGTACCAACTCTTCTTTATATGTTTTGAATAATTTGGCTATGAATCTATCTGGCTATCTGGCTCTCCGTCCTAGGCCTTTTTCTAGTTGGTAGGTTTTTTTTATTACTTAATTTTGGAACTCATTATTGGTCTGTTCAGGATTTCAGTTTCTTTCTAGTTGAATCTTGGGATGTTGTATGTTTCCAGGAATTTGTCAATTTATTCTAGGTTTTCTAATTCGTATGCATAGAGATGTTCATAATAGTCTCTGAGGGATTTTTGTTATTTCTATGAGGTCAGTGGTAATGTCACCTTTGTCACTTTTTATTGTGTTGTATTTGGGTCTTCTCTCTTTTTATTAATCTAGCTAGAAGTCTATTAATCTTATTTATTCTTTCAAAAAACTAACTTGGTTTTGTAGATCTTTTGTATGGATTTTCACATCTCAATTTCACTCACTTCAGTTTCAACTTTGGTCAAGTTTCAGGATACAAAAATTAATGTACAAAAATTCATAGTATTTCTATACTCCAATAGTGTCCATGCTGAGAGTAAAATCAATAATGCAGTCCCACTCACAATAGCCACAAAAAAGAATAAAATACCTAGCAATACAGCTAGCAAGGGAGGTGAAAGATGTCTGCAATGAGAATTACAAAACACTGCTAAAATAAATCAGAGATTATACAAATAGAAAAATATTCCATGTATATAGGTAGGAATAGTCAGTACTGTTAAAATGGCCATATTGCCCAAAGCAATTTGCTATTTCTATCAAACTACCAATGACATTTTTCACAGAATTAGAAAAACTATTCTCAAGTTCATAATGAACTATAAAAGAGCCCAAATAGCCAAAGCAATCCTAAGCAAAAAGAACAAAGCTGGAGGCATCATACTTCCTGACTTCAAACTGTACCACAAGGCTACAGTAATACAAACAGCATGGTACTTAGAAAAACAGACGGACCAATGGAACAGGTTAGAGGGCCAAAAAATAAAGCCACACACCTACAACCGTCTTGTCTTTGACAAAGTCAACAATAACAAACAATGGGGAAAGGGTTCCCTATTCAATAAGTGGTGCTGGGATAACTGACTAGTCATACGCAAAAGACTGAAACTGGACCCCTTCCTTTTACCATATACAAAAATCAACTCAAGATGGATTAAAGACTTAAATGTAAGACCTAAAACTATAAAAACCCTAGAAAAAATGTAGGAAATACCATTCTGGGTATAGGCTTTGGCAAAGATTTCATGATGAAGCCTCCAAAAACAATTGCAATAAAAACAAAGACAAGTGGGACCTAATTAAACTTAAAGAACTTCTGCACAGCAAGAGAAACTCTCAACAAAGTAAACAGAATGGGAGACAATTTTTGCAAACTATGTACCCTTCAAAGTTCTGATATCAAGAATCTATAAGGAACTTAAATCAACAGGCAAAAAAGCAAACCACCTCATTAAAAAGTAGGCAAAGGACATGAACAGACACGTCTTAAAGACATACATGTGGCCAAGCAGCATATGAAAAAATGCTCAACATCACTAATCATTAGAGAAACGCAAACCAAAACCGCAATGAGATACCATCTCATACCAGTCAGAATGGCCATTGTTTAAAACACAAAATAACAGAGGTTGGTGAGGTTGCAGAGAAAAGGGGATGCTTAAACACTGCTGGAGATATTAGTTCAGCCACTGTGGAAAACAGTTTGGAGACTTCTCAAAGAACTTGAAATAGAACTACCTTTGACCCAGCAATCCTATCACTGGGTATATACCGAAAGGAATATAAATTGTTCCACCACAAACACACATGCACTTTTTATGTTCATTGCAATGTTATTCACAATATCAAAGACCTGAAATCAACCTAGATGCACATCAGTGGTGGACTGGATATAGAAAATGTGGTATGAATGCACCATGGAATATTATTCAGCCATAAAAACTAACAAAATCTTGTGCTTTGCAGCAACAGGGATGCAACTGGAGGCCATTATCCTAAGCAAATTAATGTAAGAACAGAAAACCAAATACCACATGTTCTCACTTACATGTAAGTGGGAGCTAAACATTGAATACACATAGACACAAAGAGGTTAACAATAGGCCAGGTGCAGTGGCTTACACCTGTAATCCCAGCACTTTGGGAGGCCGAGGTGGGTGGATCACCTGAGGTCAGGAGTTCAAGACCAGTCTGGCCAACATGGTGTAACCCTGTTTCTACTAAAAACACAAAAATTAGCCAGAGGTGGTGGTGCATGCCTGCAATCCCAGCTACTCGGGAGTCTGAGGCAGGAGAATTGCTTGAACCTGGAAGGCAGAGGCTACAGTGAGCCAAGATCACACCATTCACTGCAGCCTGGGCAAAAAGAGCAAAACTCTGTCTCACAAACAAAAAAATAAAGGGGAACAATAGACAACAGTGCCTACTTGATGGTGGAGGGGTGGAAAGTGGACGAGGGTTAAAAAAAATTGTTGGGTACTATGTTCACTACCTGTGTGACAAAATCATTTGTACACCAAACTCCAGCCACACGTAATTTACCCATGTAACAAACCTGCACATATACCCCCTGAACCTAAAATAAAATTTGAAAAAGAAAAAAGAAATGTGATATAAAGATGGTTCCATAAAATATGATACAGTCAATCAATGGAATGGTATATAACACTATTTTTAAGAATGTTTTTGAAGACTGTTAACAAGGAGGAAAAACTAATATATGAAATGAAAAAAGGAAGATTTGAAGTATATGTATGCTATGATTATGGCTACATTTTTAAAATTGCATGCTTAAAAAAATACACCAAGCTGATAATAATTAAGTGTGAAATTATGGGTGATCATTTATTTTGAATTTTCCAGATTTTCAGCCAAATAACTATCAGTTTTACAATTTACCTTCCCCAAAAAACATCGTAGTGGAAACGGAGAGACAGGTAGGCCTAGGAACCACCAAGTGAAAGCACTCCCTAGAAACCGGAAAATCCTGGGCAAAAATAAGCAGGAACAGCCTCAGGAGTGGATTAGGTGAGCTCCAGCAGAACCCCAGGGCTGGGTAGACCTTGCCAATCTCCTCAGGTGTTTGTGGATGTGAACTGGGTGGGCTGATCCTGCTACTTCCCTTCTCTCACACTCAGCAATGGTGAAACCCCCTAAGAAAGAGGTATAATCAGGATATCTGGGATATAATTTAAAGGAGCGGACTGGAGAGAAATGCAAGTAAGAGGTAAGAAGGCAGATGTTGGCCCATAATGGAGTCAGAGTTCCGTGGGGTCAGAGGAAAAGAATAGCAGGAGGAAGAAAAGGATGAGAGTAAGCAGGGGAAGCTAGGTGCCTGGGGAGGAGATCAGGAGGAGAATGTGCCCGAGAACAGACTGGAAACAGAAATGCAGTGCTTTGAGGCAGCAGTCCCCAACCTTTTAGGCACCAGGGACTGGTTGTGTGGAAGACAATTTTTCCATAGACAGGGTAGGGGGATAGTTTCAGGATGAAACTGTTCTAGCCCAGATCATCAGGCATTAGATTTTTTTTTCTTTTAGGGCAGAGTCTCACTCTGTCACCCAGCTGGAGTGCAGTCGCATGATCTCGGCTCACTGCAGCCTCCGTGTCCTGGGTTAAAGCAATTCTCATGCCTCAGCCTCCCAAGTATCTGGGACTACAGGCGCCCAACACCACGCTCGGCTAATTTTTGTATTTTTAGTAGAGACAGGGTTTCACCATGTTGGCCAGGCTGGTCTTGAATTCCTGACCTCAGGTGATCTGCCTGCCTTGGCCTCCCAAAGTGCTGGGATTACAGGTGTGAGCCACTGCACCCAGCCTAAGATTCTTTAAAAGGAGCACGCAACCTAGATCGCTTGCATGCGCAGTTCACCACAGGGCTCATGCTTCTGTGAGAATCTAATGCCACAGCTGATCTGACAGGAGGCAGAGCTCAGGCAATAATGCTCTGTGGCCTAGTCACTCACCTCCTGCTATGTGGCCCAGTTCCTAACAGGCCAAGGACCAGTACCATGGCCTAGGGGTTGGGGAACGCTGCTTTAAGGGATGTGTTTGGGAAACATGGAAAACATGCTGTTACACACTAAAGGAGTGTTTCCCAAATGCCAGTGTTGCCCCATTATGAAGTTTTCACACATTTTTTGTAAAATAAGAAAAAAAAAAGAGCAACATGATAGGGATATATATGTTGTCTTAAATTCCCAATTGCCCCAAGTTGAGAAGAACTTCTCTTCAGTCTACCTTTCTAGGACATTACAACATCCTCTGCTTTTGAACTATAGTGATAGTACATGAGAGGATTTTTTCCCAATATCTTTACTTGCACAATTAAAAGTTAACGACCTACAACTGTCTCATTTTTTTTTTTTTTTCACTATACTACTTCCTGAAATCTCAGCCTGGGAAGCAGGGGAAGGAGAGTAGAAGTAGAATCCCAACTCTCCCAGTAGAGAGTGGTGTGGGAGAAGACCTAGGGCCTGGGGCATCCGTTACTCTTAAAGTGAGATGGAACATTTGCAGAAACTATTTTTAATATTTTTCTCTGCAAGAGTCAAAACATTTTACAGAAATGAGCTGATTAGTTATCACCTTGGCCTCAAGTATTTCATGGGATATAATTTTCTGGTAGTGATTTTACATCATTTAGTAAGTTTGAACCTGTTTTAATTCTTCTCCATCTCATCATGCTCAGCTGTGATTGCAGACGTTTTAGGCTAAGAGCCTGGGGTTCATCTTGAACTGTGAGCCTTGAGTGCTTGATTGCTGCAGAACTCAAGTCAAAAGTCTTTGAACAACCCTGATGTGTGGGTAGTGTCTCCAGACACTAATTTCCTTTTCCCCATATTCCTGTTACTAGCTTTTAAAGAAAATTCCATCATCCTTTAAAGTTGTTGGGAAGCTGTGTGTCATTCAGAAAACTTCCTCAAACCAGATGTACAAAATATTAGTGATATAGTGCTGAAAAGAACTCCTGGGTGGCAATAGCAAATGTGCATTTTCTTGAGGTGCTGAAATGGCCTTTGACCTTCCATGTTACAATGCCTACTGGCTGCCACAGCCAAGACCATCCTGCCACCTGTGAGTGATGCTGAGCAGAGGGAAGTCACCTTCAACTCTGTTTTACAAGTGTGCTGAGGGCTCCCCATGGCAGGCAGCTGATTCTCTTAGCTGGCCCTTTATCAGAGGATGAAAACATTAGCAGAATGAGCCCCTGTCCCTCCTTCTAGTAGTTTTATGATGAAGACTAGACTTATCTGGGTGACTAAGGCATTATTTAGGGCTTGCCAAGAGCACACACTTATAGGCATTCATGGAAGTATAATGCTTGCCATTTTCCAGGAAATTCCTCTTAATTGTGAAAAATGGAGACATGTATATTATCTAGTGATATATGTATATTAATATCACAAGATATGTCTCTAGGTGATCAAAAATTTATTAATCACCAAATGAGTGACACAACCCATAAAGGTTGACTTCACATAATATGTACCCATTCAACACATAGGTTCAAACACTGCTTTATCATGCTGTTGGGCTGATTTATTTTCTCGACAATAGTAGAACAAAGTTTGGCGCTGGTGATCCTGAAGTCCTATTTTATGTTTCCCTATTCTTAGAGAACAGCAGTCAGCCAGATGGCATGAATCTCTGACATGCTTGACTCTGACATGAGGCAGTGATACTTAAAGTGTGGTCCCAGGGACATAGCAACTAACACAACGTTTCCACCTTGCAGGTGGCTCCAGACTAATGGGAAGGAAGAGAAACAGACCAGCATCTAAATATAGTGATTCTTCTATTAGGCAAAATATCTCCCAACACCATCTAAAATTCTCCTTGACCCAGAAATTCCACCTCTAAGAGTTGATTCTAAGAAAATATCCTTATCAAATATGCATACAAATATTTATGCATAATCATTGCAATGTAGATTATAATAATGAAACTTTGTAATATTCTAAGTTACTAACAATGGAGAATGGCTTTAATAAAATATCCATACAATGTAATGCTGCTCAGCAGCTATTAAAAATTATGATGTGTATGTGATTTGTGTCATGAAAAGATATTTATAATACTATCTGAAAATTTTATGCCATAAAATAGTATTTATAAACCCACTATCAAAGAATTATATGTATATTAGAATATAGGCCAAAATTTAGTGTTGTTAAATCTAGGTAGAAAATTATAGGGGTTTTTTGGGGTTTTGTTTTGTTTTTTTGAGACAGAGTTTCACTCTTGTCACCCAGGCTGGAGTACAGTGGCATAATATTGGTTCACTGCAATCTCCGCCTCCCAGGTTCAAGTGATTCTCCTGCCTCAGTATCTCAAGTATCTGGGATTACAGGCATGCACCACCATACCTGGCTAATTTTTCTGTTTTTAGTAGAGACGGGGTTTTACCATGTTGGTCAGGCTGGTCTCGAACTCCTGACCTCAGGTGATCCACCTGTCTCAGCCTCCCAATGTGCTGGGATTATAGGCATGAGGCACAGCACCCGGCCAGTTTCAATTTTTCTGTAGTTAATTTGCATAAAGAAATAAACAGCTTAATAGATGAATAAATGATACAGGCATGATACAGAATAGAAAAGAATCATGAGAAGGATGCTACTGTAATGCCAAGGCATTTAACCTAGAGTAGAGTGTTATAAGGTGAAGTGGGGGTAGAGAAGGCAGCACAGAGGTGGTAGCCTTTTATGAAAGATTTTGACCAATCAGGAATGACAAGACAGGGAAAAGACATCTCAGGAAGAGATTACCTGCATAAGCAGAGACCTGGAAGATAGTAGTATGTGGGGGAGAGAAAGAGGGTTTTGATTGCAGAAGCATCAGGTGGCAAACAGCGAAGAGATAGAGCTGGAGAGGTTAGGGAAAGACCCAGTTATGAGGGGCATGATATGCCAGGGAGTTTGAACTTTTTTCCTAATGGTGATAAGGAGCCTCTAAAGGATTTTAAGAATGGAAGAAAGACTGCTCAGGCTTATATTTTAGTATTGCTATGCAAGATTACTCATAGGTTACGAGGGTGGATTGGGAGAAGCAAAGAATGGAGGAGGCGGGAAGACCAGCGAGAGGCTCCTACAGGTCTGCAGTAAGGAGGATCTTACTAAAGGCAGAGAAGCAGAGAGGACAAATAAGAGATCTGCAGTAGAAATAATAGGATGTGTCAGGGAGAGAAATAGCCTGTAGGGTAGATGAAGATGTTCCTGAGGATGTGAATGGGATTCAGGGGACAGGAAAGAGATTGGTCTTGAACAGGAAGAGGGATGCCTCTTTCTCTGGAGCTCTTGGCGTTGAATACAGATCAACATTTTTTAGAGATATGGTGAGAGTTTAAAAAGTTCATTCCTGGTGACCCTATTTTATCCATGTAGCAGGAGAAGAATTATTTGCTGAGAGTAAGTGAACTGGTAAAGTGGGCCTAAGGAGAGTTGTGAAGGGTGGGCCACCCTTGTTGGAGCTAATGATGTCTAAACATATATAAGAATTCCTGGGCCATGTGGAAGGCCAGCTGAGATTGGAGATCATGAATCTGTGATAGCACCATTTGGTGTGATTTTGCAACTTTCTCCAGCAGCATTCAGTGGCCAAAGTCTAGCTTCCAGGAAGGCAGATGAAGGTTGCCTTCATCTTGGTTCAAAACTTTGGGGCTCTGATAGACTTGGAGGAATGTGACTGGAGGTTTGGATAAGGCCAGATGTGGAAGGATAAAGGGATATGGAAGGAGTGAGAGCTGGAAGGAGGAAGTGATGGGCCAGGAGTGGAACGTTATGTATTGTCATTTTGGAGTAGTTCTGGGTGATCAGTAGTCCAGACAGTGCCATGGAAATGAGTGGCTGATGTTGAGGGGAGGTGAAAGTTAGAAATCAGAACACAGGGCAGCACATGACTATGATGTTTATTGTAATGTAACTTGCTGTAATGGCCTTTGATGTATTTTTCTTTGGAATACATGTATTTATTATTTTACCTGTTTTATTGCTTGCAATTTTCTACACTAAAATATTCTATTGCTTATGTCCTTAGAGACTTTTGATTTTTTTGTTGTTGGTCAAAACACTCAATTGTTTCTTAGAGTCAGAATCTACAGAAAAAAAAATAAAAAGGTGAAGTAAGGTCCCCTGGCTCACTCACTGGCCCACAGTGTGAAGTAGTCTTCTTCAGACCTTAGCCTTCATTTGGGAGGTTTCAGTTTAAGGCCTTTGTGGATTTCATCACAGGACCCTTGTTTGGCGTGGCTCAAAAGCTTTTCTGCAATAGAAAGGAACCGAATTTTCAAACATTGCTGTCTCCAAAGAACTGAAAATGAATCAGATAAACTGTGATTGACTCGAGCCCATGGAGGCACAACCTCTGAGATAGGACCAGCGGATGAGGAAAGCTAAGTGGGCCCTTCTGTTTATTTTTAAGTCTCTAAATAGTAACTTGCCATTTCTTTCTACCATTTTTTTCTGCTGCTTTTTCTTCACACTCCAGTACTTTTTCACTGACTAGTCATCACTCCACATATAACAAGAAAAAAAAAGACGTTTCATTAAAAACTGCAATGAGAAGATGAAAATATTTCTTTCTTCTCCCTAGTTAAAAAAAAAAAAAAAGTACCAGGGAGGCTAGTATCACCATCTTGGGAACCTTGTCAAATGTAATGAGCCAAGCAACAGCTGGTGAACCAGATAGGTGGATTAAAACCAGGGAATGGTGCCGGTCAGGCATGAGTGGATGCTGAGTAGCAGAAGTGGCCACAAAAGGCCTCGAAGGTTGGATTTTACATTAAGCCTCTTTCGTATTTTCCACTACAAGCAGTATCCAGGTCATTTGTGTCACATTTGGAATTACTAGCTTAAATGCCAAGATAACTGTTTTTTTCCGTGTAACTACTGGACACAAATTGTGGTGCTAATCAAACAAGACAGCACTGGAAGGAATTAAAGTCTCCTATTTTCATTACCAATTACAAGCAGGCCACACTCCCTGAAGCTGTTCAGAAGACAGAAATATGAAAAGAAAGCACTGTTGTTATTCTGACCTATAGGTTTCCCTGGACTTAGTGACTCATTATCCATTCATTCAACAATTATTAGACTATTACATGTTCATAAATACCCTCTCAGAGTTCACTTTTTAAAAATTTAAAAAGAGAATTAACTAACCCTCAGAGTCTCAATGGTATTATTAAAAGGACAAACCACAAATCCCAAGTAACTAGAATTATCAAAGTTTCAAAGGATTTATAGCTAAGATGTGACCATTTTCTTGTAATGAGACAAGACAATGGGACTGCTATGACACTAGAATCACCTACCAGGTCAGACCTTCTGCTGGGGTAACTGAGCAGCTGTAAGAGCTAACAGCTGAGCATAGTCTAGATTTTAAACACACACACAAAGCCCAAATCTTATGGACATCTCCAGTCATGGCTTATGCATGGTTTATCCATGCTTTGGGTTCAGGATGAGAAAGCAGGGGGTCACCACAGGTCTGCAGGGAAACCAAAGAGCATGGATGCTCAGAAGGCTAACACTGGTGTCTCTTAGGCATTCTCAAGGGGAAAAGAGTGCCAGCCTTTAGACCAGGGTCAGAGACAGCCAATGTCCAGCAGGAGTCAGGATGGGGAGCGTAAAAAGTCCAGTTCTATAAACTGACACTCACATGGAAGACTTGGGCTTAAAACAAAGACTCAGAAGCTTATTCACATAAAATAGGTAAGAGGTGGAAGTGATCTTTTCAGAGAGCAACTGAGAAGCCCATAATTCTCCCCAGAATATCACATCTCAGATGAAAGATGAAGCAGGTACATTGAGGATGCAATTCTGGAGCCTCATGTAGAGTGCTGGGTAACCCCATGCCAGGTCAGGCCAATTGCTAGAGTAAGTCAATGCTAGAGTCAGGGGTGGGATCTAAAGCAGGAATAAATTTAAAGTATTTTCTGCTTCCAATATTAACTCTGGAACCAAATAGGACAGAAATTTCACCTGAGGTGGGAGGGACACAGGAAATATGTGGAAATGGTAGATTTATCAGCTGGAAATGCAAAGACAAGACAAATGAAGAGTCAGGTGGCTGCTGGCATTTGTTTACTGACTAATGATGCCAATAGGAACTCCAGCTCTTTATTTTCATTACACCGTCCTTAACGAGGGTGCTTTTTTCCTCCTGTGTATTTCTTCATGGGCACAAAATTACTGCTGCAGTTTCAGATATCACAGGTCCAGATTATAAGAAAGGTGGGGGTGAATGGGGAATGGTAGAAGGAAGAGCAAAACAGCTATGTTTACAAAGTCTCTCTGAGCCCTCTTCTTTTTGCTTAGGATAGCTTTGGCTATTCTGGGTCTTTAGTGGCTCCATATAAATTTTAGGATTCCTTTTTCTCTTTCTGTGTAGAATGTCATTGGTATTTTGATAGGGATTGTATTAAGTCTGTAGATTGCTTTGGGAAGTATGGACATTTTAACAACCTTGATTCTTCCAATTCATGAACATGGAATATCTTTCCATTTCTTTATGTCCTCTTCAGTTTCTTTCACTAATATTTTATAGTTTTCATTGTAGAGATCTTTCACTTCTTTAATTACTGGGTATTTTATTTGCAGTAATTGTAAATGAGATAAATTTCTTGATTTCTTTTTCAGGTTGTTCCCTGTTGGCATATGGAAATGCTACTGATATTTGCATGTTGATTTTTTATCCTGCAACTTTACTGAATTTATCAGTTCTAATAGTTTTTTGGTGGAGTCTTTTTCCAAATATAAGATACCATCTGTAAACAAGGATAATTTGACTTCTTTCCAATTTGGATGCCCTTTATTCATTTCTCTTGTCTGATTGCTCTAGGTAGGAATTCCGAGCCCTTTTTTCAACTAGGTCCTTGCTTTATTTCAACTAGGTCCCCTGATATCTCAGTCTGATCAAAAAGTCCTCATCACCCATCCTTGATATCTGATCACCCTGGCCTGTCTTCAGCAACAATGCTGTCAGGTCAGTTTAGCAAGAATCCCCCTACCCTTGAGATCTTCTCTGAGTTATTTATTTTCCATCCAATAACCGTTCATCCTTCTCATTGGCTGTAAGTCCCCAGGTGTCTTTACTGTATTCAGAGTTGAGCTTGACAAAGCTCCCCTATTGTGATTGTGTTGGCACCCATTACAATACTCCTGAATAAAGCCTGTCTTACTGTTTTAACTAGTGTCAGGATAATTTTTTTAACAATGTCTCCCTTTTTTATAGGTAAAAATATCCCAAATCCCTAAACAGACACCAGTACATCTCATTTGCCAGAACTGTTGCACAGTTATCTCTAGCTGCATGGTAGGCTAGGATAGTAAACATTTTACTTGGTGAACATATCACTGCCTTGAATAAAATTGGGTTTCTAATAGCAAGCAAAAGAGAGCAGTGGATATTTGGGAGGCAGGTAACAGTGTCAGCCAGAGAGACCAGAATGCCATATAAACTAGTACAAGAGAGGATGGTTAAATGGGCATCTCCAATGTAGGGAAGCCTGAGGTGCTCCAGCAGTGGGAGTAGATAAGAGTTGCTTGGGGAATAATTTGAGATGAAAGTGTGAAAAAGTTGTGAGTATGAACTGTCTGGAAGGGATTGAAAGGAAGAAACAGAATGAGCCAAGGCAGGAAGCAGCTAGGTGTTGGGAATGAAAAGAATCACAGGGGAGGAGTAAGAAGAAATGAAGTTGGAAAAGTTTCAGAAGATGAGAGGTGAAATCAACTCAACAGGGCCACGACTGCTCTTTGAAAAGTACTTCTCATAGTAGAACGATACTAATAACAGTTTCAGAATATTTCATTAAAAATATTAGCTAAAAGGAATTATTAATAATTACCCTCAGTAGATAAAATAAGTATTAACTGAGTGAATCCTATAACCCAAACCCTATTCCAACTACTTTCTTTCCTATCATCCTAATGAGGAAACTGAAGCACACGAAAAGCAGTTTACTCAAAGTCACAGAGCCAGTAAATATCAAAGCTTGGATTATAAACCCACATAGTTCTTATATTCTTTCTTTGTCCCCATATTCTTGATTCTATCTAATGCCTACTGCCTCTCTCCTCTGAAAGGAACAGGAAGAGGTTCCTTGTTCAACAAGACATTCCTCTTTATACTTCATTGAAACAAAGATTGAGTTAACTGTGGAAAAACTAGTAAACTTTCACACATCAGATGCCACTGATTTGGTAGAGATTGCTAACCCCCTAGTATCCATTTTCTCCTTCCTTTTGTACTAGAATCCCTGTATTTTAGCTGGGCTCATGGCAGAGACTATTTCTCAGCTTCCCTTTAAACTGGGAATGGCCACGTGACTAAATTCAGGCCAATAGCAAGTGATCATAAGCGATGTATGCAAATTCTGGGACAACTCATAGCTGCTTGCCCTGCACTAAAGCCTTTTCCCCTCACTGCCAGCTGAAAATGAATTGCAGCTGCGGTCTTGGGCCTAGAGACAGAAGTTACACATTGAAGGCAGAGATAACTAGTTATGTAGCAGAGCCATTTACCCATCCTAGAACCTTTAAATTATCGTGTGTGTGGTAGGGGGAAGGACCTTCTATCAAATTTATTCTACAGTACTTAAGCAGTTTAGAATGAATCCTAACCATTGCATGTAGAATTTGAATTAGAAAATTGATGCAAGGTGTGTCAATAAAATTAAATCATGTTTGCAAGGGCTTCTTTTTGGACTTTTGTGCCAGTAAGCTGTACGTAGAAAATGATAAACCAACACACTTGGTATATTTTTACATATATATGAAAGAATATTTTCAGTGAGTGTTCTGTGCGTTTATGTGCATGCACACGTGCATGCGTTGAAAATACTTAAGAATTACATGATGCCTTAAAAACATTTTTGAAGGCTATATTCTCCCAAAATATCTAAGGCTGATTAGATCAAATTCATGTCTTAAACCATCCAGGCCAAACATGCACATGTAAAAGTGATAGAAAATCAGGCCACGTGCAGTGGCTCACACCTGTAATCCTAGCACTTTGGGAGGCTGAGGCAGGCAGACCACCTGAGATTGGGAGTTCCAGACCAGGCTGACCAACATGGGGAAACCCCATCTCTACTAAAAATACAAAATTAGCTGGGCGTGGTGGCACATGCCTGTAATCCCAGCTACTTGGGAGGCTGAGGCAGGAGAATCACTTAAACCCGGGAGGCAGAGATTATGGTGAGCCGAGATTGCACCACTGCACTCCAGCCTGGGCAACAAGAGCAAAACTCCATCTCAAACAATAAATAAAATAAAAGTGATAGAAAATCAGGCCAGGCTCAGTGGCTCACGCCTATAATCCCAGCACTTTGGGAGGCCAAGGCGGGTGGATTGCTTGAGGTGAGGAGTTCAAGGCCAGCCTGGCCAACATGGTGGAAACCCATCCCTACCAAAAATACAAAAATTAGCTGGGCATGGTGGTGGGCACCTGTAATCCCAACTACTCGGGAGGCTGACATAAGAGAATCACTTGAACCTGGGAGGCAGAGGTTGTAGTAAGCCAAGATTGCACCACTGCACTCCAACCTGGGCAGCAAAACGAGACTTTGTCTCAAAAAAATAAGTAAATAAAAATAAATAAAAGTGATAGAAAATCAGATATGTGGATTTGATGTTGAATCTCTCGCCTAGTCTAGAAAATTTTATCTGAAAATGTCTTTTAAAATAGACACAAAAATTTGACCATGTATGTAGGTAGCAGATTTTTGTGTTTTGGGGAAAGGGTATTACCCAGAATCCAATCCCCACTGCCATTTGAGGGAAGCCTCCATTGTGGGTCGTGTGGGGGAAGGTGATGCTTTTCCCACTTATAAGCTGAGAGTGCTAGACCTTGCTTCTCTTTGCTCCTTGGCAATCAGAGGTCTCTAGCTGGCTGTATCACCTCTGGACTTTGACTCTTGTTCTAGTGATGCAAAGACAAAGGATTGTTAAGAATGTATTCCTGAGTCTTCACAAGATGGCTGAATAGGAACAGCTGTGGTCTGCAGCTCCAAGCGAGACCAACGCAGAAGGTGGGTGATTTCTGCATTTCCAACTGAGGTACCTGGCTTATCTCATTGGGACTGGTTAGATGGCGGGTGCAGCCCACAGAGGGTGAGCTGAAGCAGGTTGGGGTGTCGCCTCACCCAGGAAGTGCAAGAGGTCAGGGAACTCCCTCTCCCAGCCAAGGGAAGCCATTAGGGACTGTACTGTGCACTCCAGCCCAGATTCTGCACTTTTCCCATGGTCTTGGCAACCCGCAGACCAGGAGATTCCCTTGGGTGACTACACCACCAGGGCCCTGGGTTTCAAGCACAAAACTGGGTGGCCTTTTGGGCAGACACCGAACTAGCTGCCAGGAGATTTTTTTTGTACCCCAGCGGTGCCCGGAACACCAGCGAGACAGAACTGTTCACTCCCCTGGAAAGGGTGCTGAAGCCCGGGAGCCAAGTGGTCTAGCTCAGCGGGTCCCACCCGCATGAAGCCCAGCAAGCTAAGATCCACTGGCTTGAAATTCAGACTGCTGTGCTGGCAGTGAGAAGTCTACCTGGGACACTGGAGCTTGGTTGGGGGAGGTGCACCCACCGTTACTGAGGCTTGAGTAGGGGTTTTCCCCTCACAGTGTAAATGAAATCCCCAGGAAGTTCGAACTGGGCAGAACCCACTGTAGCACAGCAAAGCCACTGTAGCCAGACTGCCTCTCTAGATTCCTCCTCTCTAAGCAGGGCAACTCTGAAAGAAAGGCAGCAGCACCAGTCAGGGGCTTATAGATAAAACTCCCATCTCCCTGGGACAGAGCACCTGGGGGAAGGGGTGGCTGTGGGTGCAGCTTCAGCAGAGGTAAACATTCCTGCCTGCCAGCTCTGAAGAGAGCAGCAGATCTCCCAGCATGGCAATTGAGCTCTGCTAAGGGACAGACTGCCTCCTCAAGTGGGTCCCTGACCCCCATGCCTCCTGATGGGGAGACATTTCCCAGCAGGTGTCGAGAAACACCTCATATAGGAGAGCTCCAGCTGGCATCTGGCAGGTGCCCCTTTGGGACGAAGCTTCCAGAGCAAGGAGTAGGCAGCAATCTTTGCTGTTCTGCAGCTTCTGCTGGTGATACCCAGGCAAACAGGGTCTGGAGTGGACCTCCAGTGAACTCTAGTAGACCTGAAGCAGAGGGGCCTGTTAGAAGGAAAACTAACAAACAGAAAGCAATAACATCAACATCAACAAAAAGGACACCCACGCAAAAACCCCATCCAAATGTCATCAGCATCAAAGATCAAAGGTAGATGAGGAAAAACCAGTGCAAAATGCTGAGGAAAATTCCAAAAACCAAAATGCTTTTTCTCCTCCAAAAGAATCACAACTTCTTGCCAGCAAGGGAACAAAACTGGACGGGAGTATGAGTTTGATGAATTGACAGAAGTAGGCTTCAGAAAGTGGGTAATAGCAAAATTCTCTGAACTAAAGGAGCATGTTCTAACCCAAAGCAAGGAAGCTAAGAACCTTGATAAAAGGTTACCAGAAATGCTAACTAAAATAACCAGTTTAGAGAACATAAATGACCTGATGGAGCTGAAAAACACAGCACAAGAACTTCATGAAGCATACACAAATATTAATAGCTGAATCAATCAAGTGGAAGAAAGGATATCAGAGATTGAAGATCAACTTAATGAAATAAAGTGTGAAGACAAGATTAGAGAGAAAAGAATGAAAAGGAATGAACAAAGCCTCCAAGAAATATGGGACTATGTGAAAAGACCAAATCTACATCTGATTGGTATACCTGAAAGTGATGGGGAGAATGGAACCAAGTTGGAAAACACTCTTCAGGATATTATCCAGGAGAACTTCCCCAAACTAGCAACACAGGCCAACATTCAAATTGAGGAAATACAGAGAACACCACAAAGATACTCCTCGAGAAGAGCAACTCCAAGACACATCATCATCAGATTCACCAAGGTTGAAATGAAGGAAAAAATCTTAAGGGCAGCCAGAGAGAAAGGTTGGGTTGCCCACAAAGGGAAGCCCATCAGACTAACAGCAGACATCTCTGCAGAAACCCTACAAGCTATAAGAGAGTGGGGGCCAATATTCAACATTCTTAAAGAATTTTCAACCCAGAATTTCATATCCAGCCAAACTAAGTTTCATAAGGAAAGGAGAGATAAAATCCTTTACAGACAAGCAAATGCTGAGAGATTTTGTCACCACCAGGCCTGCCTACAAGAGCACCTGAAGGAAGCACTAAATATGGAAAGGAAAAACTGGTATGAGCCACTGCAAAACCATAGCAAATTGTAAAGACCATCAACACTATTAAGAAAGTACATCAACTAATGGGCAAAATATCCAGGTAGCATCATAATGACAGGATCAAATTCACACCTAACAATATTAACCTTAAATGTAAGTGGACTAAATTCCCCAATTAGAAGACACAGACTGGCAAACTGGATAAAAAGTCAAGACCCATTGGTGTGCTGTATTCAGGAGACCCATCTCATGTGCAAAGACACAGGTAGTCTCAAAAATAAAGGGATGGAGGAATATTTACAAAGCAAATTTAAATGAAAAAAAAAGCAGGGATTGCAATCCTAGTCTCTGATAAAACAGACTTTAAACCAACAAAGATCAAAAACGACAAAGAAGGGCATTACATAATGGTAAAGGGATCAATGCAACAAGAAGGACTAACTATCCTAAATATATATGTGTCAAATACAGGAACACCCAGATTCATAAAGCAAGTTCTTAGAGACCTCCAAAGAGACTTAGACTCCCACACAATAATAGTGGGAGACTAACACCCCACTGTCAGTATCAGACAGATCAACGAGACAAAATTAACAAGGATATTCAGGACTTGAACTCAGCTCTGGACCAAGTGGACCTAATAGGTATCTACAGAACTCTCCACCCCAAATCAATACATTCTTCTCAGCACCACATCACATTTATTCTAAAATTGACCACATAATTGGAAGTAAAACACTCCTCAGCAAGTGCAAAAGAATGGAAATCATAACAGTCTCTCAGACCACAGTGCAATCAAAGTAGAATGCAGAATTAAGAAACTCACTCAAAACCACACAACTACATGGAAACTGGATAACCTGCTCCTGAATGACTACTGGGTAAATAATGAAATGAAAGCACAAATAAAGATGTCCTTTGAAACCAATGAGAACAAAGACACAACGTACCAGAATTTCTGGGACACATTTAAAGCAGTGTGTAGAGGGAAATTTGTAGCACTAAATGCCCACAGGAGAAAGTGGGAAAGATCTAAATTCAACACCCTAATTAAAAGAACTAGAGAAGCAAGAGCAAACAAATTCAAAAACTAGCAGAAGACAAGAAATCACTAAGATCAGAGCAGAACTGAAGGAGATAGAGACACAAAAAACCCTTCAAAAAATTAATGAATCCAGGGCCAGGCATGGTGGCTCACACCTGTAATCCCAGCACTTTGGGAGGCCAAGGTAGGCAGCTCACGAGGTCAGGAGATCAAGACCATTCTGGCTAACACAGTGAAACTCCAACTCTACTAAAAAATATAAAAAATTAGCCAGGCGTGGTGGCAGGTGCCTGTAGTCCCAGCTACTTGGGAGGCTGAGGCAGGAGAATGGTGTGAACCCGGGAGGCAGACCTTGCAGTGAGCCGAGACCACGCCACTGCATTCCTGCCTGGGCAACAGAGTGAGACTCTGTCTCAAAAAAAAAAAAAAAAAAAAAAAATTCATGAATCCAGGAGCTGGTTTTCTGAAAAGATTAACAAAATAGACTGCTAGCCGGACTAATGAAGAAAATAGAGAAGAATCAAATAGACACAAAAAGAAATGATAAAGGGGATATCACCACCAATCCCACAGAAATACAAACTACCAGAGAATACTATAAACACCTCTATGCAATCTAGAAAATCTAGAAGAAATGAATAAATTCCTGGACACATACACCCTCCTAAGACTAAACCAGGAAGAAGTCGAATCCCTGAACAGACCAATAACAAGTTCTGAAATTGAGGCAGTAATATCTTACCAACCTGAAAAAGCCCCAGGACCAGACAGATTCCCAGCTGAATTCTACCAGAGGTTCAAAGAGGAGCTGGTACCATTCCTTCTGAAACTATTCCAAACAATAGAAAAAGAACTCCTCCCTAACTCATTTTATGAGGCCAACATCATACTGATACCAAAACCTGGCAGAGACAGTAAAAAAAAAGAAAATTTCAGGCCACTGTCCCTAAAGAACATCGATGTGAAAATCCTCAATAAAATACTGGCAAACCAAATCAAGCAGCACATCAAAAAGCTTATCTACCATGATCTAGTCAGCTTCATCCCTGGGATGCAAGGCTGGTTCAACACATGCAAATCAAGAAATGTAATGCATCACATAAACAGAACCAATGACAAAAACCACATGATTATCTCAATAGATGCAGAAAAGGCCTTTGATAAAATTCAACACCCTTCTTGCTGAAAACACTCAATAAACTAGCTATTGATGGAATGTATCTCAAAATAATAAGAGCTATTTATGACAAACCCACAGCCAATATTATACTGAATGGGAAAAAGCTGGAAGCATTCCCTTTGAAAGCTGGCACAAGACAAGGATGCCCTCTCTCACCACTCCTATTCAACATAGCATTGGAAGTTCCGGCCAGGGCAATCAGGCAAGAGAAAGAAATAAAGCGTATTCAGATAGGAAGAGAGGAAGTACAATTGTCTCTGTTTGCAGATGACATGATTGTGTATTTAGAAAACTTCATCATCTCAGCCCAAAAACTCAAGCTGATAAGCAACTTCAGCAAAGTCTCAGGATACAAAATCAATGTGCAAAAATCACAAGCATTCCTATACACCAATAACAGACAAACAGAGAGCCAAATCATGAGTGAACTCCCATTTACAATTGCTTCAAAGAGAATAAAATACCTAGGAATACAACTTACAAGGGATGTGAAGGACCTTTTCAAGGAGAACTACAAAACACTGCTCACAGAAATAAGAAAGGACACAAACAAATGGAAAAACATTCCATGCTCATGGATAGGAAGAATCAATATAGTGAAAATGGCCATACTGCTCAAAGTAATTTATAGATTCAATGCTATTCCCATCAAGCTACCATTAACTTTCTTCACAGAATTAGAAAAAAATACTTCAAATTTTATATGGAACCAAAAAAGAGCCCGTATAGCCAAAATAATCCCAAGCAAAAAGAACAAAGCTGGAGGCATCACGCTACCTGACTTCAAACTATACTACAAGGCTACAGTAACAAAAACAGCTTGGTACTGGTACCAAAACAGATATATAGACCAATGGAACAGAACAGAGGCCTCAGAAATAACACATCTACAACCATCTGATCTTTGACAAACCTGACAAAAACAAGCAATGGGGAAAGGATTCCTTATTTAATCAATGGGGTTGGGAAAACTGGCTAGCCATGTGCAGAAAACAGGAACTGGACCCCTTCCTTACACCTTATACAAACATTAACCCAAGATGGACTAAAGACTTAAACGTAAGACCTAAAACCATAAAAACCCTAGAAGAAAACCTAGGCAATACCATTCAGGACATGGGCATGTCCATGGGCAAAGACTTCATGACTAAAACACCAAAAGCAACCGGCAACAAAAGCCAAAATTGACAAATGGGATCTAATTAAACTAAAGAGCTTGTGCACAGCAAAAGAAACTATCATCAGAGTGAATAGGCAACCTACAGAATGGGAGAAAATTTTTGCAATTTATCCATCTGACAAAGGGCTAATATCCCGAATCTGTAAAGAACTTAAACAAATTTACAAGAAACACACAAACAACCCCATCAAAAATTGGGCAAAGGATATGAACAGACACTTCTCAAAAGACATTTATGTGGCCAACAAACATACGGAAAAAAGATCATCACTGGTCATTAGAGAAATGCAAATCAAAACCACAATGAGATACCATCTCATGCCATTTAGAAGGGCAATCATTAAAAAGTAAGGAAACAACAGATGCTACAGAGGATGTGGAGAAATAGGAACGCTTTTACACTGTTGGTGGGAGTGTAAATTAGTTCAACCATTGTGGAAGACAGTGTGGCAATTCCTCAAGGATCTAGAATCAGAAATACCATTTGACCCAGCAATCCCATTACTGGGTATATACCCAAAGGATTATAAATCATTCTACTATAAAGACACATGCACACATATGTTTATTGCAGCACTACTTACAATAGCAAAGGCTTGGAACCAACCCAAATCCCCATCAATGATAGACTGCATAAAGAAAATGTGGCACATATACACCATGGAATGCTATGCAGCCATAAGAAAGAATGAGTTCATGTCCTTTGCTGTGACATGTATGAAGCTGGAAACCATCATTCTCAGCAAAGTATCACAGGAACAGAAAACCAAACACTGTATGTTCTCAATCATAAGTGGAAGTTGAACAATGAGAACACATGGACACAGGGAGGGGAACATCACACACCGGATCCTGTCGGGGGGTGGGGGGCAAGGGGAGTAATAGCATTAGAAGAAATATCTAATGTAGATGACAGATTGATGGGTGCAGCAAACCACCATGGCACATGTATACCTGTGTAACAAACCTGCACGTTCTGCACATGTATCCCAGAATTTAAAGTATTAAAAAAAAAAAAGAGAATGTATTCCCCTCCCTCGAAGTGACTCAATCTATCATACACCAGCTCCCCAACCCTTCCCTATACCTTCTCTGACTCCCAAACACTGATCACTAAACTATTCTGTCTTTAACCTCTTTTCTGAATATTCGTCTTACCTAAAAGCTCACATCCCCTATGAACGCTTCCCATGCAAGTTGCAGCCCATTCCAATGGAGGCTGTGTTTTCTCTTAGACTCCATGTACCTCAGGTCCAAGAGTTGATTTATGTGTTCTCTTTAGGCCCTCATGATTCACTGCATTAGGAGTTCAACCCCAAAACTTTATAAACCTTCTTCCAGATCATAAGTTACTTCCATCACCAAATTTGTCTTTGTTTCTCTGTCTTCACTTTACCCAGTCTTGCAGAATTCAAAGCAAAGTTGACCATGACACCAGAAGCACAGCAACAAAATTAAAAATAGATACGTTGCCCATCACCAAAATTAAGAACTTTTGTGCTTCAAAGTGCACCACTAAGAAAGTAAAAAGACAAGCCACAGAATGACAGAAAAATATTTGCAAATCATATCTCTGGCTAGGGACTTGAGTCTAGATTGTATAGAGAGCTGAAAAACACACCACACAAAAACATATACATGAGCGGTCATAGCAGCATCATTTATAATAGCCCCAGAAGTAGAAACAACCCAAATGTTCACTGACTGATGAATAATAAGCAAAATGTGGTATATCTATGTAACAGAATATTATTTGGCAATAAAAGAGAAATGAAGTACGGGTAATGCTACAATGCGGTAAATCCTGAAAATGTAAATGAAAGAAGCCAGCCACACAGGGCTACATATTGTATGACTTCATTTATATGGGATATCCAGAAGAGACAAATCCATAGAGACAGAAAGTAGATTAGAGAATGCCAGGGGCTGGGGAGAGGGAGAATGGGGAAATGACTGCTAATGAATACAGGGTTTCTATTTCGACAAAGGAGGAATGCAAATGTTCTGAAATTAGATGCACAAGTCTTTGAATTCTGCACTTTAAAAGGGTAAACTTTGTGGTATATGAGTTAGATCTCAATAAAGCCATCATTGAAAAGGAAAAAATCACACAGTTGACAACCCCATCCTTCTTGAAGCACCCTGGCTCCCAGGATACCATACTGTCCTAGTTCTCTCTCTGGCTGCTCCTTCTCAGTCTCCTTTGTAGGTTCTGTATCTTCTCCCAGGCCCCTAAGTTTGGTTTATTCAAGCTTACCCTAAACCCTCTTTTCTCTCTCCCTAGATGATCTCATCCTACTCTTGTGGTTTCTTATAGCAATTTTATGCTAACACTGTTTCTTCTGAGTTCAAAATTTCATTATCAAGCAGCCAAATTGATATCTTTGATTGAATTTTTTTTTTTTTGAGATGGAGTCTCGCTCTGTCCCCCAGGCTGGAGTGCAGTGGTGCGATCTTGGCTCACTGCAAGCTCCACCTCCTGGGTTCACACCATTCTCCTGCCTCAGCCTCCCAAGTAGCTGGGATTACAGGTGCCAGCCACCACGCCCGGCTAATTTTTGTATTTTTAGTAGAGATGGGGTTTCACCATGTTGGCCAGGCTGGTCTCGAACTCCTGACTTCAGATGATCCACCCTCCTCAGCCTCCCAAAGTGCTGGGATTACAGGTGTGAACCACTGCGCCCAGCCTAGTTGAATGTCTTATAAGCATCTCAATTTTAGCTTGCCCAAAACCAAACTCTTATGGTACACAAAGTAATTTGGGGGATAAACCTATAGCTTCTGAGAATAGCTAGGAGTTACAGTAGAGGACCACTGTAGGGGAAGGAAATAGAAGAATGCTCCATCTAACTAGAGAAGATATGGACAGCAAGCATTGCTAAGTCAATTCAAAGTCAATTCATGCCCTGAAGCCCTTGACTGAATACATGAGTGTTTTAGGTATGTCTGATATGACAATACACACTGAAAAAGTATGTGTGAGTACTTCCAATGAAATGTAGCCTTTCCTTTACTGTATCCATAATGAAGTGCAGGATAAAGCCACAGTCTCTCTCTTCCTCATAGAAAAGACACATAGAAGTGTGAAATCAGTCTTAAGGCACAAAAATCAGTACAATCTTTGTTTGCAAGCAAGCTCTGTGTCATCACTGTATGTTGTAGCTCGGGTGTCCAGGAAACAGACTCTGAGAAAGAGATTTGCTTGCAGGATGGTTCTTGGGGAACTCACAAACAGCATTGTGAGGGGTGAGGGGAAAAAAGAGTAGGTAGAGAGAAAAGGTAAATTGAGATATTCTTACCAAAGAAGCCTCAGTGATCCCGCAGCCAGCTTGGAGCACAGTTGGCCTCTCACAATTGTCTCAGTTTGAGACAAGGGGTCAGGCCTTTCTACCCCTGCATTGACCAATCATTAGATGGCAACTGCTGGGGCTCAGGGTGTAGCTAGGGTGATGTAGCCCAGAGTGAGGCAGCTCCCTGGGCTAAGGATAAATAATGGGGGTATGGGTGGGAGTGAGGACACATCTGTGAGTTATTTGTGCCCACACTGCCAGCAACAGATGGTTCAGTCCTGAAGGGGACCTCAGCCAGGCACAGCAGCTCCACTACTCTGCTTGTGTTTACCTGGGTCACTGGCATTATCACACCATGTCACTATAGCTGCCAACAATCATGACAGCAAAGCAAGCATTTCAGGTTCTAGACTTCCTTGATGTGAAGCCATTATTGACTGGACAAAAGAGAAAGGGGCCTAATTTTCTTTCTTTGGTTTGGAGCAAGAATGGGATTGTTTAGATCCTCAGCAACTGGTTTTGGAAAATTGTTTTTTGGTCATGGTGCTATCATGGACTATAAATAGGTACTCAACCACTGGCCATACTGACAGATGAATTGTAAGTTCTGTGCTGAGCAAATGAAAGGGGGCTGCAATGAAGAGGACTCGTTCCTATGCAAGGAATGGAATGATCTACCCAGGAAGAGAAATAACAGCAGATGGTGAGGTCAGCTTGTTAGCTCTACTTATTTAATTAAAACCTTTACACATATTGTCAGGTAAAAATCAGCTGTCAAAAAGTCCACCTGGTCATAATTGATCATCGTTAATAAGTCTCTGCTAGCCACTGCTGCCAAAATCTTAGTTATAATCACATAATCTCAATTAATTAAGAATACAACTCCAACAACTAAACTTGGTATTCATTACTTCCCCAAAGTGAAATGCAATAATGATTGACGGCAAAGAGGGGAACAGAGCATGTTATATGAATATATCTCAACTCTAGAGCCAGGCACCACCATTATGATTAGGCTTCCCTGTTCAGGCTGAATTTGATTATGACATATGTATCGTGGGTACAGCAAAATATTGATGAAAACAAATGAGTCTGGAGTTCTTATTTGCCCTTTGAAACCAAATCCCATTTGGGACCTTCTCTTGACCTCTCCTTGAGACATCTTCATCTGAAATATCAATTTGCATAAATCTATTGAGTGAAATTAGCTTTGACTTGCCAAGAGAGAAAACCTGATTTCTGCTCATGCTTCAGAAAGGTAAGGAAGACTGGAAGACTGGTAAGGAAGACTGGCATTTTCACTGGAAAGGAACCAAAAGAGCTAATGGGCTGTATATCATCAATTTTAAAAAATATTAATTGCTGAAGTACTTTGGTATAGCTTCTCTACTTTTTTACATGACCCATACGTGCAATTAAAAAGTGCTTTCCTAGAGCAGCAGAGCAAAAACAATATATGCATCTGTTCATCATGCCAGTGCTATGGACCATATACTGTCTTATAAAACACACTCCCTAGTATTTTAAATACATATTGATCTATTTTTAAGATAATTATATCTATCACAATGTGCAATTTCTCGGGAGCATGCCAACATAATTTTTCTTAAAAGCTACTTAAACAGTTGAAGCGAAGGGGAGAGACATTAATGCAAACTAGCATGGAAGTTGCA
This sequence comes from Homo sapiens, assembly GCF_000001405.40. Classification (NCBI taxonomy): domain Eukaryota; kingdom Metazoa; phylum Chordata; class Mammalia; order Primates; family Hominidae; genus Homo; species Homo sapiens. Next base: position 111,696,003 of record NC_000007.14, on the reverse strand, counting down.
CCACTAATATCCATCAGAATTTTCAGACATCAAGGAACTCAAAAGTATAGAGAAAAAGGGGATCACATAAGGGTAATATGACTAGAAACATAAACTGCTTTCTAAAGGTCGGCAAAACTCCCTTTGAAGTCAAAAGAGAGTTTTACTTACCTAAGAAGCAAAGGATTTAGTTCTCAAGGAGTATTATTTGAAATGATGTTAGTTTAAATTAGGTCTCAGTAAGTAGAGAGCAGTTATGGCTGTAATTGACTTTGTTATATAAAATCATACCAACTCAGACCTTAGAGCTCCCTAGATTTTATTTTCTCATACAGCAAATTTCTCAGCTTCTGGGCCCATTTTAACTCCACTGGGATGGTATTCACATTTCCAGTAAAGGATTTACTGAGAAGTGATGGATGATTTTAGGTAAAAATATCAAAGTTTATCTAATACTTTCCAAAAAGGACTTCAAAGATGAAACGTGTTAAACAATTCTTTCTGTTAAAAAAAAAAAAAATTTGTCACCATGTGGGAGCAAATTCAAAATGTTTAAGCGGCTTAGCCTATATTATTTGACCACAAATCAATGTTATATCTTGGGAACTGCATATTAAATCTTCGGCCTTTTTCTTTCTTTCTTTTTTTTTTTTATTACAAGTGAGATGTTTGGGAGAGAAATATTGTGATTACAATAAAGTTCTGACATTACTGGGTTTGAAAATAATAATTTTGACTTATTCATCATGTCCCTAAAAGTTTGTGATAAAATTTGAAAGTTAGCTAAGACACAAATTTGAATTCTGTGAACTTCAAGTCACCTTGCTAGCATATGAGCCTGCCACCCATCCCTAGGCAGAATGCATATCTCAAGTCCAATATTTTGTTCTCTATAATTGTAATTAATTTAAATCTAACATTTATTTAGCAATCACTCTGTGCCAAGTAATGTGATAAAACTTACTAAGTCAGCCAGGTGTGGTGGTTCATGCCTGTAATCCCAGCACTTTGAGAGGCCAAGGTGGGTGGATCACTTGAGGTCAGGAGTTCAAGACCAGCCTGGCCAACATGGTGAAATCCTGTCTCTACTGAAAATGCAAAAATTAGCCGGGTGTGGTGGCATATGCCTGTAATCCCAGCTACTGGGGAGACTGAGGCACAAGAATTGCTAGAATCTGGGAAGTGGAGGTATTAGTGGGCTGAGATTGTGCCACTGCACTCCAGCCTGGGCGACAGAGTGAGGATCTTGTCTAAAAAAAAAAACAAAACCACAAAACAAAACAAAGTCCTCTCAATAATGCCTTGAGGTAAGTTTTGTTATCCCTATTTTATAAATGAGAGAGAGGCAAGAAAAAGTCAGGGAACTTGCCCAACGTCACTAAGCTGTTAAAGAGAAAAGTCAGGATCTGATCCCAGCAACTGGCTCCAGGGCCTATGCTCTTCACCTCACCTCCACCTCCACACTACTGCATTCAGAATCACATATGACATGACTCATCCCATGCTACGAGTTGTACTTCTTTGCTATCTCCATTATATGAGGACACAACATTAGTGAAAGTTAAAATTTGTGATAAATATAACCCATGAGAAAGTCAGGCCTCTGTACAAACATTCCTGTAGCTTCAATCTTGAGGGCAGGCAAAGACCTCAGGAAAAGTCTTTACAAATACCAAGGGTGTGCTGTATTTAGATTAGGTTTTTTTATTGCTTTAGATTTATGTGATACGTTTTTGAAACTGCCATCCAAAAGTAGTTAATTTTTTTCATGCCACTGAAGGAGGAAGGTGAAATTATCAGGGAAATCCATTTATGTACATTACCTCATTTCCAATAATGTCAATATAAAAACATTACTAAAGTTGTACATATTGATTAGGAATGGTAAAAAATACAACACGGATCATGTTCATGGTTCTTGATTTTATTCAGTATTTTTATTGGGTTGAAGTCCTAGCAAATGACACTTCGGTCTGCATCTTCTAATATGAATTAGTATATGTTATCAGTGTGACACTACCTGAAGAGCTGAGTAGGGAGCATGTCTAATGCACACAGCTGAATTAACAGTTTCCAGCCCCACCCCAGTTTATCTACAGAATGACTAAATAAGAAGTGGTCGGTCCAATTTAGTCATTAAGGTGGTTGAAATAGCAAAACAAGTATGATCAATTGCTTGCCAGTTGGTAGCTGATGTGAATGAAATAGTCAAAATTTCCAGAGTAGTCCTATCTGGCCATAGATATACGCACAGATGAACTTTCATTTTGTCTATTGATTTTGCTCCGTAGGTAAGGGCATAGAAGATCAGGAAAAAAACAAAAAGAAAAACAAAAAAAAAAAAACAACTTTATAAATTGGACTGATTCAGACTTGAAAATTAGTAATTTGCTCTTACTAGGATCTGGACAATGACCATGCCAGACAGTGCATCTACACGATAGAAACTAGACAAACCCACAAAGGTAAGGCATGTAACAGGAGGAGACCAAAGATATGGTAGTAAGAGATCCAAGCCATCTGCCTCAGGGAACTCCAGCTGTGGATGCCTGGAGTTGCTAGAACGAAGTATAGGGAAGTAAATTATGATTCTATTTTACTTTTAAGTTTGCAAAGTCCTTTCACATATACTGATTTGGTTTGGCTCTGTGTCCCCACCCAAATCTCACCTGGAATTGTAATTCCCATAATCCCCACGTGTCACAGGTAGGACCAGGAGAGGTAATTGAATCATGGGGGCAGTTTCCCCCATGCTGTTCTCGTTACAGTGCGCAAGTTCTCCTGAGATCTAATGATTTTATAAGTGTCTGGCATTTCCCCTGCTTGCACATCTCCTTCCTGCTGCCTTGTGAAGAAGGTGCCTTGCTTCCTCTTTGCCTTCCACCATGATTGTAAATTTCCTGAGGCCTCCCCAGCCATGCTGAACTGTGAGTCAATTAAACCTCTTTCCTTTACAAAATACCCAGTCTGAGGTATTTCTTCACAGCAGCAGGAGAACAGACTAATACATATACCATCTTTATGATTTTCACATACTAAATGAGTCATGATATTGTTTTCTAATTTACATAAAAAACTGAGGTTCAGAAATAAAGGAGAGGAAACTAACATTAACTGGATGTCTATGGGTCACATGTTCTATGTACCTTACAATATGTGATCCTCATAACCCTGTGAGTTAGAGGTTTGCCTGAAAATGTTCAGAGTATCAGTTCAGTTCATTAGCTGCTCTGTTTCTCTGAAATCTACCTTCTACCTATAGAGACAAACCCTGAGACTACATTTCTACCTCCTGCCACTGATAACTGGCCATGCACAGCAGGCATGGACACTTGATCCAAGCTCAGAGCATCAAGACACTCCACCAGGAATTTGGAAATGGCTTTAAGCATGCACATAGACCTGTGAGGCAGCACTGCATGTGGAAGAGTGAAGGAAGCTCATCTGCAGAGAGAAGAATGAAACTAATGGGCTGATTAACAGTATTAAAAGAAACCATGTAGCCACAGAGATTGAGACATCCTGAGAGAGACAATGAGGTAGAGAGAAATCAAGAGTAGCTGCCTGATCACTTTCCCAGTCTGGATTCCATGTGGCTCGACTGTGCTTCCTGCCGTAGGATTTTGTGAAACAGCTCTGTTAAATCCTAAGATAAATTCCATAGTTTTTGCTTATTCTGGTTTGAAGTAGTTTTCTATGATTCATAGACATAAGAGCCTGGTTCTCCAAGCAGGAGGTTACATGGCCCCCGCTGCAGAGGCCAGAAAGCCGAAGTGTCAGGATACCATTTTGATTCTCACTCATAGATCTGTAAAGAAGGTTTAAATATTTTTCCCAAGTCTTGAGTCACAGCTAATATTCATCAAAGAGCAGAGAATAAATGGAGTCCTTGTTGAAGCGTCAGTGCTTAACCTAGATCACTTTGTTAATTTAATTGATAAGCACTGTCACTGAGTCAGTGAGTTTCAGAAGTGGAAGAGACTTTCCTATGACTTCCCTAGCAGATGGTCACCTTGCCACCATGTGATTCAACTCACCCCCACGTGAGACATCGTATTCTCTTCCAGAGGAGCCCTGGGATACTTTGATGGAGCCAAAGGCTTTTTTCCTGCAACATTAGCCCTCCGAAAAATCTAGCTCTTTGGAACATACTTCTCTCTCTTCCCAAGAACAACTTTTCCTATGTTTGAAGACAGCTTGGTCTGCTTTGTATCAGACTAAACATTCCTTCAAACATCCTATAGGCCATGGATTCAGGATCACTTACTACCCTGACACAGGGCGTAGTAGTCATTCTCCCCTGCAGTGTGCTCAGAACCAAAAGTGAGGCTCCAGTGTGCTGAGAGGATCCAGAGTATCTTATACAGTTGAGCACACTTTAGAGGGAGACTTATTTACAATGATCTGAACCCCAGACATACATGCAACTTATGGTTCCCTAACCACTCTTTTTTTCAATGTGCTGAATTTACTGATTTATGTATTTTATTGTGTTAAAAACACATGAGATCTACCTTTCTGACAAAATGTTAAGTGTACAGTACAGTATTGTTAACTAGAAGCACAATTAGTTCTACAGCAGATCTCTAGAACTTTTTCATCTTATGCAACTGAAACTCTAGACCCGTTGAACAGCAGCTCCTCATTTCCCCCTCTCCCCCAGCACTAGGCGACCATTTTCCTTTCCATTTCTAGGAGTTTGATTACTTTAGATGTATCACAAATGGAATCATGTGGTATATATACATGTAAGAAAATAATATTCAGCTTTTTTAAAAAAGAAGGAAATCCTGTCATATGCTACAACACAGATGAAACTTGAGGGCATTATGCTAAGAAATAAGCCAGTCAAAAAAGGATAAATACTGCATGATTCCACTTAATGCACTGATTTTTAAAATTGTGAAGTAAATCCTACATATAAAAGTGTATTTCTTATTTGCTTATTTTTAAGTTGTGAAACACATATACCAAAGAGTCTATGTTGCGTACTTTTGCTCTTATGAAATAAACATATAGGTACACACTAGAATCCTCATTAACCAGCTTGTTGAGAAACAGAACACTTCTAACACCTTTGAAGCCAACTGTGAACCGCTTCCTGACTGCATCCACATCCTCCCCAGGGACACTGGGGAAGGAAGCCACTATTCTCAATTTTGTGTTTATCATTGCCTCGTGTTTGCTTACTACATAACATACATATCCTTAACAATATGTTGTATATATTATCCTGTTTTTAAACTTCCAATAAATAGACTCATGCTGTTTGTTTTCTGCTTTTTAAAGAATTCCGTGTTGTTTTAAAGATTCATTTATAACCCTGCATGTAGCTGTAGTTCGTTAATTTTCACTGCTTCATTTATCCATTTCCCTGATGGAGGGTTTTTAAGTTTGTTCTGGTTTCATGTCTTTAAGAAGTTTGTTATGGGTGGGCACGGTGGCTAACATTTGTAATCCCAGCACTGTGGGAGGCCAGGTGGGAGGATTGCATGAGCCCAGGAGTTCAAGACTAGCCTGGGCAACAAAACGAAACCCTTCCTCTACAAAAATAAAAATAAAACTAGCTGGGCATGGTGGTGCACACTGGTAGTCCTAGCTACATGGGAGGTTGAGGCAGGAGGATTGCTTGAGCCCAGGAGGTTGAGGCTATAGTGAGCCATGTTCACGCCACTGCATTCCAACCTGAGGGGCAGAGCTAGACCCTGTCTCAAAAAATAATTTGTTATGAAGATTCTTGCACATGCCTCCTTATGCACATGTCCAAGAGTTTTTCTAAGGTGTGTACCTAAAGAAGAGTCAGAGTATGCAGAATTTCATCTTTACTGGAAAATGCACACTTGCTTTCCAATGTCATTTTACCAGTATGCAATCTCATCAGCAGTAAGTGGTCTGTGGTTCCACATTCTTGCTATACTTAATATTGTAGGGCTAATTGATTTTTCTAGTCTAATGGGGATTAAAATGGTACCTCACTGTGATATTAATTTGTTTTTCCTTGATTACTAATGAGGCTGAACTTCATTTTATTTGTTTATTGGCTGTCCTATCTCCCCTGTGAAACTCTTCTTTATGCCTTTTCTATTGAGTTGAAATGTCTTTATTAATAAGTGGATTTATTTGCATATTCTGCATATTAATCTGTAATTTTAATAAATTGCATATCTCTTCTTCCAGTGTGCACCTTTTATTTTTCAATCTCTTTAGGATGCTTTTGATCATTATAAATTTTAATTTCAGTATAGTCAAATTTATCAGTCTTTTTCACAACGGCTTATACTTTTTAAAGTAAGTCTTTCCATATCTGTTACAGAATTATTCTTTTGTAGTGTTTCTAAAAAATTCACTTGTTTTTCACATTAAAATATTTGATCTATTTGGAATTGATTTTTCTATATAGGAAGAGGTAAGGATACATTTCCATTTTTTAATCCAGCTCACCAGTTTTCCAACTAATAATGGTTTGATTTACAATTTTTCTACTTTATGATGGTGAGAAAATGATATGCATTCAGTAGAAATCACACTTCAAGTACCCACACAACCACTCTGTTTTTCATTTTCAATAGGTTATTCAATAAATTACATTAGCTATTCAATACTTTATTATAAAATAGGCTTTGTGTTGATCTTGCCCAGCTGTATATGGGCAAACATACAGATGAGTTTGTTCTATGGATGGGCTTTTTCTGGACTGTTCAACTATTTGTCTCTCTTTGCCTATACCAATATTGTACTGTTTTGTTTAATATGGTTTTACAGTAAGTTTTTGTATCCAGTACTACAAGTTACCCCTTTCTATTTCTTCATTAATCATGTCAGGCATATATTTTTCTTGCAATTGCCTATTTTGAAAACTAAATGCAAAACTTTATCTTCTTCCCTTTCAAAATTCCTTTTGTTCATTTAGACTATTACTATAGCACACTGAAAACATTTTAAATAATATTTTTGCTATCTGATACATTATCTAGCCCTTATAATTTTAATATATTCACCTCATTGATGAAAATTTGCAACAGGACAAAGTGCACTTTTCTGAGTCTCCGGTAAGGACATATCATTAAGAAATGTAATGGAAAACAAAACCATCACTAGTGAGAAACAGTAATAAAATAAGAAGACTCCTGGGTAGTGTCCAACCCTTCCAGGAACCTGTGGATGACCATCACCAGTTTAACCTCCCTGGATTTCAGTCCCCGGTATCTAATATGAGCACTAGTGGTAATAGGAATTCAAACAAACGAAAAGGACAGAGGCAAATCTCTTGGAGAATATAATGGGTGATGAATTTCAGGATCAAACCAGAATGATTTATACAGTTTCTCATGTTTAAGATTGATAATAAAAATAATTTTAATCTGAAAGTATAAAACAAATGAATGTATCATTGCCATAAAGGAAGAAAAGTATGTCTTGGAACTCTAAGTTTGTTGCTGGTCCTTGATGATCTTGCTTTACATTTGTCAAGAAAATAGGGGCCAACCTTCAGCCCCATCCTCCTAAAGTTACCAGACCCTCTTCCCTATCTCAGTGGAAAATGTCTCTCTCCTCCTTTCAAAATCTGTTCTCTCAATTCCTTTCTTCTTAGAGACTTGCTATGTCATCAATCCCCATTTTTTCCAGAATCTTCTGTCTTTCCCAGCTACTAGCCTGTTCCCATCAGCATCTAAATAAACTCAATTATTTCCCATCTTAAATAAGGAACACAAAACAAAAATGTCCTTAGCTCTTACATCAATGTGTAGCTATTAATATATTATTCAAATTGCTTTTGCATCTGATACATATTCTCAGTTTGCTTCCTGCAGTTAGAATTTCAGAATTTCAGAATAAAATGAAAGATCTCCTTTCATTTCATACTATTTCTGTCCCTTTTATTCAAAACTAATTTTTTGTTTGTTTGAGACAGTCTTACTCCGTTGCCCCGGCTCAAATGCAGTGACATAATCTTGGCTCACTGCAACCTCTGCCTCCTGGGTTCAAACGATTCTTCTGCCTCAGCCTCCCAAGTAGTTGGGACTACAGGCATGCACCACCACACCCAGATAACTTTTGTATATTTAGTAGAGACGGGGTTTCACTAAGTTGGCCAGTCTGGTCTCAAATTCCTGACCTCAGGTGATCCACCCACCTCAGCTTCCCAAAGTGCTGGGATTACAGGCATGAGCTACTGTGCCTTGCCAAAACTGATATAATTTTTAAAAAATTATCCAAATTAAAAAAAAATCCAAAAAATTATAAACTTTTTTTTTTTTTTTTTTTGAGACAGTCTTGCTCTGTTACCCAGGCTGGAGTGCAGTGATGCAGTCTCAGCTCACTGCAACCTCTGCCTCCCCGGTTCAAGTGATTCTCCTGTCTCAGCCTCCCAAGTAGCTGGGACTACAGGCACCCACCACCACGCCAGGCCAATTTTTGTATTTTTAGTAGAGACGGGGTTTTACCATATTGGTCAGGCTAGTCTCGATCTTCTGACCTCAGGTGATCCAACCGCCTCAGCCTCCCAAAATGCTGGGATTACAGATGTGAGCCACCATGCCTGGTCTATTTATGAACTTTTTATTAGACACACCTAGAAATCTCTCCTAGGAAGTCTTTCTCTCCCTTGGGCCTCTTCCGAGGCTGCTATGGAACAATGCCCTTAAGGTTCTTATATTTGTTCGTTCATCTGTCTCTCTTAGAAAGCCTATGTTTAGGGCTGGCTACAGTGGCTTACGCCTGTGATCCCAGCACTTTGGGAGGCTGAGGCGGGTGGATCACAAGGTCAGGAGATCAAGACCATCCTGGCCAACATGGGGAAACCCCATCTCTACTAAAAATACAAAAATTAGCCAGACGTGGCAGCTGGCACCTGTAGTCCCAGCTACTTGGGAGGCTGAGGAAGGAGAATCGCTTGAACCAGGGAGGCGGAGGTGGTAGTGAACCAAGATCGCGCTACTGCACAATCCAGCCTGGTGACAGAGCAAGACTCCACCTCAAAAAAAGAAAAAGAAAAAAAGGCTATATTTAATGTTTAATGGAGAGTGTCTACACAGCACTTTTAAGATCCTTAGAAGACTCTCGTTTGTTTAAAAAGAGTCTGAGGCCCAACCTTAAAGCTTTGTGAGTTCTAAGTACAGGTTTATAAGTCACGCCCTAGACTCCATGTTTCCCTTGAGACTACATTTTCCTAACAGCAGCTAGGACTTGATCTTTACCCCGAGGTTCTTTCTTACTCTGAGATCTGTTTACTAGCTGGAAAAACCCACTTGTTCCCCCCTTTTTTTCCCCTAAGCTCTATGCTTTAGTGCCTTGCTCGCCCACATTTTATTATAGGCAGACAGAGAAAGCCAGGAGACACCTTCAATATTCTGCATAGAAATCTCTTATCTAGATCATTGAGTTCATTAGGTGTATTTCCTATTTTCCACATTATCACAGGTGACAGTGTTACCAAACTGTCTGCTAACACTAACAAGAGTCCTCTTTCCTCCAACTTCCCATAACATTTCTATTTCCTTCAGTACTTCACCTCATGTTCCCAAAGGTCCATCAGGCTCCCACCTGCTACCTGGCCCCCAAAATCAACACCACATATTCTAGGTTATATTATGAAAGCACTCGTTTTTCAAGTGCCAAGTTATGTTCCAGGTATCTATTGCTGAACAATAAACAACTCCAAAACTGAGAAGCATGAAGCAACCACCATTTTATCATATTCATGGATTTTGTGGGTGATAAATTCAGACAGTGCATAGTGAGGATGGCTCATCTCTGTTCCATGATGTCTAGGGCTTCAGACATCAAGAAGCTGGGGGTGACTCAAAGGCCTCAATAATCCGATGGCATTTTATTTATGCTTGGTGCCTTGTAAGGATAGCAGGAAGCCTGACCTCAACCAGGAATGTCCACTGGACAACTTACATGGGGCCTTTCTAGCATGGTAACTTCCAGGCAGCTGAGCTTCTCACATGGTGGCTTAGGGCTCCAAGAGCAATTATTCCAGCCAACAAGCTGAGTGGTCCTTTGTGTCCTAGCATCATAGATCATTTAGTGTCACTTCTGCTAAGCCCTATTGTTGAAGGCTTCAAAACCTGCCCAGATTCAAAGGGAAGGGTAAAGACTTCACCTTTTAATGGAAAAAGTGTCAAAGAATATAAGGCCATGTTTTTCAAACAACCACACTTTTTTTTGTGTTATCAAGTTTGCCATATTCAGAAATAGAAGTCTTCTAAAATTTCTTCACTTAACTAGCACACACTCTTCTTTTAAACCACAATATTTTAAAAAGCATATCCAGCTATGTATGAGTGGAGTAAGGCATGGTGAATTGAAATTTCAAATGAACAATAAGTATCATGTAGCTGGAGGAAACAGTTCAAATAACTTTAAGAAGCTGCTGAAATTAGATCTTGACTCAACATTAACCTCAATAAAAATGATATATAACTTGGGGAAAAATTGTATTTAACCTTATGAAGTAAGATCAATGCAATTAAGATAAATATTCTCTAGAGGCTGCCATATGACTTGTGCTGTCTTATTTAATGTGCCTTAGGGTACTTGGGAGAAGTAAAATTCTGAAAGAAAATAATTTAATTTGAAGCAGGTAAATTCTGTTTCCAGAACCAACATTTTAAAATTAAGAGTCAGTATGCTAATGCTAAGCATAAAATATTCCAATTATGAATGACTCAATACATAAAATAGTTCTTAGAACTTCATCCTCTTAAGTTTTTTTTTGTAGGAAAAAAATTACTGTGACTTCCTTATTCTGCCTTCCTTATTCTAGAACACAATAAATCCAGAATTTTAATTATAACCTTAATACAGATGATCCCCAACTTTTTTTTTTTTTTTTTGAGATGGAGTCTCACTGTCACCCAGGCTGTAGTGCAGTGGTGTGATCTCAGCTCACTGCAACCTCCACCTCCCAGGTTCAAGCAATTTTCCTGTCTCAGCCTCCCAAGTAGCTGGGACTACAGGGGTGCCCCAACACGCCCGGCTAATTTTTGTATTTTTGGTAGAGACAGGGTTTCACCATATTAGTCAGACTGATCTCCAACTCCTGACCTCAGGTGATCCACCCACCTTCGCATCCCAAAGTGTTGGGATTTGCAAGCATGAGCCACGATGCCCAGCCAACGATGGTTTGATTTACAATTTTTTGGCTTTACAATGGTGAGAAAGTGATACCCCTTCAGTAAACACTGTACTTAAAGTACCATACAACCATTCTGTTTTTCACTTTCAACAGATTACTAAGTTACATGGAATATTCAACACTTTATCATGAAATAGCTCTGTGTTGATGATTTTGCCCAACTGTGGACAAGTGTAAGTATTCTCAGCATGTTTAAGGTAGGATAAGCTATGACGTTCCATAGGTTAGGTGTATTACATGCATTTTTGACTTATGATGTTTTCAACTTATGACAGGCTATCAAGACATAACCCTATCATAGGTATATAAGAGAATATGTAGGCCGGGCGCAGTGGCTCACGCCTATAATCCCAGCACTTTGGGAGGCCAAGGCGGGAGGGATCACGAGGTCAGGAGATCAAGACCACGGTGAAACCCTGTCTCTACTAAAAATACAAAAAATTAGCCAGGCATGGTGGCAGGCGCCTGTAGTCCCAGCTACTCGGGAGGCTGAGGCAGGAGAATGGCGTGAACCCAGAAAGCAGAGCTTGCAGTAAGCTGAGATCATGCCACTGCACTCCAGCCTGGGTGACAGAGCGAGACTCCGTCTCCAAAAAAAAAAAAAAAAAAAAAAAAAAAAAAGAGAATATGTACACGTTTTCACTCCTTTCTTGCTACATTCTATGTTTACATTTTTAAGTCATTTCAGGGAAAATGATTTAATAGTTTCTTTGTATAGATATCAGAAAACATGTTCTTCTCAGAAGTCAATTTGTAAACTGGTATCTAAAGCATACGTAAATTTAAAAAAGTAACTGATTTTAGAGGGCTTGAAAGCCATAATTTTTTAAAAAATCACTTTTATTGAAATCTAGCCAATGAGTTAAATGGTGAAATTCTTATGACAATCAACCTAGGTTGTTTTTAAACCCCTAAGCTAGTCTTCAAACTTGGGAAAATTTTATATACGAAATTGCAAATGGATTATATAACCTATTTAATATTGGACTTGTTTTGTCAGAGGCAAACAATTTTGTATTTAGCAATCACAAGCACAAAAATTGGCAAATCCTTATTGGATATCTTGTGAAATTTATTTTTAACAGATTATAAAATCTAATGCAGGGATAGTCCTACTGGTTGTTTCTGTGGAATACCTGTATTAGTTTATTTGATATCACCTTCGGTATACAGATAATGTTTGATTACATGAAGAAGAGAAATAACTAGGTTTCCCAGCACCTTCACACAATTGGATTCAAGTTTTTAAACTTGGATAGCCAAAGAAGTAATATGAAACCAAAAAGACCACTGCTAAGCCATAAATAGGAGAAAATGTAGCACATGTAAATACTAACTGGGAAATGACTGACCCCATAAGTACAGCAGTGCTTCCTTATCCAAGGAGGATACATTCCAAGACTCCCAGTGGATGCCTGAAACCTCAGATAGTACCAAATTCTTTATATCCGATGTTTGCCCTTCTACACGTATACCTATGACAAAGTTTACTTTGTAAATTAGGCACATTAAGAAGTTAACAATAACTAATAATAAAATGGAACAATTATAATATGCCAGCATCACCACTCTTGTGCTTTAGGACCATTATTAAGTAAAATAAAGGTTACTTGAGTACAAGCACTGAAATACTGAGACAGTCGATCTGATAACCCAGACAGCTACTAAGCGACTAATGGGCAGGTAGTGTAGACAGTGTGGATACACTGGACAGAGGGGTGATTCACATCCATAGAAAACAGAGTGGGACGCTGCAAGATTTCATCACACTATTCAGAATGGCATGCAACTTAAAATTTGTGAATTATTTCTTGAATTTTTTGACTTACTATTTTTGGACCACAGTTGACCACAGGTGATTAAAACCATGAATAAGTGGGGACAACTATAATTCCAGAAAAGATTACATCAAGCGTGGCAAATGTATGATACTTGTGCTGTCACTCCCTGCTCCCGAACCTAGAGCAGACACTTCTAATTAATCACTTTTTTGTGCCAAGCCCAGAAACAGTCTCCCAGTGCAAAGGTCCAGGCAGCTTCTGCCTATTGTTTGGCATTAGAACACAGATGAAACCCTTCTGCCAGCTCTGGATGAAATGGTCGTAGCGAACTGAAGATTAGTCATAGGCAGAGCTGATTTGATTTTATCACTGGGAATATAGCAAGTAAGAATTTTGAGACAATGCTGCTATGATACTCAGCCATGATGTGACAACCAAAAAAAAATTCCAGCAGATTCACGGAGCCAGCACAAAGTAGGGGTGTACAAATGAAAAATTTGAATCTTTACATCTATAACGTTAAGCAAAATTTTCACATCTGTAAAATAGGGATGATACCTATTTCTCAAGGTCATTACAATGATGAATACAGATAGACTGTATAAATTACCTTAAAGTAGGTGCTTGCTAAATGTCAGTTCCAAATTCTAGCTGTATGGTTTTTAAAGAGACATACAGAGGTTCCCAGAACAAAGTATCTGAGGTGGTTAAAAGGGTGGAAAAGTAAAATCAAGATGTTAATCAGAATGTTTGTGGCATGTAAGTGAAAAATCAGGACTTCCTACTTGACAGAGGATGACCAACATAATAATAAGACACTTTTTATCTATTTTGAGACTGGAAACTAGAGCAATGTTGCCCACAGTGCAGTGCAGGTATCAGTGGTGGTTCCTGGTGTTCACTACTGGGGACATATTGGCTGCCTGGCTTTAGATAGAGCTTGAATTGTACTGTAATTTCAAACACTGCCTTTCAACTCATACAGAGCAGATCATCAAGAAGGAAGAGCCTCTAGAGGCCACCAGGCTCCAAAAGAACCCTTTTCAAATTCTTCTGCTCTGTAAGGGTGGGGCTGTTTTCCGGCAGGCCAGAATTTCTCATTATTTATTTTTAAGGCAACCTTTGAAAAGTAATACTGGTTATTGCTTAAGGTAGTCATACAAAGTTTGCTTTTTGTGTACATGAATGAAAGAAACTATGAATTATATAAAACTATTAATGGTACATAGACATGGCAGGAATTATAAAAAACATCTTGTGTGGTAATGACCAAAAGTTGGGAATGAGGGAACTGAAGTGTGAAAGAAAAAAGGAAAAAGAAGGGTGGGTAACGAGGGAAAAGAAAGTAAGGAGGGATCCTTTCATTTAGGTAGCCTAAGGTTCCCTGCTCCAGGCCCTGCTTTTGCCCTTTTAATGCCTGCTCTGGGCTGTCATGCAGCATCCTATAGAGAAAGAAACTGAGGGGGATTCTAAGGATTCAGCATGGTCACTTTAAACAATTACCGGATCATATAGTTCAATTGCTCTCTTACTGTAATTAAAAGACAATTCACAGTTCGCAATGTAGTCCCTTTTGACATTTAATTAAGGCTTCCAATCTGCAAAGCCTGAGTGCTATCAATCAAATTGGAGCCAGCAGCAGTAGTGCTCATTTCCACGTAAATAGCAGAGAGGTGGTTGTTACCATACAAGGTCCCCTCTCAATCTATGATGATTAATCAGGCAGGTTTTTCCAGCAAACTTATTGAGAACCTTTTCCCCAACCACTGTGTAGCTCAGAGTCTAAAAGGGTTTTTGCCTGTTTTAAGGTAAACAAATGGGAGTTTTAACACAGTGTAGAAGCAAATAGATAACTTTTTCTCACCCATTTTGCAAGGGTCACTCCTATAAAAGAAGACAGATTAACAAGAGAAAAGCACAACAAATTGATAGATTGAGACAAGGTCTTGTTCTGTCACCCAGGCTAGAGTCCAGTGGGGTGATCATGGTTCACTGCAGCCTCAAACTCCTGGGCTCAAGCAATCCTCCCACTTCAGCCTCCCAAAGCACTGGAATAACCGGTATGAGCCACCAGCCCTGGCCAACAAATTTATAATATTTAATCACAGTTTTATATGACACAGGAGTCTTCAGAAATGAAGATCCAAACACCTAGGGAAAAATATTTCTATGCAAAATCTGATGAAGGAAGTGGATAGTTGTAGAGAAACATGATTGGACAAAAAGGTATGGTCTAATGAGGGAAAACCAGTAAGGCTTACCTATTCAAAGGGTCTTATAACCTACTAAAGGGGAGGTAGGTCAGAGTGACCTTTCCAGGTTTTATGGTTTGCTTTAGGGGAGGAAAGAGAGGAGGGAAGGAGAAAGACTTTCTTGCTTCTGGGGCCCTCTTGTCTCCTTCAGCTCAAAAATACTCAGCATACCAAGACGCCATACTTTGGGGTATCATGTTCTGACCCCCGAAAACTGTATACATAAACTGGTACAGCAAGTACTCTAATGACAGTAAACACAATGCTATGAGTCCCAGATGAGGCTGAGAAAGGCTTCTGAAAAGCGGATAGCTCAACTTAGTCTAGAAGGATGATTCAGGACTAGCTGGATAGAGAACGAGGGCAATGAGTTCTGCCCAGTGGGAGTAGCTTGTGCAAAGGCAGGGATACCCAAAAGAACTTGGAACTACTGGGGCTAGGAATACAATACCCCAAAGTACGGTACTTTGAAATGGAAGGACTTTGGAAGGACTCAGAAGCAACATCATTCTGACCACCTCCCACCCTCCTGGATCCTCCCTACTTTCTCCCCGAAAGCAAGTCATGAAAACCAGAATTTCTCTTCCCCAAAGGGAGGTCATAGACACTAGAACTCCTTTCCCCCAAAGCCAGCCATAAACCCTAGAAAGGTCACTGTCTGCTTTTGTCAGAGGTGTTTGAACCACACCATCTCCATCTTGAACAGGGGCTGGGCAAAATGAGGCTGAGACCTGCTGGGCCTCATTCCCAGGAAGTTAGCCATTCTTAGTCACAGGATGAGATAGGACATTGGCACAAGATACAGGTCACAAAGATCCCACTGATAAAACAGAATGCAGTAAAGGAGCCAGACAAAACCTGCCAAAACCAAGATGGTGATGAAAGTGACCTCTGATTGTCCTCGCTGATCATTAAACACTAATTGTAATGTGTTAGCATGCTAAAAGACACTCCCACCAGCTCCAGGATAGTTTACAAATGCTATGGCAAGGTCCAGAAGTTACCCTAGATGGTCTAAAAAGGGGAGAAATCCTCAACTCTGGGAATTGCTCATACCTTTCCCAGAAAACCCATGAATAATCCACCCCTTGTTTAGCATATCAAGAAATAACCATAAAAATATCCAACCAGCAGCCCTTGCAGCTGCTCTATGGAGTAGCCATTCTTTTCTTTACTTTCTTAAAGAAACTTGCTCTCATTCTACTCTGTGGACTCACCCCAAATTCTTTCTTGTGTGAGATCTGAGAGCCATCTCTTGGTGTCTGGATTGGGACCCCTTCCAAGTAAAACTTTCTCCCTTGAAGACCCTCATTCCAGCAGAGTCATGCCCTAAATTGGGGAGAAAGCAATGCTACACAGAGAGGCCAAGGAGAATCTGAACAGTCAGGCCTTGCTGGGTTTTCCCCCTCAGTTATTACCATTAGATAGTACCCTTTTGACCAATCATGTTTCTCCACAACTAGTCACTTCTTTCATCACACTTTGCATAAAAACAGTTCTCCCAGATCTTTGGGTCTTCATTTCTGAAGGCTCCCATGTCACATAAAACTGTGACTAAATCAATGTATTATGGCTTTCTCTTATGTGAAAGGAAAATAAATACTCAGGACCCCAATTCACTCTGCCAAAAGAAAAAACTAAGCTGAAAGCTGAGTCATGCAAGAAGCTGCCTTTCCTTTTGTTCCTAACTGGACAGCTACAGATAACAGGTTACGTATCTCCACAGATAGCTACTCTATGTTCTCCTTATCTTATGTAAAATGCTGCTTTACTGAACACGAGAAGAATACATAATTGGCTATTCCCCTACCTGCTCCTTTTCTCTTGCAACATGTGGATTACCATACCCTCCCACCCACTTTTCCCCTTTAAATACTGGCACCCTTAAATTCATCTTTGGAGAAAGTCATAGACCACAGACTGTTCCTGTGATTTTCTATTTTTTGTTCCGTGCATTGTCCTTAACCTTGGCAAAATAAAGTTCTAAATTGAGACCTGTCTCAGATACTTTTTGGCTTATACTTGTTAATCTGTCTTTTGTCATAGGCTTGTCAGCTGAGACCTTTATGATAGGTGAGAAAAGATATCACACTTTTCCATCCTTACAGTACCAATGGTAAAATGCAAGTAGACTGTGAGGCTGGAGTACAGGGTTTGCTGGAGGGATGGCAAGAGGGTATCTGGAGATGTAGGCAGGAGTTAGACCACGATTAAATGTGTTTTTCTCAGCACACAAAAGGATTACAAAGGGTGGGATGGTACCTCTACCATTGCTGCTTTCCTTAGCTGAGATAAAGTTCAACATTCTTAGATTTTCTCGTTTGTGCCAAAGAAAACATTCAAGTTACTCATGATTTGTAAGCAGGGACAAGACCTAACCAGATGAGCACTGTAGAGCAACGGTACATACTAGCCAGCTCCTGTCACTTGCTCCCATCCAAATAATTTGTCTCTGGGTTCTCATATGCCCCTGTTCCTTATTTCTTTGTTTCCATTCCTGGGTTCTCTGAATCCCAGTCTAAGCAACATGCCTTAGTTTGAAAATTACAATGTCTCAAGTTTCTACCCTTTGCTCCGAGGATTGAACATAACTGAGACTGCAACTGCTAACAAGACCCCTTTTCTTGGAGAACCTTGTCTCTTTGCTCCCTTCCACCTGAGTCCTTAGATCTGACATCTAGCCACAGTCCTTAAACCACACTGAGAATGTCTTGAATGAACAGCCTTTCCTGGTAAAGAAAGTTATTGGCAAACCCTGGATTGCTGCAGCTATTACTCAATTCTCCCTACAGTCAGGTTGTGCCACAGCCTGGGCAAGGGTTGGTCCTTGTGATCTGGACTCTAGCTCCTGCAGATTAGGTGTATAACAGAACTGCTTTGGACCTGACAGCAAACTCAGCCCTGAGTTGAGCTGCTCAGCCCTCAGTTATTCAAGCCTTGAGCCACACAGTAACCCCTTGGTCAACTCTAATTGAGGTTTGCAAACCTTGGTGCCTACAAATTAGTTAGAATAATTATTCTACTTAACCCATTAGCCCTGAAATGTGGTAAGTTTGACATTGTACCAAAATATGTACTGGGAGAAAAAAAAAACAGTACAAATTACATGGTTATAAAATTACGTTATCAGATAAATAAGCTCAGCTCAGAAGTTCTGCTTCAGAAAAAAAAAAAACTAAGAAAATGCAAAACATTACCAATATTGCTGAAGTTTCCCAAGAAGTAATCCAACAAAGATAATATGCTGCTTTGACAAGGCATCCAAAAGCTATGGTTAAATGGAAACACCTCAAAGTAAATCCAGTTACCATCAAGGTGGCTAGGCTATCTTTTCTGGTTGAACTTCTTGGAAAACTAAGGATCCTTATACACTTGGGTTTTCTTAGGAGACAGACATACAAGCAGATTTTAGTCTCTGTAACAAATTAATGTAGTTGGTTAGGTTTGTAGTATTATGAATTCAAACGAAATTAAATTCAGCCATGAAACTTAATATCTTGAATTTATAGACCACCCAACATAATTTCCTTTATTTTTGGCACTTACAAAGTCAATTCACTTCTGTCTGATATGATTTTCAAAGTAAAGCATAAGACTTACCAATTAAATCCTCCTCCTCTCCCAGTAAATTTTACTAGCATTTCCCTTCAATGATCTTTTGCAATTACATAGTAATTTCTATACAATTTCCTCCATGTGTTTTGCAAACATTAATTAAGCTTTGCAATACCCCAGCAAGGGAGGAGACCAGCATTACACCCAGGAATCCTCCATGTGCTGTGATGGTGGTTGGAATGACATTTGTTCCTGTCACTCAGAATCAGCACACGGAGCTCCAACCCGTGGAAGGAGAGGATGTACTGATTCTGCCAGAATTAAAAATGACACCATGATGCCTCTGATTGCTTTAAAAGAAAATGGGATGACTTTTCCTATCAAGAAGTTACTCTTTTAGAGCATGTGAAGATATTTTTATCTCTGACTCTGAATAATGGATCTGATTCTTATTAGTGTTTTGAAATTAATTTAAGTTTAGTGTTCTATCTATCCAACATTCATACATGTTGTTTTAGTAACAGCTTTAAGTAACCAGTGAAAAATGAGAAATTATCATATAGAACATAGTTGGAGAGGTGTGCCCTTTTAGATACACATGGATCTCATCCCATCTTCTAAATGTACAAACATAACTTTAGCTTAACAACAGGCAAATAGAGAAATGGAGAAAAGAACGAACTAGCTGGGTAAACAGGCCATGACATATGGACTGGAAAGATCAAGATGCTTAAGGCTTAACAGATACTTAGTCTGTTAAACTAAGTTAAAACTTACATGGGATTTTTTAAAGCTCTTTCTTTAAAACATTATCTTATAAATTATGACAGCAGTCACTTCCAGCCTAGCAATGTAGGCTGCTGGCTTCTCAGCACACTGACAGCAAAGCTGGCCTAACCAAGCTACCAGTACTGTCTTAGCATTTAACCCTGAAGGAGTCTGTCACCATCCCTACCTCCTGCCCTTGCTGCCTAGTGCTGGGAGCTGTCTGCTGAGTATGATGCTTTCTTGGTTCTCAACCCTGACTACACCTCATAACTACTTGAGGAGCTATTTATTGCAGCAGGGCCCTATCCTACATGAATTAAAACACAGTTTCTGGGGATGAGGCTGGCTATGGGCATTTTAAATACCCCCAGGTGATTGCTACCTGCTGCCCTGGTTAATGCCGCTCAGAGTGCAGTGGTGGAACACCCCACGAGTCAGGTAGAGCAGCCCAGCCTTTCTTGCAAGATAATGGCTGACCTCCAATTCTAAGGAAAGTCCTCCACAAAAACCTTATATGGTCTTTGTCCTTGCCATATTACCTTTTACCATTCCTATCTTTCTCATGTTGTAAGTACCTGGTTGCTGGCTTGATGCATTGGCCAGCAGTGGAGAGGGGCTAGCTGGGCAGAACTGCTTCTCAACTTTGAGGTCAATGGATACTCCTACAGGGGTGTTATTGCATCTCACACTTTGCTGACCACTTCTATGATGATTTTCCATGCTTGGGTACCTAGAGCCTATGGTGAGCCAAAGTAATAGTGCAGAGGGAAATGAACTCACAATTGAAGAGAAGGCAGATGCTATACAAATATATGAGCCAGTGGGTCAATGAATATACATCACAAATATAGTTTGCAGAAATATTGCAAAACAGGTCAGTGGGGAGTATCCCAAAGATGTTACCTTGGTTAGCATTTAGCAAAGACAGACATTTTATTTTTCATTCCTATCTTCTAACTACATTTTTTTGATAAGACAGATTTTTTTTTACATCAATCTAAAGGAAGACGACATGCAATATCAATTGTGTGGGAAAGATAAGTTATGCTTCAGCTGTGTTTAATACTCTTGATGGTTTTAGGTGGTGCCACAGAAACTGCATTAAGTATATGTTGAATCACAATGAGGAAATAATTTTGTTTTCTTTTTAATCTTTTTGATTATACCAAGATAAAAGCCTCAGTTTGTCTTAAACATCTTTCTGGTACTTGATATCTCTTTTTAACACAGCATTTAGGGAACAATGGTAACCAGCTAGAATGTAAGAACATAGTTTAGTCTTCATTTGTATTTATTTATGTCTTATCTTTTATTCATAACAAGCAATAATGTTTTTTAATTTGCCGTAGTGATTTAAAGCTTCAAATCACATTTGTTTAAAAGAATGTGAGTTGATTTAAAGAGATAATAAAACAGGTAGTGCACATATGTAGCATAAATTCTGAAGGGGATATACTACTATAGCTGAAAATTATTCCACTTTTTTTTTTTTTTTTTTAAAGGTGAGCATATTCTTTAAATAGATCTCATTGCCAACTGAAGCTTAGGGCAAATATAATAAGCATTGCACCTGATTTTTTGAAGTGTTAATATTCTAAATCTAAATTTTTTAAAAATATTGTTTTAAATAATAAATTCTGAGGGGGATATACTACTATGCTGAAAATTATTCCACTTTTTTTTTAAGAGGTGAGCATATTCTCTAAACAGATCTCATTGCCAACTTCAGCTTAGGGCAAATGTAACAAGCATGGTGCCTAATTTTTTAAAATATTTTTTAAATAAATCTAAATGCATCTTTATTATGCACATCTATTCCTAACTTTGTTTTCAAATGGAAGTCCTTAATATCAAATTTAACCATTATCTATAATTATAATCTATACTTTCCACTTGCTTTTAGTATTCACACTGCAACTATGAGTTTTTAAAAACTCCAAAATTGGTTTTCTAAAGCTGGTTCAGCTTTAGAAAATTGGTTTCTAATGGTAAGTGGGGAAAACTGTCTGCTTCATACCTATGTGGCACATTTGTAATTTGGGTTGTTTTGTTCTCAATTGATCCAGATGTTCTATATCTATATCATGCTTTTAGGTAACAGATTTTTGGCAGACCTGCTTGCTTCCCAATGAAAACAGAGATTGGATAATCATTATGTAGATTTGTACATATAGCATCTTCAACAAAGAAAAATAAATGTTTAGAGAAGTGGCAAGACAAAGGAGAAGGACTTTGAGTCTCTAGGGGTGGTAAATTGTAGGAAGGCAAATAAGTAGAATTTTGCTATACATGTTTCTCCGGGGCTGATAAGTGTCTAAAGTTGCCTTTGGTGCTCAATCTTTGTTCTTCCTGGTAGAGAAGAGAGGAGGGACACCTTTACCTTCATAAGTTTACGTCCTGCTTTTAGACAAATGGGAGCAAGGAGAGAACATTTCTTATATCTATTTCTTCAGTTGCCTTCAGCTCAAAATCATCCTTATGTCAAAATGGCATATTTGGGAGTGGCATATTCGGGTCTTCTACAGCACGTATTTTCCTTCTCTCTGTCCCTAACCCTCTTCCCTTCTTCTGTCATCTCTCCCATCCAATCTAATTGGCATCACACTTAAAGGTTTAGCTTAGATATCACTTTTTGTTTTCATGGTACCCCCATCACTCCTCTTCCCCAAAGACTGAGGAAATTGACGCCTGGTGCATTCCTACGGTGTTCTGTAACTTACCCTGTGTTTCACTTCCTGATGTGATTGTTAGTTTACCCATCTCTATCCATTCCCATCCTTTTGCCCGTAGCCCTTGGCACAGTGCTTGATAGATTTGCTGACTTAAAAACAAAACCAAAAAAAAGGTCTTAAATCACAGGGGAACACATCAAGGAAACCTCTTGCCTTTTATTCCTGCCCCCTTTTGTCTTCCATTGCATTTCTCAGAATTCACTCCCAGGACAGTGGCTTTTTTATAATATATGTAATGTTTTTACTGCCCCTACTATGATACTTCTGCATCCTCTTGGTAGTGAAACTTTGGAGCCAGCAGCTAAGCAGTTCACTGACAAGGGAATAAAAGTAAAAAGGGGAAATTGGAGTCATAGGAAATAAGCGATGGTGGGAAAATCCATTTTCAAAATTTAAAGCTCTAGGAACGTGTTGCTATACATTGTGCCTACTTACAAAAAACTGTCCAGAACATCACTCTACAATGTGGAAGCCACTAGCCATGTGTGGCTACTAAATTAAAAATTCGGTTTCTCAGTCATACTATTTCAAGTACCTAGTAGCCACATACAGTTAGTGGGTAATACTTTACTAAACAGTGCAGATGTAGAATATTTTCATCATTACAGAAAGTTTTATCAGATAACGTGGGTTTAGAACACAGAAATTTCAACATAGTGATAAACTCCTTTCAGAAGGAATGCACATTAGAATACCTAAAGGCTGGCCAGGCGTGGTGGCTCACGCCTGGAATCCCAGCACTTTGGGAAGCTGAGGCAGTTGGGTCACCTGAGGTCAGGAGTTTGAGACCAGACTGGCCGACATGGTGATACCCCATCTCTACTAAAAATACAAAAAACCTAGTCAGGCATGGTGGTGTGTGCCTATAATCCCAGCTACTCGGGAGTCTGAGACAGGAGAATCGCTTGAACCTGGGAGGTGAAGGTTGTAGTGAGCTGAGATCACGCCGCTGCACTCCAGCCTGGGCAACAGAACAAGACTCCGTCTCAAAAAAAAAAAAAAAAGAATACCTAAAGGCCAGTTCTACTAATTATTTCCTAGGCACACCCTGGATTGGGGAATCAAGTTGCAACCATACTAATTGTCAGTAGTTTCTGGAAATTGCTGATTTATTCAATTTTTCAAAGTCATACATAATTTTCAGAATTAAGTTGTCAAAGGGAAGATTTACTTGGGTACTATTAGTTTTTCCTAAAGTCATTATTAATTCACTATCATAGATTGTTCACTTTTACTCTTAACTTCCTATAGTAAACTATTGATAAAAGAAACCATGTTTTGACATTTTTCTTACAATTTAGTTGTATGTCATAGTTTAGATCATATCTACATGGAAAGGTGTCTTATTTAGAAATTTGAAAACAGCTGCTTAAATGCTTAAAATTTCAGGACTTGAGAATTAGGCAATAGGGATGAACAAGACATAGCCCTTCCTTGTGGAGGTGATAATTAGTGAGGATGACAGACTAAAAGAACAAATAAAGAAGATTTCAAGTAGTGGTATGTTCTATGAAACTGACACTTTGAACAAAGACAACTATTGAGCAGGAAATAATGATGCAAAGATCTAGTAGCAACAAAACTCGACAGGTTAAAAAATTATAATTTTCCATTGGCACATTCATAGTCTACTATGCTAAGCACTTTATCTGCATCATCTCATTATCATTTGTGCATTTGGACATTATTCTGATCACCCTATGCAGGCAGACGTCCTTTGTTTTGCTTAAGAATGGTTACTTTCTAACAGTAGATGTACTTGTGTGGATCAGTAACATCCAGGTACTAAAAGTGAATATTTATTGATGTATTAACAAGATTTTTTTTTTTTGAGATGAAGTTTTACTCTTTTTGCCTAGGCTGGAGTGCAGTGGTGCAATCTCAGCTCACTGCAACCTCCGCCCCCTGGGTTCAAGCAATTCTCCTGCCTCAGCCTCCTGAGTAGCTGGGATTACAGACACCCGCCACCACACCCAGCTTATTTTTGTATTTTTAGTAGGGACGGGGTTTCACCATGTTGACCAAGCCGGTCTCAAAATCCCGACCTCAGGTGATCCACCTGTCTCAGCCTCCCAAAGTGCTAGGATTACAGGTGTGAGCCAACACTTCCGGCCAAAGTTTTTTTTTTTTTAAGGAAAGTTTGTTCTCATTTCTGTAGGGCAGTGTCTTAAACTTTGGCTGGTGGATGACTAGATCCAAGACATCTGGGTTCTTGTTGAAAATACACCCTCCTGGACCTCATCTGTAATCAAAATCTCTTTGACACCTGGAATCTGCTCTTGTAACCACCACCCTAGGTTTTTCTAATGCATACTAAAGAGTTCTGTGATGTGGAAGACATTGTTGATTGTCCACACAAGAGCCATTCTCTTCTTTGTCTTATTAATAGAATGCCGATTTTGTTGCTTTCCTGTTGGGAATGAGATGCTTAAGAAAATCGTGCTCAGGCTCAGTAGACTAATCAAGATCAATCTAAAGCAAACAAGGCAATCTCATCGTCTTTCCTGGGGCTGGTTTAGAGACTTATTTTGGCAAAAGACTTAAAAGGAGACTTCTCTGCTGGAACCAGCTGGGAAATAGTTTTCTTTCCTCCTAATAGGAGAAACACATGCAGAAGTGGAACTTGGTTGTGTAAGGAGCGGATACCTAGAGCTATTGAAAACAAATATATAGAGGATAGTGGAGCAAAAGGATGGATAAGACTGCAGGCGTGGCTGAACCTCTCAATCCACCTGGAGTCAGCTCCCTCCAGATTTCCTGTTATGAGAGACAATAACCATCCCTATTACTGAAACCATTTTATTTGGATATTTTGATGTTTGCCGCTAAGAGAATGCTAATTGCTACACTGGAGGAACACTAGGCAGAATTCTTTTTAAAAAGCATTATACCTTTGGTAGAAACTGAAGTTTAAAGTGCCAGGTTTTTGTGATATTAGACATTGAGTTGAAAAAAAAGTATACTTGACAAAAGTGTGAGAAAATCATCAACAGGCAAGGCCCTGTGTTTAAAAAAAAAAATTGTTTTGGGAGATGAGAAGAAAAGCCATTTTTAAGAGATATAACAGAAATACTTGGCATGATCATTAGGTTATAGGAGCTGGTCTCTAGTATACCTGCCACAGTTGCAAAAAACATACTTGTTACAAAAGTTTTTGGAGAGATGAAGAAATGAAATATACACATAACATTGTTTTCAGAGAAAAATCAGTTGTCATAGGTTTCACTGCTCCTTTCTTCTGTGTAGGATACTCCTGAGGTCTGCTCCGTTGGGGGTGCTACAATGTTGGCATAGGAGGGACACATTTGCCCTTTCTCCCTTGGGAAATTGACTACAATAAAAGATAAATAGGTGTCCACCACAATGAAATTTGAATCCCCTAACCCAGAGTAGCTGATTTTCCCCTCTGTGGCTTTTGTCTAATCAGCCATTCAGCATGTGGGTACTCTGAGATTAGAAACAGGCATTCTCATGCAGTGGCCCCCTCCCTCCCTTAACTCAAAGATTCTTTTCATCTAAAATCCTGGGACTTCAAACTCAGAGATCATGTCTGAAGTAGACATGACAAAGGAAGCTTAATACAAAGACAAATTCTCATCCTCCTATGTGATGTCACTTGAAAAACAGAAGGAAGGATCTGGAAATGAGCTTTCTTCTCCAGGCTGAATAGTACTTTGAAAGTTCTGCATTTGCCATAGCACAGGACCATCTTTGTGGTTATTATTAATACCTCCCAATACACTTGAGGGTCTAAGGGCTACCTTCACATATACATAATGAGAGAATTACAGTAAACACCTGCATAACTTGGTCTTCTCTAAACCCCTCTAATTATTTGTTCCCCTCAGGCACAGGTAGCTTGGGCTTAAACTCAATTTCCACTTCATGTATGGCTACATAAAGTAGTACTTACTTAGACTCATCTGGTATTTGAGGAACATCAGCCCTTTATGAACTCCATGGTGAATACCAGTTGACCAGGAATCTCACAGACATTTTTGTGTGCGACCAGAACCATGGGTTGGGTACAAAATAACATACAGTATACTGAAGGCTCTGTGGTTGACGTGAAGGTTTTCAAAAACTTTTGGGGCCGGGTGCAGTGGCTCATGCCTGTAATCCCAGAACTTTGGGAGGCAGAGGTGGGCAGATCACCTGAGGTTGGGAGTTTGAGACCAGTCTGACCAACATGGAGAAACCCCGTCTCTATTAAAAATAAGAACAAAAAACAGAAAAAAAAAACAAAAAAAACAAATTAGCCAGGCATGGTGGCACATGTTTGTAATCCCAGCTACTTGGGAGGCTGAGGCAGAAGAATTGCTTGAACCTGGGAGGCGGAGGTTGCGGTGAGCCAAGATTGCACCATTGCACTCTAGCCTGGGCAATAAGAGCGAAACCCCGTCCCCACCCCCCGCCCCCCCAAAAAAAAAAAAAACTTTTGGTTCCTCTACTTAGGCACGGTCAGGAGGTAGGTTACTAGTTCTGAGATCTTTTCAAGGGCTATGCTCCCCTGACTGTTTTAATGATATCCAAAACAAAACCTTTTTCTAGTGAAGAGGCAGAGTTATTTAAAAAAAATAAAAACAACAACAACAATGTGAAGCATCAGTCTACTCTCAAGTAACGCTGGTATGCAATTGAATAAAAAACTTCTATGCTAGAACTTGAATAGATTCAATGCTTAAAGATTGATGTTTGGAGCCTGTTGAACACTTCAGTGTCAGTCATCATATATCAAGAAATTTACATACTGAGGTGCTCTTGCCCTGAAACAAAAAGATGAAGAGGCTTGCATTCATTTTCCATTGCTACTGTAACCACAATTTCAGTAGCTTAAAATAACACAAGGCCAAGTGCAGTGGCTCACGCCTGTAATCCCAGCACTTTTTTTTTAGACGGAGTCCCGCTCTCTCACCCAGGCTGGAATGCAGTGGCGTGATCTCGGCTTACTGCAATCTCCACCTCCTGAGTTAAAGCGATTCTCCTGCCTCAGCCTCCTAAGTAGCTGAGATTACAGGAGCCCGCCATCATGCCTGACTAACTCTTTGTATTTTTAGTAGAGACGGGGTTTCGCCATGTTGGCCAGGCTGATCTCAAACTCCTGACCTCAGGTGATCCACCCGCCTCGGCCTCCCAAAGTCCTGGGATTACAGGTGTGAGCCACCGTGCCCGGCCTGTAATCCCAGCACTTTGTGAGGTTGAGTTGGGAGGATCGCTTGATCTCAAGAGTTCAAGACCAACCTGGGCAACACGGTGAGACCCCCATTCTCTACAAAAAATACAAAAATTATCCAGGTGTGGTGGTGCATGCCAATAGTCCCAGCTCCTCAGGAGGTTGAGGTGGGAGGATCACCTGAGCCTGGGAAGGTTGAGGCTGCAATGAGCTGTGATTGCACCTCTGTACTCCAGCCTGGGTGACAGAGGGAAACCCTGTCTCCAAAACAAAACAAAACAAAAAACAAAACTCACATAAATTTATTTTCTTACAGTTCTGTAGGTCAAATATCCAGCATAGGTGTCACTGGTGTGGAAGAAAGATGTTGGCAGGACTGCATTCTTTCCCAGAGGTTCTGGTGCAGAAGCTGTTTCCTTGCCTGTTCCACCTTCTAGAGGCTACTTGTATTTCCTGGCTCATGGCCTTTCTCCATCTTCAAAATCTGCTTCCACGCTGCTATATTTCTGGCTTTCTACAGCTGAGAATGGTTCTCTGCTTTTAAAGACTCATGTAGGTAGATTGGATTCACATGGGTAAACCAGCATAATCTTGCCCCATCTCAAGGCCCTTAACCTTAATCAAATCTGTAGCCTTTCTTTGACTGTGTAAGGTAACATATTCACAGGCTCCAGCGATTCAGATATGGGCCTCTTTAGGAGGCCATTATTCTGCCCACCACAGGCCACTACACAGAAGTGTGCCAGACTTGTGGTATACAGCAGAATATGATCTGCTAGTGCTCCTGTTTTACCAAAACACAGATGATTGAGAGTTTAGGGGATTACTAAAGTCTGCTCTCATCAGCTCTCATTTCTCAGAGATTCACATTCTAAATTATGCACAGTCTGATGAAAGCTCTTTTGCGTCATTGACAAGGTTGTGGCCCTTCTTTCAGCATTACAACTTGGAGATTTTATGGGCTGTGTTGGGAAGCTCATGATGCACAATGGGAGGGGATGAGGGATTTACATTGATTAAGTTTCTACTCTGTGCCAGGCACTTCCACACTTCACAGTATTTGATTTTCCTGACCCCTACTCTAGTATTCCTTCCACTGTATCATGTTTATACAGCATCCCCCTTCTGTGGAAATTATCAACACACCTACCAAGGCAAGAGGATAGTGTGGTGGTCAAGGGCTTAGGCTCTGGATTCAGATGCACCTGGTATGCTGAATGGTCTGTTTCTCCTCCAGACCCACTCTCCAAACTTCTTTGTCCTACTCTGCCCAGGGAGGCTCACCTTTACAGAGTAGATCAGTCAGGCTTCTTTGCCCTCTGCCTTCTCATTGAGTTTGGTCAATAGGAGCCACTAGCAGGAGAAGAAAAGATGTGATGAGAAATTGCTCAGCAATGTAATCTGTCAGTTCTCTTTGGGCCATAGTATGGCACTATCAGCTTTGCTCTACCTAAGACTACAGCTTCTGCCAGGCGCAGTGGCTCATGCCTGTAATCCCAACACTTTGGGAAGCCAAGGAGGGTGGATCACTTGAGATCAGGAGCTTGAGAGCAGCCTGGCCAACATGGCGAGATCCCATCTCTACTAAAAATACAAAAATTAGCCAAGTGGGTGGCGCATGCCTATAATCCTATCTTCTCTGGAGGCTGAGGCAGGAGAATCACTGGTATCCAAGAGAGGGAGGTTGCAGTGAGCCGAGGTCGCGCCACTACACTCCAGCCTGGGTGACAGAGTAAGACTCTGTCTCAAACAAACAAACAAACAAACAAAAAAAGACGACTACAGCTTCTGCAGGGTATCTCCTCTCCCGTGGCTGCAGGTCTTTCCAAGTTCCAGTAAGTGCTCCTCCCTGTGCCCCTGGAGACCTGCTGCTAGCCCTTGTGTGTTTCACCATTCCTGGCTGATGCTACTTATTCCTTGATAAGTACTTCCTTCATTAAACTCTCCTCAGGTACCCTGTTGAAGTGTGCCAACTGTTTCTTGCCAGGCCCTATCTGATACACCTGGGTGTGCCAACATCTTGTGATCTTGGATGAGTTAGCTAACCTTAAACCTCAGTATTCTCGTATGTGAAATGGAGATAAAAATAGCTACCTCGTGGAGTCATGAGGAGGACTAAATTATTTAATTCATGTATAGCTTAACACAGTGTTTGTCACACAGTAAACACTTAGAGGAATCTTTGCCAAAATAAAGGAAATGAATTCTCTGAGATCTGATAGCTCCATCTGGATACAAATGTTCCACCAAGTGAAATGTACTTTTTGCTCCAACAAAAAAGAGTTATTTCAAACAACTATTTAATTGAGGTCTTTGGGTTTACCAATAACTAATTGTTAGTGATGTTGTTGAAGCTACCCAAATAGTCCTCACCTACTGAGGGACATTCCAACTGAAGCACCTTTAATTTAAACTTTGATGCCTCTGGAATTTTCCAACATACCTGAGACTTTACTTTCTAATTTTCTGGATATATAATAATTTAAGTAATGTAAGCAGAACATTTTTAACAATATTTTGGAATATTTTGGAAATATAAGTCTATCTATAAATCTACTTAGACACACTAATTGCTTCTTATTACAAATAACCTACACAATGATCCATTTAAATGCATAAAAATATTATGGTATATTTTTTTTTTTTTAAACAGGGTCTCACTGTTGCCCAGGCTGGAGTCAGTGGCATGATAGTGGCTCACTGCAGCCTCAACCTCCCAAGATCAAGGGATCCTCCTGCCTCACTCTCCTGAGTAGCTGGGACTTCAGGTGCACACCATCACACCCAGCTAATATTTTTATTTTTATTTTTAGTAGAGACAAGTCCTCACTATGTTGCCCAAGCTGGTCTCAAATTTCTGGCCTCAAGTAATCCTCCCACTTCAGCCTCCCAAAGTGCCAGGATTATAGGCGTGAGGCACCACACCCAGCCAATGGTAGAATTTTTAAAAGGACAGTCTTCAAAAGTGGATGCTTATGGTATCAGGGAAAAGATGAAATGCAAAAAAAAAAAAAAAAACAAAAACAAAACAAAAAAACAAAAAAAAAAAACCTACAGAAAATATTTCAGTATTTTGGTACATGAAGATCCATGTTGAGAGAGAAAGAAACAGAGAGTGAGAGAGAGACAGAGAGAGAGAGAGAGATTTGGAATAGAAACTTCCAATGTACTTTTCAGATACCAGATGAAAACACCATTTTAACAGCTGACAGTGTTGCTGTCACTGGCTTAAGTCTATACTTTGAAAGATCCCTTTCAGAGGGAAGATGAGGCCCAGAGGGTATAATCCGTAAGAAGACCACTCTTTATAAGAAATAATAGGAATTTGGTGGTGAGTTAAAGCAGAGAAGGGAAAGGAGCCACGCCATGGGTGAGGGATCCTAAAGGAAAAAGAGCTACGACAGACGGCTCCAGCCATGTATATTTAAGTTGTTTGCCTTGCTGTGATTTAACCACTCTGTTTCCCCACATCTTTTATAAAATCTGCTACACACCCAAATGCTTTATCTGCATGATTTTCCCCAGAAGGAAAGGGGACTATAGTCCATTTTGTCTGGGTCAGCACACGGCTGAGAAAAGACAAGAGCAGTGGTAAGGGTTGGGGGTGTGAGGGTTAATTTTAGTTGTCAACTTGTTCGGATTGAGGGATGCCCAGAGAGCTAAGAAAGCATTATTTCTGGGCATGTCTGTGAGGGTGTCTCTGGAATAGATTAGCATTTGAATCAGTGGACTAAGTAAGGAAGTTCTGCTTTCATCCAGTATGGGCAGGTACCATCCAATCAGCTGAGGGCCTGGATAGAACAAAAAGGCAACAGAAATTGAATTCTGTCTCTCTTTTGGAGCTGGGACACTCTTCTTCTCCTGCCCTTAGACATCAGAACTCCAGGTTCTCTAGCCTTTGGATTCCAGAACTTATACCAGCAGTCCCCATATTCTCAGGCTTCTGGCCTCAGACAGGAGGTTCCATCATTGGCTTTCCTGGTTTCTGAGGCCTTCAGACTTGAACTCAGCCATGTTACCAGCTTCCCTGGTTCTCCAGATTGCAGATAGTATATCATGGAACTTCTCAGTCTCCACAGTTGTGTGAGCCAATTTATCTAACAAATCATGTCTCAAATATCTGTATATATCCTATTAGTTCTGTCTCTCTAGAGAATCCTGTCCAGGACATCAGATGAAAGTGAACTAAGAGGTCACCAGAAGGGAGACTCTGAGCAGATATGTCCATAGAAACATGAGCTCGAAAAACTTCATGAAAATATCAGGGAGAGCATTATGCATCCCACAGGACAGAAGACAAAGAGACTGAAGCCAACTGTATTTAAATCTGAAAGGACAGGGTGACCTCAGCTGATATCTGATTTACAATTTATCAGAGATCTAAGTGAAAAGTAGAAATATAAAATTAAAGCTACTGGTGTCAGTCTTTTAGGATAATCATGTTCTTATTGCTGGTATTTTCCTCACCCCATATTTCTACAGTTCTTGTGGAATCTACACTAAAACAGAATATTTAGTATCAACTTTTTCCTTGATAAAAGACAGCCATTGTGGAAACTCTGTATCAACTGCTGGGAAAATGCTGGCATTAGATTTTCCCACATGAGGGTTTTAAAATTTTTTATTTAGTTAGTCATTTACTGCCAGGCATTTATTGGCTTCCAAATCTATGTTGGCACATAAGTGACTATAAACCATTACCCTAGCCTATGACATCTTACCTTTTAGGGATTAGCTGCAAAATACTATGTGGCATCAAAGTTCACTATTCAAGAGCACAGTTTTCAATAAAATAGAAAGGCACATGTCCCACACACACAGACACATATATAAATAAATACATATATCCCATATTTCCTTTTATTATGGGAATTTACATATTTTTCAATGATCTCCAAACCTATATGTTTGTATTATTGATCAGAACAGTTGCTAAACTTTCATGGTTTGCCATTGATATGGTTTGGCTGTGTCTCCACCCAAATCTCATCTTGAATTGTAATTCCCACAATTTCCTCATGCCATGGGAGGAGCCAGGTGGGAGGGGATTGAATTATGGGGGTGGGTCTTTCCTGCTCTGTTCTCGTGATAGTGAATGAGTCTCATGAGATCTGATGGTTTTAAAATGGGATGTTTCTCTGCATAAGCTCTCTTCTCTTGTCTGCTGATATGTGAGACATGACTTTCACCTTCTACTATGATTGTGAGACCTCCCCAGCCACATGGAACTGTGAGTCCAATAAACCTCTTTCTTTTGTAAATTGCCCAGTCTCAGTTATGTCTTTATCAGCAGCATGAAAACGGACTAATACAGCCATGATCACAAGACTCTTTGTAGAAGACTCTGTGTAGACTTTCTGTGAGGCTTGAGACTTTTGCCCAATACTTATAGCTTTGTATGTTCCCCCCTGCCAAGAAAATTCATTTATAACATCAATGTTGTAGGCCATTGCCAATGCAAGTCCCCAAATTCTGTTAGGCAACCTCCAGTAAAAGTGTTATTGGAAGACCTTCCATACTCATCTCCTAGCTTATTTAAAGGGTATAAATAATCAAATATGACCCACTTTAGAAAATTAAGTAACTGAGCAATTTAGCATTTTTTAAAATATAATGGAGACCTTTAGTGGTGAGAATAATTTTTGGTTATCATGCGTTATATTCCCTTGATCTTGCTATATGAAAATATGTCACATATTTACTGATCACCTACTCTCCTGCAAACCAGTGTACCCAAGGAACTTATAGATAAATAAGGAGACAAGTCAGGCAAATCCAAAATACATATTTGTAACAACCTACATGTAATAGCTCATTTTATGTGTCAACTTTGTTGAGCTATGGTGCCCAGATATTTGATCAAACATTACTCTGGATGTGTTTTTTGGATGAGATTAACATTTCAATCGGTGGACTTTGAGTGAAGTAGTTGCTCTCCATAGTGTGAGAGGGCCTCATGTAATCAGTTGTAAGCCTTAAGAGAATAAAGACTGACCACCCCCTGAGCAAAAAGGAATTCCGCCAGAGACTGCCTTTGGATTCAAATTGTAACCCTTTTCTAAGTCACCAGCTGGCCAGTCTGTACTGCAGATTTCAGACTCAGCAAGCCTCTACAATTTCATGAACCAATTCCTTAAAATAAATCTCTCTATACATACACACATCCTGTTGGTTTTGTTCTTTGG
Organism: Homo sapiens; assembly: GCF_000001405.40. Taxonomy (NCBI): domain Eukaryota; kingdom Metazoa; phylum Chordata; class Mammalia; order Primates; family Hominidae; genus Homo; species Homo sapiens. The sequence goes on along the minus strand of NC_000007.14, from coordinate 111,662,435 downwards.
AAGTCATATCCACAAAAAAAGTCTTGGTCAAGAATTTATACTTACTTTGCACATTCATTCTGTATTATTCCAGATATAAATTTGGGTGTTTTGGATTTATTTTAAAGTAATTCAAGTAATACTAGTTCCAGCTCAGTCTCCAGAAGCAAAGGTTGTAGCTCTAAGCAGTTGCAATAGGCAGCACTTATGCAACCTTCCATATCCAAAAAAAATTTTTTGAATACCTATTCTGTTCAATAAGTGCTGACATGATAAAGTGAATAAAAGAGACAACGATCCCTGCTTTCATGAAGTTTATATCCTAGTGGAAGAAGATAGACAACAAGCAAATAAACGTATGTTAGTCAGATGGTGATAAGTGCTAAGAATAAAACTAAAGCAGTTACCCTACCTTAGGATGGAGAATGATGAGATGACGTAGATCTGAGCAATTTTATGTAGGGTGTTTGGAGTATGTAACATCTGAGCAGGGACCTAAATGAAGTGAAGTCATGCAGATTGATGAATGAAAAGAGTTCCAGACACTCAGAGTAGCAAGGGCAAGGGTTTTGAGGCAGAAGTGTGTACAGGATGTTAGAGGAATACAAGGAGGGCACCAGAATGAGAGACACCATTCTGAATGGAGACACCAGAATGGAGACACCAGAATGAGAGAGAGTGGTACGAGATGAAGCCAGAGATAAGTTCCCAGAACTGGGCTGTGTGGATCAGGGCCTTGTGCATCAGGGAAAAGACAGAATTTTGTTCTGAATGAGATGGAAAGAAAATGGAGTGTTTTGAGCAGAAACTTTACATAATTTAACTTAAGTTTTAGTAGGTTTCCTTAGGCTACTCTGGAAACTAGAGTATGTGTGTTAGGGCTGGGGAGAGGTTGGTGCGGGGGTTAGAGAGAGAAACTGGTGGAAGACTACTGCAAAATTCTACCAGGAAATGATGATAGTGGGAGTAGTCAGGCTGGATATGTTTCAAAGGTAGAGCCGACATGGCTGAAAATAGAGAAGTCAAGGGTGACTCCATGCTTTTTTTTTTTTTTTTTTTTTTGAGACAGAGTCTCGCTCTGTCACCCAGGCTGGAGTGCAGTGGCGCGATCTCGGCTCACTGCAAGCTCCGCCTCCCAGGTTCACGCCATTCTCCTGCCTCAGCCTCCTGAGTAGCTGGGACTACAGGCACCTGCCACCACTCCTGGCAATTTTTTTTGTTTTTGGTATTTTTAGTAGAGACGGGGTTTCACCGTGTCAGCCAGGGTGGTCTCGATCTCCTGACCTCATGATCCACCCACGTCGGCCTCCCAAAGTGCTAGGATTGCAGGCGTGAGCCACCACGCCAGGCCAACTCCATGTTTTTTGACATGAACAACTAGAAGAATGAAGTTGACTTTATTGAGATGGAAAATTCTGGGAAAGAACAATTAGGGGTATGGGCCAAGGATCTAGTTCTGGACATGTTATGTTGCATGTCACTTAGACATCTAAATGGATATATTAAGAAGGCAGTTAGATAGAGAGGTATGGAATTCAGGAGTGAGATCTGAGCTGATAATATGTATTTGGAAATTGTCAGTGAGTAGGTGGTTTATAAAATCATGAGACTGGATAAAATCCCCCAGAGGGTAATCATAGAGATTGAAAAGGAGACGTCTGAGGACAATCTTAGGATGTACCAATGTTTAGAGGTCAAGAAGAGAAGCATCAAGCAAAGAAGACTGAGGAGGAGCTGCCAGTGAGAAAATGGGGTCTAGGAGGAAAAAAGAAGGAAGTGCTTCAAATAAGGGGAAGTGATCTATGGGCAGGTGAATTAGAACAAGGACTGAGAATTAATCATTGGTGTTATCCATGTGGAGGTTGTTAGTATCTTGCTAATAGGAGTCTGAGTATAGCAGAGGGAAAAAAAGACTAATTACAGTACATTAAAGAGTGACACAGACAAGAGGAAATGTAGACAAAAATATAGGAAACTCAGGCCCCACATGGTGGCCCTCAGTTCTTTGGGAGGCTGAAGCAGGTGGATCACTGGAGGCCAGGAGTTTGAGACCAGCCTGGCCAATATGGCAAAACCCCATCTCTACTAAAAATACAAAAATTAGCCAGGCCTGGTGGCAGGCACCTGTAATCCCAGTGACTCCAGACGCTGAGGCAGGAGAATCACTTGAAATGGGGAGGTGGAGTTTGCAGTGAGCCAAGATTGCACTACAGCCTGGGTGATAGAGCGAAACTCCATCTTGGGGACCATAGGCACGTGCCACCATACCTGGCCAATTTTTGTGTTTTTAGTAGAGAGGGGGTTTCACCATGTTGGCCAGGCTGGTCTCCAGCTTCTGAGCTCAAGTGATCCACCCGCCTTGGTCTCCCAAAGTGCTGGGATTACAGGCGTGAGCCACCACGCCCAGCCTGGAAGCTCCCTTTTGATTAGTCAATGGGTTTCAGTGTAATAAAAGCAATAAGCTGAGCGTGAGGATGAAGGGAGAGAGCGTTAATAGGCTAGAAACTTTGTTCTCTGACTGTGGCTCTCTATTTTCCTCAGTTGAGTTTAAGGAATTTGGAGCAGGATCCTTTTCACATCATCTTGTTTGGGCAGAAGGTATTTACAACTAAGATATCTTTTAGTTTATTTTTGCAAGACATTGACCATGAACCTCAGCCAGCTTTCCCATTACTTAACCTGTCACTCTCCTGCTCCAAGTACCAGGGTCTGTCCAGTCACATTTACTAATGGGAAAACAACTTAAGACTTATCTTGCCTTTCTCTACCTAGACTTAGATAAGGACCTGTGAGTAAAACTGTGATCTAAATGTTGCACTGGCTTTTGTTTCTTGTTCTCAAGGAATATCAAATTCCCAAGGGAGTTAAGAGCACCTGCTTTAGAGTTATTATCAAGTGCTGATACTTTTAATACATTTCTCTGACAACACACAGGGCAATAAAACAAGTAGCTATTGAGTGCCCATCATGCAGGAACTAACCTTTTTTAGGATCTACCATGTAAAAAAAGCAATAATTCTCCACCTTCCATAATTGCTGAAGGTGAACTTCTAGAAAATCTTATAACCACTAGTATAAATTTGAAATATCCTTTCAAACGTATTCTACTTGACGGTTAAACTGTTATTAATTAAGCAGTAATATTTAGGTATGCCAGAGTGTGGTTTAAGGTTCAATGCCAATGTTTTTGTTTCTTTTGTTTTGTTTTTGTCTCTTTTTTTCTTTTGAATTTCTGTATTGTAGTTAGGGCTTTTTCTTCCCAGTGCTGGTCCCACTAGAACAGGGTGGGAAAATAGGGAAGAGGAAGGAAACTAACATTCAGCACTCAATATCTGTTAGGTACTTTCCAGAGATTATTTAACATTCAAAATAATATTATGAGACAAGATTTTTGAGTCTCTACTTTGCAAATTGGGAAACTAGTATAATAAAAGTAATTCTAAACCACTTGGCATCATAGAGAATTGTTAATTAATTATAGTGCTTCAGAAAATTTTAGAAATAAAACACTGCCCAGTTTTACTGCAACATGCCATAAGTCTTCCTGCATAGAAAATCTGCCCACTGTGTCTTGGCCAGGTATCCTGGCTCTGAGATCGTCTCACTCTACCAGCCCAGCTTAAACAAGGTCATTGAAAGCTGTTCCCATCTTGCCAGGTGTAAGCAGCTGCTCCAGATTGGTGTTATCAGCAAATTTATTGAACTTGCTCTTACTTTCATCACCCTGTGGATAACTCTGGCCCACAACCAGCCCTTATGGATGGACACCCCCTGATAAATGTTCTCAGGATGACAAGAAGTCACTGATAGCTACTCTTTGATTGCAACTCTTCAGCCACTTGACAGCACTATGATCCAAGCTATGTATTACCAGCTTGTTGAAAAGAAATGTCATGTGAAATGGTTCAAAAGCCTTACTGAAGTCTGGAGATATTATATCTATTGCTTCCTCTTTGTCAGGGTGCCAAAGAAAGAAATTAAATTTATTTAGCCGGATTCCTCCTCAAGGCGTATTGCTGACTTCCCAACTGCTCTTATTTTGTTAATTTTCTAATCGATGGATCATTTGTATCTTTCCACAAGTTGAGATTTTTGCATTTCAACTAACAAGCATCCCTAACGCCATATTCTAAAAATATTAAGACACTTTTAGATTGTCTTTTCTTAGGTTCTATTCTGACTTTCTGAGGTATAGGAATATGCCTGTAGGATCTACAGAGTCATGAAAATATTCCCTTTTCCCATTCACAAGTACTGTATTTAAGCTCACTTCAAACAAATAACTAGATAACTAGATATATTCCAGTTCTGGCTCCAATATCTCAATGCAAATAAGTGTCATTATTCCCAGGATATCCACAGCTTTGTGTAATGAGAAGGATTGAATGTGTGACTATATGTGTATGGATGTGAAAGATGATACAGAGAAAGAGAGAGCCACTCTTTTTAAAGGTAAGGTGAGCTCTTTCCTACCACTATGCCTTCTTTCCTTCCCTTTATTAAAGTCATAGAGTTTTCTTCCGAATTTTTTATATTCCCAATAAATATAATTCAATCCATAGAACAGAAAACTAAACTTAATATGCTTATATTTGTAATGATAGGTTTGGTTTTACAGCTTTTCAATGATTCCCAGTGACAATTCATCACTTTTCCCTGACATCACTTCCTGCATCCTTGCTACCAACTCTTTTATTTTTTCTTTTTTTTTTTTAGAGACAGGATCTGTCTCTCTGCCACCTAGGCTGGAGGGCAGTAGTGTGACATGATTCACTGCAGACCCAAACTCCTGGGCTCATGTAATACTTCTGCCTCAGCCTCCCAAATAGCTGCCACCAACTCTTTTGAAATACTATTCAATGTCTACTCATTCCTAGTTTTGATGCTGTATCTATTCTTTTACATCTCTATGTTCCATCATGCAGCTCTTACTTGGGGAAGGGGAAAAAGCAGGGCTGATAAATACATGGCACTCCTCCTCCATGAACATGGCAAACAGAAGAAAAATCAATCATAGCATGTGTTTTTTCTGAGATTAGTTGGGGCCTCAGCAGCCTGTATAACCTAATATTTTAGACCTGGGGTCACAGCAAACACTTAATATAAAAAGTCAGATAGTAAACATTTTAGGCTTTGAAAACCACACAATCTTTGTTGCAACTACCCAACTGTGCTGTTACAGGGGAAGAACGGCCATAAACAATATGGAATGAATGACCATGGCTGTGTTCCAATAAAGTTTTGTTTATAGAACAAGTGACTGGCTGGATATGATCCAAAGACTTTAGTCTGTAGTTGCCTGCTGTGGATTGCAGACTCCTGCTTTAGACACGTAACCACCAATCAGAGTTGCCCTCTGAAGATGGAATCCTTCTGGAGTTCCTGGGCTAAAGAACAAGATGCAATGGTGTTTCACTGTTGACGTTTAATTCACCTGTTGTTGATTTCCACCTGATAAACTGATGTAACTTAGTTTAGTGCCCTTACCTCTGGGTGTCCAGAAGAGTCACTTTGGGACCAAAGAAAGCAACTTTCAGGCCCTGCTCATTTTCATTCTCCTTAACGTTGTCCGTGGTGTGGCTAGCATGGGAACTTCACACATTCTTTTATTTGAAGATATGAAAAGAAACGGTATGAAATATCTCAAAGTCCTTGCCTGATAATAGGTACTATCAAATACAGCATTCAATCATCAAAAACTTTTCCCTATAGGATTAAAAAGAAGCAAAAAAAACAACAACTAAACAAACCTAAATTACATTATAATGGGATAGGATGAAATGGAATTCAACTGCAGCCTAGCAACCATCAACTGTATCTCAATTATTTATAAGATTTAAAATGCGTGAAGTAGTTTTAAATGTCCTATTCCTGATTCCTGTGGGCTGAATTCTTAGCCAAATGGACAGTTGAAGAGAAGGTAGATATAAGGCATTGAAAACGTAATGGGACACTTCAGGCTAAAATAAAACAAAATAAGAAAGGGAGAGACAGAGGTCCATTTTTCTCAGAAGAATATTGCTTGAGCGAAACTTATCTCTGTTGTCTTTCAGCAAGGATAATTAACAAACCTCTTAGGATTGTTAAATATTATTATATAATACATCTTTATACTTTCAAAAGAAAACTTCTGTGATTTAAATGATAGAATGTTAACATGCACCTTCCCTTAGGAAGTTGTCCAGTGGAATCTATTCTCTTCTCTCAGCCTGGCACTATCATCTACATGCTTTTTACTCTCCCTCTGATATCACTACCAGCAGAGATAATAAATGTCCTCTTCACAGATTATTATCCAGAAGAAAAAGCACCAAATACTTTATTTGATCCTTTCAAGCCTGACTTTATATGAAATCTATTTTTATATGTAGTCATTACCTTCAAACTCTCTTTAAAGCAGCATTATCAATTTAGAAAACAAAATATCATTAATTTGTATGTCATCACTTTAGAATTTGAGATAATTTGGTCAGGGAAAGATTAAAGATAATCAGTTCAATATATATGGGAAAATAGAATTATTCTTGATGATGATGAATGCAAACAACCTACCAAAGCAAGAGGTCACGTGGGATTATTAGAGTCTAAACTCATTGGTACACTTTCGAAGCCCTCCCTGTACTAGCGGGAACACATCTCTCCAGCTTCGTACACCAGCTACACGCAACCTCTGCCGTAGCCAAAGCCAAAGCCAAAGAACACCCAGTATTTTCCTTTTTCTCTCCCCATTTGTACTGTTCTCTGTATTGGGAACACCCCTTTCTTCTTCCTCTAGTTCTGCCTTTCAAAATTATATTCCTTCTTGAAACGCCAAGCTGAAATGTCAACAGTGTTATGGAGCCTTCTCCAATACTGCAACCAAGACAAGCTCTTGATATGGTTTGGATGTTTGTCCCCTCCAAATCTCATGTTGAAATTTCATCCTCAGTGTTGGAAGTGGGACCTGGTGGGAAGTATTGGATCATAGGGGTAAATCACTCATGAATGTCTTAGTACCATTCCCTGGGTGATGAGTGAATTCTCACTCAGTTAATTCATGTGAGATCTGGTTCTTTAAAGGAGTCTAGGACCTCCCTCTTCTCTCTCTTCCTCCCTCTCTCCACATGTGACATGCCAGCTTTCCTTTGCCTTCCACCATGAGTGGAAGGTTCCCGAGGCCCTCACCAAAAGCAGATGCCAGCACCATGCTTCCTGTAAAGGCTGCAGAACTGTTAGCCAAAATAAACCTCTTGTCTTTATAAATTACCCGGTCTCAGGTATTTCTTTATTGCAACACAAGAATGAACTAACACAGCTCTTTTCCAAGACTTTATGACATGCATTACAGAGGTGTGTTGATTTGCACCTGTGGTTGGGACACTAACAATGACTTCACATATAGGCAAACACATCTGACTTCTTCATTATGCCTTTATGTAGTCATGCCTGAACATTTATGTATTAATATATTTTGTCCTCAATTACTTTCCTTTTATTTATACTTTATCTTACTGTTGAGCTATTGTATTAAAGTTTTTTAAATATGTATATAAGTAGGTTATATTACCTATAAATTTTCAGATTAGTCAAGGGAAAGTGATGATTTTTTGTGTGTGTAAGAGTGTTGCCTCTGATATGGTGGAGAACATCTAAAAGAGATTTTGGAAAGATCTGCTCCCCTTTCATTAATTCCTACTTCAAAGAATGATACTATCAGACATCCATTTCCCCAGTGTTGGCAATGTCATAAATTATTTCCCCCACCTCCCTTCACCATCCAATCAATGGCCAAGACGCTGTGAGTCTGCCTGTTAGGAGTCCTCTCATTTCCTGGCCTAGCCCCATAACTACTGGAGATCACCACGTTCTCATTATCTGTGACCTAGATTATTTCAACTCCACCCAGTCTCCAGAGGGCTTTTTACAACGTGAATCTGATTATGTTAAATTTATATTCAAAATTCTTGGCTGCTCCCTATTGCTCACAGGATAAAAATCTCAGTTTTCTAGCATGCAAACGAAACCTTTCAGGATCTGGCCCTGTGTCCCTATCTAGCATCAGCTCCTGTTTAGCGACATCACCTCTCACTGCTGCAGTTCTCACCTTATGCTTTCCACTGTGGCAACACGAACTACATGTGGGTTTCTAACCCACTCTGCTCTTATATTCCTCAATGACGCAGCACATGTTACTTCTACCTTAGATGCAACTTGGAAACCTCTTCTTTGAAAACATCTTAGACTTTGTCAGGAACACTATTTTTCTGCTTTTTAAAAGCAATTGATTTTTTTTTTTTTTTTTGCATCTGTATTTCCATGAACAGTAAGCTCGTTGCCGGTAGGAAATATGTCTTTCCTTCCCTATATCCTCAAACTTAGCACAGTGCCGAATGATAAATATTCATTGAGTAAATTAGTGCATGAACAAATGCATACACTGAATAACTTTGGTATGTTTGAAATAATCACTGCAGATTACTGTGTTGCAGATATAGTTTGGCTGTGTCCCCACCCAGATCTCATCTTGAATTCCCATGTGTTGTGGGAGGGACCCAGTGGGAAGTAGTTGAATCCTGGGGGCAGGTCTTTCCCTTGCTGTTCTCATGATACTGAATAAAGTCTCCTGAGATCTGATGGGTTTTTTTTTTTTTTTTTTTTTGAGATGGAATCTCGCTCTGTTGCCCAGGATGCAATGCAGTGGTGTGATCTCGGCTCACTGCAACCTCCGCCTCCCAAGGTTCAAGTGATTCTCCTGCCTCAGCCTCCCAAGTAGCTGGGACTACAGGTGTGAGCCACCACACCCAGCTAATTTTTGTATTTTTAGTAGAGGCGAGGTTTCACCATGTTGGTCAGGATGGTCTTGATCTCTTGACCTCATGATCCGCCCACCTCGGCCTCTCAAAGTGCTGGGATTACAGGCGTGAGCCACCATGCCTGGCTGAGATCTGATGATTTTATAAGTGGGAATTCCCCCACACAAGCTCTCCCTCTGCCTACTGCCATCCATGTAAGATGTGACTTGCTCCTCCTTGCCTTCTGCCATGATTGTGAGGCCTCCCCAGCCATGAGGAACTGTAAGTCCATGAAACCTTTCTCTTTTGTAAATTGCCCAATCTTGGGTATGTCTTTATCAGCAGCATGAAAATGAATTAATACAGTTGCTTTTATAGTCTTCCTTCTAATAATCCTCTTTCTCAGTTAAATTTTACTTTCTGAATCTTCTCTAATCCTTTTTCTCTTAGAGTTTTGCTACATTTGCTCCATTTTCTTCCGTTTTGCCTTATTCCAATTAATTTTATTCATTCTTTTGCATTTGTAGTCCTCTTAAATTCATAAATGATAGGGTTCTCTGTGTTTCTACAATTAAGCCAACTCAAATAAAACACTAATTAGCTGCTTTAATATGAACTTTGGTAAGAAATTTTCTTTCCATTCTTGCAGAAATAAGTTTAAATGAAGGCTCTAGGCTTCTAGTAAACATAGATGTCTCTATTTAGGTAATTATAATACCCAATTTACACTTTTAAAGCGATAGCACAACCAAGAGAGATATCTATAGCTCTATATAAATATTCATGGAAACACTGTTTATAATAGTAAAAAAAAACTGAAAGTAAGAAATAATTAAATTTTAGTACGTAGATTTAATGAAATATTATGCAGCAGTTTAAATGAATGAGTTAGGGTTTTATATGTCCTACATAGACAGATCTTGAGTCATATGTAGTAAGTTTTAAGATGCACAACAGTAAACATAGTATGATTCACTTGATACAAAGTATATCTACGTAAATGCTAACATTTTCCTAGGGGGTAACAAGAAACTTAATCACAGTTATTTAGGGGTGAGGGAGATTTTGTGTGTGTGTGTGTGTGTGTGTGTGTGTGTGTGTTAGGATGAAGGGCGTGGCAAAGGGGGAGCCTTTACCTCTAACTTTTTGTTTTACTTTAATTGTCTAATACACATTTTTATTTTTATGCCAAGAGGGGAAGCATGGGCCATTTTACTTATACTTTTCTATGTTAAAATATGTATACATTAGCCGAGTGTGGTGGCTCATGCCTGTAATCCCAGCACTTTGGGGGGCCAAGGTGGGTGAATCACCTGAGGTCAGGAGTTCGAGACCAGCCCAGCCAACATGGCAAAACCCCGTCTCTATTAAAAATACAAAAATTAGCTGGGTATGGTGGCACACGCCTGTAATCCCAGCTACTTGGGAGGCTAAGGCAGGAGAATTGCTTGAACCTGGGAGAAGGAGGTTGCAGTGAGCCGAGATCGTGCCACTGCACTTCAGCCTGCATGACAGAGCAAGGCTCCGTTTAAAAAAAAAAGTATACAATTAATATTAACAATGAATATTCACAAGTGATCTCAAACTTTATTGTGTATCAGAATCACTCAAAGTGCTTCTTAAGTAAATTCCAGATTCCTACCTCAAACCTCTGAATTAGAATTTCTGAGTGTTGGGGACCCAAGAAAATGAATATCTAACAAGGGTCTCAGATGATTCTGGTGTAGGTGGTCTGAGCAATATTCACTGAGAAATACTGCAGAATGACTCATTAGTACTTCAAATTCATACCTCTGTATGTCTTCTACATTTTCACCAGCAATAATAATAGTAAATTGTTGTAAGGATAAAACAGAACAATCTGTCTAGATCTCTTAGCATAGTGCTTTGCAGTAGAGCAAATTCTCAAATGGGGGTGGAGTCTGTCTGTCTGTTGTTTGGTTGGGTTTGGAGTTTTTGTGCTATTGTCAGCCATTATTAAATTTAGTTTAAAGATGCCTAGAAAAAAGCCAACCATAGGCCAGGCGCGGTGGCTTACGCCTGTAATCCCAGCACTTCAGGAGGCCGAGGCAGGCGGATCACCTGACGTCAGGAGTTCAAGACCAGCCTGGCCAACATGGTGAAACCTCATCTCTATTAAAAATACAAAAATTAGCTGGGCGTGGTGGCAGGTGCCTATAATCCCAACTACTCGGGAGGCTGAGGCTGGAGAATTGCTTGAACCCAGGAGGCGGAGGTTGCAGTGAGCCAAGATCGCGCCATTGAACTTCAGCCTGGGGGACAAGACCAAGACTTCGTCTCAAAAAAGAAAAGAAAAGATAAGATAAGATAAGAAAAAAGCCAATATTTAAATAAACTGGGACAATAAATTGTACATTGAGAAAAATTGTTCTTTGAGAACATTTAAAAAACATGTGTTCTTTCCTATTCTTCGCTGACAATAGCCACTTTTTCATTTGGTATAGCAATTGTGTTTTTTAAAATATTTTTAACCTTTTGTTGCTGTTATTTTATTATAAAGTTTAATTTTTCTATTAAATATATAGATCTTCATAATGTTTTGAACATAAATCTTCAAGATTTATGTTGTATAGGACCATATATCTTAAAAAACCAAAAGTCAATGGCAGAATATTATTTGATTTAAAATAGTGTGGGTTTTTAGAATTTTGAATGCGCCTTATTACACAAAGTAGGATACACAAGAATATGAGTTGGGCCTACTGTTGACTTTCTACATTGTGACTCATAACTGTGTTTGCCTTTTCTCTGCCAGATGTTTGTAAGTCCTGTAGTCGAAAGGAAGGCAGGAAATAACGCTGGCAAAAATGGAAGTCAGCCTTTCATGCCAGACATCTGCCAGAAAACAGACCTAGTGAAACACATCCAATAATGCAAAAAGTAGCAGGCCAGATTTGTAATGAGTTATAAATCCATATCAGCTGGTTCCATTTACTCCGTCTCAGATGACTATTTTGGAGCCTCCAGGGAAAAGCAGAAAAGTCTGTCACATATAACTCAGTCCTTCAAGGCACTACACAAATGTCAAAGCTATAAAAGAAAACAAGGCACAAGCCACCCCTCTTTGGGGACTCCCCAGTCGTCTTTCCATAGTTGCCTGGGACCCTCTCAGTGGTGCCTTATCTAAGGTAGCCCTCACCAAGCAGCCCTACCTGAGTTGTACCTTGGTTTTCTTTTCAAATGTGAACCGTACTAGGCATTTGGACCAATCTGATAAACATCTATAAAAGTACCAGTAGAATTACATTGAAACAGGATCCCTTTGTTGCCTTAATCCAAAGATTGAACTAATGTGGAAATGTCAGGTTCTAAAGTCAGTTAGTAGAGAGATGCTTGTCTTTTATCTTGTTTTATGTGGTGGGGGGGAGGGGATTTTGAAAAATGTATTTTATATTTAAAAAACACCTTCCCCACCCCTACAAACCCTATCATTTTTGAAATGTAAACCACAGAAAATAAAAGCCTGGGCAACATGGTGAAACCCTGTCTCTACAAAAAAAAAAAAAATACAAAAATCAGCCAGGCATGGTGGCATGCACCTATAGTCCCCTCTACTTGGGAGGCTGAGGTGGGAGGATCATTTGAGCCTGGGAGGTCGAGGCTGCAGTGAGCCATGATTGCACCACTGCACTCCAGCCTGGGCAACAGAGGGAGACCCTGGGAAAAAAAAAAAAAAAAAAGAAAAGAGAAAGAAAGAAAGAGAAAAGAAAACTGAATAAAATCCTCTCGTCTGGAAGTGACTGAAAAAAATACTTTATCTTCTTCATTTAGGAGATTCTCACTGAAAAATGTGGAAGCTTCACCAGGTGACAAAATATTTTCATGGGAGTGGATGGGGGAGAAGATTTTAATGCTTTTTGAAAGACAGCGTAGGATTGAGGAAGTTGGCTACTCTAATTAGTTTGTATGTTGACCTAGGTGGCTGGGCTTGTCTAATGATATTCTCCTATCTTCTCTTCTTCCTCCTCCTCCTCCTAAAATGTTTAGTTCTGGTCTATAAAAATACATAAAACAAAATTGCCCAACAGAATCACCAAGCCCAGCCTGATTAGTTGTAACCAGTGAAAACTGCCTCCATATCCTAGGCCTTATCTCCACCCCATCCCAGTAACCCTAGAATTTTGGGATATAATATTTATATTACTCTTTTTAATAAGAATAGTCTCCGATACAAAGCTTTCTTTTCACTTTTAGAATGTTACTCAAAGGAGCCTTAATGGAGGAGATCTACTTTAAATAAAAAATAAAGCAATTTAATACACCATTTCAACTTTTCTTGGAAAAGAATCATATGCTTCTCGCAAGAGAGCAATCTACTGGCTTCTTACAAGTAGGCTTTGGCTGAACTCACGTATCTTTTGAACCTGACAACCCAAAGTGAGTGATTTCTTGATTGATTTTTACACTTCTAACAATGTTACTCAATGTTCCTGTTAACTCTCTGAAATGTCACTAAGTTGTGTTCTAGGATCCTGGGGAAGTGTATTTGGAAAGGTAATCTAGAAAATAGGCTTCTCTTAGCCTAAAGGAGTTAAATTTAATCATGTCTCATCTACAGGTGTTTTAAATTCTTAAACATTTCTCAAATTTTAGCCATCTGCCAATAAATAAAGATAGCAATAAACTAAGTAATCTGAACAATAAAGAAAATTTCTTATATTATCAAGTAAAATTTATATCTTAGGATATGTATTAATTTGATATAAAAAGGTTTAGGAAAACTTAAAAAATGATAGACAATCTAAAAGCCTTTTGCACTGACATTTTTTACCCCAGTTTATATATTTTACGTTAGACAAGAAAATAAGTGAACAGTAATTATTTGATTATTTAGAAACGAAAGAAAACTGTTTTTTTCTTGAACATTCTTGACAGAGTATGAAATAGTCTTGCAGAGAATAAACATTTTTTCTACCATTTCCAAAATGCATAGACAAATATAATCTAAACTTGCTCTCTAATCACTAAAATATTCTTTTTTTTTTTTTTTTGAGACCGAGTCTTGCACTGTTGCCCAGGCTAGAGTGCAGTGGCACGATCTTGGCTCACCGCAAGCTCCACCTCCCGGGTTCACGCCATTCTCCTGCCTCAGCCTCCTGAGCAGCTGGGACTACAGGTGCCCACCACCACACCCGGCTAATTTTTTGTACTTTTTTATTAGAGACAGGGTTTCACCGTGTTAGCCAGGATGGTCTCGATCTCCTGACCTCAGGATCCGCCTGCCTCGGCCTCCCAAAGTGCTGGGATTACAAGCGTGAGCCACCGCGCCCGGCCTAAAATATTCTTGATGTGTTTTGAGCTGTGTTGTTTCCATTAAAATGTGAAACTACACAACTGGAAGAATATCGAGTAGAAATGCTTAAAAATAACTGCAGCAGAAAGTTAACCCAACACTCAGTTATGACCTCTTGATGACAGATACACAACTTTCATATAATCAGGCACTTAAAGAAATCACTTCCCTCTTAAAATACTTCATGCAAAAAGAGATGTGATCACGTACTGCTGTGAGCACAAATGTCTGGGCATTTTCCCCCTTGGCTAATATATTCAAGAATAAGAAACCAACAAGACATTGCAAATGAGAGCTTCTCTAACTGCTTCCAGGTGTCCAGGCCGCCCAGCATTCCTGATAGTCCAGAACCATTCTGATGCAATTTACAAACATTCCTTCCTGGGAGAAGATGAATTGAGGCTAGTATTGAGCAGCCTGAGATAAATGATAGCAATGCTGCACACCGTCGTGTTTATAATGCCTTCATCTTTTCTTTTTCTTTCTTCTCTGGCATTTGGGCAAAACTGGTGGGTGTGTTGGTAAAATATTTTGCAGATTCATTCTTTCTTTCCTTCTTTCTTTCTTTTCTTTTTTTTCTAGAAATGGTCTCACTATGTTGCCCAGGCTGGTCTCAAATTCCTGGCCTCATGCAATCCTCCCACCTTGGCCTCCCAAAGTACTCAGATTACAGGCATGAGCCGCTGCACCTGGCCTTTTTGCAGATTTTGAATGCACCATAAATGCTCTCAACAAGTCCATCACAATGTTCTAAACTGAAATTAGGGCTCTTGTCCTTAGCTGTACCTTAGTCTGCGGATATTTTTCTCCAGGTAGCCCATTCTTTCAAAGTCCCTATAAACCAGAACAGACTTTGTAAGAAGTATATCAAAAGACATATACAGAGAGCCACAAAAATATAAAGTGTTATTAAAAGAATAAATTGAAAAAGTCTCTAGAGAGATTGTTGATAAGAAAAAAATAGTATTGTAAGTACATAATAATGAGAAAATCGCTAAGACTCAGGGATTCTTAAACTATCTTTTGAGCCACTGGTCCCTTTGGTAAAGCTTGTGGACCTCCCTTTTCCAATGTAGGAAGATACAGGGTTTTTTTCTTTTTCTCCCTCATCTATGTTCACAGAACTGCTCTCTTCAGACTAAGAACACCCCTGGGAGTGAATAACACTGGCTCTTATTTAAAGTGTGAAGTGGACTGAGTTAATGTTGGATGTTCTGCAAAAGCCTTCTCTCTGCAGGCACCACCCTCTCTAAGTGCCTCTCCTTTCCCAGGTGCCAGCGTTCATCAATCCCCCTTACTTCGATGTCCTGTCCAGGCTTAATGTATTTGAGCAACACCCTGTGTTAAAGCCCTTTCCCCATCTTCTCACCAACCCCAACCCACAGATTCCCCAATTCCATGTGCCCCTCTCTCAGGTTTTATTCACATAAATAGAAATTTATAAAAATGGGACCCATTTTCTGGCAAAGCATATCAGATTGGGGGCACAGCAGTTTTTTGAATCACCCATGTCACACACACGCCCATATGGTATGTCTCCGTGGGAGCAGTGGAGAGAAGTGTCTTTGGCTTCCACTCCTGGCTTCCATTGAAAATTAGTGGGTACAATAAGAGTTGTGATGATTGCCTTGTGTGTGGGAACTAGGTGGAAGCAGAAACAAAGCCGTGTGGTCTTAGGAATGTAACTGGGGCTTGTTAATGAATCAATGAATTTACACTAAGGTGTGTCCAAAGTGAAATCCATTTTACTTAAAACAGGATTACCTTTTAAAAATAAGATTTATTTCAATGTTAGGAATTAGGACAGCTTGAGTATGGTAACATTTTGAGGCACTTTTTCCATTTAATATATATGGAAATTTGACATAAATCTGGATATTTGAGTTTACCCAATAACTATAGACTCACACAATGGACTAAGCTTCCCCTAAAGAGAAAAAAAAAAAAAAAAAAACCCTGGAAAAGTAGGACTCACTTTTCCCCCTAAAATCATCCCACATAACAAGAAGCTCCAGAGCTGATATGTGTGCGGAGAACGTCTCTTTCCTGAAAGGAGTAGAGGTAGAATTTGGAGAGTTCCAGTCGATATGCTGATACTTACCTGTTTTAGATGCTATCCGAGGAGGAGGGAGAGGAGGGAACAGTGCAGTGATGCAACCTACTATTGACGCATCTTTGCCCTCCCCTTCCCCATCTTTCCACTCCTCAAATTGTGAACAAGGGCAATGGTTGGAAGATAAAGCTAGAAAAATAGGCTGACTCAGTTAAAACATTGTATTACTCATCTGAAATACTATGAGAAGCTATTTGAAGGATTTTAAACTATAGAGATGATATCAAGTTCAAATTTTGGAGAAAAATCACTTTAAGATATTTAACATTCTAGTACTAACTACCAAAGTTCAAATGCTAACTGTTAAAGTTGGTCACTGGCCAGGTGCATTGGTGCCTATAATTCCAGTACCTTGGGAAGCCAAAGAGGATTATTTGAGGCCAGGAGTTTGAGACCAGCCTGGGCAACGTTAGCTGAAACACCAAAGCCTGTCAACACAATTGGATAGACTTTAGTCACAAGCCATTGTCTGCTCTGCAAACCCAACAAACTTCATCTCAGACCATTGTATGTTCTTCAAGTTCATTGAATTCCCCTAAAAATTATTTGCTATTCCCCTAAAATTATCCATCTCCCTTCCCCTAAGAAAAACTGTATAACCATCCGTACCTCATTGTGTGATGGGGTAATCATGCTATGATTGTTCCCTCCATGCATATTTATAAATGTGTATGTCTTTTCTCCTGTTAATCTGGTTTTTGTCAGTTAATTTTTCACTGTACCTTCAGAGACCAAAGGAGAAGTTGTCCCTTGGTCCCTACACCTCTGTCACAAAATACAGATTCAGGAGAGAAATGTAGGGTCCAGCCCCACAGGGTCGGTGGGTTTTCTTCCCATGTGCGGAGACAAGAGAGTGTAGAAATAAAGACATGAGACAAAGAGATAAAAGAAAAGACAGCTGGGCCCGGGGGACCACTACCACCAAGACGCAGAGACCGGTAGTGGCCCCGAATGCCAGGCTGTACTGATATTTATTGGATACAAGATAAAGGGGCAGGGTAAGGAGTGTGAGCCATCTCCAATGATAGGTAAGGTCATGTGGGTCACGTGTCCATTGGACAGGGGGGCCCTTCCCTGCCTGGCAGCCGAGGCAGAGAGAGAGAGAGAGGAGAGAGAGACAGCTTACGCCATTATTTCTGCTTATCAGAGACTTTTAGTACTTTCACTAATTTGCTACTGCTATCTAAAAGGCAGAGCCAGGTGTACAGGATGGAACATGAAGGCGGACTAGGAGCATGACTACTGAAGCACAGCATCACAGGGAGACGGTTAGGCCTCCGGATAACTGCGGGCGGGCCTGACTAATGTCAGGCCCTCCGCAAGAGGTGGAGGAGTAGAGTCTTCTCTAAACTCTCCCAGGGAAAGGGAGACTCCCTTTCCTGGTCTGCTAAGTAGTGGGTGTTTTTCCTTGACACTGACGCTACCGCTAGACCACGGTCCGCTTAGCAATGGGCGTCTTCCCAGATGCTGGCGTTACTGCTAAACCAAGGAGCCCTCTGGTGGCCCTGTCTGGGCATAACAGAAGGCTCGCACTCGTCTTCTGGTCACTTCTTACTATGTCCCCTCAGCTCCTATCTCTGTATGGCCTGGTTTTTCCTAGGTTATGATTGTAGAGCGAGGATTATTATAATATTGGAATAAAGAGTAATTGCTACAAACTAATGATTAATGATAGTCATATATAATCATATCTAAGATTTATATCTAGTATAACTTCTTATTTTATATATTTTATTATACTGGAACAGCTCGTGCCCTCGGTCTCTTGCCTCGGCACCTGAGTGGCTTGCCACCCACAGAGAAAAGCATAACAGATTACTGTGTGCACAGGCATGCATGGGAGTCATACAAAATATGAATTCGGGCTGGGCGTGGTAGCTCACGCCTGTAATCTCAGTACTTTGGGAGGACGAGGTACGCAGATTACCTGAGGTCAGGAGTTCGAAACCAGCCTGGCCAACATGGTGAAACCCTGTCTCTACTAAAAATACAAAAATTAGCCAGGCATGGTCGTGCATGCATGTAATCCCAGCTACTCGGGTGGCTGAGACAGGAGAGTTACTTGATCCCGGGAGGTAGAGGTTGCAGTGAACTGAGATCGCACCACTGCACTCCAGCCTGGGTGACAGGATGAGACTTTGTCTCAAAGAATTCGGAGGAGGGACAGATGTTTGATGTTTAAATATCTTCTTCACTGGGGAGAAGGGAGATGGGGAGGTATAGAAGTAAATATGATTTTGAGGGAAAATGAATGAGCCCAAAGACCAAGGGCCTGGGACCAAGTTTCTCCGGGCTCTGTGGAAGGTGGTGTCACAGGTTATGGGAGAATGAAGAGCGGAAAAGCATGTCAAGCAAAGGCCATCTTATGCAGGTGAAATATCTCAGGTAATTTTGGAGCTGCTTTCAGAAAGAATAGTTGATAGCCTGTGGTTTGGTTCATCTGTCCTAGATCCTGAAAAGGGAGGGGAGCCTCGGAGAAAGCCTGGCTATTTCACCAATGTCAATTTTCTCCACAGATGCAAATCTCCTTTACAAAAGGCAGCTTTTCAGGTGTTAACAGAAAAACCAAAGTCTGTAAAATATTTTAAAGAGGTTTATTCTGGGCCAATAGGAATGACCATGGCCTGGGAAAAAACACAAACCCAAGAAGCTTTGAGTGAGCAGTCCTCACTCAAAGTGAGGTTACAACTCTGTTTATACATTTTAGGGAAGGAGAAGTCACAGGCAAAGTCATCAATCCATAAATGGTTAGACACTGATTTGGCCCAAAAAGGTGGCATTATCTTGACACGAGGGTTTATAGGTCATAGGTGTGTTCAGAGAGTCTCCAATTTGCAATTGGTTAAAGAAGTAAAGTTTTGTCTAAAAATTTGGAGTCAACAGAAAGGAATATTTTAAGTTAAGATACTATTAACTTAAAGTCCATTTTGGGCCGGGTGTGGTGGCTCATGCCTGTAATCCCAGCACTTTGGGAGGCCGAGGCAGGTGGATCACGAGGTCAGGAGATCGAGACGATCCTGGCTAACACGGTGAAACCCTGTCTCTACTAAAAATGCAAAAAATCAGCCGGGCGTGGTGGTGGGTGCCTGTAGTCCAAGCTGCTTGGGAGGCTGAGGCAGGAGAATGGTGTGAACCCGGGAGGCAGAGTTTGCAATGAGCCGAGATCATGCCACTGCACTCCAGCCTGGGCAACAGAGTGAGACTCCGTCTCAAAAAAAAAAAAAAGTCCATTTTGTTAGTGTTATGATGTTTCTGAACTCCAAAGGAAGGAGGAGATAATGAGGCTTGCCTGACCTCTTGTTAGTGGTGGAAGAGATCTGAGTTACCCTGAGTTACCAGCAGCAAATCCCTACGCATCTGCAGCAACTTCAATTCTTGCCTCCTCAGAAGAAAGAATTCAACTGAGGGACATAAAGCAGAAAAAGAGACCAAGGCAAGTTTCAGAGCAGGAGTGGAAGTTTATTTAAAAGGCCTTAGAACAGGAAAGAAAGGAAAGTTCACTTGGAAGAGATCCAGGAGGGTGCATGAGGAGTAGAGAGAGGTCCAGTGCTCTGTTTTAACTGTGATCCTAGGACTTTCATAGGCTTGCCTCTTTCTCATGATTCTTCCCTTAGGGTTGGCTGCCAGCATGTGCAGAGCCCTCCTTACCCTTGGGAAGTGAGCATGCGCAGTGTTTTTAGGAAGTTGTATGCATGCCCATCTGAGGCTTTCTTCCTGTTTACAGTGAAGTGTACCCGGAAGATCATACTTCGCCATTTTTGACTCTTAATGTGCATGCCCAGGAAGTTTCTTCTCCCTGGGGTCTGCCTTTAATTAATACTTTAATGTTGACAGGTGTGGACCCTCAGGAAATAGCCAATTTATCACTATTAGAGAGGCAATGTGATAATTGCCGAACCATCCGACATTTCTAATGGGTGCAGGGAAGAGGTCTCTCCTGCCCCACTCAGACCTAACTACCTGTAACACTCTCATCCCATCATGACCAGGAGTTCAGTTTTTCAGGCTTCTCTGGGTCCCCTTGGCCAAGAGGTGGCCCACTCAGTCATTTGGGGAGGTTTAGGATTTTAGTTTAGTTTATGCTAGACTATTCCTGTCTGCAGGGCCTCTGAATAACCATCTTGAAATATGTCAAAGAAGTATATTTTGGGGTAAAATGTTTTTGGTTTCCTTTACACACAAAAAATATTGTATCTTAAATAATCTTTGATCGACTAGACTGTTTCACAACCTATAGGGAAAATAGTTAAGTTGAAAAAACCTGGTGACAACCCAAATGTTTCTTTTCTGTAGTAATACAAAATATTTTTTCCATAAAAATGCAAATACACATGGCCGGGTGTGGTGGCTCACACCTGTAATCCCAGCACTTTGGAAGGCCGAGGTGGGCGGATCACGAAGTCAAGAGATCGAGACCATCTTGGTCAACCTGGTGAAACCCCGTCTCTACTAAAAATACAAAAATTAGCTGGGCGTGGTGGCACGTGCCTGTAGTCCCAGCTGCTCAGGAGGCTGAGGCAGGAGAATCATTTGAACCCGGGAGGTGGAGGTTGCAGTGAGCCAAGATCGCACCAAAGCACTCCAGCCTGGGTGACAGAGCGATACTCTGTCTCAAAAAAAAAAAAAAAAAAATGCAAATACACTTTGGGAGGCCAAGGTGGGCAGATCACGAAGTCAGGAGATTAAGACCATCCTGGCCAACATGGTGAAACCCCATCTGCACTAAAAATACAAAACAAATTAGCCAGGCATGGTGGCGCGCGCCTGTAGTCCCAGCTATTCAGGAGGCTGAGGCAGGAGAATCGCTTGAACCCAGGAGGCAGAGGCTGCAGTGAGCCGAGATCACACCACTGCACTCCATCCTGGGCGACAGAATGAGACTCTGTCTAAGAAAAAAAAATGCAAATAAAAATTTTTGTCTGGTAGAGTTGCAATTGATTTCTAACTTTTAGAAGAGATAATCCCCAAACATGACATTTTAAGACCTATAAAATATTAACCAGTATGCACCTATTAACAAGTTCATTTCAGCATTTTTGGTATCCTACATACACACATACCTGTTATTCAAATTTTTATTTGAATTTTTTGGGTTTTTTTGTTTGTTTGTTTTTTGTTTTTTTAGACAGAGTCTCACTCTGTTGCCCTGGTTGTAGTACAGTGGTGTGATCTTGGCTCACTGCAACTTCCGCCTCCCAGGCTCAAGTGCTTCTCCTGCCTCAGCCTCCTAAGTAGCTGGGACTACAGGCAAGTGCCACCCTGCTCAGCTAATTTTTGTATTTTTAATAGAGATGGGATACAGGGTTTTACCATGTTGGTCAGGCTGGTCTCAAACTCCTGACCTCAAGTGATCTGCCCACCTCGGCCTCCCAAAGTGTTGGGATTACAGGCGTAAGTCATTGCACCTGGTCTGAACTGTTTTCAGTATCTTAATAGTTCTCTGATTAATTAATGAGTTAAAGGAAAAAAAAGGAAATGTGTGACATGTCTATATTTTATATTTGGCAAGAGTCATAAATGTCCCTTTTTGAAAATTATAGTTTAGAAAGTATTATATAACGGTTCAGGCAAGGGGTCTTCCTGGTTTGACAATAATAAATGCAAACTCGTGATTACATTTCTGTGATCCTCCTCTATATAGCAGTCACGTGACAGGTGAATTAATCCTTTAAACTCTCACTCCAAAAATCCTGCTCCAAGAACTTTTATTAAGCTTGTTTTAATCCTAAAGAAAGTCTAAATTTAGCTTAAATCCAAGGGGGAAGGGGGACATAAACCAAAAAGAAAAAAAAATTATATAAAGAGACATGGAGTAAGCATAGAGGGAGGGCTTTAAACTCTCATAAATCTCAGTCAAATTTTTGCTAGGTTTGAGAGAAATTATTATTTGGCTCACTTCCCTTACATTCTCTTTCTCTCCGGGCACTTGTCCCCTGCCACAACCAACTTTTAGAATTTTAATGCAAAGCAGCTCACTGCCTGCCTTCCCCATTTGCTCATAGCTAATTCTTCCTCTCCTGCCCTTCATGCCTTTCTGGGGTCACAGTGCATTCATGGGTTTACTCCCAATAGCATTTAAACAAAATAAAATTAAAAGGATCACTGAAAGTCCAGCCCAGTTCTGACTCATTGCTCATTGGAAGAAGATAATCTCAGCTTGTTGGTGGTTGCTCATTTTTTCATTTAACGAAAGACATCTGGATTTAAGACAAATAAAGCTGTGATGAAATACTTTGAACATCTGGAATCACAGAGAAGTTCCTGAATAGAGTGGGGAAAAAAGTAAGATAAAATATATCACTGTTGGCAAGGTGTGGCTCGTGCCTGTAATCTTAGCATTTTGGGAGGCCAAGGCAGGAGGATCTCTTGAAGCCAGGAGTTCAAGACCAGCCTAGGCAACATAGTGAGACCCTGTCTCTACTAAATAAATAAAGAACACTATTGTCTTTGTCCCTGTGGGGACTTTTTATAAGGGCACTGAGTCTTATAAATAACAGAAATTTATTCTTCACAGTTCTGAAGGCTGGGTAATCCAAGATCAACATTATCAGTAGATTCAATGTCTGTGAAATGCATTCTTCCTGTTTCAAAGATGGATGTCTTCTCACTGTGTCCTCACATGATGGAAGGGGTGAAGGATTTCTCCTGGCCTCTTTTATAGGGACACTAATCTTATTCATGAGGGCTCCACCCTCATGACCTATTCACCTCCCAAATGCCCCACCTCCTAATGCCATCACCTTGTGGGCTAGGATTTCAACATATGAATGGAGGGGGGCACAAACATTCAATCTGTAGCACCTTGTGTAAATTGTATATCTATGAACTACTTGTGTAAATAAAAAATGAAATAAAATATTAAAGGAATAAACTAGAAAAATAATGAGTAAGCATTTAAAATATTAATCAACAGTGCCCAACTTTGTTTTTTTGAGATGGGGGAGTCTCATATTTTGGGGCATCTGTTTCTGAGCACCCAAACTGGGGCATCAGCCATGATGCTTTATGATGGGGAGGAAAAGGATCATTCCTTTTCCACCTCTATGTGTGCTATCAAATGATATTATTTCAGTCCGGCAGAATAAGTGTTCAAAGTGTGGCATTACTTTTTTGTTTTTTTTTTTTTTTTTGATGGAGTCTTGCTCTGTCACCCAGGCTGGAGTGCGGTGGTATGATCTCAGCTCACTGCAACCTCCACCTCCCAGGTTCAAGCGATTATCCTGCCTCGGCCTCCCCAGTAGCTGGGACTACAGGCACACACCACCACACCTGGCTAATTTTTGTATTTTTAGTAGAGACAGGGTTTTACCATGTTGGTCAGGCTGGTCTCAAACTCCTGACCTCATGATCTGCCTGCCTCAGCCTCCCAAAGTGCTGGGATTACAGGCACGAGTCACTGTGCCTGGTAGCATTCCTACTTTTTAATCCTATTCCTCCCAATCTAATACCCCAAAGCTGGGACAACCAAAATGAGGCACAAATCTCAATCATCAAGGTTTATTAAGCCAGCTTTAAGCACGTCTGGGAAAAACACAAGCCACAGACACATCTGTGGCTGTTTTTTCCAAAGAGACTCTCAAGAGTTTTCGTATTTATACATTTTCTTAAAGTTGGGAAGGAGTGTAGGAAGAGGGGCAGGTAGGAGGTCGGGCGAATGGTTACATTCCCGGGGGACTTTGGTTAGTGCCTGGTCAATCTACATTTTACATAAGATAAGGTGAAGGTTTGAAGAGAAAAAGGGAGTAAAGGAAGATTCAGTTATGCAGGCATCACTGGCTAGGTGGAGAAATGAGTCTTGTCTTTGTTCTGCACCTGGGAAGATAAACTTGTACTACACTATCAGTGTGGAACTGAACAGACTTTAATTTTAGGAAGACCTTAAGTTAAATTGGCATGTCCTTGTTTATAGGAGACCGGCAAAGAACTTATGAATGATGTGTGGGGGCAGCCCTTCATAGATGCTTGAGGCCTTTTATCTTTCCATGGGGATCTGGCTGATGCATGTTAGTAACAGCTGTTCATTTGGAAGAGGGTGTTGCCTAACTCAGCCTCGCAGCTTAACCTCTTTTGCAATAAGAAGTTTAGGGGTCCTGAGATTTTTTTTGTTTTCCTTTATACCTCAAATTATCCTTTTGTTATCTTCCTTTCTTCTTCATCAAAACTCCTATTTTGAACTTAAATAGCCCTCAAGACCACCTGGACTAGTTGACATTCTCTCTTTAATATGCTCTCAAAACTCTTTATACTTTTCATTCTTCTCAGTTTTCATAATTTTGTTTGATAACCTTGAAGAACTATTTGTTTAATATGAGTCTCTCCACCTAGACCCTAAGTTCCATGAGGGCAAAACTGTTGTCTGTTTTATTCATAATTATATCCTTAATAACTAGCAAAGTGCCTGGTACATAGTAGGTGCTCATTAAGTAAGTGTTGAGTGAATATATTAATTTCCTCAGTATATTGCCTCTGTTCAATGGCTTCCAAGTAGGAAGCTTACAAAGATGGCATAGTATAGGATTCTTAAAAAGGCTTTAAAGTGGCTGGGAGTGGTGGCTCATGTCTGTAATCCCAGCACTTTGGGAGGCCAAGATGGGTGGAACACTTGAGGTCAGGAGTTCGAGACCATCCTGGCCAACATGGTGAAACCCCGTCTCTACTAAAAATACAAAAGTTGGCCAGGTATGGTGGCACGTGCATGTGGTCCCAGCTATTCGGGAGGCTGAGAGGCAGGAGAATTGCTTGAACCCAGGAGGTGGAGGTGAGATCATGCCACTGCGTCCAGCCTGGGTGACAGAGCAAGACTCTGTCTCAAAAAAAAAAAAAAATTAAAGCTAGACTATCTTAAATCCTAACTCCACTACTTATTATCTGTTGTAAGGACAAATGCAAATTAAAAATAAGGCCAGATGCAGGGGCTCACGCCTGTAATCCCAACACTTTGGGAGGCTGAGGCAGGCAGATTGCTTGAAGCCAGGAGTTCAAGATCAGCCTGGGCAACATAGTGAGACCCTGTCTCTATGAAAAATACAAAAATTAGCTGGGTGTGGAGGCATGCACCTGTAGTCCCAGCTACTCGGGAGCCTGAGGTGGGAGAATCACTTGAATCTGAGGGGTTCGAGGCTGCTGTGAGCCATGATTGTGCCACTGTACTTCAGCCTGGGTGACAGAGTATGACCCTGTCTCAAAAAAACAAAACACACACACACACACACAAACACACACAGAGAGAGAAAAGAAAGAAAAAAATGAAAATAAAGGAAGAGACTTTTCATCCTCTCCTTCTTCTTAAAGCATTTATCAAAACAAAACAAAACAAAAACCCTTCTAATTGTAAGGACTTCCTCCTCTCTTTGAAATGTATAAAATTCCATTTGAAAATGATAGGCCTTTTGTCACTTTTAAGACCTAGGAGCCATCTCTTTGAAATGTAAACATCAGAGGAGATAGTACCCCTGTCTTCTGTGGGAAGGTAGGAGCCTAACTTTGGTAGATACCTTGCTCCAAGCTGCAAAACTACCTCCTATTATAAAGAGATGAGATGCTTGTTTTTTCTTCTGGATAAAGCCAATTAGCTAACACCACAAAATATCAAGTAAAATGAGGATAACTATGTGTGACAAATAGTGCTGACAGACCTCTTACTATAATTATTTATCTTGAAAACATATATGTAGCCGGACATGGTGGCTCATGCCTGTAATCCTGGCACTTTGGGAGGCCAAGGCGGGTGGATCACTTGAGGTCAGGAGTTCGAGACCAGCCTGGCCAACATGGTGAAACCCCATCTCTACTAAAAATACAAAAATTCGCTGAGTGTGGTGATGGGAGCCTGTAGTCCCAGCTACTTGAGACGCTGAGGCAGAACAATCACTTGAACCCAGGGGGCAGAAGTTGCAGTGAGCCGAGATCATGTCACTGCACTCCAGCCTGGATGACAGAGCGAGACTTCATCTCAAAAAAAAAAAAAAAAAAAAAAGAGAAAAGAAAACATGTATGTAATGGGTTGTATCTGGTATCTGCTTGGCTATGGAAAAGGCTGAGATTTCTTTCTGTCTTTGCAATCTCTTAGCATATTGCCTGTGATGGGCATCACATTCTGGTTTAGTGCTTATTCAATAATAAAACTGTTACCTTTCTCTTCTTTCTTTGCTGAGAGATTGGGAAGAGATTTTGTTTTTAATTTCTCCAACACTATGTAACCTTAGCCAAATTACTTTTAACTGTAAAATTGGGCCTCAGTTCCCTTGTCTATAAAATAAGAATCCTAATAGGATTCTTAGAGTCCTAATGAGATTTATAGGATTGTTGTGAAGATTAAAGGAGTTAATACTATAAAGCACTTAAAACAGTGCCTGCCATAAATCAAAAACTCAGTGAGCATTGGTTATTATCATACAAAAGTGATCACCATAGCAACTTGTAGCATTGATGCTCTGAGACATATCTACATTTGAAAATAGTATCCTGGAGGCCACAATGTTCTCGATGGAAGTATTAATGTAGGCTCTGACAGGTAGAAAGGAAAATGTTGCCACGTATCTAACATCTGTGCTTTGTTGCATGTTGGTTAACTGTCTATTCAAGGGTGAAGGGGAGTTCTCCATGATATATTCTTTACATATTCTGTAGCTTACTTTTGGTAATATTTTTAAAACTTCAAGGACAGAGTTTTTATTTTCATCAAACTCATCCAATAACTCAATATGCTCCCTGGTTTCAAATTACCCCTTTTGGTTACATACAAATTTTACATTTAGCCATTTCTGTTTCAGCTTCATTTTCAGTATTCTAGTGTGGTGTTTTTAATGATTCTCATTTCATTATGTTTCCATTTTAATTTCTTAAACTGATTTAAATTATATATATTATTAAGTAGGGGAAAAGGCAATTTGAAGGGGAAAGCAAACTATTTTACTGATAATACTATAATAATTTGGTAACGAATTATCCCTTTGGGGTATATGTTAAATTCTAAAGCAATAAAGTATGTTAGCTGCAAACATTTACAATAAAGTAATTGCCAACTGCATAGAGGTTATTTCATTTCAGAAGTTGTAGGTCAGTGTTAGGGCTGAGTTCAGTAAACTGGAGGCAAACGCTTAACATTATAGTTGAAATAGGGCCATATTAGAAGTGCTGTTGTGTGATCACATTTTAGTGTCTATTATGTCTTGATTAAGACTCCCTTGGAGATTCCTTTTTAATGGAATTTGAGGGATTAAAAATGGCTTCACAAATCACTTTTCAATCTGGTGAAGTAAGCAGGGAATGAAAAACATCATGCTGTCATCTTCAAGAGCAGGGAAAGTTGTAAATAAAGAAAACAAATTAGTGGCTACTTCACACCTCATCAGCTACCTAACAACCTGTTACCAGTTAATTACACACCTTTAAAATGCATGTACAAGAGAAATTATTCAGAAATCAGTTTCTCTAAAGGGGAGGGTGGCAGACAAATAACAACTCAGAGCAAGTTTCATTTAACTATTTCGATGTTATAACCAACCACGAGGGGGAAAAAATAAATTTTCTCAAGAATAGAGTCATATAAGTGCCACCTCTTAGTGTTCTAGCTTCAAGGGTATCCCTGCCTATACTTACTCTAAGTGGGTAAATCTTTGTTCAGGACCTCCTGGGAAATAGAGTCTCCTATATCCCTTTGTGAACTATTCCAATCTTTTTGGTCTCTCAGTAGCATACACTCACTGTTTATCATGTCAGAGTTCAATCCCAAGCTATTAGAGAATAATTACACCACAGAAGACAAAAGTCAAACACTACTACTCTCGAGAAGTTTGGGCCAGGTGTGGTGGCTCATGCCTGTTATCCCAGCACTGCGGGAGGCTGAGGTGGGAGGATTGCTTGAACCCAGGAGTTCAAGACCAACTTGCCTGGGCAACATAGCAAGATCCTGTCTCTATTTAAGAAAAAAAAAAAAGAAGTCTGAGCAGTGACGTTTTGAGATGACTGACTAGAGGCACAAGACACTCAGCTCCTCCACAAAGAACCAAAATGGTGAGTAGATACTCACACTTGGAACAGAACATCTAAGAGAGAAAGCTAGAATTTAACAAAGTGACAAGAAACACCTGAGGCACTGAAGGAGCCAGAGGTGAAACCGACAGCCCAGCCAGGATCAGCTGGGAGCTCAGAGAGGCTCCTCAGTGCAAGGAAAGGGGAAGTGCAAGATCCCCAGTGGTCCACATCCTTACCACAGATTCCTGTAATACTAGCCATGGGAGAGTTCCTCAAGCCCTGCAGGCCCTGAGACTGGCATGAGGAGCTCCCTAGAGTCCATGAGAGAGTTTTGCTCCAGAGAGGGAGCTCATAGTGGGTCTCACACCACCCCGTCTCCTAACTCCCAGGCAGCTGCAGCATGACACCATTTTGAGAGCCCAACTTCCACCAAGCTACATCCTGTCCCAGTGCCCCACAGCTCCTGCATCTCCACCTCCCTGGAGTCCCAGTGACATTTCCCCACATCCACCAGAAGGGCTACAGAGGTGAGATGCCAGTTGGAACCAGTAGAACAGCAGGATCCCCAGCAATCTAGCCCGTACAGTGTCCTATACACTGGGGAGAGAGAGGTGCAGCACACCAGGGAGGAGGGAGCCAAAGTGCTTACACCCCAGAGTCTGAAATCCATCTACCTTAAGCTGTGGTCACAAACAGCAACCCTAATGCTCTCCCCAGCAGCAGGGCTGCCATGCACTTGCTTATGCCTGGAGTCCGGGCTATCCTTGCCAGCTGCTTCAGCCACTGCTGTTACTGGGAGCCAAAGTACATACTGTCCAGAGTCTGAACCCCACCTTCCTGGGATGGCTACCACAAATAGCACCCCCATCCCTAGCAGGGCTACTGCACACTTGCATATGCCTTCAGGATGGGTTTTTACTGCCCACTGCCACTGCTACTATCCCTGCCTGAGCACACTGCCCAAGAATTGGGGATCGACCCACAATGCTCACCACAGCCTGTGGCCATACGCAACAATGGGGAGCTTAAGGATAGGCCCACCCAGACTGGAACCACACCCCCCCGTTCCCAAACCTTCCACCTGGGGACCCAGGGGTTAGCCCATCCTATCAGTCACCCAGGTGAGGATGCAAACCAGCAGGGGGCCTAATAATAGCCTCAGAACACCTGCCACTGCTGGCACCCTATCATACCTTCCAGAGGCCTGGGGGCCTGCCCTGCCCCACCCACTAAAGCCAACACTTAAGTGGGCCAACAGGACACCTAAAAACAGACCCATCTTACCAGGCTTGGCCCCTCAGTGCCCCAAACACACCACCTGGGAGCCTGGGGCCACACCACCCCAACAGTTGCCCTGGGAACACATGCACACAAGCAAAGGGCCTAACAACAGGCCTAGAAAACCAGCAACCAGCAACCAAGCATGCTCTCTGGAGGCCTGGGCATCTCCCTGCCTCATTCATAACTACTGGCATCTGGGAACTCCTCGTGGGGTCCTGAAGATGGGCCTGCCCAGCCTTCCATCACCACCACCACCAGCACACAACTGCATGTGCCACCTGGGGACCTAGGGAATGGCCTGCTTAGACCATCACAGACAAAAAAAAAAAAAAAGAAATAAGAAAGAAAGAAAAAGAAAGGAAGGAAGGAAGAAAGGGAAGGAAGGAAAGAGAGAAAGAGGAAGAGAAAGAAAGATAAAGAAAGAGAAAGAAAGAAAGAAGGAAAGAAAGAAAGAAAAAAGAAAAGAAGGAAGGAAGGAAAGAAAGAAAGAAAGAAAGAAAGAAAGAAAGAAAGAAAGAAAGAAAGAAAGAAAGAAAGAAGGAAGCAAGACCGGCCAGCAAGTGCCACCTGGAAGCCTGAGGGTTGTCCTGTCCCCAGAAAAACCTCACCACAGCTTCCATTAACAACCAGAGCCCAAGCTACTGAGAAAATCACAAACACCACTGACTGAGTTTATAGCCGAGGAACTCCTATGAGCCTGCACTACTGCACACACCCAGAATCAAAGCAAAAGTGCCCTACCCAACCAACACCATAGATTCACCTACAGGAAAAAGTCTTCCCCATGCAAAAGCCAATCCAAAAATAGAAGAAGAGACTGTTACACCTGATGTGCAAATGTCAATGAAAGGAAATAGGAGGCTGGGCGTGGTGGCTTACGCCTGTGATCCCAGCACTTTGGGAGGCCAAGGCGGGTGGATCACCTGAGGTCAGGAGTTAGAGACCAGCCTGGACAGCATGGTGAAACCCTGTCTGTACTAAAAATACAAAAAAATTATCCAGGTGTGGTGGTGGGCACCTGTAATTCCAGCTACTGGGGAGGCTGAGGAAGGAGAATTGCTTGAACCCGAGAGGCGGAGGTTGCAATGAGCAGAGATCGCACCACTGTGCTCCAACCTGGGCAGCAAGAGCAAGACTCCATCTAAAAAAAAAAAGGAAATAGGAAACATGAAAAAACAAGGAAATATGAAACCTCCAAAGGAACATAATAATTTTCCAACAACAGATTTCAAAAAATAGTAATTTATGAAATGCTTGAGAAATTTATGAAATGCTTGAGAAATTAAAAATAACATTAAAGAAGCTCAGTGAGATACAAAAGAATGGAGATGAACAATACAAAGAAATCAAATCAGAAAAATAATTCACTATATGAATGGGAAATTCACCAAAGAGATAGACACTATAAAAAAGAACTAAACAAATCCTGGAACTGAAGAATTCAATAAATAAAATTTAAAAATATAATCAAGAGCTTCAATGATAGACTAGATCAAGCAGAAGAAACTTGAAAAACTTGAAGAGAGGTCTTTTGAAATAATCCAATCAGACAAAAAAAAAAAAGAATACAAGAGAATGAGGAAAGGCTATCTGATATATGGGACATCATAAGTGACAAAATATCCAAATGTTTTGTGTCCCAGAAGGCAAGGAGAAGTTAATGCCATAGAAATGCCTATTTAACAAAATATTAGCTGAAAATTTCCCAGTTCTAGCAAGAGATTTAGACATCCAAATACAGGAAGCTCAAAGATCCCCAAACAGATACAATCCAAAAAAAGGCTTTTTCCTGTCATATTGTAGCCAAACTGTTAAAAGTCAAAGACAAAGAAAGAATTTTAAAACAGCAAGAGAACAGTACCTAGTCACATATAAGAGAATCCTCACCAGACTAAAAATTGACTTCTCAGCAGAAACATGACAGGCCAAAAGAGAGCGGAATGATATATTCAAAGTGCTAAGTGAAAAAAATGGCTACTCAAGAATACTATACCCAGCTAAATTATCCTTCATAAATGAAGAAAAAGATAAAGACTTTCCCAGACAAGGAAAAGCTGAGGCAATTCATCTCTACTAGACCAGACCTACAAGAAATGCATAAAGGAGTTCTGTGCTTGGAAGCAAAAGGACCATATCTACTATCATGAAAACACATGAAAGTATAAAACTAATGAATAGAGAAAACACACACGAGAAAGAGAAAGGACTCAAATGTTACAACTACATAAAATCACCAAACCATAAAGATAAAAAATAAGAGAGGAAGAAAATAACAAAGGATATACAAAACAACCAGAGAACAATTAACAGAATGACAGGAATAAGTCCTCACATATCAGCAGTTACCTTGAATGTAAACAAATTAAAATTTCCACCTAAAAGATATAGACTGGATGAATGGGTAAGAGAACATGACTTAACTATGTCTTATCTACAAGAAACTTATTTCACGTGTGAAGACATATATAGACTAAAAGCAAAGGGATGGAAAAAATATTCCACAAACAGAAACCAAAAATAAGCAGAATGTGCTATATTTATAGCATATAAAACAGACTTTAAGTGAAAAACAGCAAAAAGAGACAAAAGGTAATTATATAATGATAAAGATATCAATTCATTAAGAGGATATAAAAATCTTTTTTCTCTCTTTTTTTATTTTGAGACAGAGCCTCGCTCTGTTGCTCTGTCACTCAAGCTGGAAGGGAATGGCACAATCATGGCTCACTCCAGCCTCAACCTCCTGGGCTCAAGCAATCCTCTCACTTCACCCTCAGGCACATGCCCCGTACTTGGCTAATTTTTTAAAATTTTGTGTAAGATGGGGTCTCACTATGTTACTGAGGCTAGTCTGTAACTCCTAGTCTTGAGTGATCCTCTTGCCTTGGCCTCCCAAAGCTCTGGGGTTACAGGTGTGAGCCACCGTGCCTGGGCAAGAGGATGTAATAAGTCTAAATATATATGCACCCAACACAAGAGCACCTGGAAATGTAAAACAGATATTATTAGCTCTAAAGTGAGGAATAGGCTCCAATATAATAATGGTTGGGGACTTCAATACCCCATTGTCAGCAACTGACAGATTATCTACACAGAATATCAACAAAGGAATATTGGGTTTAAACTGCATATTTTAGATCAAATGGACCTAACAGACATTTACAGAGCTTTTCATCTGACAGCTACAGAGTACACATTCATCAGCACATGGAATATTTTCAAAGATAGCCCATATGTTAGAATACAAAACAAGCCTCAACAAATGTTTAAACATTGAAATCATATCATGTATCTTCTCTGACCACAATGAAATAAAACTAGAAATAAAAAACAAGAGGGTTTCTGGAAACTGTACAAATACATGAAATTAAACAATATGCTCCTGAATGACCATTGGGTTAACAAAGAAATTAAGAAGCAAATCAGGCTGGGCATGGTGGCTCGTGCCTGTAATCCCAGCACTTTGGGAGGTTGAGGTGGGCAGGTCACTTGAGACCAGGAGTTCGAGACCAGCCTGGCCAACATGGTGAAACCCCATCTCTACTAAAAATACAAAAATTAGGCAGATGTGGTGATACATGACTTTAGTTTCAGCTACTCGGGGGGCTGAGACATGAGAATTGGTTGAACCTGGTAGGCGGAGGTTGCAGTGAGCCGAGATTGTGCCACTCCACTCCAGCCTGCGTAACAGAGTGAGAGTGTCTCAAAAAAAGAAAAAAGAAAGAAAGAAGGAAGGAAGGAAGGAAGGAAGGAAGGAAAGAAAGAAGCCAAAAATTTCTTGAAACAAATGAAAATGGAAACATAGCATACTAAAACCTATGGGACTAAAAATATACAAAAAAATCAGCAAACAAAAAGTGGGTTTTTTGAAAAGATAAATAATATTGGCAGACCACTAGCTAGACCAGTGAAGAAAGAGAGAAGACCCAAATAAAATTAGAAATAAAAAGGAGGCATTACAACTGATAACCACAGAAATACAAAAGATCATCAGATACTATTATGAACAACTACACACTAACAAACTGCAAAACCTAGAGAAAATGGATAAATCCCTGGAAACATGCAACCTACTAAGATCAAATCAGGAAGAAATAGAAAACCTGAACAGATCAATAAAGTGTAATGAGATTGAAAACAAATTTAAAAGTCTCCCAACAAAGAAAAGCTGAAAACATAATGGCTTTACTGCATAATTCTACCAAACTTATAAAGAAGAACTAATTTCAATTCTCCTCAAACTATTCTAAAAAAGAGAAGAGGTGGGAATTTGCCCTAACTCATTCTGTAAAACCAGTATTACCTTGGTAACAAAGCCAAACAAAAACACAACACAGAAAGAAAATGACAGGTCAATAAACTAATGAACGTAGACATAGAAATCCTCAACAAAATATTAGCAAACCAAATCTAGCAGCACCTCAAAAAGATAATATACCACAATCAAGTGGAATTTACCCCAGGATTGCAAGCATGGTTCTACATATGTAAACAGTAAATGTGATATATCACCTCAGCAGAACAAAAGACAAAAACTACATGATCACCTAATAGATGCAGAAAAAGCATTTGATAAAATTCAACATCCCTTCATGATAAACAACACTCAACAAACTCTGCACAGAAGGAACATACCTCAACATAATAAAGACCATGTATGACAAACCCACAGTTAACACACTGATGGGGAAAAACTAAAACCCTTTCCCCTAAGAACTAAAACAAGCGAGGATGCCCACTTTTACCATTTCTATGCAACATACTACTGGGAGTCTTCGCCAGAGCAATCAAATAAGAGATAGAAATAAAAGGCATCCAAATAGAAAAAGAGGAAACCAAATTATCTCTGTTCACTGACAACATAATTCTATATCTAGAAAACCCTATAGATTCCTTCAAAAGACTCCTAGAGCAAATAAACAAATTCAGTAAAGTTTCAGAAAACAAAATCAACATACAAAAATCAGTAGCATTTCTATATACCTTATAATGTCAATAATGAATTAGCTGAAAAATAATAAAGAAATCCCATGTACAATGACAAAACAAAAACAAAAACAAAAACAAAAAAACTAGGAATAAATTTAACCAAGGAGGTGAAAGATCTCTACAAGGAAAACTACAAAACACCAGTGAAAGAAATTGCAAAGGTCACAAACAAACGTAAAGATATTCCATGCTCATGGATTGGAAGAATTAATATTGTAAAATGACCATACTACTAAAGCAATTCCTATCAAAATGCCAATGACATTCTTTACAGAAATAGAAAAAAATAAATCCTAAAATTTGTATGGAACCAAAAAAGAGCCTAAATAGCCAAAGCAATTCTGAATGAAAATAACCAAGCTGGAGGCACCACACTACCTGACTTTAAAATATATTATCAGGCCATAGTAGCCAAATCAGCATGATATTGGTATAAAAAGAAAAACACAGACCAACGGAACAAAATAGAGAACCCAGAAATAAACTTACATATTTATAGACAGCTGATTTTAGACAAATGTGCCAGGAACATGCACTGGGGGAAAGGACATCCTCTTCAATAAATGGTGCTGAGAAAACTGGATATTTATATGCAGAAGAATGAAATTAAACCCCTATCTCTCACCATATTCAAAAATCAAATGAAGATGGATTGAGGACTTAAACGTAAGACCCTAAACTATAAAACAACTAGAAAAAAACATAGCGGGGAATACTCTAGGACTTTTGCCTAAGCAAAGATTTTATGGCTAAGACCCCAAAAATACAAGCAACAAAACCAAAACTTAACAAATGAAGTTATATTAAACTACAAAGCTCCACACAGCAAAGTAAACAATCAACAGAGCAAAGAGATAACCTATTCAATGGAAGAAAATATTTGCAAATTATTTATCTGACAAGGACTAATATCCAGAATATACAAGGAACTGAAACAACTCAACAGCAAAAACACAAACAACCCCATTTAAAAGTTGGGCAAGGATCTAAATAGACATTCCTCCAAGGAAGACCTACAAATGGCCAACAGGTATAATAAAAATGCTCAAAATCACTAATTATCAGGGAAATGCTAATCAAAACCACAATATCATCTTACCCCAGTAAAAATGACTATAAAAAATACAAAAAATAACAGATGTTGGTGACAATGCAGAGAAAATAAAACTCTCATACACTGTTGGTGGGAATGTAAGGTAGTACAGCCATTATGGAAAATGGTATGAAGATTACTCAAAAAACTGAAAATAGAACTACCTTGTAGTCCAGCTATCCCATTACTGGGTATTTATCCAAAAGAAAGGAAATCAGCATATCAAAGGGATACATACTCCCCTGTGTTTATTGCTGCACTATTCACAATAGCAAAGATAGGGAATCAACTTAAGTGTCCACCAATGAATTAATGCATAAAGAAAATGTCATATATTTACACAGTAGGATGCTATTCAGCCATAGAAAAGAATGAAATAATGTCATCTGCAGCAACATGGATGAAACTGGAGGTCATTATGTTAAGTTAAATAAGCCTGACACAGAAAGATAAATATGGCCAGGTGTGGTGGCTCATGCCTGTAATCCCAGCATTTTGGGAGGCCAAGGTGGGCTGATCACTTGAGCCCGTGAGTTTGAGACCAGCCTGGACAACATGGCAAAACCCCATCTCTACAAAAAAAAATACAAAAATTAGACAGGCATGATGGCATGTGCCTGTAGTCCCAGCTAGTCAGGAGGTACAGGGGGGAAGATCACCTGAGCCCAGGGAGTTGGAAGCTGCAGTGAGCTGTGATAGTGCCACTAAACTCCAGCCTGGGCTACGGGGTGAGACCCTGTCTCAAAACAAAAACAAAAACCAGAAAGACAAATATTATCACATGTACTCATATGCTCATAAAAATGTTGATTTCATGGAGGTAGTGAGTAGAATGACAGTTATCAGAGGCTGGGAACTATCTGTGAGTGTGCGTGGGGGGAAGTAAAGTAGGATGGGTTAATGGGTACATACAGTTAGTTAGAATAAGTTCTAATATTTTATAGTGATATAGGTGACTATATTTAACAATTATGTATTACACATTTCAAAATAGCTAGAAGTAAGGACTTGAAACATTCTCAACACATGGAAATGGTAAAATGCTGATGGTGATGGATATCCTAAATATCCTGACTTGATCATTACAGATTCTATTCATGTAACAAAATATTACATGTATCCTATAAATATGTTCAAATATTTCACATCAATAAAAACATTGAAAAGTAAAAATTTTAAAAAGACATTCAAACAGCTTCTTTGTGTGCTTTTTGTTCCACAATACATGTGTTTCCTCTTTTAGCTTTATTGTGAATATAAATCAGAAATTATGAGGCCAGGTGCAGTGGCTCACATCTGTAATCCTAACATTTTGGGAGGCCAACGTAGGAGAATCACTTGAGGCCAGAAGTCCAAGTCCAGCCTGGACAACAAAGCAAAACCCTGTCTCCACAAAAATAAATAAATAAATAAGATCCATGCACAGTGGCACATGCCTGTAGTCCCAGCTACTAAGGAGGCTGAGGTGGGAGGATCACCTGATCCCAGAAGGTCAAGGCTGCAGTGAGCTATGATTGTGCCACTGCACTCCAGCCTGGGTGACAGAGTAAGACTCTGTCTCAAAACAAAAACCAAGCTATCTATATTGGATAGCAAACAAATTTGGGATGGAAACTGTTGAATTTCTTTTATCTAGTCAATACACACAACCTCAATGAGGAATTTTGTTATGGACTGAATATTTTTGTCCTCCCTTCCCAAATGCCTATGCAAAATTCTCACCTGAAATGTGATGGTGTTAGGAGGCAAGGTCTTTGGGATAGGACTGGGTAATGGAAATGGAGTTTTCACGAATGGGATTGTACCCTTATAAAAGAGGCCCCAGAGAACTCCCTGGCCTCATTTTCTCCCTCCGTATCTTTAGTTAACTTCTGTTAAGCCAGGATAAATCATTACTTACATCACTGAGTTGCTTGGAGGCATAACTTACAGAAATTATTTCTATGCAATAAGTCTGTGGTAAATGTTAATCATTATTATTTGCCATGGTACTTACGAATAGTGACCCATGACATCGGTTTGGTTGCCCGATCAAATCTATTTCCTACAGCATTTTAGTGTAACATAAGATTTAAATTTTTAAAATCATAATATGCTACGCCCCTACTGAAGACTCTACTTCAAATCAGCCTATTTTGAAATTGGAAGTATATGCAGTTTAAAATCAATTAACTGCACAAATAGCTGTTTAAAGTAGATAAATTTCATTTGAATAATATTTATAAGTAATTATTTATATGATGTGTATCTGGATCATTTAGCATTAATTCATCATTCGGCAACTCTTCAGTGGGAACTACAGTCAAAAGACACACACATACACCTACATTCTATAGTTCATCAATTCTTCAGTCGTAGTTATTTGCCCTAAAACCTTCATTAGTTAATTGATTAAGTAAAGTGTTTCATTGGCTCAAGTAGCATGTGTGGATCTTGTTAAAATTCTTGTCTGGATATTGTGCACATCCCATAGAAAATGTTCTTAGTGACTAGTGAGTAATGACTATGCCCTACTTCATGGAGGTCCAATTCAGAATGCTGTTCTACAACCCTCTCCACCTCCACTGAGAAGCTTCCATTGGTGCACTGAAAAAATGAGTTCATTTATATGATACTGTACCAAGTTCAAAAGATTGGATTCTCTTATAGGTATATTTTTACTTTTTAAAAAATATGGCAAAAGTAATACAAACATGTAAAACAAAAAATGTGGAGTACAAAGTTTTATAGTCCCATCCCTCTAAGATGACCACTATATGTATATTTTTAAACAAAAAATGCACCATTCTAGATACAGAGTTCTGAAACAGTCCTTTATTGATGGAAATCTAGGGTGCTTCCAAGCTTTCTATTACAACAATATTGAAAATGAACATCCTTGAACATATATCATCACATACTTGTGCAAGCATTTCACCAATTAAACATCTAAAAGTAGAAATGCTGGTTTAAAGGATACTTGTATTTAAATATTATTAAATAGCCTCCTAAAGAGTGTATCCTGCTCCCTTATTCACAAAGCAGAAATGCGCCTATTCCTGCTACCTACTTACCAGCCCTGAATAGTACCACACTTCTATTTCTTTACCACTCTCTTAAATGAAAAATGATAGGTCTTTTTAAAAAAGGATTTGAGAGCATTATGGGATTGAGCATTTATTCACATGTTTTGTGTCATTTTAATTTCTTTTCCATTAATTATTGTTTACCCTTCACCCTTATCTCACCCCCATTTCCTGGTTGTATCTTTCGGCAAATCAACTTCTTTGAGACTTTGTTTCATTGTCTCTGCAGAGTCCAAATGAGGTACATCCTAAACCTATGCATTTTCATGGGTCTTTTTCTCTCTTATCTGATTTCATCTCTATCCCACTTTGTAATGTATTGTTAAAAGATAACTTTTGAAATAAAGGTAAAATCATGACTCTCATACAGATAAAAAATGAACATGTGTGAAAGATTTTACTTATTTGATGAGGGAAGCAGGCAAATATTACACTGGATCAAAGGAAAAGTCAAAAGGTACAGATTTATATGGAATAAAGGAATGGAATTACAAATGGAGGCAAAGGTATTTTTTCCCTGAGAGGGGAGATAAGTTCATTGAAACCCTATCAGACAAGACAGAATGTGTAGTCTATCCGTTTACAAAGAGTTGTAAAATAGCTCAGAGATTATAAAGGCTAAAATCTGACTGGCTGGGCACAGGGGCTCACAACCGTAATCCCAGCACTTTGGGAGGCTGAGGTGGGAGGATGAGTTGAGGCCAGGAGTTAACGACCAGCCTGGGCAACACAGAGAGGCCCCAGATCTACAAAACAAATAAACAAACACTTAGCTGGGCATAGTGACACATCCCTGTAGTCCTAGGTGAGGTGAGGTGGGAGGATCACTTGAGCCCAAGAGTTCAAGCTGCAGTGAGTGATGATCATGCCACTTGACTTCAGTCTGGGCAACAGAGCAAAGCCCTGTCTCTAAGAAAAATTAGAAAGTCTAGATTAGGTAACACAAGGCGTGTTGTATGTAGATAATCCATAGTTTTCCATTGAAACACAATTTTTTTTTGTATAGTCTCTCCTCTTTTAATAAAAAATAACCCTCGAAAGATTATTCTTGATCACAAAGTAAGATACACATGGTTACAGTCTCCCCAGTGCACCACAATGTAGCAGTTTCTCATTGCCCAAAGTATCACAGGAAGTTCTTTGTGTAATGACCAAGAAAATTAAGAAGCGCAGACACCAAGGGTGAGGTTGGAGCAAAAGTTTAGTAAGCTAAAAAAGAAAGCTCTCCGCTGCAGAGAGGGGGCCTGAAAGAGGATTGCTGTTTTCAAAGTTGAATACAAAGCCTTTTATAGGAACCGATGAGGGCTGGACATTTTATTTCCATAAGGCACAAATTTCTGGTAGCCCCATTGCATCCACCTAGTGTGCATGCAGGCCTTTAGCTTGAATTACTCCATATTGCTTTGTTCCCTTCACTGTGCATGTGTCAGAGGACGAAATTTTCCATTGCGGGAATGTTTGGGCAAGTCACCTGTGTAGCCTTTCTTATCTGTGCAGCGGTGGGTATGTCTTAGGCAAGCCCCTGTGCAAGTTCCCTTATCTGTGCCTGCAGCTTGATTTTTCAGGCTGTTCTTTTGTTTGAAAGAATTCAACAGAGGACCCACCCTAACTGCTGCCTAACTGGTTTCTCCCTTCCTCCTCTCTCAACATTGACAGATCTGGCCTGATTATATATACAGGTGTAGCAAGAAAATTCCTTTACCATAGAGACCTTAAATTTGCTTTGCTGGAAGTTTTTATAAGCAATCTCGGAATGGGCTTTTAAAACCTCTCATTATTTACTATCATGAGGCTAAGAAACCAAGGTAAGAACTCATCATCAGATTTCCTTGCATTTCCTATAAATGAGACAAATTGCTTTCTTCTCCAGGTCCCCCAAAGATGCTAAGACTTTTGGACCTGCCAGAAAGTGACCTTCTAAACCTACCTGGAAGGCAGGGAAACCTATAAGCCAGGTACCAGGTGAGCTTACCCAACAGGACATTGCAAGCATTGGTTTCATGAAGTTTACAACCTTAGTTACTTATAGGAACATGGTCATATTTGGTAAAATGAGCATCATTCTCAAATATGACAACTGGATATGCACATGCAAAAGAATAAAGATGAACTTCTTCCTCAAACCATACACAAAAATTAACTAAAAATGGATCAGAGTCCTAAATGTAAGAGCTAAAACAATAAAACTCTTGGAATGAAATGTAGGGTATAAATCTTTGTGACCTTGGGTTAGGCAAAGCCTTTCTAGATGTAACACCAAAAACACAATTGACAAAAGAAAAATTAGAAAATTGTGGACTTCACCACAGTCATGCTTCAAAGGACACCATCAAAAAAGTGAAGAGACAATCCACGAACTGGAGAAAATATTTGCAACTCATACATCTTATAAGGAACTTGTACCTAGTATACATAAAGAAGTCTTACAACTCAATAAAATAACCCAAGTACAAAATGGGCAAAGTATTCGAATTAACATTTCTCTAAAGAAGATATATAAATGGCCAATAAACACATGAAAAGATGTTTAACATCATTAGCCATTAGGGAGAAAAGAAAACAAGTAAATCTCAAGGTGATAGGATAGCACTTCATACCCATTAAGATGCTGTAATCAAATAGACAGATAATAAGTGTTTTTGTTATTGGTTGTAGTGGTTTTTGGTTTTCGGTTTTTTTGAGACAGGGTCTCATTCTGTCATCCAGGCTAGAGTGCAGTGCTGTGATCACAGCTCAACGTCCTGAGCTCAGGTGACCCTCCCACCTCAGCCTCCCAGGTAACTGGGACTCCAGGCGCATGACACCACACCTGGCTAGCTTTTTGTACTTTTAGTAGAAATGTGGTTTCGCCATGTTGCCCAGGCTGGTCTCAAACTCCTGTGCTCAAGAGATCCACCTGCCTCAGCCTCCCAAAGTGCTGGGATTACAGGCATGAGCCACTGTGCCTGGCCAAGTGTTGTTTAAGGTATAAAGATATTGAAACCCTCATACACTGCTAGTGGACTGAAAAATGGGGCAGCCACTTTGGAAAACAATCTGATAGTTAAACATAGGGTTGCCATAAAAATGATTAAACATAGAATTACCATATGACCTAGAAAATCTACTTCTAAGTATATACCCAAGAGAAATGAAAACATGTTTACACAAAAACTTGTAAATGAATTTTTATAGCATCAGCATTCATAATAACCAAAGAGTGAAAACAATCTAAATGCCTATCAATTGATGAGTGGATAAATAAAAAGTTATATTTGTACAATGGAATAATATTTGCAAATAACAAGGAATGAAGTAATGATACATGGTAAAATATAAATGAACCTTAAAATGTTATGCTAAGGGAAAGAAGCCAGCTATAAAAGATCACATATGGCATGATTCCATCTATACGAAATGTCCCAAATAGGCAATT
Organism: Homo sapiens; assembly: GCF_000001405.40. Taxonomy (NCBI): domain Eukaryota; kingdom Metazoa; phylum Chordata; class Mammalia; order Primates; family Hominidae; genus Homo; species Homo sapiens. The sequence goes on along the minus strand of NC_000007.14, from coordinate 111,620,439 downwards.
CTGGGTTGGTGGTTAGTGGGGAAATGCAGAATGACTGTTAATGGTTACAGGATTTCTTTTTGAAGTGAAGAATATGTTCTAAAATTGATTGTGGTGATGGTTGCATAACTGAATATACTAAGAACCATTGAATTATACACCTAATTATTATTATTATTATTATTAGTATTTTTGAGACAAAGCCTTGATTTGTCTCCCAGGCTGGAGTGCAGTAGCATGATCATGGCTCACTTGCAGCCTTGATCTCCCAGGCTCAGGCAATCCCCCTATCAGCCTCCCAAGTAGCTGGGGCTATAGGCATGTACCACTATGCCTGGCTGATTTTTAAAAATTTTTTGTAGAGAGGAGGTCTCCCTATATTGCCTAGGCTGATGTCAAACTCCTGATCTCAAGCAATCCTCCCGCCTCAGCCTCCCAAAGTGCTGGGATTGCAGGCATGAGCCACCATGCCTGGCTGAATTGTATAGTTTAAATGGTTAAATTGTGTTGTGTGTGAATTATATCTTAACAAAGCTGGCATGCCAAAAATAACTGAAATTATGACTGTCTACTGTATACTATTGTCTATTGTCTATTATCAGGCAGAGCTACACCTGAACTCTGATAAATAGAACCATGTCATAGGCAGTGAAGGCATTGACAAATCTCTAGGAACTTCACATATGGATTTTAGTTTGTAAAATGTTTGTGATGATTTTACCCATATAAATTTAATCTAGGGAAGCATAAGTATCTTTTTTAATTCGACAACTCTTTCTATGTAACTCATTAATAATAACACACTGTAGGGATGAAAGAAAGTTTTCTTCCACTCCCTGGGAGTTCAAGAATTTGAGCCTATAAAACAAAATGACAATAGACAGATCAACAGTAGAAAAGGCATAAAAATTTATTAACGTGCAAGTGCACGGGAGTCACACAAAGTGTGATACTCAAAGAAGGGCCAGATGGTTGAAGTTTAAATACTCTCTTCATAGGGGAGAAGGAGTGGGGGATGTATGCAATTTTAGAGGAAAAGTAAATGATTTTTAGGGGAGAAGAACAAACAATAGCCTGGGAGAAAGTCTGTCTGGGCTTTGGGTATGGTGCCCAATCTAGTCATCATTCCAGCAAGTTAACCTTCTTTGTTTTCTGAGATTACAGGGAGAAGACCTAAGACAATTGCATTCTGTCTGGAGGAACTTCCTGCAGTCCCATAAATGAACTTGAGAGAAAGCCTCTCCCTGTGCTTTCAGAGAGGCAGAGGACTGAGATTGGGGGACAGAGGGTGAGGGTGGGAGAAAGTCAGAGAGACTTTGTTTCTGAGGCTGGTTTTTTAGTTCAAAGCATGTCAAGAGGCTGGGCATGGTGGGTCATGCCTATAATCCCAGCACTTTGGGAGGCCAAGTTGGGAAGATGCTTGAGCTCAGAGTTCAAGATCAGCCTGGGCAACATGGCAAAACCCCATCTCTACAAAAAAATACAAAAATTAGCTGGGCATGGTGGCATGTGCCTATGGTCCCAGCTACTTGGGAGGCTGGAGTGGGAGGATCTCTTGAGCCTGGCAGGTCAGGCTGCAGTGAGCTGAGATCATGCCACTGCCCTCCAGCCTGGGTGATAGAGTGGACCTTGTCTCCAAAAAAAAAAAAAAAAAAAAAAAAGACTTGTCAAGGCACCATATTTTACAGTATAAGTTTTTTGTTTTTAGCCCTAATAATGTTACATGAGCCTAATTATTTTTAACATCTGCCTTTTTAGAAGGCAAAAGAACAAATCTTTGTGACTTTATGGGAGTCCTTTGGGAAATCTCAAAGGCAGTTCTATTTCTTTGTGGTTCTCAATAAGCTTGAAGAGCACAAGGGGGTTTGGAGACCAAAAATACTCCACTCCTTTGGGACAAAATTACTCTTTTCCTCAAAAAATGGAAATACACAGCTGTATTTGTCAGAAACTATGGCTCCTAAATATAGCCAAAGCCACATATCCATTATAACTTTTAGCCAAAGTAACACACTTCTATTTCACAGAGAGACCTGGAGAGTGGATAATTGTTCACTGTCACACCAGCATTTTGCAGCAGACTAGCAGAACTTGTGAATACACACAATACAGCTTGCCTTAGCCACACATATCATTTTTATACACTCCCCAAAGTGGCAGAAATGAGCAGCACATTCAGTACAGACCCAAAGAGATAGTCTTATGAAAATAAGAAGTAAAGGGATATAAACTTGAAATTATGAGTAGTAATGAGTATTCTATCTTACTATCTTGAAATACTGTCTGTCTATCTAATGATTCTCCATTAATTAACTCAACTTACCATTGGTCCAAGGTTTTAAGTTACTTACAGACCTTGAAAATTGTCCTGAAGCTGACATACACAAAACATAATTATTGTTGAAATAAAGTTTATCACAATAATGATTCAGTATGAGTAAATATAAATTTATATTTATAAACATCTTAAACATGAAGTAGAAGTAAGGCAAGCTTATTCAATCTATTAACCTGTTTAAGATTAGGAAAAACATACCCAAGTAGCATAAGCACCTACATTATATTATTCTCATTCTCTAGTAAATCAAAGAAGACATAGGTATTTTTTGTTAAACCAATAATATTAAGCTTGTATCATTTGCCAAAAATTTATCTAAATTATGTGAACTTGAATTCTTTTCTTTTTTTTTGAAACAGAGTTTCGTTCTTGTCGCCCAGGCTGGAGTACAGTGGCCCAATCTCCACTCGTTGCAACCGCTGCCTCCCAGGTTCAAGCTATTCTCCTGCATCAGCCTCCCCAGTAGCTGGGATTACAGGCACATGCCACCATGCCCGGCTATTTTTTTTTTTTTTTTTTTTTGTATTTTTAGTAGAGACGGGGTTTCACCATGTTGGCCAGGATGGTCTCAAATTCCTGACCTCAGGCGATACTCCCATCTCGGCCTCCCAAAGTGCTGGCATTACAGGCGTGAGCCACTGCACCCAGCTGAACTTGATTTCTTAAAACATTAATTTGGTTTCTGCAAGAGTTCAAAATAGAAAACAGATAAACAGAAAAGACTAACCCACTAGATTCTCTGCTATCTCTCACCTAGCAGAGATCTCTGTTAACTATTAATTCATTTACAGAGATCATCAAATAATCAGATCATAAAAGTGAATTCCCAACCATTACTTCCTGCAACGGGGACTAACTTACTGACAGTAAACAACCCAAAACCAAAAATGTAAAATTAGTATAGAGGAGAATTAGAATGAGAAAAACAGAGTGAGCAAGGTTTTCTTGCCATCTTGGATTCAATTCTGTGAGCCAAGAAAAGATCTACCTGGGCTTACACTGCCCATGAAGTGCATTTCTCTGCCTGCAAAGGTTACCTGGCTTTGGTAGGTAAATCCACTGGGCATTTCAGTGGAACTTCCAAAATTGTTAAAAGATAATTTTCTAGAAAAGGTAAGATCAGCCGGGCGCGGTGGCTCACGCCTGTAATCCCAGCACTTTGGGAGGCCGAGGCGGGCGGATCACGAGGTCAGGAGATCGAGACCATCCTGGCTAAAACGGTGAAACCCTGTCTCTACTAAAAAAATACAAAAAATTAGCTGGGCGTGGTGGCGGGCGCCTGTAGTCCCAGCTACTCGGGAGGCTGAGGCAGGAGAATGGCGTGAACCCGGGAGGCGGAGCTTGCAGTGAGCTGAGATTGCGCCACTGCAGTCCAGCCTGGGCGACAGAGCGAGACTCCGTCTCAAAAAAAAAAAAAAAAAAAAAGAAAAAAGAAAAGGTAAGATCATGACTGTCATGTGGGCATACAAATAAGCATGTGTTAAAATGTTTATTTTACTCATTCAGTAAGGAAGGCGGGTAGATATTATAATTGGTTGAAAGGAAAATTCAAAGGCACACATTTCTTTTTTTTTTTTTTTTTTTTTTTTTTTGAGACGGAGTCTCGCTCTGTCGCCCAGGCTGGAGTGCAGTGGCGGGATCTCGGCTCACTGCAAGCTCCGCCTCCCGGGTTCACGCCATTCTCCTGCCTCAGCCTCCCAAGTAGCTGGGACTACAGGCGCCCGCCACTACGCCCGGCTAATTTTTTGTATTTTTAGTAGAGACGGGGTTTCACCGTTTTAGCCGGGATGGTCTCGATCTCCTGACCTCGTGATCCGCCCGCCTCGGCCTCCCAAAGTGCTGGGATTACAGGCGTGAGCCACCGCGCCCGGCCAAAGTCACACATTTCTATGGAGTAAAGAAATGGAATTACAAATAGAGGCAAAACTGGTTTTTTTCCCCCATAGGAGATGGGAAGTCGATTGAACTCCACTCTGTAAGACAGAATATGCATGTCTATTGTCAAAGCAAACCACAGCCAGACAGAAAGTTAAAGTGATAAAAGCAAATTTTATTCAGGAATTATTGCAATAGGGAAAAAGAGATCTCAGCATAGAATGAAATCCCATTCTTAATACAACAAGAAAAAGTGGGGATTTATGGCCAAGGTAAAGGGCGGAGATCAGAGGATAGAAAATTACTAAGAGGAAACATCAAGACTATGGGGATTATGGCTACACTGACTTAGGATTCTTGCTGAAGGCAGCCCACTGTGAAAAGATATAGAGGATGAAGTAAGAGGAACCTAATCAGTCATCAATAGTGATCACATGCCAAGGGCAGGGGATTTTTGCCATATTGATTCAAGAGGATTCTTGCTAAAACTAGACTAGGTGGGGCAAGGATGAGACCAAGAGTGAGAGTTAGTCAAAAAGAAGATTCAAAGGAGCCTAAGGGGAGGGTCTTTGTCACTTTTAACTTGCAAAGAGTCATAAAATAAATATGCAATAAAATGCAAAGATCATGAAAGGCTAAAATCTAGTAACCCAGAGTGACATGCTGTATGTGGATAATGCATTAAAGCACAATTTTTTTCCTATAGTCTGTTATTAGGGATGTCTTTATATAGCATTTGTTCATATCTTCTGTAGACCCCATAAATGTTTAATTGCTTCTCAAATAAAACCTGGCTGTTAAGTGATTAGTTGAGAAAATATTTCCACTTATAGGGTAAATGTAAAGTGGCTTTATTAATACTGATAGATAATGCAGCAAGTGGTCCTAAGATTGTCTCTTGAGAAAAGAACTTTTATCTGAGGCCTTTTAATTATCAGGTCCTGGCCTGGTGCGATGGCCCATGCCTGTAATCCCAGCACTTTGGGAGGCTGAGGCAGGCAGATCGCTTGAGCTCAGGAGTTCAAGGCCAGCCTGAGCAACATGGGGAAACCTCATCTCTACAAAAAAATACAAAAATTTAGCACGGTATGGTAGTGCATGCCTATAGTCCCAGCTACTTGGGAGGCTGGGAGGTAGAGGTTGCAGTGAGCCGAGATGGTGCCATTGCACTCCAGTCTGGGTGACAGAGTGAGACCCTGTCTCAAAAAAGAAAAAAAAAAAAAAAGAAAAAAAAGAAGACAGTACTTACCAGGCCCAAAGAGACATTAAAATGAGACTGCAATAATGTCCTATTTCCCACTTTGAGCTATATATTAATCTCTTGAAACTGCTTGCTATTGCTACAAGTAGCTATAAATTAAGCTAATAATGCCACACCAGACACTATAACCCACACACTATAGCCAAAAATGTATAGCCAATCACTACTCCACGTCATTTCCATGAAACAATGAGAATTCCTGACAAGCAACTTTGTATCAGCCCACTCTGTGTCTCCCCTTTTTGCCTTTAACTACTTTTTTTCACTTGTAACTACTGCTTGTTGAATTATATTCAGGGCAACTTCAATCTGTGCTCCTGTGTTGCAATCTGCAAGCTTGGCCCAAAGAAACTCTCTACATATATTAATTTTCCTCAGCTTCTTCCTTTTAAGTTAACACTCTAAAGAAACAAAACAATAATGACAACATAAAGCTATATGTCTAATTTCAACCTGAAAAAAATTTTAAATCAAGTTAAGAAGATTTTTATATTGATGGCGTTCAGAACACGTCATCTCAAAGTGTGACTGTAAAAGACCAGAATACACCACCCCAAATAAGCCTCTTTGACATAGAATTTTTTGAATTGAATTATTTTGGGAAACAGCAGACACAGGAGAAGCTCTGAAAACTAGAGTAGAAGGTACCCTTTTGTAAGAGAAATTTATGTCTATAAAGAAAATCGTTATTTGTAAGGGTGTCTCTCTCTCTCTTAGTACCAGGAAGAGAATGACTAAATCCAAGATACTCTTAATCAATGGAGAAGGGACTGACTTAAGTTTGCATAACAAACTGTTCTTGTATACTGTACTCTTCCTATCTCCCATAATCAGCCTTTCCCAATAAACTTCTCTTTTTGTTTCAACAAAGGATGGTATAAGCCTGAAGTTTAAACAACCCTTTTGAGATCTCTTGAGATTTAGCCTGGAGATTTTACTCTTTCAGATTTCGCTGAGTATGCCTTCCATGTATACTGGAGGTACACACGTTATTCATCTTTTATTTATTTTTCTCCTGTTAACCTTCAGAGTCTCAGCTACGAACTCTGAAGGGTAGAGAGACAATTATTTTTCCTCCTCTATGGTTTGATATTAAATTACCTGTTTAACTGACTAATAATTTTTTTTCCTATTAGTTCTTTGGGTATCATTTATAGACAATATGCAAAAGAAAATAAATTGCCCATAGCTGGGAATAACTAAAGTTATATTCTGAAGTAGAAAGGCCAAAAGCTTATTAAAGACATTAAATAATTGATGGCTTCATTTAATAAGCATTAGGGATTATTCTCAATGTACCAGATACCATGTGTTATCCAACCCAACTTTGGTCAGCCCACCTGGTGCAGCAAAGGCAAACATTGACACCAAGATTTGCAGTGAGAGAAAGTGAGGCATTTATGGCATGGCATTAAGCAAGGAGAATTGGGCAGCTAACACTTAAGACCCAAACTCTCCCACGGCTTACAAGCAAGGGTCTTTAAAGGAAGGGGTACATTTCAGGAAAGCAGAAGTTACAGGCAAAATCATATGTAATTCAATACATGGAGGTTACACATTGGTTTTGCCTCAAAAGGCAGAATATCTGGAAGTGGGGGCTTACAAGTCATAGAGAGGTTCACAGATTATTTGATTTACAATTGGTTAGGGAAGCAATGCTTTGTCTAAAAACTTGGGGTCAGAAGAAAGGAATGTTAAGGTTTGATCTATGGGCATGATGACCCTCTCCAGGCCCCTCATGAAGACATTTAGAACAAGGGACAACGATTAGAGTTCAGTCCTTAGCTCTCCCTTATTTGAGGTCTGTGTGACAGTGGTCAGCATTTTCCATCTTGTGGGGGTACAGGTTTCTGAAAAACAACTCAGGGAAATATGTCAAGATGTTATCTTTAGTTTTTATAGGGAACCAAACATTTTATGACTCTAGATTACTTGGGTGGCTATTGTTTAAGCTTATTATTACCTTATTGATTAGTGGGTTATTTATTTATTTCTCAAGGATAGTGGGGTGCCTGGAATTTTCCCCTAAAGGGAGTCAAGATTTTTTCTTTATTCCCATGCTCAGGGGATGGGGGAGCAGGACCCTAAGAGGGATATCATGTGCTTACAAGAAAATGCAGTTTCAGCTTTCAAGGATTTTAAATTTTTTATTTTTTATATATTTTTTGAGATGAAATCTCACTCTGTCACCCAGGCTGGAGTCAGGAGTGCAGTAGTACAATCTCAGCTCACTATAACCTCCAGTCTCCCCACTACCACCCAGGGCTCAAGCAATACTCCTACTTCAGCCTCTCAGGTAGCTGAGACCACAGACATGTGCCACCATGCCCGGCTAAGTTTTTGTATTTTTGGTAGAGACAGGGTTTAATCATGTTGCCCAGGCTAGTCTTGAACTCCTGAGCTCAAGCAATCCGCCCACCTCGGCCTCCCAAAGTGCTGAGATTACAGGTGTGAGCCACCACACATGGCCAAGAAGAATTTTAAATTTATCTGCACCAGTAATCATCTGTAGATAGTGGTAAGAATATTATTATTATTATTATTAGACAAGATCTTGCTCTGTCACCCAGGCTGGAGTGCAGTGGTGCAATCACGAGTCACTGCAGCCTTGACATCCTGGGTTCAAGCGATTCTACCATGTTAGCCTCCCAAGTAGCTGGCAGTACAGGCATGTACCACATGCCCAGCTAAGTTCTAATTTTTTGGTAGAGATGGGGTCTCACTATGTTGCCCAGGCTGTCTTGAATGCCTGGCTTCAAGCAATCCTCTTGCCTTGGCCTCCCGAAGTGCTGGGATTACGGGTGTGAGCAACCACACACAGCCAGCAGTAAAAATATTATAACGCAGGTATACAGAAGTGTCTGGGAGTTGAAGTCCTTAAGACACCTAAGCTCAGCCTTCAAGGAGTTGGCAAGGCCAAGGATGTGTGGAGAAGAGTGCTTCAAGGAGAATGAGTAACAAGTGTATGGGTTGGCTGGGCATGGTGGCTCACACGTGTAATCCCAGCACTTTGGGAGGCCAAGGCAGGCAGATTCCCTAAGATCAGGAGTTCGAGACCAGCCTGGCCAACATAGTGAGACCCCTTCTCTACTAAAACTACAAAAATTAGCCAGGTGTGGTGGCGGGTACCTGTAATCCCAGCTACTCAGGAGGCTGAGGAAGGACAATTGCTTGAACATGGGAGATGGAGGTTGTGGTGAGCCGAGATCGCACCATTGCACTCCAGCCTGGGCGACAGGAGTGAAACTCCATCTAAGAAGAAAAAAAAAAATAAGTGTATGGGTTGAAAGGCAAGGGAGCAGGTATCATTCTGGAAATTATAAGTCCTTCTATGTAGCTGAAGCATAGAATGTGAGAAGGAAGGGATGAGAAGAAATAAGGAGGGGAAGAAAGCAGGACCAGCCATAAATAAGCCTATGGTGAAAAACTAAAAAGCCAGGGCTTTCTGTTGCAGGTGAAGCCTTTTAAGCTAGGGAGCTGCAGGATCAAATTTGCATTTTTAGAAAGATGGCCCAGTAAGCAGGTTGGGGAATGGGTTGTTAACTGTGTTTCCCAATGTATATTTCACTCATGATTTAGCACAAGTTTTAACTTATTCTCAAGTTCCCCGGAGGTATTTCTTTACAATGTTTGGTCTGTAGCTACAACTTGGCTACACTGTGAGTGCAAAGCTGTGACTCTGTGATAGAAGGTGAATGAAAGAAATGGGGGTGGGGGGGACATGATAATATGAAGTAGGGGTCAACAAACTGTGACCTGAAGCCAAAGTTTTATGCTGTTATTGTAAAGAAAATTTTTTTTTTTTAACTTTTTTTTTTTAATTTTTATTTTTTTTATTGATCATTCTTGGGTGTTTCTCGCAGAGGGGGATTTGGCAGGGTCATAGGACAATAGTGGAGGGAAGGTTGGCAGATAAACAAGTGAACAAAGGTCTCTGGTTTTCCTAGGCAGAGGACCCTGCGGCCTTCCGCAGTGTTTGTGTCCCTGGGTACTTGAGATTAGGGAGTGGTGATGATTCTTAACGAGCATGCTGCCTTCAAGCATCTGTTTAACAAAGCACATCTTGCACCGCCCTTAATCCATTTAACCCTGAGTGGACACAGCACATGTTTCAGAGAGCACAGGGTTGGGGGTAAGGTCACCGATCAACAGGATCCCAAGGCAGAAGAATTTATCTTAGTACAGAACAAAATGAAAAGTCTCCCATGTCTACTTCTTTCTACACAGACACGGCAACCATCCGATTTCTCAATCTTTTCCCCACCTTTCCCCCCTTTCTATTCCACAAAGCCGCCATTGTCATCCCGGCCCGTTCTCAATGAGCTGTTGGGTACACCTCCCAGACGAGGTGGTGGCTGGGCAGAGGGGCTCCTCACTTCCTAGTAGGGGTGGCCGGGCAGAGGCGCCCCTCACCTCCCGGACGGGGCGGCTGGCCGGGCGGGGGGCTGACCCCCCCACCTCCCTCCCGGACGGGGCGGCTGGCCGGGCGGGGTGCTGATCCCCCCACTTCCCTCCCGGACTGGTCGGCTGGCCGGGCGGGGGGCTGAGCCCCCCACCTCCCTCCCGGACGGGGTGGCTGGCCCGGCAGAGGGGCTCCTCACTTCCCAGTAGGGGCGGCTGGGCAGAGGCGCCCCTCACCTCCCGGACGGGGCGGCTGGCCGGGCGGGGGGCTGACCCCACCTCCCTCCCAGACGGGGCGGCTGGCCGGGCGGGGGGCTGACCCCCCCCACCTCCCTCCCGGACGTGGGGCTGACCCCCCCACCTCCCTCCCGGATGGGGCGGCTGGCTGGGCGGGGGGCTGACCCCCCACCTCCCTCCTGGACGGGGCGGCTGCCGGGCGGAGACACTCCTCACTTCCCAGACGGGGTGGCTGCCGGGCAGAGGGACTCCTCACCTCTCAGACGGGGCGGCTGCCGGGCGGAGGGTCCCCTCACCTCTCAGACGGGGCGGCTGGGCAGAGACGCTCCCCACCTCCCAGACGGGGTCGCAGCCGGGCAGAGGCGCTCCTCACATCCCAGACGGGGCGGCGGGGCAGAGGCGCTCCCCACATCTCAGACGATGGGCGGCCGGGCAGAGACGCTCCCCACCTCCCAGATGGGATGGCTGCCGGGAAGAGGCGCTCCCCACCTCCCAGACGGGATGGCGGCCGGGCAGAGATGCTCCCCACCCTCCAGACTGGGCAGCCAGGCAGAGGGGCTCCCCACGTCCCAGACGATGGGCGGCCAGGCAGAGACGCTCCCCACCTCCCAGACGGGGTGGAGGCCGGGCAGAGGCTGCAATCTCGGCACTCTGGGCGGCCAAGGCAGGCGGCCGGGAGATGGAGGCTGCAGCGAGCCGAGACCACGCCACTGCACTCCAGCCTGGGCACCACCGAGCACCGAGCGAACCAGACTCCGTCTGCAATCCCGGCACCCTGGGAGGCCAAGGCTGGCGGACCACCCACGGCTAGGAGCTGGAGACCAGCCCGGCCAACACAGCGAAACCCCGTCTCCACCAAAAAAGTACGAAAACCAGTCAGGCGTGGTGGCGCGCGCCCGCAATCGCAGGCACTCGGCAGGCTGAGGCAGGAGAATCAGGCAGGGAGGCTGCAGTGAGCCGAGATGGCAGCAGTACAGTCCAGCTTCGGCTCGGCATCAGAGGGAGACCGTGGAAAGAGAGGGAGAGGGAGACCGAGAGGGAGAGGGGAGAGGGGAGAGGGGAGAGGGGAGAGGGGAGAGGGGAGAGGGAGAGGCAGAGGCAGAGGCAGAGGCAGAGGCAGAGGCCTGTAAAGAAAATTTTATCGGAACACAGCCACCCCTATTTGTTTTTGTATTGTCTATGGCTGCTTTTGTACTGCAACAGCAGAGTTGATTAGTTGTGTGAGAGTGTATGGAATGGAAAGCAGAACATATTTTACTCTCTGTTAATGAAAAAAGTTTGCTGACCTCTAATTTAAAGCGTTAAAATTTTGCATATTGGCTGGTCACAGTGTCTCACGCCTGTAATTCTAGCACTTTGGGAGTCCGAGGCAGGAGAATCACAAGGTCAGGGGTTCAAGACTAGCCTGGCCAACATGGTGAAACCCCATCTCTACTAAAAAATACAAAAAATTAGCCGGGCGTGGTGGCAGGCACCTGCAATCCAGCTACTTGGGAGGCTGAGGCAAGAGAATTGCTTGAACCTGGGAGGCGGAGGTTGCAGTAAGTCAAGATGGTGCCACTGCACACCAGCCCAGGTGACAGTGTGAGACTCAGTCTCAAAAAAAAAAAATTGCATATTAACGTATTTTATTTTTAAATTTATTATTTATTCCCTATATTTAAAAAGGATTTGTCCAAATGTTAAGGCCAGCCCAATGCAAAATTTCAAACCTTGAAAGCTGTGCTGGTAATAATACTGGTAATAATATGTGAAGATGACAATATTAATGGCATGTAGATGATTGTCTCTATGACTTTAATTCTCCTAAAAATCTTCCAAGAAGGAGCAGAAAGATCTTGTTTATGTACTATTGAATTTGATTTTTTTTTTGTTCAATGAAAGGCACTTGATAACAGATAAATTTTAAAATATGCTATATAACTTTTAGCACCTTGTGTCTGAAAATCTCTAAGACAGTACGTGAGTTGGGGATTGGAGTACAATAAGCCTGGTTTTTACTGGATTCCTGGTTTAATGCTTAGAGGTTTAGGACAATCCCTTATTTGTGGGGAAAAATGCACAGAAGTATTTGTTTCTTTGACTTATATTAGCAGCTTCTAAGGGTCCCTATTCTAAATAAGACTGTCTTAGATTGCATCAAATAGGCACCTTACAGAGACTACAGGACTCAGAATAGGTCGTTTTACTCCTGGCGTCTCCTGTAGCCTCCTGTACTCCCACAAGCTGCCTGCTTAGCCACCATGAGCTAGGACACCTCCAGATATTTGAAATTTTGGTATAGAGACACAAAACCCTATTTCATGGTTCAATTTTCTGTAGTGTCTCCATACTCACCTCAGGAGACTGTGACTGGAACATATGCACCAGTAGCATTTATTTAATAAGAACCTCCTTTGACTTGTTTAAGTCCAGAGAACACTGACGCTTAAAAAGAAAAGAGTATATTTCAGTCCTTGATTGAAATTATCCAACGTTTCTGGAAAAGTCAATTTGGATAACAGTTGGTGTTTCACCTCCTAGTGTTAAACCCATCTTCCCTATGCTGTCTTTTTGGATCTGTTAATCAAGTTTCCTGTCTTCTCCAGAAAGCAGCTTAATTGTTTATGTTCTGCAGAAAACCCTCACTGAGAAAGAGATTTAATTTGTATCTTAATCCAATATTTTTATGCAGTATGGTAAAACACTATTACTTGTTACAGTATATTGTCAGCTTCATTATTAGTCTCCTGATAGAATTTCTTCCTTTGATTTTAATCTGACTTCTATTTTTCCGTTACCTCTGTCACAACTTTTGGGTTAGAATTTCTTCCTTTGATTTTAATCTGACTTCTATTTTTCCGTTACCTCTGTCACAACTTTTGGGTTATTTTTTGACCCAAAATACCCTTTTCTGCCAGAGAAAAACATCATCATCACCATAAGAACTATTGATTGCATGCCCACAGGGTGCATGTCATTGTACCTGGGGTTTTACCAGGTTTCATTAGCTTTCTTTCCTTCCTGGTGCAGCAGAATGGCACTCAAACAATAACAAAATACAAAACCAAAAACAAACACAAAACCCACAAATCAACCTGCTTTGTGTCGTTCCTTCTGTCTGGAAGAAGTGAAAACTGGTATTCTAAAGTGTGAGCCAGGCACTAAGATGGATCTCAAAAATAGGTGTTTTAATCAGAAATATATTCAAGCCTATAAGTGTATTATTAGCATGACTTTGTTTGTTTCTTGCTGGAATAACTTTCTCTTCCATCCACCCTTTTCCCTTTTTGCCCCCATCTGCCCTTCTGACAGCAACAAAATGAGTGTTAGCAATGTACTATTATTTGACATCCTTCTTTTTATAAAATTGAATTTCTTTTGATAAATGTCAGAAGGGGACACACATTCTTCAGTAAAATGAGCTGAACCTAGAACAGATTTGTCACTGCCACCTCACCAGTCATCTCTTTTTCTTCTGACAAATACAGTATGTCCTGAGCTTGTCTGTCCTTGGTGACCTTAAGGAAATGGAAAAGTGATTCCATCCTTTCTAATTTCAGCACAGTGAACTGTCACAGATGGCAAGTTAGAAATGATTAGTGTTTACATATTCTTTCCTTGTTGCTGTCCTGTCTGGGCAAATGTATAGAAGGATGGCAGAACAGAACAATATGAAAGACTTTATGTTAAATAGGACTATTTTGCATTTGGGTTTTGCAATGTTTAATGTTATAAAGATTATTCGTGTTCATTTCACAAATACTTTTTAGTACTCCAGTAGAGGGATCAATTTTAAAATAGCTGATTCTTCAACATTGACTCTCCCTCTTTATAAATCATATTAAAACAAAAAAGAATCACATAAAATAACCTTTAACCTGATTTCTGAGAGTGGATCAGTCTTTGTCTAAGAACATGATGTTATTATTATTATTCCAATGTCAAGACTGCCCTGAAGAGCTGACGGTATAGGAAGTCAAAGTCAGGAAAGAAGGTAGGAGATTTGAAGTTGTTACTCTCAGAAACAGGGGACAATAAAAATGAGTATATTAATGTAGTGATGCAAGGTATTATCCTATTTTCAGGTAGTTAGTCCTAGAATTAATAGGAAATAGGCCAGGTGCAGGGGGTCACGTCAGTAATCCCAGCACTTTGGGAGGCTGAGGTGGGTGGATAATAAGGTCAGGAGACCAGCCTGTCCGATATGGTGAAACCCCGTCTCTACTAAAAAATACAAAAATTAGCCAGGTGTGGTGGCACGTGCCTGTAGTCCCAGCTACTCGAGAGGCTGAGGTGGAAGAATCGCTTGAATCCGGGAGGCAGAGGTTGCAGTGAGCCGAGATTATGCCACTGCACTGTAGCCTGGGCAACAGAGTGAGAATCTGTCTCAAAAATAAATAAATAAATAAAAAATAATAGGAAATCTTTCTTTCCCAGATCTTCCTGAAACTCTGTTGTTACTGCGCCTTATCTTTTTTTTAACTTTGAACCAGGAGGTTCAGTGTTAGCAATATAAGAAAGATTTAAATTGGTCTTTACAGAAGGTAAAAGTGGATCAATTTACTCCTTTAACAAACTGTTACTAATCTCTGCTGTGTGTAGATGCTGTGTTATGCATGGAATGGGTAGAGAACTTCACAGAAAACGTTCTCACTCTCATGGGAGTAATTTGCCAGTAATCAAGTAAATGAATTTGTAGATTATTGTCTTAGTTCATTTATGTTGCTATAAAGGAATACCTGAGGCTGGGTAATTTATAAATAAACTGGCTCATGGTTCTTCAGGCTGTATAGAAAGCATGGCTCCAGCATCTGTTTCTGATGAAGGCTTCAAGCTGCCTCCACTCATGGTGGAAGGCAAAGGGGAGCTGGCATGTGTAGAGATCATATGGTGAGAGAGGAAGCAAGAGAGAATGCAGGGGGAGGTGCCAGGCTCTTTTTAACAACCAGCTCTCATGGGAGCTAATAGAGTTAAAACTCACTCATTACCAGAGGACGGTACCAAGATATTTGTGAGGGATCCACCCCCATGACCCAAACAGCTTTCATTAGGCCCTACCTCCAACAATGGGGATCAAATTTGAACATGAGATGTGGAGGGTCAAACAAAAAAAGCTATAGCAATTATGAAATTGCCACAAGGGAATTACACAGGAAGACATAAAATAAAATAACAATGAAGACAAAATTGAACAGCAGTAATGAATGCTAGAGGCATTATTCTATTTAATAATTCAATAACATATATGTGTGTATTGAGCACTTACTGTATGTCTAGCAATCTTCTAAGTGCTTTAAATAGATTAATTTATTTAATTATCACAACAATTGTTTGAGGAGGTTTGCTATGGACTGAATGTTTGTATGTCCTCAAAATTCAAATGCTAAAACCCTAATTTTAATGTGATGATATTTGAAGATGGATCCTCTGGAAGGTAATTAGGTCATGAGGGTGGAGCTTTCACTACGGGATTAGTGCCCTTATGAGAAGAGACACCAGAGAGATGACCTTTCTTTCTCTCAGCCATATGAGGATACAGAAAGAAGGAGGCTGTCTGCTAACCAGAAAAAGAGCCCTCACTATATACTGAATATGCTGGCACCTTGATCTTGGACTTCCCAGCCACAGAACTACGAAAAACAGATGTTTGTTGTTTAAGCCAGTCGGTACATAATATTTTTGTTAGAACAGCCCAAATTGACCAAGACAAAGGTCTTATTATTATTTCACATTGTGATGAAAAAACTGGGGCACAGAGAGGTTTAGTAATTTCACAAGGTCACAAAACAAATAAGCAGTAAAGCCAGGATTTATCCCAACTAAACTAGCTCTAGATCTGCATCCTTAACTATTATTGTTATTACAATCCATCCAGTAGTTATTACATAAATTGCTTAAGTGCTGAATATTGTGTCAAGTAATTGAAATACAAATATGAATAAAAATGGTGCATTACCTTTAAGAAGCTCCCAGTCTAGCAGGGGAGACAGAACAATAATTAGAATGCAGTGAGATAAATGTAATACTAGAAATATGAAGAAATTATATTAGAAGCACTGAGGATACAACACTACCATGCATAGTGTTTACTGTTTTCTTATTAAAAAAAAAAACTAATGGAGATAGTCATCCATGAGGCAGTTTAAAAAGTGCTGCTAAATTTGCTACTAAGGCAAATGGGAAATCAAAGTCCTGTTAATGACTCTTTCCAAAGTTTGTTTGTAGATATTTATTAGCCCTTATAGGCCAAATTCATTAACCCTCAATGATGCTGGCTTTTTCTTCTATTCCTGCTACACAGGAATAGAATTTGGAAATAAGAGGGAAAGAATTGTGTTCAAGTGGTCAATTAAATACTAACTTATACTTTATCTTATGTTATTAACTATTGCTTGGTGAAGTTTATTTTTCTTTTCCCTGCAGTTTCTTTATTCCTTACTTCATTCCTCAATTCTAAATCCATAATCCCAATTCTTGCCTAACATCCTCATATGAATATTTCCTAAATGTCTCACAGACAACATGTTCTACTCATGGTATTAATATTGTAGGAGCAGAAAAGTGTGATACCTTCCCTCACCCATTGTAAGAGTCATGGCTGACACTCCTATAACAAAAGACAGATTAACAAGATAAAAGGATAACAAACTTATTTAATCAAAGTTTTATGGTCCAGGCGTGGTGGCTCATACTTGTAATCCCAGCACTTTGGGAGGCTGAGGCAGGTGGATCACCTGAGGTCGGGAGTTCGAGACCAGCCTGACCAACGTGGAGAAACCCCATCTTGACTAAAAATACAAAATTAGCCAGGTGTGGTGGTGCATACCTGTAATCCCAGCTACTTGGGAGGCTGAGGCAGGAGAATCACTTGAACCCGGGAGGCAGAGTTTGCAGTGAGCTGAGATCGTGCCATTGCACTCCAGCCCGGGCAACAAGAAGCTCCGTCTCAAAGAAAAAAAAAAGGTTTTACTTGACACAGGAGCCTTTAGAAATGAAGACCCAAAGACCAAGGAAAAAATTGTTTTTATGCTTGGATTCTATGAAGAATGGACAGCCATGTAGAAATGTTATTGGCCAAAAGGGTATGATGGAATGGTAATAGACTGAAGGGGAATACTCAGTAACACCTGTCTGTTTAGATTCTTCTTGGTCTCTCCATGTAGAATTCCTTCCTCCCAGAATGCAGCAAGGCCCTTGTTATCTTTCCAGGTTTTATGGCTTGTTTTGTGGGAGAGGGGTTCTAATTTCTATGACCCACCTTGGGGAAGAGGGATTCTGATTTCTATGACTCACCTGGAGGAGAAAAAAGGATGAGAGACAGGAGAGTGAGAAATGTTTAGAGAGACTTGCTTCTGAGGCCCTTCCAATGTCCTTCAGCTCAAAGTACTCAGCATCCCAGGGCGCCATACTTTGGGGTATCATGTTCTGAGCCCTGTCAATATCCTCTTCCAGGCTATTATGTTTAGATACCTCCCCCTCTCCTTCACCCCATGTAGTAGATTCTTAGGGCTTCTATAACAAATTATCATAAGCTGAGTGGCTTAAAATAGCAGAAATTTATTCTCTTACAGTTCAGGAGGCCAGAAATTAGAAATCAAGGTGTCACCAGAGCCACACTCCTTCCAAAGTTTCTAGAGGAGGATCCTTCCTTGTCTCTTCCAGCTTCTGATGACTTCTGACATTTCTTGGTTTGTAGCAGCATAACTCCAATCTCTGCCTTCATTTTCACATAGCCTTCTTAACTTTGTCTCTTACGACAATGTCCCTCCTCCATTCCTCCATTCTCTCTTTCTCTCTCTCTGTCTTTTTTTTTTTTTTTTTTTTTTTGGAGATGGTGTCTCACTCTGGTATCCAGGCTGGATTGCAGTGGTGCGATCTCAGCTCACTGCAACCTCTGCCCTCCCAGGTTCAAGTGATCCTCTCCTCTCAGCTTCCTGAGTAGCTGGGACCGCAGGTACAGGTCATCACACCCAGCTAATTTTTATATTTTTCTTAGAGATGGGGTTTCACCATGTTGCCCATGCTGGTCTCAAACTCTTGGGCTCAAGCAATCCATCCACCTTGGCCTCCCAAAGTGCTGGGATTACAGGTGTGAGCCTTCATGCCTGGCCTCCTCCTCCATTCTCATTAAAAGTCTGAACAAACATTAGTATAGTTTCTGACAGCTCAAGTTCCCATCCTTAGTATCACCACTCCAGTCTCTTTAAGTTCCTGCTTGGGAAAGCTCAAGGCTGCCCAAAAAACATATTGTTTGTTCTGGCCAACACCTGAAGATAGGGCCCCTGTCTTTTTGCCTCTTTGGGAGGGTAGGAGCCTAACTTTGACCAGTACCAGTTAGCAAACTCAGATGATTTTACATGGGCCAACTCACTGCTGTGGTTTAGATGTGTCCCCCAAAGTGCATGTGTTGGAAACTTAATACCAATACAACAGTTTTGGGAGTTGGGGCCATATGGGGGTTATTTTAGTCATTGATACTCCACCTTCACTAATGGAATAATGTTGATTATTTAAACGGCTTGAAGTTGTACACAAACTCTCCTGCTTTCTTTCACCATGTGATACTTTCTACCATGTTATCATTCAGCATGAAGGCCCTTGCCAGATGCTGGCACCATGCTTTTGGACTTTTCACCTCCAGGACCATGAGCTAAATAAATTTCTTTTCTTTATAAATTACCTGGTCTGTGATATTTTGTTATAGCAACACAAAACAGACTAAGACACTCGTCTTCTCACTTTTTGTAAATTTCCACTCCCTGACTCTGGTCCCTACCGTTCCCCTTTCCTATTCTCTCATTCTCTCTTTAAAACAAATCAAAGTTGAGTTCAGTTTATACTGGATTCTCTTCCCTTTTGCAATAGTTAATTACTAATTAAAACCTGTCTTTAGGCAGGGTGCGGTGGCTCATGCCTGTAATCCCAGCACTTTGGGAGGGTGAGGTGGGTGGATCACCTGAGGTCAGGAGTTCTAGACCAGCCAGCATGACCAAATGGAGAAACCCCATCTCTACTAAAAATACAAAATTAGCCAAGTGTGGTGGTGCATGCCTGCAATCCCAGCTACTTGGGAGGCTGAGGCAGGAGAATCACTTGAACCTGGGAGGCAGAGGTTGCAGTGAGCCGAGATCGCACCATTGCACTCCAGCCTGGGCAACAAGAACAAAACTCTGTCTCAAAAAAAAAAAGACAAAAAAAACAAAACAAAACAAAACCTGTCTTTATCACTTTAATAGTATCTGTCTTTGTTTATCTTTGGTAATTATAAGACAGTCTTTTTGGATTTATGTTCCACCCTAATCCAGTATGATCTCACCATGATCCTTACTTTATTTGTATCTGCAACACACATTTTTAAATAATGTAGTGTTCTAATGTTCTGGGTGGACAGGAATTTTGGAAGGACACTATTCAACCCACTGCACTCCGATAGCCAATTAGTTACTGTAGCAAACTCTATTAATTGTTCACCTAATATCCAATGCCCATGTACTCCATGCTAATAATGTTTTTTCAAAAGGACAGTGTGATCAGCCCATAGTTACAGACCATGATCAGTCTCAGGTGATCAAGACACTACTATTCCCCACCTTCCTAGCCTCTACTGTAGCTAGAGGCTGCCATGTGACTCAGCTCCAGCCAATCACTCACCTAAAGTAGGCCGTGGAGGAGACGGTTGTTCAACAACATGAAAGAAAAACCAAGAGAGCTGAGAAATGATGTCACTGATATTGTCAAGCCTCTGCACCAACACCAGCAGCATCTACTTGAATCTACTTGAATAAAGTAGATTCATCTGCATCTACTTGATCTATCTGCATCTATCTGCATCTACTTGAATAAAGTAAGGCTCTGTATGTTCAACTCTGTTCAAAAGAAATTCTGTTTCTTGCATCCAAAGGGATTTCTAATTGATTTATTCACCAAGCTCAGTTAATTTTTTCAAAATGTCTCCTATTTATTGTTTCCTTGACAGTCAATCAAGTCTTCATCTTTTCTTGCTAGACAATTATAACATCCTAATTAGCTTCCCTGCCTCATTCCAGTCTCATCTGCTCCCTATGGGCCCACCAGAGTAATTGTTCTGAAACACAAACCATGCCCTCTGCTCAAAAACTTTCCTCAGCTCTCAGTTACTTAGAGAATAAAGTCTAAATTTGTTAGTACTAATGATCTGGCCTCAATAATTTTTTCTAGTTTAATTTACTTCACTATCCCTTACGCACTCTATACTTTGCACTCCAAAATTACACTCCTAGATAGACCCTCTATTTGCACATCTTAGCCTCTCTCCTCAGTCTGGAAAAATTTGTGGGAATCCTATTTATTCTTCAGAACCCAGCCCAATGTGTTGTCCAGGAAGGTTTCCAAAATCATCCGGTCAGAATAAATCCTTGAACTCTGATACTTTGTTATTTGTTGCTCTAGTTCAGGCAGTCCTAGGCTTTAGAATGCTTGACTTGCAAACAACTAGCACCTCCATCCAGTGTACATATACACATAACAATTCTCTTTCCTATGCTGAATCTAGACTTTCATCCTTCACCAATAACCAAGTATTTCACAGTATCACGGGGTGCTTCTGCCTGATGACCAGCTGGTTGATCTTGGCAATTTTATCATTTTTATTCCTTTGTAATGCCTGTGCAATTACTTAAATATTCTAATGCATTTTACGTGATACTTTAGACACATGAAAATGATACTACTAATGAAAATATAACTGAGACCAATATTAAAATCATGAAATAGGCTCAAATTTGCTATATCTTTAGCTTTACTTAAATTGTTCTACTGTGTTTAATTTTGAAGGAAAAGCACAAAATTAAGAATATATGTAGGGCTGGGTACGGTGGCTCACACCTGTAATCCCAACACCTTGGGAGGCTGAGGTCAGTGGATCACCTGAGGTTGGGAGTTCGAGACCAGCCTGGCCAACATGGCAAAACCCCGTCTCTACTAAAAATACAAAAATTAGCCAGGTGTGATGGTGCACATCTGTAATTCCAGCTACTTGGGAGGCTGAGGAAAGAGAATCATTTGAACAGGGGAGGTGGAGGTTGCAGTGAGCCAAGATCATGCCACTGCACTCCAGCCTGGGCAACAGAGTGAGACTCCATCTCAAAAAAAAAAAAAAGGAATATATGGAGGATGCAGGAATACAGATGTTCATACAATGTGGGATATGTCCCAATAAATCTTCAACAGTTGAAAATATTGTAAGGCAAAAATGCATTATTATATCTAACCTACCAAACATCACAATGTAGCCCAGCCTACCTTAAACATGTGCAGAACACTTACTTTAGTTTACAGTTGGGCAAAATCATCTAACACAAAGCCTGTTTTATAATACAGGATTTAATGTCTCACATAATTTACTGAATACTGTATACTAAAAGTGAAAAACAGAATGGTTGTATGGATACAACAGTATTTCTACTGAATGCATCTCACTTTCACATCATAATAATGTCAAAAAATCATAAGTCAAACCATCGTAAGTCAGGGATTGTCTGCATATTATTGTAGGTTGTGACTTAAAGTATAAGTTTAGTAATCGGAAAAATAGGGACGTTTAAACTTATGGAGTAAGAATTAGCATCAAAAATTTGCAATTATTCAAAGGCAGAGAGAAAATCACAAGTCCTTAAAGCTATTGATTGGATACAATTCGGTAGGAATTCTTTTATCAAGAAAAGAATAAGGACTGGCATTCTATGTTTCTTCTTATTAAAAATGCTCACAAGTTACATATCACAGTCAGCATCACAGTTTTCTGCAAAATCTCCATTAGCAAATCCTTCTCCCCAAAACAAGAATATCCCTTTTTCCAGAATAATAAATGCTATCTAAAGGAGAAAAAAAATGGTAAATTGAGGTAAGAAATTATAATGACTTTATTGTCTCTAATGTTTAATCTACATTTTTAAATTTAAAAATGCTTTTAAAATCATACTCACATTCTAGAACACATAGGGATAAAACAAAATACACATTTATACCATAATTACAGATTGTATAATACATTTAGCCCAGTATAAAAAGAATCCACCACATAGCTCAACTTCTGCAGCCACAGTACAAAGGGAGATGTTAATTAATTGGGCTCTGAGAGACAAAGAATTCTTGATTAAATAAGCTTAGGAATGCCACTTACTAAATCCAGTCTTGTAGATTCAAAAAATACATTAGCATTTTAAAGGTTATGGGAAGTCTTCACAGTTAAAAAAATCCATTTAACTTTGTTTAATAATTAAACACTCATTTATTTGCAAAGAGGAAAAATGTTTTTCCTTTCAGCACACCTATGAACAACCCATCCCAACAAAAAGAAACAAAACCATAAAAAAAGAAACAGCTTTCCTTAAATCCCAGTTTAGGAAGAGCTAAATGATGGATTTCAGAGAAAAAAAGATCTTATTATTTTGAATTTTTTTGCTGTGCCTAGTACAGTGTTTAGCAAAAAAAGCTCTTAATAAATGCCTATTAATTAAATAAAATAATGAGAGAAAATTGAAATGGAAACCAGTTTGGAGTGCTTGTGTCAGAGGCATGTGAACCAGAGAAACTCCATCTTGAATAGGAGCTGGGTAAAATAAGGCTGAAACATACTGTGCTGTATCGCAGAAAATTCAGCCAGATATTGGGCAAAATTCACCCCCAATATTTCACGTAGGTTCTTTTCTATTTTCCCTAAGTGTCGGCCGGTTTGAGAAATAAAGGGACAGAGTACAAAAGAGAGAAATTTTAAAGCTGGGCATCCAGGGGAGACATCACATGTCGGTAGGTTCCATGATGCCCCCTGAGCTGTAAAACCAGCAAGTTTTATTAGTGATTTTCAAAGGGGAGGGAGTGTATGAATAGGGTGTGGGTCACAGAGATCACATGCTTCACAAGGTAATAGAATATCACAAGGCAAATGGAGGCAGGGCGAGATCACAGGACCACAGGACTGGGGCGAAATTAAAATTGCTAATGAAGTTTCGGGCACCATTGTCATTGATAACATCTTATCAGGAGACATGGTTTGAGAGCAACCAGTCTGACCAAAATTTATTAGGTGGGAATTTCCTCGTCCTAATAAGCCTGGGAGCGCTATGGGAGACTGGGACTTATTTCATCCCTACAGCTCGACCACAGAAGATGGCCACACCCAAGGGGGCCATTTTAGAGGCCCACCCTCAGGGGCGCATTCTCTTTCTCAGGGATGCTCCTTGCTGAGAAAAAGAATTCAGCGATATTTCTCCCATTTGCTTTTGAAAGAAGAGAAATATGGCTCTGTTCCGCCTGGCTCACCGGTGGTGAGAATTTAAGGTTATCTCTCTTATTCTCTGAACATTGCTGTTACCCTGTTCTTTTTTCAAGGTGCCCAGATTTCATATTGTTCAAACACACATGCTCTACAATTTGTGCAGTTAACGCAATTATCACAGGGTCCTGAGGCTACATACATCCGCCTCAGCTGACAGGATTAAGTGATTGAAGTAAAGACAAGCATAGGAAATCACAGGGTATTGACTGGGGAAGTGATAAGTGTCCATGAAATCTTCACAATTTATGTTCAGCGACTGCAGTAAAGACAGGCAAAAGAAATTATAAAAGTATTAATTTGGGGAACTAATAAATGTCCATGAAATCTTCACAATCCATGTTCTTCTGCCATGGCTTCAGCCGGTCCCTCTGTTCGGGGTCCCTGACTTCCCGCAACATCACTGCATTCCCAGATGGCTACGGCATTCTAAGTCGCAGGATAAGATAGGAGGATGGCACAGGATTGAGGTCATAAAAACCTTGCTGATAAAACAGGTTGCAGTAAAGAAGCCCACCAAAACCCACAAAAACCCACCAAAACCAAGATGGCAATGAGAGTGACCTCTGGTTGTCCTCACTGCTATACTCCCACCAGCACCATGACAATTTACAAATACCATGGCAACATCTGAAAGTTACCCTGTATGGTCTAAAAAAGGGAGGCATGAATAATCCACTCTTTGTTTAGCATACCATCAAGAAATAATCATAAAAATGGGCAACCAGCAGCCATGGGGCTGCTCTGTCTATGGAGTAGCCATTCTTTTATTCCTCTACTTTCTTAATAAAACTTGCTTTCACTTTACTCTATGGACTCGCCCTGAATTATTTCTTGCCTGAGATCCAAGAACCCTCTCTTGGCATCTGGATCGGGATCCCTTTCCTGTAACACTTGGAGCTCTGAAAAAGCTTTAAAACATTCTTGACTTCCAACTAGTGATTTTTTTCCTCATTGCGATAACATATACATAACATAAAATTTATCATTTTAACCTTTTTTAAGTGTACAGTTCAGTGGCATTATGTACATTTACATTGTTGTGCAACCATTACCACTCTCCATTTCCAAAACTCTTTCATCATCCCAGACAGAAACACTATGACCATTAATCAATAACTCCCTATCCCTATTCCTCTCAGTCCCTGAAAACTTCTATTCTACTTTCTGTCTCTATGAATTTGACTATTTTAGGTACTTCATATAAGTGAAATTACACAATATTTGTCCCT
Source organism: Homo sapiens (assembly GCF_000001405.40). Lineage (NCBI taxonomy): Eukaryota > Metazoa > Chordata > Mammalia > Primates > Hominidae > Homo > Homo sapiens. The sequence continues at coordinate 111,595,822 of NC_000007.14, read as the reverse complement.
TTGAGTCTGGCTTATTTCACTTAACACAATGTTTTCAAGGTTCATCCATGTTGTAGCATGTAACAAAATTTCATTCCTTTTTAAGGCTGAATAATATTTCATTATATGTATATGCCACATTTAGTTTATCCATTCATTTGTTGATGGACATTTGGGTTGTTTCTACCTGTTGCCTACTGCGATATAGGGGAAGAGAAGTATTTCCTCACTTATCCCAGGTTCATGGCTGAAATGCAGATCAACAAGAGAAAAGCATATGAATTTATTCAATATAAGTTTTATGTGACATGGGAGCCTGCATAAGGCAATGAAGACCCAAAGAAGCAGATTAAACATGTGTACTTTTATGCCAAGTTTGATGAATAAATGTATAGACGTGGAGAAGTAGACTTGGACATAGTGGGTGTAATCTACCAGTAATGAATTTGGGGAAACTTAGCAAGGCCTGCCTGTTCAGATTATTCGTGTCTCTGTCTTTGGCTGCTTTATCCAGGTATTAGAGAGGGCACCTCTCACATGAGGGTGCTATGACCTGCTTCAAGGGAAGGTCAGAAAATCCTGCCTAAGTTTTATGACCTGCTTCAGAAAAGAAGGGTGGAGTAAAGTGAGGGTGACCTTCCTGATTCTGCTGTTTTCTCAAATTCTTTCAGCTTAAATAAGTATTTTGGGGTAGAGTGTCTTAAATTCTACAAGTGAATAATGCTGCTGTGAACATTGCTGTACAAGCATCTGTTTGAGCCCCTACTTTTAATTATTTTAGGTATATACCTAGAAATAGAATGCTAGATCATGTGGTAATTCTATGTTTAACTTTTTGAGGAGCTGCCATACTATTTTCCATAGTGGCTGCACCATTTTACATTCTTACCAGCAATATGGGATGGTTCTAATTTTTCTACATCCTTATTGCTATGGTTTAAATGTTTTCGTCCACTCCAAAACTCATGTTGAAACTTAATCTCCAAGGCAACAGTGTTGGGAGATAGGGCATGATGGGAGGTGTTTAAGTCATGAGGCTCCACCCTTATGAATGGATTAATGCTGCTATAAAACAGGCCTGCAGGAGTAGGTTCTCTCTCTCTCCTGCCTGTTTGTCAGTTGAGGAAACCACGTTTCTTCTCTCCAGAGAACTCAGCATTCCAGGCACTATCTTGGAAGCAGAGAGACCAGTTCTTAACTTGCCAGTCCCTTGATCATGAACTGCTCAGCCTCCAGAACTGTGAGAGAATAAATTTCTGTTCTTTATAAATTATCCAGTCTGTGGTATTTTATTACAGCAGCACAAAACGAAGTAAGACACTCACTAATGCCTAGTGTGTTCAATTTTTAAGAAACAATAGCCATTTTGATGGATGTAAAGTAGTGTCTTATTGTGATTTTGATTTGCATTTCCCTAATAACCAGTGATGTTGAACATCTTTCTATGTGCTTATTAGCCATTATTATATTTTCTTTGTCTATTTTTGAATCTCAATAAAAGATTTTTAAAAATTCTATATGACATTTTAATATACAAGTTGCCACATTTTAAAATTACACTGATCTTTAGTCACACAGGGACTTTGGTTGGAAGAGAAGATTATTCCTTGATTCTCAATTCTAGGATTTTCAGTGGAGAGCAATTGACTTTTAATTTCTTTTTTATGATCTCATAACAGAGTAAAGAGGATTCAGGACCTTCTGATTTGTCAATGCAGAGGACAGAGCTGACATAGAAATTCTTACCACTCTAAATACAAGGAAATGCTAAATAAAATATTACTAGTTCATTCAATCAATGATTTTTTTAATTCCAAATACGATCAGGGAAATTTTTTTCTTTGGCTTGTTAGCAATCATCTGAAAATATAAAATATCATTAATTATATAACACTACTTTTAAATACAATTTTGGCAGACAAATGGGAGGGTATATTAAAAAACGTTAATTTTTCCTTTTTTCAATTTCCATCTGACCTTGTATATCATGATTAACAGTTTATTTGAAGGATGTGACAAAAAAATTAAAAAAAAATAATTTCATGATTTTCCGGGATTATCTTTTTTCTCAAAGAGTCTCAAATAATATGTTTTTAAAAAATTGTAAAACGTTTCAACCAGTGTACATTTTCATGTAATCAGCACTTCCCCCAGTTTTTCTCCTTGATGTTCTTCTAGAAACTTTGTCAGGAAGACTAGTGAAGAATTTTGAATGGGCACAATTCTGGGTGTTCTGGAACGTCTGACACTGTCTGGCTTACTCTCCAAGGTAAGGTTATCTGATTCTGTTGGAACCTGTGCTTTGGACTGCCCTTGACTGAGCTATTTTACAACTCAGGAAGTTGTAAAAAATTGACTGACAGTAAAATGCAAATTATTCTTTTCCATAGACATGCTAATGAATTTTATCATAGAGATATAATTGATTTCCTCTCTGTAGAAAAGATGATTCCAAACATTACAATTTAGTACCTATAGGATCTATTAATTTGCACATATTAGCACATTTACTTCAACATTCCTGCTTGCCTACATATGACTGTTTCTATTCTTTTTTGAATAGCTTGTAATATCTTACAGGGTCCTTCATTAATTAATGAGTTAAATAAAAATTTTCACATATGCTCTTTTAATATTTGTATTTTGTCATTTTGAAAATCATCTTTTAACAAGTTTATTATCCTCAATAGGTATTATGTACTCAGTTCTCTCATCAGCTTAGGTAAACCTATAATATAAACAAAAGTTTACCTTTGAACAAATTAAATTTTTTCCAAATAGAAAGAAAGTCAACATTTACTAGGTTTTGCCTGCTTGCTTATTAATAAAATATATGCTGATTAATTTTAAAAAGCATTATTTAATGTTCCCTTACCTCCTCTCTACCCTCTAAATTCTAATTGTCTGTTGCTTATTCAATCTAGGGCTCATTTCCTTTTTGACAAGATTACTAGGCTGATAGATAAAGGAAATGTTATAGACACAGTATATCTGGACTTAAACATTGTATTTATCCTAGGTTGGATAGTTTTCTGTATAATAGGATAAGTGCCAACTGGGTAAAACTGCAAATAATTCTGGCCCTGCCCGGTTGAACATTTTATTAACGACTGTTATGCCTATTGTGGGGCTGACTTAGATTAATTTTTGTGGAACACATTCTGTTTGTCAGGCACTTTTACTATATCATTTAATTTATGATTATTATCTTTATCCTGTATGTACTCAAGGGCCAAATTAAGATCAGTGATTAAAAGTTATAGAGAAAATCATTTCACTGAATATAAGAATAACTTCTTAGTGGTTAGAACTCTCTGAAAATGGAATAGTAAATTTCATGAAACAGAATATAACAGAATGATTAAGAACATAAAGTTTAGTGTCAGGTAGACCTTCATCTGTGTGCTCCAGGTTCACCATACAGTAGCTTCTTGAGCTTGGGGAAATTCCTTCTTTGTTTCCTCATCTGTGAAATTAGGATATTAGTAGTACCTACCTCATAATGTTTTTGTGAGAAGTAAAGGAGATAACATTTTAAAGTGCTTTTAGCACATAGTAAGCCTTCAACAAGTGAGAACTTAAAAAAATACTATTATTATTATTATTATTATTTTGTTTGTGGTTTATGGAGAATGAGAAACACATGGAGCAGAATCACCCCAGATGAGCTCAGCCTACCCTTAGCTAATCTGTAGATGCTTGAACAATAATAAATGTTTTAAACCACTGAGTTTTGGGAATGGCTTGTTATAGAGCAATAGCTTACCGATACATCAAGGTCCCTTTCACCTCCAAAATTTCATAATACTGTGGGATTATGCTATACATGTTGCCTCTTATTTGAAAGGTGAATTACAGGCACTTCTCAACCATGAAGTAAAGAGTAAAATGTATCTATTTCTCATCACTGATGCTTGCCTAAGTTTCCACTTACGAGAGAATTGCTGTCTCAAGAAGCAATACAGGATTACTAATCATCTTTCTCATTTCTTCTACAATTCTTTCACATATTATCTCTCAGAAGGATAGATGTTTTCTGGCTTGTTACTACAAAAAAGTCTAAGTCTACATCACAAGTATAAAATGACTTATCAATTAATTTAAAAAGCATTGCTTGGTGTTTTCAAGGTATTCAAATATATATTCTTAAGCATTTAAACATTAATCTTTTATGAACTGTTCCCGACATTGCTAATGGATGAGTAGGAGAAAGAGAGTTCTAATAGCCTCATTCATGTCTTCAGAAGTCTAGGAGTCCCCAGTTTATTTAAAATTCTGGTTAATTTTAGTTACTCATGCTCAAGGATACTCTCTGAGCATCATGTCCAATTTACTTTCAGTTTTTGAATTTACTCCTAGTTGTGTACAAGAAATGCAATTAGCAATTCTTGTTTATTTGGGACTGATTATCCAAATTACTATTTCCCTTTCTATTTTGCTTAATTTCAAAGCTCCTTTACAGAAATTAAACAGGCCCATAAAAGGAGATAAAAACTCAAATCACACAGTTTTTATTTTATTATGTGGTGAAAAGTATTAAAATGTTTTTGATATCATTTTCAATTAACTATGAATTTTATCAGTAATTCATTCCTCTGCCCCATCTTAGCATAGTAGTGTTTAAGATATGTTTACAAAGTTTAAGGCAATAGTAAGGTTTAATTAGGTAACCAGTTATTTTGAAAGAACCAGGTTGTTTAATTGAATTCAGCCTTTTCTTTTTTGAAATAGGTTTTTCAGTTTGGTGAAATAGCAAATTATTGAGATTGTGAAGGGCTTATGTTGGCCTTTCTATAATAACCTTAGGTATCCCCATCCATTATTAATTCAAGAATTAAAATTAATCCTTGGGACAAAGGAATAAATCCTATATTGAGTAGTGAGATGTGCAGATTCTTCTTAAAGTTCTGATATTCAGCTCTTCTATGGTCTTGGACAACTTTTCCAATATTAATGCAAAAAGACACTTATTGGGATGTCCACTGATTCTGTCTTCTCTGGGAACTGTTCTTCCTGTTCACAGGGGTAGACCTCTGACAATCAGGTTTGCTCTACAAGGCCCCTACCCACTGGTTTAGCTCATTAGAATATAGGCAAGTTCTTAGTTGTAAACAACATAAAATCATTCTGGTATATTTGAGGAAAAAAAACATTATTAGAAGAGTTTAGGAACGCTCACAGAATCAATGAGAAGAACTGAAGATTGGGCTTGGAAAGAAATGAGCAATAATTAAGGGAGGCCATAACTCAGGACATTTAAAATTATGCTGCAGAAAGAACCTGGTTAGGACATGACTGCTGTCTTTGCCGAGCAGTCACCACTGTATCATCAGATGCTGGAAGCCACTACTGCCACCAGAACCAGAAGCCACTGCCATTGGTGCCACAGCCATAGAAAAATTCCAAATTGTGTGTATCACTTGATAAAGTTCCAGGCAAAAACATCATATTGGTGGGACTTGGGTCACATGTCTTTGTTTTAGGAACCAAAAGGTGGGGAGATGAAATATCTGCTCACCTAACTGAAGATTCTTTATAATTAGAAAGATGTTTTGATATTGAACACACACCACTGATGAAGGTTCACTATAAGGACAAACTGGTCAACCAGATTTTCTCCCTGGACATATCTGAAAAAAAACCAACAATGGTTTTGGCATACTACCCTTGGTTTCTCAAAGAAAAGACATATGAAGTTGGAAGCTGCTGAGTGACCATGATCTTACCTGGTATGTGGAAAGAGAAACAGAGAAAGCCTAACTTCAGAGAAAATAAATAAATAAAGCAAACATGCAGAGAGAAGAAGATATGAGAGATGAAGAAAGATCTGGTAACTTTTCTATCTCTTTCTTAGGCCTGAGTGCCCTTCTGAATTCTTAAATTCTTTTCTTGCTTAGGCTGGCTCGATACAGTTTCTGTTGCATACAGCTTAAGGCAACAGAGAATCTTATTTAATATACAAAGTGCTACCTGTGATAGGGTTCGGAGTAACAGATTCTTAATCAGAAAATATAAAATGAGTGAAGTTAAGGCAGGTGTCAGATTGGGAGGAGCCTCACACTCCCACCTACCACCCCAATCTTAGGATAGAAACTTACAGTCTTTCTGCAATATTGAAGTAAGTAGGAAAACCTGCTCATTGTCTCTTACATCTCAGATCATTCTCCACCAAGCCATGGGGGGCCTTGGTAGAAAATATTAGTATATATCTATTTTTTGTAGCTGTCAGTATAAGGTGCAGAAGAAAAAAACCAACTTAGATTTGCTTGACTGGAAGCACAGAGAGAAAATCTGAGCTTCTAAATAGATTGCTGGCCGGGTGCAGTGGCTCACGCCTGTAATCCCAGCACTTTGGGAGGCCAAGGCGGGCGGATCACTTGAGGTCAGGAGTTCAAGACCAAACTGGCCAACATGGCGAAAGCCTGTCTCTCTTAAAAATACAAAAATTAGCTGGGCATGGTGGCAGGCACCTGTAATTCCAGCTACTCGAGAGGCTGGGGAAGGGAGAATTGCTTGAACCTGGGAGGTGGAGGTTGCAGTGAGCAAAGATCATGCCACTGTACTCCAGTGAGCACAGCAAGACTGTCTCAATCAATTAATCAATCAATTGCTGAGGTACTGATGAAGAAATAAATCAAGGAAATGTGAATTGCAGTAGTCAAGTTCTGAGTTGACTCTCCTTTTTGTAGTTAGGATAAATAAATGTCTGGACCAAGAAAACGCAAGATCCTGGAAACAGGAATGGGAATATCCTGGAAGAAGCAGAAGAGTGGAGAAAGACTGACCATACTTCTACCTCCCACCCCCATCCTTCCAAAGTCCTTCTCACTAGCTAAAATAGGAGAATAGGGACAATATTTCCATAGCTGATAAGAAAGGAAGGAGTTCTGTTATGCTAGCTACCTCGTATCAGGCCATAGTTTTTTTTGTTGTTGTTGTTTTAGAGATGGGGTCTTGCTATGTTGCCCAGATGGTCTTGAACTCCTGGGCTCAAGTGATCCTCCCACCTTGGCCTCCTAAAGTACTGGGATTACAGGCATGATCCACTGCACCCGGCCAGGCTATAGTTTTTGTTTGTTTGTTTGTTTTTTTTGAGACAGAATCTTTCCTTGTCACCCAGGCTGGAGTGCAATGGTGTGATCTTGGCTCACTGCAACCTCTGCCTCCCAGGTTCAAAGGATTCTCCTGCCTCAGCCTCCTGAGTGGCTGGGATTACAGGCCCCTGCTACCACGCCCAGCTAATTTTATAGTTTTTAATTCATGTATTAAAGACCATATGGATGGTGAAACCTTCAGACTTACTTCAAAAACGAACAAAACAGAACATACGCCTGAGTAGAGTGAACAAGTCCTGGCTATTCAATTTGGAGCATGACCTAACAAGATTTGTGGTGCTGGATTTTAGCAAATGGAGTCCAAAATGGATGTGAGAGCCAACCAGAAATGTTTTACAAGAATGAAAATGTCAGTGAAAAATACTAAATCTGGTGAAAGGGACCCATAGTTGACTCATACCAGAAGAGTCAATTCTTAGGAAATTTTCAGACACAATCCAAAGAAGAAATAACACAAACTGAAAGTTCACTATAGGGTCAAGAAACACGCCAAAGGAGTGAGTCAAAATTATGCCCAAATAAGTCACCTGTTCTTTCAAGCTTTTCAAACTGCCACTGTCCAGCAGAATAAATCACAGACCAGTGACCACTATGTGGAGCTTTCTTTCCGTCGCTATTTCTCTATATGGCCATTTCCCCAAGTGTTGTATATTAGATATATTGAGAGTGGTTACGTTTGTAATTTAATCTCTAAATTTTAAGAAAATGAGAACAAAATTAAAACTGGATTCGGGGAGGAAATGGACCTCATCCAGAAATTTTACACAGGAAGAGCAGTGACCTCAAGGCAACATCACTTCCTAATGTAATGGATTATCCACTCATTACTTGGGTAGTCCTCCACTGCAGAGCATGTGTGAATGAGTGTGTGTGTACTTGTGTGTATTTGCATTTGAACGTGAGGTAGCTGGATATTATGAGTCAAGAATAACTTTATAATGTAAACGAAGAAGTGTATGCATTCTGAGTGTACTTATTCATGTATCTGTCTAGCCATCTTTTACCAAAAATCGCCTGTCCTATCTGTAATGGTTGTCCCCTGGCCATGCTGTTTATGCATCGAGAGACTCTCCTAAAACCATAATTGATTGGACGTAGATGAATAACTGGTTCAAAGTGGGTGAGTTAACTTCCCTATCTCCAGAAATAAGAATTGGTAATTGCGGGAAGGCTATTCTCTTCCCATCTGCACATTCCTACCTTAGTCCATCGTATAAAATATCTTTGAAAATGTTATGAGGAAAGTTTCTGCCCTTATCTCCGTTTTTCAGCAACTCAACCCTGAGGGAGTTGGTGGAGTGACTTACTTAATTAGTAGGTTTCAGTAAAGGGTCATTGCACATGTCTGACCAGATCCTTTATTCTCCTTTTGCATATGTGCAAGTGCAATGTGCTCACCTCCTGGACGTCTTTCCCATCTGATAAGCTCGTCAGGTCAGGCCGCCAGATCAGGCCATCTCCTGAGATGCAATCTGGATATCTGCCTGGACTGGCTGAATTCAATTCAAAGGCAAAGGAAAGTTGCAGAAAAGTACATTTTGGCCTCAAGTTTAAGCCACATTATCCCATCCAGTTTTACTGTGGCTATTTCTTAATTGGCTTAGCATTCAGAAGGGAGAATAATGTGATTAATTGGCTGCATAAAGTCCAGAATAATTTAGGCACCCAATCATTCTGGACTGGTCCCTTGAATGATAGAGATGTAAATTGGGGATCTGTGGCATAAATATCTCCTACCCATTATGTGGTTGGGAAGCATAGAAAATACATCTGCAGAAATAGAGAACAAAGCAGTTGTTAGAGAGAAACAGGGTGAAGATACAGAGAGAGAGAGAGCTTTGGCCTCAGTCCGACCCTAGAGACAGCTGCATTACACTGGCCTTAGGTTCTGTGAAATACCATTTATTCTTATACTGTATTTTGTTTTTGCTCAGGCTAGCTCAAATTGCTTTATAATTTACAAAGAATCCTAACTAATATACCCTCTGAACTTTACTATTTTCATTCATACATAGCCATTTAAATACATTTTCTATGTGTGTCACTTGGAGAACAAAATGAGATGATACACACCAAAAAAAAAAAATCACAAACACTGAGTCTTTTTGATAATATCCCCGATAAATGGTCGTCCAGCCTTTTACCTTGACAAGAAATCACTATTGCTTGAGGGAGTCTGCTCTCATTTCAGAATTCTCTAGTTGCTAGAAAGTGGATATATATAGTAAGTCAAAATTTTCTTTCCTGTAACTTCATCTCATTTATCCTAATTCTTTCCTCTTGGGTCATACAGAACAAATGCAATCCCTCTTGTTCAGGAGAGCTCTCGAAGTTTATGAGGACAGCTATTAAATTCTCACCTAAGTCTTTTCTTTTATAGGCTGAATATTTTCAGGCTGTTTAGGTATAGGTCATGATTTCACTGCATCACTGTGCCTGTAATAACCAAGTAAGTCTGGACATATAAACTGAAGAGATAAAAACAATTTTGATTAAGTCTTGATCATTGAAAAAGAAAAAGTCTTTGTTAATAAGGTAATTGGGACAGTATTTGCCTTTTATAGTGTTTCTAAATCCCTGACAAATATCTTCAGGATTCAGGTTAAAAAAAATACAAATTCCTGGGAATTCTCAAAACAGAATTCATCCTATTTTTTTTTGTGATATTTACATGTTTTTATTATTTTTTTTAAAGACAGAGTCTTGCTCTGTTGCCCAGGCTGGAGTGCAGTGGCACGATCTTGCCTCACTGCAACCTCCACCTCCCAGGTTCAAGTGATTCTCCAGCCTCAGCCTCCTGAGTAGCTGGGATTACAGACACGCACCAACGCGCCTGGCTAATTTTTGTATTTTTAGTAGACACGGGGTTTCACCATGTTGGCCAGGCTGGTCTCGAACTTCTGACGTCAAGTGATCCAGCCACCTCTGTCTCCCAAAGTGCTGGGATGACAGACGTGACCCACTGTGCTGAGCCTGTGTTTTCAAATTTTGATAAGTGACCACAATAATAGTGGTGTGTCATTTTTGATGATAGAATTATGCTAAAAGTTTCAGAGGTTTTCTATAAAAATAAAAATACAATATTAACTGCATTTGATGAGATTATGTATTTTAATAACATGTAAAAATGATCTATACCTGATGATAGAAAAAACTAAAAAAGTATCACTAACACCAAATAAAATCAATTAAAAAATTGAAAGCTGTTACAAATATTTAAAAGTTATTCTTAAAATAAAAATTTAAAACACACAAAACATGAATTGCCCTATCTGATAGTGTTGGTCTTTGTTTTGTGACAAATATTCCGAATGTAGAAAAATTTATTTCCTTTTGTTTTGATGTTAGTTGAATTGAGCTCATCCAAAAGCATCTTGAAGTTGAGTATTACAGCACACATACCTTTATATAGCTCAGCTTTATTTTGTCAGCTTGCCCTGGTTTTAGAAATTGATATTCCTTTTGATAATTCAGGTTTTAGATCAGTTGCTGATTTTATGTTGGAATATTCCATAAAAATCCCTATCTTCTTTGCATTTCTTCTATTAAAGTGTTTATAAGGAGGACTTCTGGTTCTGGGCAAATGGAAGTAGCCTCATTCCTCCCAGACCCTCTTTCTTACAACTAAAAAAACCCTGGCCATAACTCAACAAACAAGCACAGGAAGACTCTAACACTGAAAAGAAGAAGGTGAACTACTTAGGAACCTGGGGACCCAAGGAATGACATGGCACTGAGTTCCCTGGATTTCCTTATTGCCTCTCATATATTCCAGACAGGGTCCTGCAGAAGCTTTCAACTTGGAGCCACTAACAAACATACACAAAAAGCCCCAAGATGAGCCTGTTCGTTCCCCGTAGCCAGAACTTTTTGGCGATACCTGCCCTACTCAGGGCAAATACCAGTGTAACAACTGCACCCTCCCTTTCTCAAAGTTTGAGTAGAATAGGACAGGAGGCTGATTTTTTACTCCACTCACTGGAGGCAGGCAGCAGCACTGTGATCCCACTCAGGGTGGCTTTGCCTGGCTGAGCAGGGATCTGGTTTTCTATCCCTCACCTTGTGTTGGCAGGGTGCAGCAATGAGCTGAGCTTGCACCCACAGTGAGACTCAAAGAGACGGTGGGATGCAGGGCTCATCACAGTTATGCTTCAGTCTAGTGTCAGTGGTAACCAATAGGAAGCTGAGACTCCACTCCCATCCAGCATCAACAACTGAACTGGGTCGTGTGACTCAAGTCTGGTCAGTACTCCACTTACCCCCACACCTCCATGTAGGCAGGGCCCAGTGGGTTGCTGAGTCTTCACTTCCACCTGGCATCAATGAGACAGAACAAAGCGGTAGAGGCAGGGATAGTTGGCACTTTGCTTGTCTCCCTCTCCTCCTCTGGCATCAGGGAGGCCCAGCAGAGAGTTGAGAACCTAATTTCTACCCCAATCCTGCTGTAATAAAATGGTGTGAATCAATCATCTGCTTCCACCTTTCTAGTGGCACCTGAACTTAGAGGTGTGAGCGAATATCTCACTTTGACTGGGAAGGTGTCAACAGGGCAAGGGGTAGCTGAACTTCCAACTCACATGTTGTGGGCTGAATTGTGTTTCCCATCCTAAAGTCATATGTTGAAGCTCTAATCCCCAGTACCTCAGAATGTGAATGTATTTACAGATAGTTCCTAAAAGAAATATTAAATTAAAATGAGGTTATTAGGGTGGCCCTTAATCCAATCTGACTGGGGTCCTAATAAGAAGAGGAGATAAGGACACACATAGAGACACCAGTGGCATGTGTACCCAGAGGGGCAACTATGTGAGGATACGGTGAGTGGGTGGCCATCTGTAAGCCAAGGAGAGAGGCCTCAGAGGAAGCCAACCCTGTCAACACCTTGATCTTGGACTTCCAGCCTCCATAACTGTGAGAAAATAAATTTCTGTTTTTGGTTTGTTTGTTTGTTTGTTTTTGAGACGGATCTCACTCTGTTGCCCAGGCTGGAGTGCAGTGGCGCAATATTGGCTCACCACAACCTCTGCCTCCCGGGTTCAAGCAATTCTCCTGCCGCAGCCTCCCGAGTAGCTGGTACTACAAGCATACACCATCATGCCAGGCTAAGTTTTATATTTTTAGTAGAGACGGGGTTTCACTATGTTGGCCAGGCTGGTCTCAAACTCCTGAACTTGTGATCCGCCCACCTCAGCCTCCCAAAGTGCTGGGATTACAGGTGTGAGCCACCGCGCCTGGTCAAATTTCTGTTTTTTAAGCCATCCAATCTGTCGCATTTTGTTATGGCAGCACTAGAAAATGAATACCCTCCCCCCCGCCCCCCACCCCGCCCCCCCATAGACATCTGGACAGGATGAATAAGTACTGCATGTTTGTCTGGAAGGTGTTGGTGGGCCCACTGGGAGACCAAACATACAAAATCACCTGCCTTCTTGCTACACCCCAACAGGAGGCCTACCTGATTAAAAAAGATTAAATAGAATCCAGAGTCTTATACTATAATATCCAAAATATCCAGAATATAATTGAACATCATTCCTCATACCAAGAACCAGGAAGATCACAATTTGAATGAGAAAAGAAAATCAACAGATGCTAAAATCAAGATGAATCAGATGTTGGAACGATCTAATATGGATTTTAAAGTAGTTATTATAAAAATGTTTTAACCAGCAATTACAAATTCTCTTGACACAAATAAAAAATAAAATATCTCAGCAAATAAATAAGTTAAAAAAGAACCAAATAGAAATTATAGAACTAAAACATAAAGCAATGAAATAAAAAATTTGCTGGATGGGTTCAATAGTAGAGTCAAGATGACTAAAGATAGAATTGATGAACTTCAGGACACATCAATAGAATTTATCCAACCTGACTGGGTGTGGTGGCTTATGTCTGTAATCCCAGCACTTTGGGAGGCTCAGGCAGGAGAATCCCTTGAGCCCAGAAGTTTTATACCAGCATGAGCAACACACAGAGACCCTGTCTCTACAATAATAATAATGATAATAACAATTTACCCAACCTGAACAATAGAGAAAATAGACTAGAACAAAAAATTGAACAGACTGAGGAACCTGTGGGACAATAACAAAAGAGCTAGCATTTGCATTATTGGAGTTTCAGAAGTACAGGAGAAAGAGTGAGACTGAAAAGGTATTTGAAGAAATAATTTGTTAATATGTCCTAAATTTGGCAAAAGATATAAACCTATAGATATAATGAGAGGTGACAGCCTGCTGGCAGTCCTCACAGCCCTTGCTCGCTCTGGGCGCCTCCTCTGCCTGGGCTCCCACTTTGGCGGCACTTGAGGAGCCCTTCAGCCCACCGCTGCACTGTGGGAGCCCCTTTCTGGGCTAGCCAAGGCCGGAGCCCACTCCCTCAGCTTGCAGGGAGGTGTGGAGGGAGAGGCACGAGCGGGAACCGGGGCTGCATGTGGCACTTGCGGGCCAGCTGGAGTTTCGGGTGGGCGTGGGCTTGGCGGGTCCCGCACTCGGAGCAGCCGGCCGGCCCTGCCGGCCCGGGGCAATGAGGGACTTAGCACCCGGGCCAGCGGCTGCGGAGGGTGTACTGGGTCCCCCAGCAGTGCCAGCCCACCGGCGCTGCGCTCGATTTCTCGCCGGGCCTTAGCTGCCTTCCCGCGGGGCAGGCCTCGGGACTGCAGCACGCCATGCCTGAGCCTTCCCCTGCCTCCGTGGGCTCCTGTGCAGCCCCAGCCTCCCCGATGAGCGCCACCTCCTGCTCCCCAGCACACAGTCCCATCGACCACCCAAGGGCCGAAGAGTGCAAGCGCATGGCGCGGGACTGGCTGGCAGCTCCACCTGCATCCCTGGTGGGAGATCCACTGGGTGAAGCCAGCTGGGCTCCTGAGTCTGGTGGGACCTTGGAGAACCTTTATGTCTAGCTCAGGGATTGTAAATACACCAATCGGCATTCTGTATCTAGCTCAAGGTTTGTAAACACACCAATCAGCACCCTGTGTCTAGCTCAGGGTTTGTGAGTGCACCAATCGACACTCCGTATCTAGCTGCTCTGGTGGGGCCTTGGAGAACCTTTATGTCTAGCTCAGGGATTGTAAATACATCAATTGGCATTCTGTATCTAGCTCAAGGTTTGTAAACACACCAATCAGCACTCTGTGTCTAGCTCAGGGTTTGTGAGTGCACCAATTGACACTCTGTATCTAGCTGCTCTGGTGGGGCCTTGGAGAACTTTTGTGTGGATACTCTGTATCTAACTAATCTGATGGGGACGTGGAGAACCTTTGTATCTAGCTCAGGGATTGTAAACGCACCAATCAGTGCCCTGTCAAAACAGACCACTCGGCTCTACCAATCAGCAGAATGTGGGTGGGGCCAGATAAGAGAATAAAAGCAGGCTGCCCAAGCCAGCAGTGGCAACCCGCTCAGGTCCCCTTCCACACTGTGGAAACTTTGTTCTTTCGCTTTTTGCAATAAATCTTGCTACTGCTCACTCTTTGGGTCCACACTGCTTTTATGAGCTGTAACACTCACCGCGAAGGTCTGCAGCTTCTCTCCTGAAGCCAGCGAGACCAGGAGCCCACCGGGAGGAAGGAACAACTCCAGATGCGCCGCCTTAAGAGCTGTAACACTCACCGCGAAGGTCTGCAGCTTCACTTCTGAGCCAGCGAGACTATGAACCCACCAGAAGGAAGAAACTCCGAACACATCCGAACATCAGAAGGAACAAACTCCAGACGCGCCACCTTAAGAGCTGTAACACTCACTGCGAGGGTCCGCGGCTTCATTCTTTAAGTCAGTAAGACCAAGAACTCACCAATTCCGGACACAATAGGAGATGGAGTGAACCCCAAATAGGAGAAATCCATGCCAAGACATTTCAATTAAACTTTTGAATAGTAAAGACAAATAAAGTACTGAAAGCATCCAGAGGGAAACAGCACATAACTTATAGAGGGGTACACCAATTTGAGTGAGAGCAGATTTCTCATCTGGAGGCGAAAAGGAAGTATTAATAACAAAACATTTTCAAGTACTGAAAGAAAAGAACTGTCAATTCTATCTGATGAAAATATATTGCTTCAGAAATCAGTGGGAAATAAAGACATTCTCAGATGAATGAAAATAGAATTTGTTAACTGTAGTCAATAATATATTTTGATCATGTGCAGGCTTAGCCATTGCTTCATTATTTTGTGTTTATTATTCCAGCTAAATCTACTCTCTCAGTGTTTTTGGTTTTTATAGTTATTAAGAAGATATGAAGATATGAATCTTGGGTTGGTTTTTATTTCAACAAATTTTTACCATGTGTGGTTTTATTTTGAATTGTTTCTCCCATTACTAGTTACTATAAATTGCTGGTTTGTAATTGTTATCTGGCTAATTCATTAGATAATTTAAGGAATTCTTTCAGATATCTCAGGATTATCAATAAAAAGTCAATCAAAACCAGTCCCCCCCGTTTTTTTACCCCCACTGTAGAGTACCAGGAAATCCCTGGACAAAATGTGAGGCAGGCCCGGGTCTCCTACATAACTGCTTCCTTCATTCATGGATCTAAGGATTTGGTCAACTATTACTAGGATAGTCATTTAGCAAGGCTTATGTATTTCCATTACCAAGAGATAATCTACATATGTTGTGATAAAGAAATGAAAAAGATGAGATATTCACTAGCTTTTATGTTTTGCCCTCACTTATTTTTCTGTTTTCTACTTTATTATAAGCTTATAAAAGAAGAGAGGAACCCTGCCTCTCAGTGTACCAAATAAGAAAGGCAAAGTTGTAATTGGTTAACATCATTATCAATCATCTTGTATATAAAAGACAGAGGCAGATCACCTACCTGTGAAAATCTGAGTAGGGCATGTCTATGGAGCTTGATCTTTGATGCTTCTCTTTTTTATTCTAGCTTTTCCTATCTTTTTTTGTTAGTTCAAAATTTGCTTTATTTATTCCTATAAACTTTTTGTATCCATCCCATCAAGTAGTTATCCTTTGAGCTACAATCTAATTATACTTTTTAAGTTACTTTAAAATATACAATTGTTTGTTATTATTGACTTAAGAGTCACTCTGTTGTGCTATCAAATAGTAGGTCTTATTCTTTTTCTTTTCTCTTTTTCTTTTTTTATTTTTATTTTTTATTTTATTATTATTATATTTTAAGTTTTAGGGTACTTTCTCTTTTTCTTTTTCTTTTATTTTTTTTTGAGACAGAGTCTCCCTCTGTCACCAGGCTGGAATACAGTGAGTGATGCAATCTCAGTTCACTGCAACCTCCACCTCCTGGGTTCAAGTGATTCTCATGCCTCAGCCTCCTGAGTACCTGGGATTACAGCTGTGCACCACCACCCTGGCTAATTTTTGTATTTTTAGTAGAGACAGGGTTTTGCCATGATGGCCAGGCTGCTCTTGAACTCCTGGCCTCAAGTGATCTGCCCGCCTTGGCCTCCAAAAGTGCTGGGATTATAGGTGTGAGCCACTACACCCAGCCTTATTCATTCTTTCTAACTAATGTTTTTGGTACCCATTAACCATCCCCACCTCCCCCAACCCTCCCACTACACTTCCCAGCCTCTGGTAACCATCCTTCTACTCCCTATCTCCATGAGATCAATTATTTTGATTTTTAGATTCTACAAATAAGTGAGAACATGTGATGTTTGTCTTTCAGTGCCTAGCTTATTTCACTTCACAAATGATCTCCACTTCCATCCATATTGTTGCAAATGACTGGATTCCATTCTTTTTTATGACTGAATAGTATTCCATTGTTTATATGTACCACATTTTCTTTATCCATTACTTGCTGATGAACACTTAAGTTGCTTCCAAATCTTAGCTATTATAAACAGTACTGCAACCAACATAGGAGTGCAGAGATCTCTTTGATGTATTGCTTTTCTTTCTTTTTGGTATATACCCAGCAGTGGGATTGCTGAATCACACAGTAGCTCAAGTTTTAGTTTTTTGAGGAACTTCCAAATTGTTCTCCACAGTGGTTGTACTAATTTACATTCCTAGAAACAGTGTATAAGGATTCCTATTTCTCCATATCCTCACCAGCATTTCTTATTGCCTGTCTTTTGGACGTAAGCTATTATGACTGGGATGATATTATATCTCATTGTAGTTTTGATTTCCATTTCTCTGATGATTAATTATGTTGAGCACCTTTTCATATGCCTGTTTGCTATTTGTATGTCTTCTTTTGAAAAATGTCTATTCACATTTATGCAGCCAACAGACACATGAAAAAATGCTCATCATCACTGGCCATCAGAGAAATGCAAATCAAAACCACAATGATATACCATCTCACACCAGTTAGAATGGCAATCATTAAAAAGTCAGGAAACAACAGGTGCTGGAGAGGATGTGGAGAAATAGGAACACTTTTACACTGTTGATGGGACTGTAAACCAGTTCAATCATTGTGGAAGACAGTGTGGCGATTCTTCAAGGATCTAGAACTAGAAATACCATTTGACCCAGCCATCCCATTACTGGGTATATACCCAAAGGATTATAAATCATACTGCTACAAAGACACATGCACACGTATGTTTATTGTGGCACTATTCACAATAGCAAAGACTTGGAACCAACCCAAATGTCCATCAATGATAGACTGGATTAAGAAAATGTGGCACATATACACCATGGAATACTATGCAGCCATAAAAAATGATGACTTCATGTCCTTTGTAGGGACATGAATGAAGCTGGAAACTATCATTCTGAGCAAACTATCGCAAGGACAGAAAACCAAACACCGCTTGTTCTCACTCATAGGTGGGAATTGAACAATGAGAACACTTGGACATAGGAAGGGGAACATCACACACTGGGGCCTGTCGTGGTGTGGGGGGAGTCGGGAGGGTTAGCATTAAGAGATATACCTAATGTAAATGATGAGTTAATGGGTGCAGCACACCAACATGGCACATGTATACATATGTAACAAACCTGCACATTGTGCACATGTACCCTAGAACTTGAAGTATAATTTTAAAAAAAAGTAAAAAAATAAAAAATAAAGAAAAATGTCTATTCACATCTTTGGTCCATATTTTGATTGAATTATTAGATTTTTTTTTCTCCTATAGAGTTGTTTGAGGTCCTTCTATATTCTGGGTACTAATCCCTTGTCAAATGGGGAGTTCACAAATATTTATTCCCATTCTGTGGGTTGTCTCTTCACTCTGCTGATTTCCTTTGATGTGCAGGAGCTTTTTAACTTGATGTGATCCCTTTTGCCCATGTTTGCTTTGGCTGCCTGTTCTTGTGGAGTATGGCTCAAGAAATTTTTACACAACCCAATGTCCTGAAGATTTTCCCCACTGTCTTCTTGCAGTAGTTTCGTAGTTTGAGGTCTTCAATTTAAGTCTTTAATCCATTTCAGTTTGATTTTTGTATACGGTGAGAGATAGGGGTCAAATTTCATTCTTCTGTATTTAAATATCCAGTTTTCCCAGTGCTATTTATTGAAGAGACTGTCTTTTCCTCAGTGTATGTTCTTGGCACCTTTGTCAAAAACGAGTTCACTGTAGATGTGTGGATTTTTTTCTAGGTTCTCTATTTTGTTCCATTGGTCTCTGTGTCTGTTTTTATGCCAGTACCATGCTGTTTTGGTTACTATAGCTCTGTAGCATAATTTGAAGTCAGGTAATGTGATTCCTCCAATTTTGTTCCTTTTGCTCAGGAGAGCTTTGGCTAACCTGGGTATTTTGTGGTTCCATATAAATTTTAGGATTGTTTTTTCTATTTCTGCGAAGAATGCCATTGATATTTTGACAGGGATTGCATTGAATCTGTAATTCTTTGGGTAGTATGGGCCTTTTAACAATATTGATTCTTCAAATCCATGCATATGGAATATTTCTTCATTTTTTTGGTGTCCTCTTCAATTTCTTCAATTGGTGTTTTATCATTTTCATTATAGAGATTTTTCACTTCTTTGGTTAAATTAATTCCCAGGTATTTAATTTTATGTGTGGTTATTGTAAATGGGATTACTTTTTAAATTTGTTTTTCACATTGTTCACTGTTGGCATATAGAAATGCTACTGATTTTTGTATGTTGATTTTATATCCTGAAACTTCACTGAATTTGTTGATCATTTCTAATAGTTTTCTTGTGGAGTCTTTAGGTTTTTCCAAATATAATATCATCTGTAAACAAGGATAATTTGACTTCCTCCTTTCCTATTTGAATGTCCTTTACATCTTTCTCTAGTTTGATTGGTCTATCTAGGACTTCCAGTATAACTTGAATAACACTGTTGACAGAGGGTACCTTTGTCATGTTCCAGACCTTAGAGGAGAGGCTTTCAGTTTTTCCTTATTCATTTTGATGCTTGCTGTGGGTCTGTCATATATAGCTATTATTATGATGAGACATGTTCCTTCTATCCCCAGTTGTTTGAGGGTTTTTATCATAAAGGGATTTTGAATGTTATCAGATGCTTTCTCAACATGAATTGAAATGATCATGTGGTTTTTTTCCTTCATTCTGTTGATATGATGCATCACACTGGCTGATTTGCACATGTTGAACCATCCTTGCAACCCTGGAATAAATTCCACTTGGTCGTGGAATTTATTGAGAATTTTTTCATCGATATTCATCAGATATTGGCTTATACTTACTTATTTATTTATTTATTTAAATGTGTCTTTGTCTACTTTTGGTATCAGGGTAATATTGGCCTTGTAGAATGAGGTTGGAAGTCTTCTCTCCTCTTCTATTTTATAGAATAGTTTGAGTAGGATTGGCATTAGTTCTTATTTAAAAGTTTGATAGAATTCAGTAGTGTAGCCATCACGTCTCAGTCTTTTCTTTACTGGGAGACTTTTTATTATGGCTTCAATCTTGTTACTTGTTATTGGTCTGTTCAGGTTTTGGATTGCTGCCTGGTTCAGTCTTGGTAGGTTGTATGTATCTGGCAATTTGTTCATTTTGTCTATATTTTCCAATTCATTGGCATCTGGTTGCTCATAGTAGCCACTAATGGGCCTTTGAATTTCTGTAGTATCAGTTTTAATGTCTCTTTTTTCATTTCTGATTTTATTTATTTGGATTTCTTTCTCTTTTTTTCTTAGTTTGGTTAAAGGTTTGTCGATTTTGTTAATCTTTTCAAAAAACCTACTTTTTATTTCATTGGTCTTTTGTATTTTTTTCATTTCAATTTTATTTATCTCTACTCTGATCTTTATTATTTCTTTTCTTCTACTAATTTTCTTCTCCTAATTTTGGATTTGGCTTGCTTTTGCTTTTCCAGTTCTTTAAGAGGCATCCTTAGATTGCTTATTTGAAGTTTTCCTGTTTTATGATTTAAGCACTTATAGTTATTAGGTTGGTGCAAACATAATTGTGGTTTTGCCATTACTTTTAATTACTTTTAATGGCAAAAACCACAATTACATTTGCACCAACATAAATAAACTTCCCTCTTAGTACTGCTTTTGCTGTGTCCCATGGGTTTTGGTATGTCATATTTCCTTTATCATTTGTTTCAAGAAACTTTTCAATTTTCTTCTTAATTTCTTCATTGACCTGCTCATCATTCAGGAGCACATGGTCTAATTTCCATGTATTTGTATAGTTTTCAAAATTCTTCTTATTGATTTCTAGTTTTATTCCATTGTGGTCAGAGAAGATGCTTGATATTATTTCAATTTTTTGAATGTTTTAATATTTGTTTTATGACCTAACATAGGATCTATCTTTGAGAATGATCCGTGTGCTGAGGAAATGAATGTGTATCTGCAGCTCGTGGATGGAATGGTCTGTAAATGTCTATTAATCTGATGTTTCTTTGTTGATTTTTATCTGGAAGATCTGTCTTTCTGCTGAAAGTGGGGTGTAAAAGTCTCCAGCTATTATTGCCTTGGGGTCTATCTCTCTCTTTAGTGGTAATAATATTTCCTTTATGAATCTGGGTGCTCCACTGTTGGGTGCATATATATTTAAAACTGTTATGTCCTCTTGCTGAATTGACCCCTTTATCATTATATGCTGACCTTTGTTTCTTCTAGGTTTTGTCTTGAAATATCCTTTGCCTGATATGAGTACAGCAACTCCTGTTCTTTCTTGGTTTTCATTGTCACAGAATATCTTTTTCCATCTCTTTATTTTTAGGCTATGTGTGTCTTTGTAGCTGAGTTGTGTTTATTGTAGGCAACAGATCAATGCGTCTTGTTTTTTCATCCATTCGGCCACTCTATGTTTTTCTATTGGAAAGTTTAGTCTATTACATACAATGTTAATTTTGATAAGTAAAGACTTACTCCTGCCCTTGTGTTATTTGTATTCTGGTGAAGGTGATTTTCTCTGGTGATATGATTTCTTGCTGTTTATCTTTTGTGTATACATTGTATGCTTTTTGGCTTGAGGTTACTATGAGGCTTGCTAATACTATTTTATAACCCATTATGTTTAACCTGATAACAACTTAATACTATTTGCATAAACAAACAAAAAGAAAACTAATGAAAGCTCTATGACTTAACATTGTTTCCCCACTTATTAACTTTTTGCTGTTTCTATTTATATCTTATTGTACTTACTATGTCTTGAAAAGTTGTTATAGTTATTATTTTTGATTGGTTCATTGTTTAGTCTTCAACTACTTAGGGTAAGAGTAGTTCATATACCACAGTTACAGTTTTACAACATTTTTTTTTGTGTCTGTACTTATTGTTACCAGTGAGTTTTGTATTTTCAGGTGATTATTTATTGTTCATTAATGTTCTTTCCTTTCTGATTGAAATAGTCTCTTTAGCATTTCATCTTGTCTTGTAGGACAGGGCTGGTATTGCTGAAATCCCTCAGCTTTTCTTTGTGTAGAAAAGTCTTTATTTCTCCTTCATGTTTGAAGGATATTTTCACTGAATATATTATTCTAGGTTTAAAGTTTTTTTCCTTCAGCACTCTAAATATGTCATGCCACTCTCTCCTGGCCTGCAAGGTTTCCATTGAAAAGTCTGCTGCCAGATGTATTGGAGCTCCGTCATATGTTATTTGTTTCTTTTCTCTTGCTTTGTGTGTGTGTGTGTGTGTGTTTGTTTTGTTTTGAGATAGAGTCTTACTCTGTCACCCAGGCTGGAGAGCAGTGGCATGATCTTGGCTCACTGCAACCTCCACTTCCTCGGTTTAAGTGATTCTTCTTGCCTTAGCCTCCCAAGTACCTGGGATTACAGGTGCCCACCACAACGCCTGGCTAATTTTTTTTTTTTTTTAGTAGACACAGGGTTTCACCATATTGGCCAGGCTGATCTCGAACTCCTGACCTCAAGTGATATGCCTGCCTTGGCCTCCCAAAGTGCTGGGATTAGAGATGTGAGCCACCATGCAAAGCCACCAGTCTTTTAGGATTTGTTCTTTATCCTTGACCTTTGGGAGTTTGATTATTAAATTCCTTGAGGTAGTCTTCTTTGGGTTAAATCTGCTTAGTGTTCTATTACCTTCTTGTACATGGATGTTGTTATCTTTATCTAGGTTTGGGCTCTGTTATTGTCCCTTTGAATAAGCTTTCTACCTGTATTCCCTTCTCTACCTCCTCTTTAAGAACAACAACTCTTAGAGTTGCCCTTTTGAAGCTATTTTCTAGATCCTGTAGGCATGTTTCATTGGTTTTTCTTTTTTCTTTGGTCTCCTTTGGCTGTATTTTCAAATAGCCTGTCTTCAAGCTCCCTAAATCTTTCTTCTGCTTGATCAATTCTTGTTGCGGGAAGTCAGGGACCCCAAAAGGAGGGACCGGCTGAAGCCATGGCAGAAGAATGTGGATTGTGAAGATTTTATGGACATTTATTAGTTCCCCAAATTAATACTTTTATAATTTCTTATGCCTGTCTTTACTGCAATCTCTAAAAATAAATTGCAAAGATTTCATGGACACTTATCACTTCCCCAATCAATACCCTTGTGATTTCCTATGCCTGTCTTTACTTTAATCCCCTGATCCTGTCAGCTGAGGAGGACGTATGTCACCTCAGGACCATGTAATAATTGCATTAACTGCACAAATTGTAGAGCATGTGTGTTTGAGCAATATGAAATCTGGGCACCTTGAAAAAAGAACAAGATAACAGCAATGTTTAGGAAAAAAGAGAGATAACCTTAAATTCTGACCGCTGGTGAGCCGGGCAGAACAGAGCCATATTTCTCTTCTTTCAAAAGCAAATGGGAGAAATATCGCTGAATTCTTTTTCTCAGCATGGAACATCCCTGAGAAAGAGAATACACGCCTGGAGTTTTAGGCTTATAAACAGCCCCCGCAAGGTGTGCCTGTCTCTTATGGTCGAAACTGCAGAGATGAAATAAGCTCCAGTCTCCCATAGCGCTCCCAGGCTTATTAGGAAGATGAAATTCCCACCTAATAAATTTTGGTCAGACCGGTTGATCTCAAAACCCTGTCTCCTGATAAGATGCTATCAATGACAATGGTGCCTGAAACTTCATTAGCAATTTTAATTTCACCTCGGTCCTGTGGTCCTGTGCTCTCGCCCTGCCTCCACTTGCCTTGGGACATTCTATTACCCTGTTAAGTACTTGATGTCTGTCACCCATACCTATTCGCACACTCCCTCCCCTTTTGAAAATCCTTAAAAAATACTTGCTGGTTTTTGTGGCTTGTGGGGCATCACAGAACCTACCGACATGTGATGTCTCCCCCGGATGCCCAGCTTTACAATTTCTCTCTTTTGTACTCTGTCCCTTTATTTCTCAAACTGGCTGACACTTCGGAAAAATAGAAAAGAACCTACGTGAATATCAGGGCAAATTCCCCGACAAATTCTGCTATTAAAGTACTCTGATGGATTCTTTAGTCTGCCAATTGCATTTTTTAGTTCCAGAATTTCTGCTTGATTCTTCTTAGTTATTTCAATCTTTTTCTTAAATTTATCTGATATTATTCTGAATTCCTTCTCTGTGTTATCTTGAATGTTTTTGAGTTTCTTCAACCTATCTCTGTTTCTCTAGGATTGATCCCTGGTGCATTATTCAGTTCATTTGATGAAGTCATGTTTTCCTGAATAGTGTTGATCCTAGTAGATGATCTTTGGTGTCTGGGCATTGAAGAGTGGATATTTACTATAGTCTTCACTGTCTGGGCTTATTTATAGCCATCTTTGGGAAGGCTTTCCAGATATTTGAAAGGACTTGGGTGTTGTGATCTACAAGGACGTGAGTGTTGTGATGTACTTCAGGGAGCACCCCAAACCCAGTAATGCTATGATTCTTGCAGACTCACAGAGTACTGCTTTGATGGCCTTGGACAAAATCTGGGAGAATTCTCTAGATTACAAGGCAGAGACTCTTGTTCCTTTCTTCTTACTTTCTCCCAAACAGCCTCTGTCTTTGTTCCAAGCCACCTAAAGCTAGGGATGGAGTAACACAAACACCCCTGTGGCCACCACCACTAAGACCGTGCCGGGTTAGACCTGAAGCCAGCAGAGCACTGGTACTTGACCAAGGCCTCCTATAACCACCCCCTGGCTACTGCCTATGTTTGCTGAAGACCCTGGGGCTCTACTATCACCAGATGGCAAAGCCAGCCAGGCCTGTGTCCTTCCCTTCAGGGAGGGAAGGTCCCCCAGCCCACCAGTGGGTACAGAAGTGCCATTGTCTAGGAGTCAGAGACTAGAGTGAAAAACCTTAGAAGTCTACCTGGTGTTCTATTGTATTGTGGCTGAGCTGTTAAACAAACCACAAGATGCTGTCCTTCCCACTCTTCCCTCCCCTTTCCAAAGGCAGAGGAGCCTTACCCTATAGCCACTGCCATCCTGGGCCATGAAGAGTACTGCCAGACTACCACTGATGTTCCCTTAATGCCCAACAGCTCTTAAGTCAGCTTGTCATGAATGCTGCCTGGCCTGGGACTCACCCTTCAGGGTAGTGGACACCCCTCTGGCCCAGGACAGGTCCGGAAATGCTGTTCAAGAGTAAAATCCTAGAATCAGGGACCTCGAGAGCTTGCTTGATTTTCTACCCACTGTGGCTGGGCTGTTACCTGAAGCCATTCTCTTCTGGTCCAGGGTGTGTCTAGAAATGTTCTCTGGGAACTAGGGCCTGGAACAGGGGCCTTGCAGCCTTGCAAGTCTATCTGGTGCCCCATCCTGTTGTGGCTGAGCTTGTACCGTAGATGCAGGACAAAGTTCTCCTTGTTCTTCCCTCTCTTCTCTTCAAGTGGAAGAAGGTGTCTCTTTTGGAGCTGCAAACTGTGCAGCCTGAGGTTAGGAGAGGGGTGAGGCCAGCACTTCCTTGACTACCTATCCAGTGTCTCAGTATGTCACATGCCCCACCAGTCCACTGTCCTGGGCCTACTTCAGCACTAGGATATGCCTAAGAGTTGTAGTCCTTATGGCCTAGACTGCCTTTCAAGTTTACTTGGAGACAGACAGCTGTAGCCCTGGGTGGCGAGGTTTGCAGGCACTCAAGTCCCCCTCTGGCTAGGGCTAGTTTAAATGTTCTCTCTGTGGGTGGACACCAGCTGAGTTTGGGGTTTCCTTTCTGCTCTAACAAGACAGCACCGAGTTCAACGCCGCACAATTGCTGTGTTCTCACTCCCCCAGCACCCAAGGACACTCTCCACACCATGCTGCTCCTGGGGTCGGGGAGGAATAGGGGGTGGCATCGGCAATTCAGTACTATTTTTTCTCTCTTTGTTGCCTCTTTCAGCACTATGAAGTTAAAGCAAGGTACTATGAGTGCTCACCTGATTTCTTGTTCTTATGAAGGTGTTTTTTTCCATGTAGATAGTTGTTAACTTGGTGTGGGTTAGTGGGAACGATTCGTGGAGCTTTGTATTTCACCATCTTGCTTCGTCTCCCTCTTTCCCAGACTTTTTGAACCCTACCAACTATAGTGTTTAAGTGTGAGTAGAAAATAAAGGGACTTTGTTGAAAATCCTTCTGATTGGTCTTTATTTTTTAAGAGGACTGAATCTTGACCTGCCTTGTAAGAATAGCCTATTAATTAATTTGAAGGCAAGGCCAGGAGAAGGAAGGCTCCTTTAACTGTTGGCCAAAAATTATCCTAAAATACTTAGAGAACAGTTACTCTTTCTAAAAATGTGAATCTAAGTCTTTCATATTTTCATATCAGTTTGTTTACTGGCTACTAACTTTGTAGGCTGAGCAAAATACAAAGAGGAAAGAGTAAAGGACCTCTTTAGCATTAAGGAAAGTAAAAATTTCTTGCCTAGAATTTGTCAAGGTAAGGCAAGGGTGATAGATTCAGCTAGTAAGAAAACAATGAGTTGCCATTTTTAGATTCAGACAGTTTATTACTTACTTGGAAAGCAAAAGCAAGAGTAGCCAAAGATGCCAGCTCTGGTATCCCTTGCACAGGGTGACACTGATACAAAGGAGGCCAGATGACCACAACCTGGATGATAGGGCACCCTGTTCCTGAGGAACCAATGTCATGCTTCAGCTAAGCAGTTTTACAGCCTGAGGCTGTATTCTAGGGAGAATGAGGCAGAAAGTGTCATACCTCCTCAAAACACAGGAGGCAATGAGAAACTGGGAGGTGAATGAGAAATGGCCTTGGGTCAGCTCTTAACAAGCCTCTCATGATCTCATGTTGTAGGAGAATCAACAGAATTCCACCATGACTTAGATCAGCTGCAGTCAAGTCTTGCTGATGTGGCCTTTGTGGAGATGTGCAAGGGCGCATGCAAATGTTCAGGTCACTGTGGTAGAACCCTTCTCCTATATTTAGTTTCTGTAGCCATTTATGTGACTGTGATTTCTGTTAATCAAAAATAATGGCTTTGACCTGAATAAATTATTTACTGATGTAATAAGAAAGTCAAGCAGAATGATTATTCTAGTTCAAAAAGGCTAAAATTATAGGTAAGTCTTCACTAAACCCAAAAGTCACTGATTTGTTTAAATTCTACATTGTGAGATTAAACAAATCTCAGTCACTTCATAAAACCCATTTTCACTTCCCTGCCCCCAACCTTTTTTCCCCCACATGCTTGCCCTGCTTTATGGAACAAACATTGATGAATGAGAGACAGAAGGCAGGAAGGATCCAGTTAAAAAAAGTGCCTTAACCTTTCCCCTCCTGAGGGAGGATTGTTACCCAGTGGTTTCACACAGCCTTCTTGAGATGTCCTGTGTGACTAAGCAACCAACTGCATGTACTGGGATGCTATAATCAGCTTGGAAACATACCACCATGGATCTTCCTCCCTCTGTCCCTGCCTCTGTTCTCCCTTTTCCTTCATTATTGCTTTTCTAGTACTGCAACCCCCAAGAAAATTTTAACATGTGAGCTTGTCTCAGGCACTGTTTTCTAGAAAATCTGAGCTACGGCCGTCACTTATATTTTTAAATATTCATTATACAAAATTTCATACATATACGAAAACCATGGAAAAGTACAAAGAACTCCCCTCATCATCTAGATTCAATAATTATCCATTTTATTTTCTTATTTATGCTATCTCTTTTTCTTCCTTCTTTTTTTTTATGTTGAAGTATAAAGTAAATTCCAGAGAGTATGTCATTTAACTTCAACATACTTCAGAATGCCTCTCCAAAAATTATGGACATTTTCTTACATAATCACAATGCCATTATTACACCTAATAAAATAATATTTCTTTGGTATCATCTAACACCAGTCCATAGTTAAATGTCCGTGATTGTCTTACAAGTCTTTATAGTTGTGATGTTTCAATCAGGATCCAAATAAAGGTTCACATCTTACATTTCATGGCTGTATTTTTTTTAACCTAGGCTTCTCCTGACCCATTCCCTCTCCTGTGTGTCCAGTTATTAACTTGTTGTAGAGACTACATCAATTGTCCTAGAGAGTGTCCTCCATTCTACTCCATTCTAGATTTACCTGTTTCCTTCTTTGTGGCATCTTTTTTTCTTTTTTTTTGAGACAGGGTCTCACCCTGTCATCCAGGCTGGAGTGCAGTGGTGCCATCTTGGCTCACTGTAACCTCCGCTTCCCGGGTTCAAGCGATTCTCCTGCCTCAGCCTCCTGAGTAGCTGGGATTATAGGCACGCACCACCATGCCTGGCTCATTGTTTATTTTTAGTAGAGACAGGGTTTCACCATGTTACCCAGGGTGGTCTTGAACTCCTGGCCCCAAGTGATCCACCTTCCTCGACCTCCCAAAGTGCTGGGATTATAGGTGCGAGCCACTGCGCCCAGCCTCTTTGTGGTGTCATTTAACTTATTCCTGTAACCCTCATGTTTTTTGTAAGCCTGTAAGTGAGAAGTCAGTTTTAAGGCTTGATTAGATCCCATTCATGTTTTTTGGGTGATAACATTTCATAGTTGTGCTGAGTGCTTCAGATGGCATTAGATCAGGAAGCACACAATGTCTGGAGTCCCACTTGTAATGACAGATTATTAGGCTGAGGTAGTGACGGTCTGATCTCCATTGTGAAGTTCCTCATGAACATTTCATCTGTTGGTTTGATCCATTGATGATGGTTGCCTGAATCATTTATTAAATGCAAGATTGCTAAATGGTGGGTTTCCAATTCTGTTGTTTCATATTTATTATAAAAAACAACTTTCCCTCAACACCAATTTGGTTTTCTGATATATAGTTTAATCAGGAAAGATACATCAGAAAATTTGAATTATTTTCTTTTAATGGACAATTTTAGAATAAGGGCTTAATGCTAGCTACTTGCAATAGTGTCCAGTGGATTTTTTTTTTCCTTTTATTGACCTCCCCTTTTTGGAACATCATTAAGAACTCATGAATTTTTATATATTCAGTATGTTTCTAACAACTGCATCCATTACTTTTTTTGATGCTTAAATTGTCCATCTTTGGCCAAAGGAGCTATTTGATATTGGTTTCTGTGTCCCTTTGACACATTTTGTTGTTAATGGATTCCCGGCTTTGTGGGACAAGTTATCCTATGCTCATCTTGTGTATAACCTGACCCAGATCTGAAGTCAGACATTTGGTTGGTCAGCTCTAGTTTCTTTTAGTTGGAAATTGTATTAAAAAACCCCAAACTGGATGATTTACATTATTTTTATTTGTAATAAAAATGAAAGGTTATATATTTAAAATTTTATTCCAAGGTAGTAAGTTTAGAATCAAGTATTTAGTTCATAAATAAAACTGTAATTGCTTGTTTTGTTTTTGTTTTAAGCTCGCTTTTAAATTATTTTTATAAAAGGGGATATACCTTGTTATAAGCATACCTAAAATTGGATTAATAACTATATACCAATCTTACATTTTTTCCAGATGGTACAATTTATATTCAAAATTTTCCAAAACGTTTGAGATGAAGGATATAAATGAAATCTCAAGTGTTTTCATATCAATTCAAATAATAATATCAATTTCATCAGAGTTGCTATAGTAAAAGCTTTTAAAAACTTTATTGAAATGTCATGGTTTGATATGAGCTGACAAATATGAGTTTTAGCTTGAAATAAGTAAAGGGCTATAATTTCAGGTGTTAACAGAAGCCTGTGTGGAAATATATGACATTCAAACAAATGAAATGCAAAAGGCCATTTGGCAGTAATTCTCCAAGTGAGGTTTGAGAACACCTAGGGGTTACTGAAACCCTTCCCGGAGCTTTGTAAGGTCCTCTCTTTTTCAACTATGAATTCGTATGACAGTTAATTTTCTTCATATCTTAGGTATAACAACATATCACAACAGCCTGAATGCAGAGGCAGAATATGAGAATCCAGTGCTCTCCTTAAGCCAGATAATAAGAGATTTATAAAATGTTAAAAATGCCACTTTTCTCTAATTTTTTGGAAAAAAAGTAGTCATTATTTATAAAAATAACTTTTACAGTAACATGTAATGGGTTTAAATTAAGCAAACACATGTCTAACATTTTTCTATCTTAAATTTTAATACAGTAAATATGGACATATATAACCCACATAAACAACAGCTCTTTAAAGTTCTCAATCATTTTTAAGAATGTAAAGAGAACTTGAGATCAAAAAGTAGTTTGAGAACTGCTACTCTATGATACCTTCTATTATTTGCTTACCAATGGTAAGTATGTATAGATAGGAATATATTTTAATATCTATATTTGTGGAATCTGTAAACTTAATTATTTTAACTTTGTTTAAATATCTCTTTGACCATTAGATTTGATGCCTAACTATAGTTTAAATTTGTACCTTAGTTAGGACTTTATGATTCATTTTCCCCTGATGGTATTAACAACAAATAGAGGTCTGCTTTAATATATAAGGAGACAAGGCAAATATATTTGAACTAGATACATAAAGCCAAATATTCAGCTTAGAATTTAATTGATAAATTAGAATAAAATAGGATGCTCTAACTGCTGCTTCTTTTTCTCATAAACTTTTTTCTCCCAAAGATCAGTTTCAGGTTCAGAGCAAAATTGAGCAGGAAGTATAGGGTTCCTATATATTCCTGTACCCCACATCTGCACAGCCTCCCTGACTATGAATATCCTGTACCAGAGCAGTATATTTGTTACAATTGATGAACTTACATTGACATCATTATCACCCAAAGTTGAGATTTTATATTAAGGCTCCCTCTTTGGGTTGTATATTTTATGGGTTTGGACAAATGTATAATGACATGCATCACCATTATCATATCATACAGAATAGTTTCACTGCCCTAAAAATCTGTGCTTCATATCCCCCTCCTCTGTGACCTCTGGCAATCACTGATCTTTTTACTGTCTCCATATGTGATGGTTAATACTGAGTGTCAGCTTGAATGTATTGAAGGATAGAAAGTATTGATCCTGGGTGTGTCTATGAGGGTGTTGCCAAGGAGATTAACATTTGAGTCAGTGGGCTGGGAAAGGCAGACCCACCTTTAATTGGGTGGGCACCATCTAATAAGCTGCCAGTGAATATAAAGCAGGCAGAAAAACATGAAAAGGAGAGACTGGCCTAGTCTCTCAGCCTACAGCTTTCTCCTGTGCTGGACGCTTACTGCCCTCAAACATCGGATTCAAAGTTCTTCAATTTTGAGACTCGGACTGGCTCTCTTGCTCCTCAAGCTTGCAGACAGCCTATTGTGGGACTTTGTCATCATGTAAGTTAATACTTAATAAACTCCTCTTTATATTTATATGTCTATCCTATTGGTTCTGTCCCTCTAGGAAACCCTGACTAATATACCATAGTTCTGCCCTTTCCAGATATTAGCTTCTTTTTAAGTACACTTGATGAATCTTAGTGATAAAATCAGGCCAGACCTAGCAACTCTTTTTGTATGTTTATTGACTTCCCAATACAATAAAGGCCATAAACACCTGTCTTTGTTGTTTATTCACCTACATTCCATCCCAGACTGTCAGTTCCTAGTGACCAGGAGCTCCATTCAATTTGGGGTCATGGTACCAAATAGTTCTTGACTGCTATTTGATGAGGGTGGTCCTGTCACCTAAGTGCTCTTGAAATTAAGTCCTTAAGCACTGGCCGAAAAGAGCTTACTTTGCAGTAATTATTTCAGTGACAAGTAAGAAAAACTGGGACATATCCCCTTCACAGGAGAGCAATTTTGCTCTCTTTAGGAAACTCTTGGAATTTTAGTTATCAGGCTATTTAAGACCCTGAGTAGATTCTTAAACCTTTAGAATAAATTTTGAACCAAGAGTGCCAGAATGTCTGTTATTTACATTAGTATTAAGTGATCTGAAAGTGCACAGAGTAGTTTGGCAGTATCTAGAGGGAGAATAGAGACAGAAATAATGAAGATACAACTGGAGGAGTAAGAAAAGGAGAAAAAAAGTATTTTATGTCTGTTCAGTATTTCTAGGTGCCACTGCTGCTAAATGCCTGGGCTTCAGCCTAGGTTGGGTTGCTCCTAGCAAAGAAAACCAGTCCCTGAGACAACGAGTATTGCCAGGGAAGACAGGCTTTAATGCAGGTGATGCTGGCAGGGAGACCAGTCTCAAACATGTCTTAGGGAGACTAAAGTTAGGGCTTTCTATAGCAGGGAATTATGGAGGGGTAAGGAAGAGGAGTTTGTGAACAGGCAGCAGATGCACCTCATTGTCCAGATGTAGTGTTCTGGAAAGTTGCATTTCCTTGACACTATCTGGGAGGTCTGACAGTTTATCTGCTGAGAAAGGAACTCAGGTAAAATGCACGCAAGTTTCTCAAGTTTCACTTCGAAGGGAAAATTTGGCCGGTTTCGGTCTTCCCTTTCTATTTATCAATTCCTCAATCATGCGGAATCTGGTAGTTGATCTTTCTGGCTGCTTCACGTGAAGGAAGGGCATCTTGGGATGATATGGAATGAAAATATCGCACCTGTAATTGCAAGTACTTACGAGTACCTGGTTGGCATCCAGCTTGTTGGAGCACCATGATTTGGGTACTTTCATCAACATTTTAAACCACATTGAATTAGGATAATTAATAACATGGATAAGAAGGTTTCTTTGTAGGTTGTAATAACCCAGTTAAGAGTTTGTACCATTCGGCCGGGCGCAGTGGCTCACGCCTGTAATCCTAGCACTTTGGGAGGCCTAGGTGAGCGGATCACGAGGTCAGGAGATGGAGACCATCTTTGCTAACACGGTGAAATCCCATCTCTACTAAAAATACAAGAAGATTAGCCGGGCATGGTGGCGGGGGCCTGTAGTCCCGGCTACTAGGGAGGCTGAGGCAGGAGAATGGCGTGAACCCGGGAGGCGGAGATTGCAGTGTCGCTCTGGCGACAGAGCGAGACTCCGTCTCAGGAAAAAAAAAAAAAGAGTTTGTACCATTTGAGGGCAAAAGCTTCAGTATGAAATTCCCGTTTCTCTCAAGTAAACCGCCTGTCCTGTGTTACTCACTTTGTTTTACCTGGAGGCAGCAAAACTGAATAGTTTTCCTGAGTGCTCATGAGTAGGAAAAAATGAAATGAAGAGTTGCCCAGAGATCGCTAGTGAGGTGCTTTGCCACTACTGCCCTGTACTTAAGTAACTGTGAGGGTTCTCTGTTTCCTGGCTTCTAAAACAAGAGGAAGAGCTGAAGACACAGTTTCATAGACTTTTCGGCTCTTTATTGTAGTCTCCCCCATTAGTACGTTGCTGAGCTTAGGGCAAGTGCTCAATAATAGCTTGCTGAATTAGTGTTGTGTTTGATCCTTTCAGATCCACGCCGCATTTTGAGCCCGACCTGGGCGGGCGGTCCAGAGACCAGTTTTCCGCCGGGGGCGGAGCTTCGGGCGGCCAGCGCGCGACGGGGCAGCGGGGCGGAGCTTGCCGCCGGCGGAGGGCGGGGTCTGCGCGGGGACTTCCCCCGGGCTGAGCTGCGCAGCGGGTGCGGAGGGCGGGCGCCCGGCGTCCGGCGGCGGGTGGGGGGCTGTGAGGCTGGCAGGGGTCGGCGGGCGCGTAGCCGCCGACCCTTGGTGGTCTCTTGGGCTGGGGACCCTTCCCTGGGAGTCGGCCCCGGCCCCGGCGGGGCGGGCGTTGCCGGGAGGCGGAGGGGTGCGCGGCCGCGAGTCCTGCGTGATCGCGAGCATGTGTGCGTGCGCGTGTTTATCTGAGGCGCGTGCGGCGGCCACCCCAGCCTAGTCCTCTTCTTGGTGCCACTGGCTAACTAGGTTGAGAAACCGGCGCCACAGGCGGCACACCTGGCCCGGAGCTGGCCCGCTCCTCCCCGCCGAGCCGGCGCCCCAACAACGCGCCCTCTCCCAGTCCTCACAAAGGGGCCTAGTCCGGCCCCCGGCTCTGGCCGTGAGGGAGCGCTGTGGGGGCGCGCTGCCTTCTGCCTGGAAGTGTTGGGCAGGTGGTGGGAGAGCGTCAGGCTTGAACAACATGATTTTAAAGCACGTGTCTGTCTGTCGTTTTTTACTTTTAGGGTTTTGGCCAAATTGGGCGAGGGCACAAAATAACCACTTACCCCTTCTCACCGAGGAAGAGCGGGAGAAAGGGTAAGTAAGGAATGGTCAGGGGTGGAAGGACCTAGGACTTTATCCTGAGAGCGAGCGAGAGAGAGAAGGGCTAGATGTCCAGAACTGCTCGTGGGGAACTTGGGCCCAGATTCTACCTTTTCATCGGGAACTGGAGGACCCACCTTCAAAGTCACAGGCTCCAGGCCCCGGACTGTTTTCAGCCTCACACAGTCTATAGAGTTTAACAGCTTGGGCATGTGGATCCCTTTTAGCCCCTTGACCCGACAGAAAACTGCACTTCCCCTTTACCTGTTTTTACCTTGGAACATTGGTCCTCTCTAGTTGTCTGTCTCCGGCCCCTATCTTATTAGCCAGCTTTGACTAATCCCTGAGACCATAGCACTAAAGAATCCAGGTCCTGTTTGATAATGAACAGTAACCCCCCTAGGGATGTTTACATTTTAAAAGGGTACTCCTGAAAAAATCCTTTAGGACCCCAAAGCATAAAGTTAGTAACAAGATTACAAGTGTTGAAGTTCTTTGGGATCTCTCAAGCTTACAGAAGAAGATGTTTTGAGGGGAGAGAGATGACCAGGCTGGGCCTTTTTCTCTGGGCTTTCACTCTTGGTACCTCCTGGCAAGCATTCCATTCACTTTTGAAAAGTTGCCAAAAAGGACACTGAAGTTCTCTGAGGCTTACTGTGATTTTCAGTGTGGTCTATTTCATTGGTTCTTCTGTGGGACTTTTCTATCACTTCTTTAATACACTGCTTCCCTCTCCCCTGTATGGTGAAATGAAACACAGCTCCTCTCACAAGGTTGGGAGCTCATTATGCATCCTATATGTCACATATAAATAACCGTTTTAAATTAGTTGAAATTCAGATTAGCTACAAGCAGGAATGTAGTAAAACTGCATTCTTGGATTCTTACACAGGAAAAGTAGAATTGCCCTCTGTGATAGGCTGCCTATTCTGATACTGGCTGCCTGTGTCCTGAACGTGCCTATTTGTTTGTGCTCAAGTGATAGGTGACCACATAATTTATGGAAAACAGGAAGTGATTGTTTATTGATAATGGGTTCCTTCATTGATTCAATAGCTAATTCTCTCTTACCATGTGCTACGCACTTTTATCAGCACTTTGATAAAAGTAGGATGGTGAGAATGATGAGATTGTATTGGAGATGGCTGTTTTGGGGTAGGCCTTTCACCAGTTTTGTGGATTTTCTCAATAGTTACATGTTAATTTACAAGACTTTCCCTGTACTACTGATCATAGTGGTTTGCAGGTCTATACAGTGTTGTGGGAGAACAGAATTATTATTCCGCCTTTCTAGTACTTTCAGTAATAAACTTACAAGGATGGCTGACCTTGATGATTTGTTTCCTATAATGAATAATGTTATAGTCATTTTCCAGTGTACGAGTATAATAATTAGATGAGGATAACTTTTGTAGTTGTTCCATAAGAAGGACCTAATATTAGGAATCATGGAGAGTGTAAAGGATGATGTACTTAGAAAAATAAATTCGAAAGTAGACCATTTTTAACTTGCATGGGTTTCTGTGCATTTAGCCTCATTTAAAAGATCTAAGCTAGAATAGTTCTTTGTCTTTTTCTGGTTATAAGAGTAATAAAAAGTCAAAAAAAAGTTATTTAGAATTAAATCTGGGAGGGTATAAAAGGCAATAAGTGAGTTTCCTATGAGTCCACTTTCAGATGACCACTTAACAATTTGATACTTGTTTCTTCAACTTTTTGTTCCATATATACACATACTAAATATGCAGCTTAAGTATATGTTAAACATGTATACATCTTAACTGCGTATTATATATGGAACATATGTGGAACATAATACATGTTTTATATATATATATTTCACTGTTATTTGATAAAATTGTAAATTTCTTTCTTTTTCTCCTTCTTCTTGGCTATTTACCACCCCTCCTCACTCCACCCCACAACTTCATGTAGAAGTAGCATGACTTTTACAGTCTTTTGGACATGAGCTTGATTTCTGGCTCTTATTTTATTAGCTGTGTCACTTTGGGCCATTAAAATTTCTCTGCTGCTTGATTTCTTATCCATCAAAACAGAACAAAGAGTATATATAAAAGAATGTGTGAAAAAACAGTGCCTGGCATAGAAGTACTTACTTTTAAATTTCCCTCCCTGTTTTTCTATGTGGTCACCCATTACTTTCCTATGATCTTCCTTTTGATTGTGGAAAGCCATGTAGTGCCTAACTTTCCTATAGCTGTTAAGCCTCCCTGGGATTTGCTTTTCACAGGGGTTCACCTGGTGTATCTGATCCTAGAATTTCTGGGACGAGGACTGACACCTGATGTGGCCTTATCAGATCATTCCACAGCCTTGGATAAAGAGTGTCAGCTTGAAAAATGAAGGGAAAGAATTTCTATAATGTGTTTAAAAAGCCCTGACACTATTCTTAAAGTGAGAAAGACATATTACTGTATTTAGCTGAGTACTTAAACTTAGGATTTCCATTTTGGAAATGTCTTTGGTTTATAAGGATTACAATAAAAATGCTGATGCTTCATGTCCAAACTGTCATGATTTTGCCAAGTTGTGGATTTAATATACAGCTTAGCTGTGTATTTAGTATATCTGATACTGCTCTGGAAACTGAGAAAGACAAGTTCACAGACATCTGATTTCACACCAGACATCTGGTTTCACTTTACTGAGGAGTATGTTTTGTCAGTAGATTATAGGCATATTAACTGTACTGCTATAGTTTGTGGCATTTCTCTCATAAGCTGTGGTCTGTAGGGTTTAGTATGATGTTTTAGTCAAATGACAGCCCACCGAAAATGAGCACCTGGTCAGATAAGCACATTTCCCATAGGTTTCTTCTAGTGTCATTGTTCTTACAAGTTAACAAGGCAAAATCATTCTATCTTTGGTGGCTTTTGTATTTTTTGTGGAAGCAAGAAAATATTCTTAAAGAAAAGCCTTACTTAAGAACCCATTGTATTCCACAAGTTCATTTTCAAGTCTGTTGTTTGTAAAGTTAACAATGTACTTATAGGAATAAATAGCATTTAGATTTCCAGATCAGAACCCCAGGAAATCTAGTACTTACTTTCCTAAAGGTACTAAGGAAAGCTTTTTAAACTCATTGTGTGCTTATTATATATTAGTGGTACTGTAGACTCTAATCAACATATATAATAGTGTTTTGGAGGTAAGTGTCTCCTGAGTGCCAACCTAGAATGGCTGGACCACGTCTCCCTCCATTTTGAGGTAGTGAGGGGTATAGAAAAAGCTCTGGAGGTTGTCATTCTTAGGTTTTCAGGCAGGGCCTGTTATTGCTTAACTGTTGACCTTGGACACAAATTCCTCATCTATAAATGGGATAATTACTTATGATTACTGTGAAATTCAGTGAGTGAGTGTAATGTGGCACAGAATCTGCCGTAAAATAAATTCTCAGTAAATAGTTGTTTCATTTTTCCTCAAAGTCCTAGACACAAGAACAAAGATACCCTTCTATCCCTTGCCCTTGCATCCAGATTAAGTCACTGGCCTGGACCTGTGGCTCCATTGGAGGGGAACTACCCATGGTATTGGGGATTTGGTAGTGAGGACTCAGAAGGGGTCATGCAGAATAATGACAAAGGAGAGGGGTTGTGAACTGAGAGAAAGGTGGCAGTCTTTTGCTCAGTCCATGAATTTAGATCAATGAATTACTTGTTTCCTAGAAAGAACCATCTTTTTCTCTGGCTTCTCTGTTGATCTTTGTCAACTGTTCCGCTGGAAACTCTTACCTTCTTAATGTCTACTTAGTCCAATAATAAGTTTTTTTCTTTGTCATCTTCATACTACCTGAATAACCATATTTTTCTATTTTTTTTAATGGTTAGGACTTAGTAATGGATATCTGTACTACAGTAACAGATGTCTGTACTAAAGATGTCTGTACGTTCTTAAGATCTGGTGTTTTTTTTTCTATACTCAAAGTCCAGTTGATTTTCTTGTTCTTTCATTGACTCGTACCTTATTCATTAACCTCGCCCCTCCTTTTTTTAGTATATCTATCTGCATTGAGCTAGTAATGTACATGGAACTAGTGACTGTGTGAATTGAACTAGTTAGGAGGATATAAAGATGAAAAGTCATCTTTGACCAAGGATCTTATAGTCTGTAGGACTACAGATATCTTGACCAATAGTTCAAATACTGTATGCTATTTGCTATAACAGAGGTAGGTACAAGTACAAATGAAATCTAGCAAGAGCTCTTGATCTCTGCCTGCAATACCAGGTAAGGGTTTTAGTAGTGGTTGTGTTTGAGCTGAGACTTGAAAACTGAGTAGGAGTGGGCATGTTGACAAGCAATAGAAAGCATTTCTAGGTAAAGCTAACAGCATGAGTAGTTGTGTGGCATTACGAGAACATAGTGTATACTGGGAACTATATGTAGGTCAGTTATATTAGAGTGTGAAGGACAAGGTCAGGAGTGAAAGGAGATGAAACTGGTTAGCCAGTTCAGGGTACACTTCCTAGATGAAACTGGATAGCCAGTTCAGGGTACACTTCTTATACCATGTGTAGTAGTGAGCCACTGAAGAATTGTGAGTGTCATGGAAGATCACTGAAAGCAGTGTGCTGGGTAGATTGAGGGTAGAGTGGGGTTGGGTGTGGGGTCATGGCAAGACTGGAAGCTTTCAAGGACAGTACATCAGTAGGGATAAGAGAGGTTGAAAGCTTAGATAAAGGTGGAAGTAGTGGGAATAGAGAAGTGAGAATGTTTAGGAAAAGTAAGATGAGGGAGAATTTGCTGGTCTTTGTGACTGTTTGAATGTAAAAGATATGGGAGAGGGAGAATGTTAGAATGCTTCCTAGGTTTCTGGGTTGTGAGTGGGAAAAGAGAAGAGGAAGAAGGTATGAGGGAGAAGAGAATGAGTTCAACTTTGGACCTGTGTTTAACATGCTCGCAGGGCATATCATTGGCAAGTGTGAGATGTCTAGAAGGCAGTTGGATATAGGATCCTGGAACATCACAAGAGATTGCAAAGGCTGGAGAAACAGATTTGTGTGTTCTTACCATATGGAGAGTAACTGAAGTATCCATAGATACGGATAAAAGTACATAGAGGAATTGTATAGAAAGAGAAGAGAAAAGGGCTAAAAATTAGTCTTAGAGAATGTAAAAATTTAAAGGAGAAACCATAAAAGAGAAAGATGTAAAGATGCTGAAGGAGAGTGGCCATTAAGTATGATGATGATTGTAAAGTTACAATCATCAATGACTGTTAGAAGTCACTGGTTTCATTGTAGTGGTGGAGGTAAAGCTATCGTGCTGTGGGTAAAGGACTGAATAGGAGATGAGGCTGAAGGGGGCTGGACATGAGAATAGAGAGTAGATATGCTTGGGTCCCTCTTAGGAGATAATTGTTCTTCAGTCAGGGTATTTACTTAATACATTTTATTGTGTATATTTAAGGAAAATAACATGTTATGGAATACATGTAAATAGTAAAATGGTTACTGTAGTGAGACATAGTAACATCCATCATCTTACATAGTTATCCATTTTTGTGTGTATGACAAGAGTAGCTAAAATCTACTCATTTAGCAAAAGTCAGGAATACAATACAGTATTATATAGTACTGATGCTGTACATGAGTTCCCAAACTCTTTCATTATACATGGCTGCTACTTTGTGTCCTTTGACCTACATCTCAATTTCCTTCCCCCTCCCCTGGGATCACTGTTTTATTCTCCATCTCTGTATGCACACATATTAGAATCCCCTAGAGAGCTTTTAAAAATTCCGACTGATATCTTTACAAGGTTGCGGTTTCATTTTCTTTGGGTATGTATATATATATATATATACATGCACACAGAAGAGGGATGGCTAATTGGTACAAAATAGAAGTAATGGTAGTTCTATTTTTAATTTCTTTAGGAACCTCCCTACTTTTTCCATAATGGTTGTACCAATAGTATACAAGGGTTCTCTTTTCTCCCACCCTCGCCAACACTTATCTCTTGTTTTATTTGGTAGTAGCCATCTTGATGGGTGTGAATATATGGAAACAACCTAACTGTCCAACAAAAGACAACAGAAAATCAAACTGCAGTACATATATAGAATGGAATATTATTCAGCCTTAAAAAAGAAATAGATTCTGCTTTTTGCCATAAGATAGGTAAACCTAGGGGACATTATGCTAAGTGAAGTAAGCCAAATGCAGAAAGAAAAATATTGTATTATCTCACATGTGGAATCTTAAAAAAAAGTCAAATACATAGTGAAATCATATCACTGCTTCAGATTTTATTTTTTGAGAGAGAAACAACATGTCTGTATGCTGTGAGTTAGAAACACCATAGAAAGGGAGATGTTGAAAATACAGTTGCCTGATTCCTTGCTTGTCATATTTTTTTTTTTGTGAATGAAGATTAGGTTGTCGCTTTGTTTGCCTACTCCTTCCCGGCTTGCAAAATTCATATCTGACCCCAACTGTCAGATATGAATTTTAAATGTCCTTTCTACTCTATTCTTTCCTGCCCCACAGTTCACTGCTGTCTTGCTCTCACTACGTCTGGCCCTTTTGCATACATTATTCTCTAACCTAATCCAGTTGTGCGTAAAAACTCCATTTTCCTTTATTAAAAGTTGAAAAATTTCACAGGAGTGTCTGCTAGGAGAATGGAGGAAATAATGATAACAAACATAAAAATCATTCAGCATAGCCAACATGTATTAATATCTGCTATGGTAAAGGCCCTGGATACAAAGATATATATGGCAGGAAGGATGAGTAACATAGGGATCTGATCTTAATGCATTTATGCCTAGTGCTCCATTATTGGAGCGCTAAGCTAGTGGGAGTTATTTATATCCTACTTCTCAAGGTCATCGCCAAGGCCTGATTTTTCACAAAAAAAATTTGCAACCTCCAGCATAAATGGGTTAAGGACCCCTCAGGGCAGTGAGAAAAATGGATATATAAATAAAGCAGCACCAGTACTTTGGGAGGCTGAGGTGGGTGGATCACCAGAGGTCAGGAGTTCGAGACTAGCCTGGCCAATATGGCAAAACCCCGTCTCTACTAAAAATACAAAAATTAGTCAGGCATGCTGGCATGTACCTGTAATCCCAGAGGCTGAGGCAGGAGAATCACTTGAACCCAGGAGGTGGAGGTTGCAGTGAGCCGAGAATGTGGTACTGCACTCCAGCCTGGGTGACAGAGCAAGACTCCATCTCAAATAATAATAATAATAATAATAAAATAAAAATAAAGCAATGCTTTGAGGGACAATATGTGCTATGATAGAGTTCAAGGTAAGATAGATGCAAAAAATGGACTTCATTATTTTTGTGATCCTGAAGGTCTCACAAAAGGTGA
Organism: Homo sapiens; assembly: GCF_000001405.40. Lineage (NCBI taxonomy): Eukaryota > Metazoa > Chordata > Mammalia > Primates > Hominidae > Homo > Homo sapiens. The sequence continues at coordinate 111,554,498 of NC_000007.14, read as the reverse complement.
TACCTGAGCTATAGCTTGAGATATGGCATGGTGAGGTTCGGGGAGTAAGATTAGGGGAATAAAATATTCCTTAATGGCCCCACGATAGCAGCAGAAGGGGCTTGGGTTTCTCATCTTCCCTTTCTTCTTGTTCTGCGTGATTTTATTGCAAGATATTTTTGTGTTTGAGGGAGTTCTTAGGGGGTTAATATGTTTCAGTTTACATATAGACGTATCAGCATTTTCTCCCTTGTGATATAAACTTTCTGTGAATTTACCAACACTGGTTTATTATATATTAGACAGCTAACACAAACCAGTGCAATTATATCAAGTATCTGGGGGATGAGGTCCAGGCAGTGATATTTTCAAAGCATCTTAGGTGTCCTCATGGCAGTCAGGGTGGAGAACCACTGGGCTAAAACATGGCTTAGAAGAAAAGGCTGGGATTTGGAGCTAAAAAATTGTAGATTAGATTCTTGAATTCCTTTTAATAGTTACGTATCCTTAGTTAAGTTACTGAGACTTCTCTAAGGCCATCATTGAAAAATAGGATGGTAGTATACCCGTCCTGCCTACCTGTTTTGCAAAGTTATATGGCTCAAAAGAGGAGATTTGTGTGAAGGAACATTATATGCAGATGTGATTATAACAATAAAATGTTCTCTTGACCTTCTCCAGAAGTGGACAGGCTTAAGAGCTGGCTACCTTGTCCTGTAAGATAGGAACTACTTTATGGATTTTGATTTAATATTTTACCATCACGAGCATTTTGATGATATATTTTACTACATTTGTGTAATGCTACAAGGTTGAAGACCTAAAGCCAAAATGCAGAACCTTAAAGAAATAGCAGTTGAGCATTTCCTGTCTGATATATTCTAATTGTTTAAAATTACACAGATGCTTATTGTAATTAAGATTTAAGTGTGTAGTCTCAGTGTCAGTAATATTTTAGTATTAAAATTCTCTAAATGTGTTAAGTGTTTATTTTCATGATATGCACATTAAAAATAGCCATTTTCCAGAAAATAGTAACAACTCCACAGAGCACAATGGAGCACCACAAATGGACTTATTTTGGAGATTCCCATTATATTCGTTAAGAATGCAGGGACATATACTGTGTCTCTGTACTGTAGGAAGCTTGACATACTAGTATCAGTCATATAATCGTGTAGGAATGATCATCCTTACAGTATTATACCTTATTTTAGTTGAGAAGAAAGTGGTATTGTTTAATGACAAATTGAACCTAAAGCCTAAAGACTGGGTTCCAGATCTGTTTTCTCTACTCATTCCTATATGATAATTGGTAAATTAACCTCTCTGAGCCTCATATGTAAAATTGGGTTCTCTGTTGTTTTGTAACATGAAAACCTTAGTGGCTGAAAACAACAATGATTGTTTGTTATCTCATGGTTGCTGTGGGTCAGCAATTTGAGGGTCCTTGCTTGGTTCTCTGGAGGTTGCTGTCAGATATCAGCAGGAGTGGAAGTTTTATAGGAGCATCACTGGAGCTAAAAGATTCACTTCCAAGGTGGCTTACTCACTTGGCTGGCCAGTTGGTGTTGGCAGGTTGGTTCCTTTCCACAATGGGCTTGCCGTGGGACTATTCTCATGAGATGGCAGATGACTTTCCCGAGATTCAAGCTGCCAAAGTAGAAACTGCAGTGCCCTTTATGACTTACCTGTGGAAGTCATACACCATCATTTCAGATGTATTCAATTGGTTCTACAGACCAGCCCTGATTCAGTATGGGAGTGGATTACACAAGGACATGAGGCAAGGATCATTGTGGACTGTCTTGTGAGGGTAGGCTCTCTGAGAGGATAACAGTCTCTACCTGACATAGGATTGCTTTGAGTTTCATTGTAAGCATTTATGTGAGAGTCCTTTGTAAACCATTAAAGCAGCATATAAATGTGTTATAGAAGTGATGGTGGCTCACACCTGTAATCCCAGCACTTTGGGAGGCCGAGGCAGGTGGATCACTTGAGGTCAGGAGTTTGAGAACAGCCTGGCCAACATAGTGAAACTCTGTCTCTACTAAAAATACAAAAATTAGCCGGGTGTGATGATACATGCCTGTGATGCCAGGTCCTCAGGAGGCTGAGGCAGGAGGATCTCTTGAACCCTGGAGGTGGAAGTTGCAGTGGGCAGAGATTGTGCCCGTGCACTCCAGGCTGGGTGACAGAGTGAGACTCTGTCTCAAAACAAAACAAAACAAAACAAAAATGATGCTATTCCTTTTGACCAGTAAAACTGAATGGAAGTTGAATTATTTTGCTTTGTGCCATGTTAGCATTATGACACACCTTGCTCCAAATCCTTTCCTGCTTGCTTTACCTTATATCTTACTTTATATTCAAGAATTCTCCCCCTTTAATAATCAGCTAGAACAAAATAGCCTTTTTCAAGTTTCTCACATCTCTGGTGTAGAAGTAGTACATTGAATGGGAGAAAATTATAAACGAGCAGTGGCTATAGCATGAACTTGTTGGTCATCTGAGTAATAGCCTCAGGTTTCATTCTAGAGCATCTCCTTGAGGAAACCTCTGAATGCCTTCTTTGTATTTCTCTTTTAGTACTTGCTCTACCTTGCCTGGATTATAGTCTTACCATATTTTTTACTGGAAAATTCTTAAGGTAGTAGGGGCTATATTTCCTCCTATTCAGTGTCTTTTATCACCTTTAACCTAATGCTTTGTACTTCACTGGTGCTTAATCAGTGTTTACTGAGCTGGACTGCTGGCAGAACTCGAGCCTTTGTGCTTCCCTGAAACTTCAGATGAAGAAGGTTGTATTTTGCTGAGGTGGTAGTGATGGTGGTGGTGGATCCTGCCAGAACCATCTTTGAGCCTGTCTTATAGGTCCCTGATTTGCCACTGGAGCCCTTAGCCTCTCATAAATGACTCAGATATTTGGACTCTTTGTTAGTTGCTTAGCCTGGCTTCCTCACCGATGACCAAAGCAAGCAAGTGACCACACACACACACACACACACACACACACACACACACCTCTAACAGTCATACCTAACATACCTAACATACTATTTGTTACTAAACATATTGTATGTTTTTGGTAATACATAGTACGTTAGGTATAACTTTCAGAATCTCATTGAACTCTTGCCCAGTTTGGTAATACATAGTATGTTCTTGACTTCTTAGATTAAGAATACCCAGAATATAAAAGTGTACAACTTTCTTTCAGGCAATAAATCATAAAAATTTAATATTTGTACTTTTTTCCAAGTTATTCTGAGACATAGGTCTTTGTCACACACACTTTTATATATCTTTCCTTTGAAAAATGTAGCATTTACAGTCAACTTTTGAAAAATCATCTTGCTTGTCGCTGGGGGACACATTGCAAACAGATTATCAAGTTCTAGTTACGGAATTGTATACAGCAAAGACTTTTTTTTAAAGAAGGGAAATGTTTGTAATGTCATCATGTTTTGTATTTTAGGATAATTTCATTTCATATGATTTTCCCATTATGTAAACCAATAAACAAATTTGTATCAACTCAGGATTCTTTTCTCCTTGTTGCTGCAGATTTTCTCCTGCAGATTTATCTGCTGACTTCCCTCTTTAGCAGTTCTTTGCTTCCTTAGCCCCACTACCTGTCTTCTCCATCTCATTTGTACCTGACTCCTTCCCTGTCTTTGGACTCAGTATACTGATGACCATTAGAGGATAAGCAGGCTACAGTGGGCAGAGCAGATGTTATGAGGAGCAATGTGTGTGTAAATAAGAGCTGTGCAGAAGGTTAGCATTGACAGCCAAGGATGCTTTCTACTAAATAGTTAACAGAGGACCTGTGAAGTAATAATTGATAGGAGAAGATTAAGATTGCCGCAGATATTTTGCCTTATTTAAAATAGACTTTTTTTTAGGGTCTTTTGGTTCACAGTAAAATTGAATGGAAGGTACAGAGATATCCCATTTACTCCCTGCCCTCACACATGCATAGCCTCTCCTGCATGATCAACATCCCCCACCAGAATGGTACGTTTGCTACAATTGATGAAACTACATGGACACATCATTATCCCCCAAAGTTCATTGTTTACATTAGGGTTCATTCTTGGTGTAGTGCATTTTGTGGGTTTGGACAAATGTGTAATGCCATGTATGTATGCTTATAGTATACAGAGTATTTTCACTGCCTAAAAATCTTGGGTTGTGCTTATTCATCCCTCCCTTCTCCTAACCCCTGGTAACTTCTGATCTTTTCACTGTCTCCAATGTTTTTGCCTTTTCCATAATGTCATAGAGTTAGAATCATACAGTATGTAGCCTTTTTGGCCTTTATTTTTAGTTTTATTGGTATTGCAGATTATTTACTAAGGATCTTGGTATTTTCCCAGGAGCTTATTTGTTTAATAGTTGCTTGAATAAGAGTTTTTTTTAGTGTCAGATTTAAATACTGAATAATTATTATTTAGTTTTGTTAAATATTAATAACTATTTAGCACTGTTATTATGTGAGGGCAGTTTGAATCAGTTTATAAATGAATTAGCTTGTGCTTTTTATGAGTCTCACTATGTTTTTTTTTTTTTTTTTGACACGGAGTCTCGCTCTGTCATCCAGGCTGGAGTGCTATGACGTGATCTCGGCTCACTGCAACTTCTGCCTCCCAAGTTCAAGTGATTTTCGTGCCTCAGCCTCCCAAGTAGCTGGGATTACAGGCATGTGTTACCATGTCTGGCTAATCTTTGTATTTTTAGTAGAGATGGAGGTCTCACTATATTGGCCAGGCTGGTCTTGAACTCCTGACCTCAGATGATCCACCTGCCTTGGCCTCCCAAAGTGCTGGGATTACAGGTGTGAGCCACCACACGTGGCCAGAATCTTACTATTTCTCATGTTTAAGAGACATCCTGTAGTCTGAGTATGTGGATTATGACAACATATTAGAAGATTTTTTGAGACCTGTCTGATGTATATGACTACATTATGCTAATACTCTAAACATTCAGTTAAAACTTCTATATTAAAAGTTAAAAAATAGGCTTTAAATATAAATATCCAGATGTTAAAGTGGTGATATATAGTGAAAAGGATATGTAAGATCTTTATTCAGGTGCTAGCTCTGTTATTACCTATGTGAACATGAACAAGTCACTTTTTGTCTGTGAACTTCATTTTCCTTCTGGGAAAGCAGAGATAACACATACTTCATGGGTTATTTTTGAGGACTTCATAAGCTGTTTGTAAGAATCCTATGTGAATTTAAACTCAGAGAATAGTGGGGAATTGTTCGGTTAATGAGTCAGACTTGGTTACTATCATAGACTTAAATTTTTTTGTTTTGAAGATTAATAGTAAAGAAGGGAAATAATGATTTGGGGCTAACAAGTCAATACTGCCAAAAAGATGGTTATTTAGGAGCATCTGAGAAAAAAATGACTGTATTTTTTGCTGAAAATGTCTCACTGATTAAGCCTTGTCTTCTTCTGAAAGGTATACCCTTTGGGATATTCTCATTGTGTGCTTGGGTCTTAATCATATTTATTACCTAGTTGTCAGCTTGAGATGTTAGTCTTCCTTCCAAAAGCATAAATTATGTTGCCACATTTTTGGATAGTGTCAGAGACACATTATTTCCTGTTTGTAGGAAGAAAATGCTAGATTCTAAAGCACTTATGACCAGTCTCTGTATGGGTTAAGCCACGAGGGCAAGGTAGAATTAGATGGAAAGATTCTTGGGAAGAGAATAGAAATAGGCTTGTAAAGTTAAATTCCTGAGGGAGGTGTTGTATTGAATACAATTCTAGTTTCAATCAAAATGTCCCTATAGTTTAAAATACTTAGAGAAAAATGGTAAGTGACATGATAATGAATTAAAATTATAAAAAAAACTATACACTTCTGAGTTTGAGAATGGTTGATGGTGATTACTTCGAGATAAAGGTGTAATTGTCATCTCCTGTTAGTACCATTGACATGCTTATTATATTGTAATATCAACTTTTTGTATTTATACTAATTTACTTTCTTCTGTTAACTTCAAAGTGTATCATATATCTAAAGACAGAACGGTGGAATATCCTATGACAAAAGATGTAAGAATGACTGTTAAACCACTAACCCCTAAAGTAGACATGGGGAATCAAAAAGGAATTGTCACCAGCAAATAAGAAATAGTACAGACAATTCCTGTTAGGTGTTACCTGATTTATGATATTGAGAATGGGGAGAAGAAAATTTTAAAAGCATTCTAGAGAAGCATGCAGTCAAACAAACTTTATTTTTTGAATGTATTTGTTTGGAAGAACTTTTTTTTTGTAGCAAGCACATAGAAGGTCATTTTAGAGGATTGAATTGGGTGACAAGATAGATAATATTCTCTCCCTGATAGATAATATTCTCTCCCTGAAACTGGTTTCTCACTACCCAGGCTAAACGTGGGGAAATTCAATGGTCATAACATCTCATGAATTCTTTCTGGACATTTAATGTCATCTGTTGAAAGCAGGATGGGCCAGGTGCAGTGGCTCACACCTGTAATCCCAGCACTTTGTGAGGCTGAGGCAGGAGGATCACTTGAGTCTGGGAGTTTGAGACCAGTGTGAACAACATGGTGAAACCCTGTGTCTCCCAAAAATACAAAAAATTAGCTGGACGTGGTGGCATGTGCCTCTGGTCCCAGCTCCTTGGGAGGCTGAGGTGGGAGGAGTGTTTGAGACTGGGAGGCAGAGGTTGCAGTAAGCCGTGATCATGCCACTGTACACCAGCCTGGGCAACACAGTGAGACCCTGTCTCAAAAAAAAAAAAAAAATTAGACTGGTGTGGTGGTGCCCATGGGTAGTCCCAGCTACTCAGGAGGCTGAGACAGGGGAATCTCTTGAGCCCAGGAGTTTGAGACTGCAGTGAGCCATAATCACACCACTGTACTCCAGCCTGGGTGACAGAACAAGGCCCTGTCTCCCCCAACCTAAATAAATAAAAAATTAAAAAAAAACAAGCAAAAAAGCAGGATAAAAAGGGGGGGGGGGTATGACAGTTTGTTTAGCCTACAATGGAGAAGTAAGAGTACAGTTGTTGAGTGAACTGCATGAATTTGGGCCCATACTTGTCCGTTTTGGATTTTATGATAAAGTGAGAATCAACTATGATTTTTTATTATTAGAGGTCTCATCTTTAACATGGTCTGATTGTCTGGTTGTTTAAATTGACTTGCAACAGTGATTGTTCCAAGCCCTCAGTTAAGGAAGTAGAGCAGCACAGTACCTTATTTCACCTTTCTGTAGCATTCTATTCCATAGTGGTTTAAAATTCACTTATTGAATAAATAAGAGTATATTTGATATTTGAATCAGTTTCAACTCTGTTCACTGAAGTGCTGGTTAAACTCAAGATTGCAGTCAGTGGTCTTTGTAAAATTCTTCTCTGACCAGCATTCTGCTGCTTAAAATGGTTCTGTGGCTTCTAGTTGCCCTTAGATTAAGAAAAACTTACTTAAATTGGCCTAAAAGACCTATCCTACCTGGCTCTGCTTGCCTCTTCAGCTTTTTCTCTTTTTCACTACAACATTAGCATTCTGTACCCCAATGAGACTAATTTATAGACAATAAGTTCTCGTTACCTGGGCCTTTGTTTCATTTTTAAAATTTGGATCATATCTTCTCATTTTTTCAGATACAATTTAAATGTTTAGTGGCCTCTATAAATTTTCCTTGCTGTGTGCTACTATATCACAAAATTCACTGGATTTACTTATTTGTAAATATAATGCAGTAGGCTCTCACTAAATAATTTTTGAATCAAGGTGATCTTGAGTGATTAGGGAGAGAGCAGAGACATCAACTTGAATTGACCTTTGAAGGAAGGGAAGAACATTCAAAATAAGGAATATAGTTTGAACAAAGACATAGTGGAAGTACTTTTGTTCCTAAATTTGAGAATTAAGAAAACAAAGTATATCAAAAAGCAAAGAAAAACTAGGAAAAAATGTTTGCAATTCATATCATAGGAAGACAGCTGATTTCATAAATATATAAAGAGCACGAACAACTCAATGGGAAGAAGACCAACAATTGGATAGAAAAATGGACAAAGATACAAAGAGTATTAATATTTCATAATAAGAGAAATGCAAAATTAAAACTCTAATGAGATGCCTTTTTTTAAAACCTAATTGGCAAAGAAACAAATTTTGAAAACACAATGTGTCATTGAGGGTATAGGGAACTAGGCAAGTGTGATCATTGCTAATGGGAGTATGGATTTGTGCAATTTTCATTGAGGTCAGTTTGGAAAATTTGAAATATATATAGCATTTAAGTTTTCTACTAGATTGTATCCTATAGATCCTGTAATTGTGTGAAATAACATATATTTAAGGATACTCTTGGCAATGACTGGAAACAAATGCCCATCCTTAGGGGACTGGATAAATAAATTATAGTATATATAATGAAATATTTATGTTGTTAAAAATAAGGCAGTTTATATATACTGAAATGTAATAATCTTCAGGATGTAGTAAATCAAAAAGGAAAATGCAGAACAATGAATAGATTATTTTGGAGGAGACTTAAGAAATGTATTTTCTTATATAGGCATAGAATATTTCTGGAGGGAATTATAAGAAGATGAAAAATGTCTCTGGGGATTGGAACTTCGTAGCTGAAGAACAGGGATGGAGGTTATTTTCCATTGTATTCCTCTTTTGAGTATTGTAAATTTTGTATTAGGTAAAAAATAAAAACAAAGAAGAAATATATTCAACTCAAAATGTACTTCTGCATTACATATAGCCAACTCTGAGAAATTAGGGAATAGAGAAATGAATTTAAAAAGAATCCTGCAGTTCATGTATCTGATAAGGGGTTACTATCCACAGTATATAATTTGAGAGGCTAGGGCAGGTGGATCACCTGAGTTCAGGAGTTCAAGACTAGCCTGGCCAACATGGTGAAACCCCGTCTCTACTAAAAATACAAAAAGTTAGCTGGGAATGGTGGCCTGTAATCCCAGCTACTCAGGAGGCTGAGGCAGGAGAATTGCTTGAACCTGGGAGGCAGAGGTTGCGGTGAGCTGAGATTGCGCCGCTGCACTCCAGCTGGGTGACAGAGCAAGATTCTGTCTCAAAAAACTCCGAACATCTCTACAAGAAAAAACAACAAGATTAAAACATGGGCAAATGGTTTGAATTGACATTTCTGCAAAGAAAATATACAAATGGCCAATAAGGGCATGAAAAGATGCTCAGCATCATTAATCATTAGGGAAATGCATATCAAAGGCCTAGTGAAATTGTGTCTCACATCCATTAGGATGACTGCTATGGAGTTTTTTGGAAGCATCTATGGGCAGAGCTGACCAACCTGTTCTTTCTCTTTTTTAAAAAAAATTAATATTTAAAAATATAATTGTACTAGTTTTATCTTAATATTGTAAAATATGTTGTCCTTTTGTTCTCCTGCTGCTCTGAGAGTATGTGTGTGTGTGAGTCTGACTTCTGGATGCAGATATTTTGTTCTTGATGTTGTCTTATTCTGCTTCTCTCAATGTAAGAGAGAGGATTGGGGTTTTTGTCTTAGTTTGGGTTTTGGTCTTTTTTCTACTTTGTCTCACTTTTGTTTTGTTTGGGGTATAAACCATTCTCAGGGATCCTTTAATTTTCTGCCTGTTTTGTTTCTTGCCATGCTGATTCTGCTTCATTCTTAGGGTAGCCAGTTACCTTCCTTCCCTCATGAAAAAAAAAAAGCCAATATACATTATTTTTATACATGTTGAATGTAAACCTCCCCTTCTCAGCTGCTTTTCTCTCACCTTATTTTGCTGCTCTGTTACACTAAGCCTGAGTTCTGTTTGTCCTCTGCTACAAAGGCCACCTTTTCGATTTTTCCCAGTCAATGGAATAGAACATGTCTAGAATACAAAAAGCAGATGACGTATTATTCCAAAGGTAAATGTGTACATATAAATTCATTGGGCCTTGTTGATTTTCTCTGTGATAGGTGAGGTATCTAATTTAGTTGCTTTGTTGATGTTTTACACTTTTATCTCTTCATTCAGTAACTTTGCTCTTTCTCTCTTTGCATTAAAGAAATATGAACTGAATTCATAGAGTCGGTAGGAGCCATACTTAATTTTTTTTATTATACTTTAAGTTCTAGGGTACATGTACACAATGTGCAGGTTTGTTACATGTGTATACATGTGCCATGTTGGTGTGCTGCACCCATTAACTCGTCATTTACATTAGGTATATCTCCTAATGCTATCCCACCCCATCCCCCCACCCCACGACAGGCCCCGGTGTGTGATGTTCCCCATCCTGTGTCCAAGTGTTCTCATTGTTCAGTTCACACCTATGAGTGAGAACATGTGGTGTTTGGTTTCTGTCCTTGGGATAGTTTGCTCAGAATGATGGATTTCCAGCTTCATCCATGTCCCTACAAAGGACATAAACTCATCCTTTTTTAGAGCCATACTTAATTTTAAGTATAGAATTTGTCCTTCAGCCAGGTATTATGTTGGTCGCTTTATTTCCTTGATCTCTTTTTCTTCCTAATTCTTAGGTATTAAAGCTATAAGATGGACACTGTCCACACCTTTTAATGATTCTGAGTTCATTTGTTTTGCTAATTTTTCTCTCCTGCTAGGAGATGTGCGGAAAAAAGTCTGAAGAAAAGTATTTTCTGTTCAGCTTCTTTTGGAAATACTTAAAGTAGTCAAAAGGGAATGAAAGGTATATTCTTAAGGATTGCTATTTGATTATGGAATAAAAAAGATTTTGAGTAGTAGTTTATCTGAAGTGTGATTCTCTCTTGGAAAATCTAACATCCTATTAGTGTTGATTTACATATCTTTTGCTTTTAACAAAGATGTGATTGGATCAGAAAATATAAAGGCTATACATTTGCTCTCAAATAAAATTTAATTTTAGGGTAACATGATCTTCTAGCTAATTTTTATCTTTGTTTAAAGTATTTTTGACTGAGGATTCTGGTTGGTTAGAAGCCATGCTGTTGAGGCCAGTACGTTGGGGATTAATCAAGAGTGGTCTTGCTGGCTTACAGAGAAGGCTTATCTCATTTCTTTGCCCAATACATATTTTTGTTCTCAAGCAAACTAATATAGGGAAATTGGTGTCAGGGGAGGGGTTTGTTATACTAGCAGTCCCTACCAGGTACAGGAGGTGACTAGTACAGTGGTTAACATCAGCTTTGTATTTGAAACGGAGAGCACACTAATATGGTTATGAATGTTTTAATAGATAGATAATGAACTACTGGAGAAAAAGTAGTAGTTTAAAATTAATTGCAGTTTTGGTTTAAAAATGTGGTTGACTTTATTCTGTATTTGCTTTTATATTTGCCGAAAGTATTACACATAAAGATTATGCTTTAAATACTGTAAAATGTTTTTCTAGTATTAAGTAAATGATTGTGGAAAATGTTATATTTGAAAGGTCATGTTGATTTTCTGGCATTTCCAGTTTTACATTTTGTATATACAGTTGGATTGCTTTAGTTTCTAGTCGAGTGTTAGAAGATCCAGGTAATAAATGTAGAAGATAAATTGCAAAAGGGCAGAATTTTTTAGAATGCACATATATTTTATGTTTCTTTTGTTTCAACAGTGAAATTTCAAATTCTAAGAGGCAATTGAGAGTGCTGAAATGACAGCAAGATAATAAGGACCTTCAGTAATTGTGAAGTTTAAAGACAACCCTGATAATATTTTTTATTAATTGATGTTCCATATAGACTTTGTACTTTTCTTCCTTTTCTACCCCTTCTCCATTTGAATGAGACTTGAACATTTACCTTTTACATAGTGGATTGAATTAATTGTGTATTCAGAACACTTTTCCAAATAAGTAGTATCTGAATGCTGCAGTAGCAGTTATGAAATCAATAACTCATCGTGCCCTGTGTTTTATTGGGAGTGTTGAATATTTATTGGGAGTTATGAATAACTGGAGGCAGTGTAGCATAGTGCTTAAATACCTAGTTTACAGGGTCAAATAATCTGGATTCAGCTCTGCTACTTACTGTTTCTTTGACCTTGGGAAGATTCCTTAAGCACTCTGAGCATCGGTTTATATCTTTTAAAATGGGGATAAAAATAAGGTTAATGTAGAGATTAAATGAGGTAATTAAAATAACAATTTTCAGTATTACTGTGTTTAACATAGTGATATAAAATTTTAATCAACACAAAGTGTATATTCTCTACTAGACTGAGGTTTTTATTTTATTAGTTTCACAATAAAAATATTTAGCTTTTTTCTTTTCCCAATTAATGCTTCATTCAGAGTTTGTATATTTTTTGTCATAATTTATGGAGGAGTAATATTGACTGATTTTTGTGAATGGCTAATCACTCTATTAAAAATGAAACAAAACCTTACTATACCATTAGCCAAATATTTTTATATTTTATGTTTGATAATCTAATATTTGTACTGAGGTTAATATCCAAAATATACGAAAATGTTGATATGATTTTGGCTGAGGAAAACTAACCTTTTAAGTATTTCTTGGAGGATTCTGTTACCTACGTCTCACTTTTATTTTTAAAACTCACCTTTCATCAGGGATTTTATTATGGCTGGTTTTGCTTAACATGTATGAAGAGGTGAAATTTTCACTTTTCTTTTTAATTACTTGGATAACAGTTGGTTAGGGACAGGTCTTTTTAGGTGATATGCCTCGTCTTTTTTGCAGAAGAAAGCTACATTAGGTTCTGAGAAACTTTATTTTTCAAAACTGGTAGATATTAATTTAAATTGCATCAAATCTCTATATGGCTCATATATTTTTATCTAGCTCATATATTCCTTAAAACCTATCAAAATTGTTACTGAATTTTCTTTCTAAGCCATTTATTGTCACAGTCATTGTGAAACTCCCTAATATCATTTGATGTTGATGAGACAATAAAAATAAGTTTCTTATAAAATGGGAGAGATCAGATTATTCTCAAGGCTACTAAGCTGCCGTTTAAGATGAAAACAACCTTCCTAGTGACCAGTATAAAAATAATTTAGTTTTATTTACTATTATTGGTGCTTATTTGCAAATGGAGCCATAACTTATCTTTGCTGCTGAAAGCAGGAATATGTTAGAAACTTCCCTAAATGAGTGTCTTTTCCCATATTACCCAACTACCCACTTGTGTTTATTAAATGAACGCAGGTATGACGTAAAGATCAGACAAGAAATTTAACAGTGTTATCTTTAGAAGTGTAAATAATTTCATGAGTATGTTGACCTTGTAGCAGAAGTCAGAAATGGCCTTTGAACATGGGTGTATTGATGATGATAATGGGACATATCATGGAAGATAAGTAATTTTAGTACTGTGAGGGAGGGGCCATTCTGATATTGGAAGGTAAAGGCCTGAAGTTAGAATCATAGAATCATAGATAATTGGAGCTAAGGTCATCTATTCAAATTGCTTACTCATTGGCATAGCTAAGACTTGAATCCAAATCTTATTTCTGACTTGGTACAAAGCATAGCAGGAACAGAAAACACTTAGCCCTAGAACAGAGTGGGCACTTGGTCTTTGGGAGGGACGCATGCATGGAGAGGTAGTATCAGATTAGTTGCATGGCTGTCAATACAGCCTGATCTGGCCGCTTATTTTCTCCGTTACTCTCCTGACTGGCATTTAAAGGAGTGGAATGTCGTCTGACACAACCATATGAAACTATCAACATTGTAAACGGGTGGTAATATAAACCATATCTACAATTAAACAAACAGTCAAGATACATTTATTTAGCATCTGCAAATGCTTAGCAAAATTCTAAGAATTTTAGGATGTATAGAAAAGAGTGAGACATGACCTATGTATACCCTTTAGGGGCTTACAACTTAGTTGGGGAGTTACCTATAAAACGGTAACTAACACTCTTGGGTGCCAAATGAAGGTGTGGCTAGTGAATGCCAGAGGAGTTTGGAAGTGGAAGAGGGCCTTGTGGGTTACAGTGCTAATATAGGGTTTCCCAGAGATGAAAATCAAGTTTGGTTGCTTCTCACCTCGTTAGAGCTTTTGAATAATTTTATGTGTTCAGCTGTAAAGGTTTTGGATTCACTTAACTTGTTACAGAGCCTGGACTTGATTGCAAGTGTTTCCCTGACTTCCAGTGAAGTGCCGTTCTGCAATTGCACAATGTTGTGCACAGGTTGGCAGGAGGTTTCTGTTGGAAGAAGCCCATTTTTGCTTATTAGTCTTCATTGTGTTCACCAGCAGATCAAATTCACCCCACTGGTCTTCTGGATGTTTTATGATGGAGCACCCCCAGTTTCAGTTACCCGGAGCCCCTGTTGTTTCTAGATTGCGAAAATAGCTAAAATTATTATTTAAATATGAGTTTGGTGGATCTTTTCCTTTAAGGTAATCTTTCTACTAAGAAACTATTAAAATGAGGTGGGTATTTGTTTACAGTATATGAAACATAGCAGCAGCTGGCATTTACAGTGGGCTTCTGTTGTTCAATTAGATTATTTTGGTGTTCTGTTATGAATCATTAACTTGAAGATTGGTACATAAATAAAGCCATTAAAAATAATAAGTAAATTTAGAAATAGCTGCATCAGAGAATAAATATACTTATCAAAAACCCATTTTGTTTTCCCTCTACCTGGATATTTTTGTATTCAAATGGTATTTCTCATTTTAGCACAAAGAAAGGCCTATAAAGCTGACAGTTGAATTTAGTCTAACCAAGAAATATGAAATACATTAGAGCTTGAATTATATAGTGCAAACCTCAATCCACTGCTGATTCTTTAAGGCAGTGTTTTTTAACCTTTTTCTTTTTTTCTTTTATTCTTATTTTAATGTAGTGAACCCTTCTTCAAAGAAAATCTTGGTTGGAATTCCATTATTGAAAAAAAAAAAACCAGATAAAAAGCAGAGTGGCTCTGATTGAGGCAGTTCAGAACTCTGTTCACTTAGCACCTGCTCCCCCTGGCCCTTGAGACTCCAGGGAATCATTAGGAGACCATGAAGCACAGACTGAAAAATAATTGCTTTGAAAGAAAATCTAACTAAACACTTCCTAAAAATCAGCTGTTAATTGGGAAAAAAATTCTTAATGCCTTATAGTTGGGTGGATTATGAAAGTTACTTGATCCTTCTTATCCATCTTTACTGCTTTTGGACAAGAGTGTTGTGTTATGATTTATTGAAGAAAAATACAGAAAAGTCAACTTCCTGAAGTTCAATATACAGATATATATGTAGTAATCGACGTATGTTCTCTTTCTTTCTTTCTTTCTTTCTTTCTTTCTTTCTTTCTTTCTTTCTTTCTTTCTTTCTTTCTTTCTTTCTTTCTCCCTCCTTCCTTCCTTCCTTCCTTCCTTCCTTCCTTCCTTCCTTCCTTCCTTCCTTCCTTCCTTTTCTTTTCTTTTTGTGAGATGGAGTCTTGTTCTGTCGCCAAGGCTGGAGTGCAGTGGCATGATCTGCTCACTGCAACCTCCGTCTCTCAGGTTCAAGCAATTCTCCTGCTTTAGCCTCCCGAGTAGCTGGGACTACAGGCATGCGCCACCACACCTGGCTAATTTTTGTTTTTTTAGTAGAGACGGGGTTTCACCATGTTGGCCAGGCTGGTCTTGAACATCCTGACCTTGTGATCTGCCCACCTCAGCCTCCCAAAATTCTGGGATTACAGCCGTGAGCCACTGTGCCCAGCCTTTTTTTTTTTTTTTTTTTTTTAAATGAGCCAGGGTCTCATTGCTCTGTCACCCAGGCTGGAGTGCAGTGGTGTGATCAGAGCTCACTGCAGTCTCGATCTCCTTGGCTCAAGTGATCCTCCCACCTCAGCCTCCTGAGTAGCTGGGAGCACAGGCATGTGCCACCATGACTGGCTATGTTAATTTTTTTTTTTTTTTTTTTTTTAGAGACAGGGTCTTCCTATGCTGCTCAGGTTGGTTTCAAACTCCTGAGCTCAAGTGATCCTCCTGCCTTGGCCTCCAAAGTGCTGGGATTACAGGCATGAACCACTGTGTCCAGCCCACATATTTCTTTCTGTGTATATTTATACTTACAGCATAAGTATAATTTCTTTTAAAAACCACTTTCTTCATAAATATCTTCAGCTGTGAAGTAAAACTATCAGGTAAGAGATGGAGACAGTCATTTGTGTGTACATACACCACACACACAAACTAACACACACACACATAAAATTTATGGCATGTGGTTGTGCAGTGCTGTTCAATCAAGGCCTCCAGAACTTATATCACATTCTGAGTATGATGTAGTTTATATGGACAGCTAAGTGGTTAATTAATTTCTTCAATGAAACTGTATTGAACACTGAGCACTTAAGTGCAAAGCACTTAAGTATAGTAGTGAACAAGTGTTTCTGCTCGCGCAGAACTCACAACTGATTAGGGGTAAGGATGAGAAAATCAGGTGTGATAAATGCTGTGCTAGGGGGAGCATAGAGTTTTATGGGAACACATAGGAAGGAAATCTAAGTCAGATTTGGAGAGTCGGAGTGGACTTCCTGATAGTGACATCTAAGCTAACCTGAAGGATGGGTAAAGCTGGCCAAAACAAAGAAAGGTGGGAAGAGTGATGTAGACAGAAGGGAGAGATGTATAAGGGCCCAGAGACAAGTAAAAGTGTGGCATATTCTAGAAATTGTATGGAGGTGGGTTTGGTTGAAGCATGATGTGCTGTGAAAGAGAGGAACTGGCCCAGCACGGTGGCTGGTACCTGTAATCCCAGCACTTTGGGAAGGTGGGTAGATCACTTGAGCTCAGGAGTTTGAGATTAGCCTGGGAAACATGATGAAACTCCATCTCTACAAAAAATACAAAAATTAGCCAGGTGTGGTGGCACATACCTGTGGTTCCCGCTACTTGGGAGGCTGAAGTGGGAGGATTGCTTGTGCCTGGGAGGCAGAGGTTGCAGTGAGCTGAGGTCGCACCACGGCACTCCAGCCTGGGTGACAGAGTGAGACCCTGTCTCAAAAAAAAAAAAAAAAAAAAAAAAAAGTGGAAGTGATGAGACTAGGAATCTAATCATAATTAGCCTTATATGCTAAATCTAAGCAGCTTGATATTATCCTATAGAAAATGAGGAGTTATTGAACGATTTAAAGTAAGAGAAAGTTAGGATGATTTCTATTTTTTTCATGAATGCTCACTTTGGCTCACTACCATGTTGACCTTTGGGCAGCTGTTTGGATGATAGAGTCATTCTCTGAAAGTAGAAGAACCAGAGAGTATAAAATGCTGTGTAGTTTGTCTTTCCATAACATCCCCAATTGCCTCTATCCTTTATAAAATCCATCTTTCTTCATTTTATTTTTATGGCCCTTTTAGCCTTATCTCAAGGCTGGAATAATTCCAAAGAACAATGCTTAATGTTCAATATCTATATAGATACTATACAGAAACGTCTTTACTCTTTCGGTATAGAAACTGATATGATGCCTGGCACTTAGCAGATATTCAGTAAATGTTTATTGATGTGAAAGGGGTAAATACCAAAAGAAGAGATGTTGATTCAATTTTTTTTTTTGGTAAGATTTCTCTGCTTTTCCTGACATGTCCTTTAGATGCAGACAATTTCAATGTCAGCTGTTTCTTAACAAACTTACAAGGGTACAACCATTGTATAATAGTACTACTAATGATAATTAATAAAACATTGTACATTTTAAATAGTCTTCAAAGTCACAAGCTTTTTGCTTTACTAGTGGATCTCAAATTCAATTAACAGTTGGATATGCTGATATAATATTCAAAGAATAGTGAAAAGCTTTAACTCATCTCAATGATTATTCTTTGGAAATTAGTGTAGAAGGATAATTTATAAATTGAAAAAAATTTTTTATATGTGCAAGGGAACTTCTTTTCTAACAAATTTCTGAGAATGATCATAAAGGGGACTTATTTTAAAACAATATTTTAGGCGGAGCACAGTAGCTCACACCTGTAATCCCAGCACTTCCGGAGGCTGAGGCTGGTGGACCACTTGAATTCAGGAGTTTGTGACCAGCCTGGGCAACATGGTGAAACTCCATCTCTACAAAAAATATAAAAAATTAGCCAGGCCTGGTGGTGTGCATCTGTGGTCCTAGCTATTGGGAGGCAGAAGTGGGAGGATCACTTGAGCCTGGGAATTGAGGCTGCAGTGAGCCGTGATCATGCCACTGCACTCCAGCGTGGGCAACAGAGGGAGACCTTGTTTCAAAAAAACCCCAAAAAACAACAAAAAACAACCCACCACCAATATTTCATATTGTATTTAACTTAGTAGTTTGTAACATTATTTTCATGGTATTACTTAAATAAAATGAAATTACCTGATTTACCTTTTGAAGCTAAAACCCATATTTTAAAGTATTGCTCAGATTCAGAAAATTAGCACATTCAAAGCTGTTTTTCCAGTAGTTTAAACTCATTACTGACTTTATTTAATAAGTAATCAAATTTTTTTCATATTTAGCCAGTGGGATCACCAGGCAAGCTCCCGTCTCCTTTTGATGTACTTCCATCTTTTTTCTAAGCACTTCTTAGTGGCCAAAGAAAATGTTTCAGGCTCATCTTAAACCTTCCCCACCACAGCCCCAGAATCAACCTTTACTCTGAAGATTGCTGATTCTTTGGAGTAGGGAATGGTATTAGACCCTAAGAATTGAGTACTACATATACTCATTGCTACTTCTATATGGTTTTGCTTCCAGGGCCCCACAGCATTCTTCCCTGATTCCCACTGTGTATTTTTATCTCCCTTTTCCCACAGTCACCACTGTTCTCCCAACTCATTTGCTGAGTCCTACAATGTATCTTAAGTAGTTTCACAATTGTTTCTCTCACTGTTTGCATTCCCCACCCCCCAACTTCCCAGCCCAAATACCGCCTATAGTATTTGACTCTATACCCTTGGGTTGGGTATAATTAAATAACTGTGTCCTAAAGTTAATTGGATTAGTCCCTTTTCCTGCCCCACCATAGTTGATGACTGTTTAATTCACTCCCTTGTTTAGATTTTAAGTGTCCGATGGGGCAAAGACCATTTCTTTAGATATATCTCATATAGAATCAAAATGTGTGGTATAAATCAAGAATATTAATGAGATTGTTTTGCCCTGCATTTAATATCTTTCGTTAGACACTCTCACTAAAACAAAGTGAAGTGTGCAGTTTTTTTCTTTCCTCTTCCTCTTTTTCCCCCTCTTTCTTTCCTTCCCTCCCTTCCTTCATTTCTCCTTTTTGCTTCCTTTTTTTGTTTTTTGTTTCTTTTTGATATGGAACATTTCTCTACCTTACTGCATTTTACTCAGAATAGTAGAGGCATTTCTCCTATTAATGACATACATGCATTCCTGAAAAATCTTTAATTCTGCAAAATTAAACCATAAAATTTTAGGGCTTATAAAGAAAATAGGGCTAGGAACAGATCATTTGAAACCAGTGACATTTTGTAAACAGAGCTGAGAAAATAGAAGTTGTCATAAAAACGAGCACTATTAACTCCCTCCTTGCATTTGCACCCAGCATCACATCAGTCTTAGCTTGAAACCCTGGTTTTCTTCCTTTGTTGTAGGTCCTTAAAGTCATCTACTTCTAATACAGACCAATTTCATCAAAGTTGAAAATCTGCTCTAGGATATTGATCTGTTGATTTTATTCTATTTTAAACACAGGGGAAAATATCTTTGCATTTCTTCGTTGGTATGCTCAGCCTCCTTTAACAGTGGAAAGTCTTGAAGCCACCAAATGAGACTTTCACTTTAATTGGGAGAAGACTTGCTCTTGGTTGAATCAAAACCTTCATGTACTGGGGAAAATTGTGTATGAACCAGCATAGCTTTCACATAAGACTGACGTCATTTTCCTATATATGAGCTAATTTACATTAAGAAATAGCTATTGTAGCAGAAAAGACTGTAATATTAATTTTGTTTTAGTATATAAAGATACTAAATACCTATTACTGAAGATTTAAGTAATATGGAAAAATATAAAGCATAAAGTGAAATTCCTTTCATTGCAAATAAATACTGTCATCATTTTGGTTCATATTCTTTATTATTTGACCTCTTTCTATGATGATGATGATAAGGATGACGATGAGGATGATGCTGTGTGTGTATAAAATTTCACATAAATGGGTTCATATTAAAAATGCAATTTTCCAACTTTTTTGGAGGAGAATCTCAAGCAATATAACGATATATTGTTCTTTTTAATGATTGCAGATTACTCTACTGTATGCATGTCATAATTTATTTACATATTTGTGAACATTTGGTTGTTTTCATTTTTTCACTGCAATAAAAATGGTATGTTGAATATCGTTGATCATATCTTTGCATCCATAAAATAAATTCCTGGAGTGGTGTTTCTGCATCAGAAGGTATATTCATGTAACATTTTGGTACATATTACCATATTAAATTTGTCAGTTTGATAGACTAAAGTAGTACTTTGTTTTTATTTATATTGATTTTATTATTAGTGTGTTTGTACATCTTTTTATGTCTTTATATACTGTCCATATTTTGTTTCAGTGAAATACCTTTCTCTCAAAATTATTGTCTTTTTTCTTATACTTTATAAGAATTGTGTAATTTTAGAGATACTGATATTATAATTTTTTATGTCCTGCTGATTGTCTTTTAACATTATTTATGGTATGTTTTGATTTTTATGTAGTGAAATCTATCAGTATTTATCTTTCATGTTTTCTGGATTTTGTAAAATGTTCAGAAAGACCTCTTTCTACCCTTAAAAGACTGTTGCCTTTATTTTCTCTTGTTATTTTTATATTTCTATTTATTACATATAATGTTTGGCTTATCTGGAATTTATTTTCTTATAATGAATTTAATAAATATCTAGCTTTGATTTTATTCTCCTTCCAAATTGTAGCTAATTGTTTCAACATAACTTGTTAATTCAACTTCTCTTCCCAATATGAATGTCGACTTTATCAAATACCAAGTTTCTTTGCGCCCTTGGGTCTTTTTGTGCATTTTGTATTGTATTAGTCATTTCTGCAAAACAAATAACCACCCAAATCAGTGGCTTAACACATTTATTATCTCACACAGTTTCCATGGATCATCAGAAATTTAGGAGCGGGTCAGCTTTGTAGTTCTGATTCAGTGTTTCTCTTAAGGTTGAAGTTAAGATTTCAACTCTAGCCACAGTTGATGAAATTTCACAGGTATCTTAAAACAGTGTCTTCCAATTTATAGGCAAGTATGCAGAAATCAAAACAAGGCATATAAGAGTGGAGAATAATCTAAATGAGATCGCAGTTCCATTTGCTGTAATACCACAGGCTCGTTATAATACCTGGACTTTTTGTGCAACAGACACTTGAGTCTGGGTAATGCTGTGCTCCATCTGCTTTTATCTCCAGGCCACTCAGGATGAGCTGCTTTATACTCTGGCCTCTTGGCTGTTCTATTTATTTATATATTTATTTTTACTTTTTCTTTTTTAACATATGCTGCTAACTTGGCCTTTGTTGCCATTTCAGCAAGTGTGCATGCATGTTTGTGGGTACACTTGCACTTATAAGCTAAAAGGACCATAAGCACTCATTCCAAGGGAGTTTATTTCTGTTGCTTTCACCTTAAATTGCATAAATCTTTTCCTCTGGCTTGCATCTTCAGTACTGACTCTGCACTGTTGCTGTTTGAACTCCCCATGGACTTGCAGCTGCCATACATGGGCTGTGGGCACCTTTCCAAATCTTCAAGCCATAGTCTGAATAGATTTTATTTTTGACAGACTAATTGGAGCCTTAATGTGCTTTCCTGATGGGGGAGCCTGTGTTTCTAATTTTTTTGTATTTATCATTTTGTAAAGAGTAGTAATAGTCCCTGGGCTAGCTATAAGTTTGCTGGTTAAATTGTATTTTTCAGTCCTACTTTTTTGTGACTTTCTCTTTCCATTTTTGTCCCTTGGGGTCTAGTGGCCTGATTCTTTTGAGAAGCCTTCCTACTCCTTACTCCCAACCCTGATCAAAGGAAAAGCCATGTTGTAAGTATGACTTGAGTTGATATGGCATTCTAGTAAAGGCATTTGCATTCTAGTATAGATAGCAATATATTTGAGGCATGAAGAGTAGGGATCAGGATAGGATTTTCATGAGACCCAGAAACCATGTTCTTTAAAAAAGTTTTTCAATTCCGCTTATTGTTGAGCCCTAATAAGACCCTTGTACCATTCTAAAATAAGACCGAAGTAGGGCTGCAGTGTAAGAGAAGTGAATATGAAGCAGTGTCAGATAGTAGGAAAAAATGTGAGGTAGCAAAGTAGATAAGGAACAGCAAAGCTTGGTACTTGGATGACCGTGCTTTGGAAACTGGCTGTCACATGGTTTCTAGTGATACTTTTCCATTACTCATGTTATTGCCTAATGCCCACTTTCTAATATTTTGTACCCTTCTTTTTTTAGGTTCTGAGTGTTACTACCTTTTTCTTATTTCCCCTATCTCACTTCTTCTAAGTTTTGATTTTTGAAAGGTTCTTGAGATTTTTTTTTTCTAAAAAGAGTGCTTTTTCCATTTATAGGCCTTCTTAATTTTTTTAAAGCCAATTTTGAACACAGCCCAAATGCCAAATAATGCAGTATTTTCTTCTTAGCTATTCAGTAAGTATTCCTGATGCTGGTAATATATCCTTTTACTAACCCACTGTATTATTACTTCAAGAAAAAATGGACTTATGGTGAAAAGTATCCTCTAATTGCTTTGCTTGGGTTATGGATAAGTAGCTGGTCTGTTTCATTTATATACATATTTAAGTCCTCACATTGTTAGCTTAAAATTCACGTTGCCTTTAGCTTCTACTTAATGATAGCAGTTATGCTTTTCTATTAAATTGGAAAAAAATAAAGTACAGTGTTGAAATCCAAATTTTGTGGTTATTAGGGTTTAAAGCTTACCAAGCTTCTCCGTGCTAATGGTTATCATTTAATAGGATTTTTCTCCTGTAAAAAGCTATTCACTGTCTTATTAATTTTTATGGTAAACTTTTTGCAGAATTTATTTCATTTTAATAACTGAAATTTGAGATTAGGCCTTGGTTGTAAATGCTGTTAAATGGTGTCTATTTGGAGTTACAGGATAAGGATAATTTATAGGATTAGGATGGCCTGAGCCAGTTCTTAGAGAGTCCTAGATTATTGTTAAAGGATTTTGCTTTATATGGTTTCCAAAAATACTGGAGCCATGAAGATGTCCATATTGATGAGGAAAAAAAAAAAAAGAAAACAACTAAAACAAGAAAAATTCGTATTCAGGCCGGACGCAGTGGCTCATGCCTGTAATCCCAGCACTTTGGGAGGCCGAGGCGGGCGGATCACAAGGTCAGGAAATTGAGACCATCCTGGCTAACATGGTGAAACCCTGTTTCTACTAAAAATACCAAAACAAAATTAGCCGGGCGTGGTGGTGGGCGCCTGTAGTCCCAGCTACTCTGGAGGCTGAGACAGGAGGATGGCGTGAACCCGGGAGGCGGAGCTTGCAGTGAGCTGACACCACTGCACTCCAGCCTGGGTGACAGAGCAAGACTCTGCCTCAAAAAAAAAAAAAAAATTAATATTCAGTCTTATGTCTCACTTGTCTTAATATAGGTCCTGTTCGCTGATCTGGCCAGCATTCTTGCTATCTCAGATGGGCTGTATGCATCTTCATTCTAATTATATTTTTCTTTTATCTGAGTGACTTAACAGATGTAATTTATTCTTTTATTTCCAAAGTTTTGAGGAAAAATTTTAAACATACAGAAACATTCTAAGAATTTTATAATGAACATTTTTAAACCCACCACCTACATTCTAATTCCTTTTTTTTTCTTTTTAGCCTTTCTCATCATGAATTTTTTTCCTGTAATTCCAGTTTTCTTCCTTTTTATTCTTTCCTCAATGAATATTATATAATCTATCCCTGTGGTCCAATTCTGGCACTAAGTCTTATATTTCCTTTTATTTTGCTTTTAAAAAAATCTCAAGACACCTAAGACAGTGCTGAATACATTCTTGTTAACTGGTTAATATCAGTACATATGATTGCCCCTAACTGGTCAAATCTTAGAACAGCATGAGGTTCAAAGCAGAACAAAATGATTATGTATTAGGTGTCTTATCACCTAGAAGATGGGCTTTATTGGTTTATTGTCTGTAATGGACATCCTTAATTCTGTTATCCTTTTTTGATTTGTTATTACTAGTCCTCTTCCTTAGACATAGCTAGTGCTTTATCTGAAGAAATATCCTTTATTTGATGATCTAGTCATTTTCTTTACACAAATGCTTATGTAAACAAAAGAAAACAAACACATATGAACATTTTGAACCTCTGGAAACCCTGCAAGGTTTCACAGATGAAAAATTTTGCTTACTGAGATAAAGTAATTTCCACACTGTTGAATCACGATTTGAACTGAGGTCTTGGATTCAAAGCCCACCAGGTTTTCACTGACTTTCCCTCTTTGCTGATGCTGCTTCTGAAGAGCACCTTGGATAGGATGGGGCCTGCTTTTCCACTGAATCAGAGGGAAGGGTGTGCATAAATGCATGATGTTTGCAAGTTGAAGGAGTCCTTACCAAAAATCAGGAAGCCTTTATGAATTTCTGTATCCTAGTTGTTTCCTGGTTGTATTTTCTCTCTACATCAGTTGTACTAGAGCATGACCTTCAAATTCATTTGTTTTTACATATTGCTGACTTAAGATTGAATACATCAGTTTTAACCTCTCTTCTCTTAGTATCCAGATGCTTATCAGTTTACCAACAGAAAGTCACAATTATCTCCATGAAAGAAGCAATTTTATAGGGCTTAGCTTCATCATTGTATCAGTGTTGACTTTTTTATTGGGTATCTTTGCCAAAAAATGACTAACTTTATGCCTTACATAATTACATTTCTCCTCCTTTATTATTTTTGGCTGGTTTTCCTCTTTCTTTCTTATTTCTTTTTTTGTGTATGTGCCATTTTGGTCTTTCCTGAGAATTTTCAAGTGAGAACTACTAGGTCAGACAAGACTAAAGATAAAGAATTTGATACTGGTATTCATGTTCTAAAGAGTACTAAGTGTCTGTTTATAAAATATTGTTTACTTATAATGTGAAAGGAGCAAGATAGTCCTGAAAAAATTTTTTAAATTGCTTTCTATAGATTACTTGCCAGGATCTGCTTCCAGTGGAACCAAAATTGTTGTAATTCATCAGTTTTTCTTTTTTATCCTTGTATTAGACCACATGTATCCAAATGTCTCCTGATTTTTCACATGCTTAGGCTCTGTTTGCCGAGCCAGGTTATTGGTACCAGGGGCTGCTAGAAAGATCCGTGGAGGATGATAGCTGGATTATTTATGGTCATATACTTGTTTCTTGTGACCTTGTCACAGGTCCCTCTGGGGAGGAAGTATGGCTTGGTCAATCTGGTGTCTTAACATAGTGTCTAGCACAAAGTAGGCACTTAATGTTGAAAGAATGAAAATGCAAACTCTACGTGGAGAAAGGACCATGCTGACCTTGTTCTATAACACATATTTATCTCTTAGCACAATTCCATGGTGCATGGTAGGTACACATATACTGACTGATTCAGGAATTGTGTGTCAGATTTGCTTGGATCCCTACTCTTGTGTTCTCTGATATTCATAGTTTGATGGTTTCCTCTTTATAAATAAAATCTTGATTTTGTGTAGGCTTATGATGATTGAAAGGTTACATTTTACATAAGATACTGCTTTATAACTTATTATTTTCCTCTTACCTTCAAACCTCCCACACAACTTTTAAATAGTTTTTATAATTAGGATGACTTGTGGTGGATTTATCCACCTGGTTGCCATGGATGAGTGATTGGTGACTTTGTACAAGCTAAAATATAAGCAGGCTTAAGAACAATTTTAGATGAATTAATGCATGATCAAGCCACAAGTTGTTACGGGAAGGAGAGAAATTTACAGTGTGGGTTGTTATGTGGTTGAGGTCAGCATCACCAAGAAACTCTCACTTGTAAGTGCTGTATGCCAGGTGGCAAATATGGTTTCACTTGATTCTGAAAGCTTATTTAAAAAATATTCTCAGTTTAAGCACTTCAACAATGAACTGGGTGTACTTACAATTTTAAGCAATAATTTTCTCAGGAGCAGTGTTTTGAACCTCAGTGACTTCCATAGTTACAAGAAGAATGAGGTAACTGATAAAAATTATTCCCTTTTTGCTGGGGGTGATTTTAGTACCTGATTGTTATTGCTTAGATGAAATTTTCCCAGAGGAAGTCGGGGCTAGGTACTTATTACTGTGGTGGTTTTAAACATTTAAGGTGTGAACAAAAGACCGGATCATCTGAATGATTCTTTGGCAATTTACATAGACAAGGAGGTGCATTAACTTTGCCAATATGTGAATGCCATAAAACTTTAAGAAAATTATTGGATATGACAACATAGAAATGTTGTGTTCATTTCTTCATGTATGAATGGCTTCTTTAGTATTTACATGATAGAAGCTTTTAACAGTGTTTTATTATTATGAAATATAGGTGCCCCTCACAATTCAGATAAAACAGGACTGAATTGAGCGTTTTCTTTTGAGCCTCTGAAAATAGCAACCACTTGTACCTTGTTTCCAGGGTAGCTTTTATTGCTCTTGCTTCCTTGGCTTGGAGCAGGATCAGCACATATCAGATTGAGACATCTCCCACATGCTCCTTTATAATCTCTCAGAAAAACACTTGCCCTGACTTTGTTGTGCAGGCGATGGTAGCAATGCTCTGGTCAGCAGTCAGGTTGTGGAAATGAGAAGTGAAAGAGCAACGGTGTTCAGGTCTTTATCTATATTTAAAATGTTCTTTTACATCATTGGCACTGGTTTCAGCTCCCTCACTGTTGGGTCTTTTAACCAGTTGTTTAAAAAAAGTTAATTCTCTTTTATTTTCAATACTTAAAAAAGTCTCAAACCATAAAGGCAACTCACTTTTTCTTAGTCAATAGTGATCTCAGTGTTTGTTTTAGTATCTGCCAAAGTTCTTAAGAAACAGTTAAAAGACAATAAAAAGTTATAGAAATAAAGAATTCTGGCTTAGAAAGAACCTTAGATATTAAATCTACCCCCCCCCCCTTTTTGGAGACAGGGTCTTGTTTGGTCACCTAGGCTGTAGTGTGGTGGCACAGTCATAGCTCACTGCAGTCTCAAACTCCTTAGCTCAAGCAGTCCTTCCACCTCAGCCTCCCAAGTAGATAGGACTACAGGTGTATGCTACCATGCCTTGCTAATTTTTAAATTTTTAGAGATGGAAGTCTTGCTGTGTTGCTCAGGCTGGCCTCGAACTCCTGACCTGAAGTGACCCTCTTGCTTGGCCTCCCAAATAAGCCCCTTCTTGTCACACATGAGGAAACAGGCCAGAAGTGACTTGTTCAAAGTCATGGAACTGGTTATAGACAGAGACAGATATCTACCTCAGGTCTCCTGAGTCTCATTACCATGCTCCTTTTTGGGGACCAGTGACTACATGGAGTAGAAGTAATGTAGGAGAGCATTACTGGAAAAGAAGAGGAGGCTCACAATTCAGGAAATGTGAATTTAATGCAACTTTTATTAATGTTTCCCCCTTAATTTACATTTTAATCATGCATACTACCTTATAACTAAGATAGCTGTGGCATCATATTTGGAAGCATTCCGTTTCTGTCCTGCAGGTATCCTCAGCTGTTTTGTGAAGGTCCATGCATGCAGGGCATGATGAACAGCAAAGAGAAGACATGTTTCCATTCTGTGCCTCTTAAAATAAAAGTAGCGAATATTTGACAGAACTTTCCAGAAGTTTCCAGAAATATAGATAGCCTGCACTGGCTACATAAACAACATTATAGTCAGTTAAATATATTGATTGCTGCATAAACAGGAAAGAATCTTGCTCAGTGTTATTTGTACTACTTAGAGCAGCAGAGATTGGGGTGAGAGTGTGGTTTGTTCATTGTGATGGGATAGAAATTAACACTAGTGTTACCCCGTATTATCTGTATATCATAGTGACTTCCTAGGGCAGATACCATCTTTCTGTTTTAGAAACCAGCAAAAATTCAAAGAAGAAAATAGTAATCGTCTCCATTCCTAGCATATAGAATTAACCACTGCTAGCATTTTGATGCTGCTTTCTTCCCTCTTTTGGTATACTTTAATAATTACACAAGTAACATATGAGTGGTTATTAAACAATTAAAACAATATAAATATTCAATTTTAAATACTTTTATGTGCACATATAAATGTATGTTGAAATGTAAGGTATTGTTTAGTGAGAGTTTTTGAATGGTACTATACTGTATGCTTAGCCATCTTTATATCCTCTGTACTTAGCATTGCTGCTTGATAGCAAATAAATGCTTACTGAATTAAAAATTCACGTAATAAATTCTGTATATACTCTATCCAAACTGAACTTATTTTAGTTTCTTAAACAGCTACATTTTATTTTGCCCCTAGGCCTTCATATATGTTACTGCTTTTACCTGAAATGCCGAGGTCTTGCCTCAAATGCCATTTTTTGGGGGTGGGGGTGGAGTGGGGCAGGCCTTCCTTGATCATTTTCTGATGAATAGACAGCCTTGCTTCATGCTGTCATGCTTCAGGGCCATCGTCCCTTTTAATGCTCATCCATTGGAAATAATTGTTGAAGGGCAGTCTTCCTTGGTATATTGTAACTCCTTGAGGGCAGGGAGCACATCTGCTTGTTTGCCAAAAAAAAAGTTTGAGGAATGGAATTATGAGCATAATTTTAGTATTAAATATTTTGACATGTAATTCAAGAGAACAACAGAATAGCAGTGCTTTGACAGGCTACCACGGCCCCTTGACACTTTCTTATCTCCTTCCTTCTCCCACCATTGTCCATCTATTTCCAGATCCTGTCAGTTTAACTTCCAAAATATATACATAAATCTGCCCATTTTAATCCATCTCCACTATCATGCTACTCCAACTATCATCTCTTGCCCTGGACCACTAGAATAATGTGGTTTCCCTATATCCATTTTTGTCCTATCCAGGCTTTCAGATAGATGATTATTTCAAAATGCAGATAGGATCATTCACCTCAATTTTAGAACATTTCAGTTACTTCTCATTTGCTGCAAATCCTTACGGGGCCTGTGAGGTCTTAACTGCTCTGGGATTTACATTGCCTCCTCCCATTCATGTCCCACTGTGCTCTTCCACTTCCTGTGTGCTTTATCTGCACCAGCCTCCCTTCAGTTGTCCATCACAACATGGCCACTCCTGACCCAGGGACTTTGGCATGTGACATGGCTGCTCTCTGGAATACCCTTGCCTACCCACAGTTCTTTATCTAGAGAAGTTCTCCTCATTTTTCAGTTCAGCCTCTTCCTCAAAGACCTTTCCTGACCTCTGTGTATCTCTCTTATAGCACTTATTACAACTCTTATGTATGTTTATGTGATTTTCAGATTGACCCTTATCACTCCATAGTTGACTGTAAAAACTTGATAAGATCAGGGACTGGGACTGGCCTTGTTCACTGTTTTATGATTCCCTGGTACCTAACACAGTGCTTGTGGAAGACCGTTAGTAAATACTGGTTGAAAGAATGAATGAGCCAGGTAGTAAGTGACTGGGTAGATGAGTGGATGGATGATTGAACTGCCTTAGTGGGGCAAAGAGAAAATCCACTGGAAGTCATTTTCTGATGGAACCACGTAGAGGTTACAAAGTAGGATCTGGTAGTGGTGTTCATTTTCTGTGCAATGTTTGTTCTGCAGATACTTTTTCTTAATCTAGTAAGGAGGTAAACTAAATGTGAGGAGACATTCAGGGTGATATTTCTTTGCTAACTTTTCCCCTGTTTTCATTTTCAGAAGGTAATAAACTTGAGGAGTGAGTAAACAGCTGACCTTTAAACACCCAAATATCAGTATTTTCCAGACTTGCTCTATTAAGGGAATCACCTGAAGTGTTTGATTTTGGAGGTCTGAGTCGGAGTGGGGATCTTCATTTTTAAGCATGTCAGTCAAGGCAAGCTTGGGGAACACTACCCTGGAATTATTATCTGGGAGTTGTATATGACTTAAACATAAGTGTAGACCACTTAAAATAACTTTGAAGCTATCAAACTGGTCAAAGAGGAATTGATTATTTACTGTTGAGCCGTTTCCTTTCTCTTCTACGTAGTAACTATTTTTTTTCCTATGTACATGGGAGCATTTTATAAATTATTTGTGGATTCAGATATTTTATAATCTGAAATCTTTGGATTTATTTATTTATTTATATATATTTTGGAAACAATAAAAAGAATAGATGTGGAGGTCATTCCGTTTTTAAATTTATTATAAGACTGATGTTTGTGTTGCTAAACCTGTGGTTAGAAGTGTTTTCAGAGAGACTGAGC
Organism: Homo sapiens; assembly: GCF_000001405.40. Lineage (NCBI taxonomy): Eukaryota > Metazoa > Chordata > Mammalia > Primates > Hominidae > Homo > Homo sapiens. The sequence continues at coordinate 111,524,136 of NC_000007.14, read as the reverse complement.
TAATGAAATCTAATATTGAGGAAAATGCATCTTTTGCATCTTGAAGGTACTGATTTGATAAATATGTCAAGGTTATTCTTTTATATTAATGGAGGTAGTACATGATAAATGGGATCTTTGTAAAATAGTCCATTGGAAAAGTATATTAAATCTTTTGTAGAGATATATAAAATGAGTTAGTAAAGGTGTTTTGATTCTAGGCAAAAGACGTCATTGAAGAGAAATTAGTTTCACTCAAGGGCTCACATTAAAGCTGGGTATGAATGAATGAAACATGTCAAGCAGGTTTACTCTTTTAGGAATATAGTGGTTAAGACTGCTCGCAGAAACAATCAGTACCTTGGGCCAAACACGTTTCTTGAGTACCAGATGTGTGAACTCATAAGCAATTTAACTTAAGATTATAGTTGTTAGATGAGTTTGAATGAAAACATGTTTTTAAATTGCTTATATTCTAAAGTTAGTCTGAGTTACATTATTTTGATTAGGTATAAAAAGATTACTGGTTTGGGTGAATGTTATGTGCAATATATGTTGATAAAAGTATAAAAAACAAGAGTACTGGTCTTACTTACCTTGCATACATATAGCCCTCATTGATGTCAGTTACAGTAGGTAATTCAGAATTAGCCAATTTAGATTATCATTCATCTTTTTCCTGTGACATGTTAAAGATTTGGGAGGGAATTAGTGGTTGAGTATTTTTATTTTTATTTATTTTATGAGTGAACAGATAACATTGTGAGTTTTATTGTATACAACATAATGTTTTGAAGTACATGTACATTGTGGAATGGTTAAATCTAGCTAATTAATAAATGCATTACCTAACATATTTATCATTTTTGTGGTAAGAGCATATAACATCCACTCTGTTTACATTTTTCAAGAATACAATATCTTACCATTAACTGTACTCACCTTACTGAACAATAGATGTCCTGAAATGTATTCCTCCTAAATATAATTATATATCCTTTGAGCAACATCTCCCCAACCTCTCCTCCCCACTAACTACCCCACCTTCTGGTAACTACCCTTCTACTCTCTACTTTTATGAGTTTAACTATTTAGATTCTATATATGAGTGGTCGTGCAATATTGTCTTTCTGTGCCTGGGTTATTTTACTTAATGTCCTCCAGGTTTTTCCATGTTGTACCAGATGGCAGGATTTCATTCTTTTTTTATGGTGAAATAATATATATATATGTATCTCACATCTTAAAGTTCATTCATCCATTGATGGACACTTGGATTAATTCCATACCTTGGCTATTGTGAATAGTGCTGTGATAAACATAAGAGTGCAAATATCTCTTCAATATACTGATTTCAGTTCCTTTGGATATATTCCTAAGAATAGGATTGCAGAATCATGTGGTAGTTCTATTTTTAACTTTTTGAGGAACCTCCATACTCTTTTCTGTAATGGCCATATTAATTTACATTCCCATAAACAGATATAAGGGTTCCTTTTGCTCCACCTTTGCCAGCACTTGTTGCCTTTTGATAATGGCCATTCTAACTGGGGTGGAATGATATCCATGTGGTTTTGATTTGCATTTCCCTCATGACTGCGCATTCTTTTCATATACCTGTTGGCTATTTGTATGTCTTCTTTTGAGAAATTATTGTTAAGCTCTTGGGCATTTTTTAATTGGGTTGTCTTTTTGCTATTGAATTGTTGGAGTTCCTTATGCGTTTTTGGATATTAGCCTCTTGTCAGAAGTATAGTTTCCTTATATTTTCTTCCATTCTGTAGGTTGTCTCTTCATTACGTTGATTGTTTGCTGCACAGAAACTTTTTAGCTTGATGTAATCTCCATTGTCTGTTTTTGCTATGATTGACTGTGCTTTTGAAGTCTTATCCAAAAAAGTCTTGCCAAGACTCCAGCTTGGGTGACAGAGTGAGACCCTGTCTAAAAACAACAACGACAACAACAACACCAACACTGCCACCACAAACAGCGCAAGTGATTTATCTGTGATTTAACAGTCCAAATGTAAGCAATGCAGGACAGTATGGTGCCTCCATGGTGTTGCGGACCTAGGATCGTTCCATTTTGTTGCTTTGTCATCTTTACTTGAAGCTTTTATCTCATAGTTTGAGATGGCCACCCCTGCTCCTACCACCAAATTGTTAGTATTACAGTTATAAAATGGGGAAGAAAAGGGAGGGCATCCTCCTTTTCAGGGTGCAACCAAGAATTATATCCTTTCTACTCATGCTGTTGATCAAATCCAGTGACATGGTCACAATTAGCTGCAAGGGAGGCTGGAAAACAGTCTTTAGTTGGGCAGCCACATGTTCCACTGAAACTTTTATTACTGTAGAAGAGAACAGATATCAGGGGTATAAGGAGTAACTTCATCATAATAGCAACAGAAAAGAATTTACTTCTGGAATGCTTGTTTTTTTCTAACTTACTGTTTTGTGGGGAGAAATTTCCCACTGAAGTTAGCAAGTGGACTTGAGTTGTGGAAAAGCATTAACCTGAGTTCACGTATTTCACTTTAGGACTTTAAGTAAGTCAGATTTATTCTAATGGTTACAGGAATGAGTGTGTAATATATTAAGAGACAAGATTGCCCTTCGGTAACTCTTACTTTTCATGTACTGTTTTTATGTCTTTGTTTTTCACCTTTCTTGAGACTAATTTCATAGTTGTTTTCTTTGTATTTTTAGGTATGGCACAGTCACAAGGGTGGGTGAAAAGATACATCAAGGCCTTTTGTAAAGGCTTCTTTGTGGCGGTGCCTGTGGCAGTGACTTTCTTGGATCGGGTCGCCTGTGTGGCAAGAGTAGAAGGAGCATCGATGCAGGTGAAAATGATATAACTTCGTTCTTTAAAGCACATACTTCATTGTTTTTCAAGCACTAGAAATGAGAGTGCTAATTATTATTCCTATTCTGGGAACTGAAAGGTTATAAAAAGGCATTGAAATGAAATTTTACTTTACTGAATTTGTTCTTAAGGTCTTCTAATACAGTCGTATTATAATCAGAGGAGAGGTTAATAAAAGTAACTATCAGTTCTCTGGGTCTGTAGTTTAAATTTTTCTGAGAATTTTAAATGGAGATTCTTAAGAAATTATACTAAATGACACTGTTTTCTGTGAATATGGCTCTATTAGAATATCCTTTTAATGCCAAATTATTAGTGTAGTTGCAAGATGGGTTTGAGTCACAATCAGTTGCTCTCTTGTTATATAGGTATATGATTTCAGTTTGTAGAAATGTCTAGACCATTGATCCCAGATATTGTATTGTGTTCTTTAAGCATGTTGCTAATTGAAAAGATTAAGTGCAGTTTACAGTGGAAGAACTTTGGAGTGGAGATTTCCAAAAGTTTTATGCAAATAGTCTTCTGGAATAACTTAGAGAAAATTATGTTGTCCTAAAGTTGATGTCTAGAACCTAGCTTTTTTAGTAAGTTTAAGCAGTTAGGCAGAATTTGCATTTTGTTATAGGATTTGGTTTCCTGTATTATCAATATGTATTAAGTTCATGCGTTGTGGTAAATAGTTGTATAAAACAAATAACTAAAATGAATATATAAGCTTCTAAAAAATCAAAATTATACAGAGAATAACCAGCTTAATTTTTTTTCTTTTTGTTTCAGTTAGAACTAGTTAAGGGCATAGTTATCAGCTTTAAGGAGTTAGAATTAGTTTGCTTTATTTATTATAATTATGGTATTGAACTTCTCCCTGAGTTCTGGTAGTCAGATACAGAAGGTCAGGAAATCCTTTAGCTTCTTTGGGAAAAGCTACATTTTTAAAACAGGACTGCCTTTATATTCTACTTCCATCATTTGAGCATGGTTAGGGCCTTTTCTTGGGCAGAAGATTCTGCTCTCAACCGTGTCTTTCAGGTTCTCTCCATAGTGGATCACCAGCCCAAAGCAAACTGGTCACTTACTTTGAATGCCAAAATATCTTAATGTAGGGGTACAGTAAACATAGAAAGAAAGATTTATAGGCATATGGCTTTAAATACACTTTAATATGTTTAAGATAGAATGTATTTTACATTCGTTGCCTCTTTAATCTTGAATTCCTAGCAGCCTTGTCTTAGACTCAATCCTTAGGGAAACGTAGACTTTCTTTGCTGAGCTTTGGAGTCAGATTCTTCATTTCAGATTAAAACTGCCTTCTTCACAGCCACCCACATTCCTTTTTGGTCCCAAGGATCCCTTTGAATCCATTCACAAGCATGTATCTTTTGGTAACAAATAATCAGTTTAAGAATGATTTTTTTTCCCCCAATTTTGTTACTGCTGTCTTGCTATACAGCTATCACTATTCTAAGAAGGACTTTTCCAGAACACAAAATCTCCTTACTTTGGATCTGATGATATTCCAGAGGATCATGTGGCAATCATAATATCCCAATCTTCATATTTTTAGCCTAATATATTCCTACTGAACATCTATGTTCATGGCTTGTGCTGAGAGAGCAATTCATTGCAAAATATAAGATACAGGTCTTGCTCACAAGACCTTGACTGCCTTATGAAAGGACAAGGCTTATCCCCAGTGAAGAAGGCAGTGAAGAAAGTGTTAAATCATGTTATTTCTAAATGTCGGTTCATGGATTAAACCCAGGTTTGCATTAGATATATTTGAATTTGCAGAGGTATTAGGATTTCTTGCAGTATTCCTAGGCCCTATCCCTAAGAAGTCAAATGTATTATGTTAGAATTTGTTTGGTATATTGTATAGTTTCCTTGGCTACTGGTAATAGGAAAATAGCTTGGTATAAAGGGGATTTATTGGAAGGCTTATTATATACACACAAGGAAGGCACGAGTGAGACAGTTGTCAGGGACAACTAGAGCCAGGACTTGGATGCCGCTGGAGTGCTCCGTCTTTTTTAAGTTCTTCTCTGCATCTTGGCTTAGTTCTCTCAGACCAGTTTTCTCTGCATAGCAGGGTACATGGCTGCTGGCAGCTCGCATGCCCAGTTTCTTCACCGCCTGAGAGAGATTGCTCCTACTGCCTTGATTTCAGTGTGGAATATCTTGGGGAAGGACTGTGATGTATTCAGCTTGGGTCACATGCCCTTATCTATACAACTATACAGATCAACTTTGGCCACCAGAATGGGGTACCGTGATTGGTCCAGCTTTGAACAAGTACACACCCCAAGCCTGTGGCTAGGCCAAGTGATCTGTAAGAAAATGACAGCATCTCTTTGAATCACATTGTTCTGTGGGAATTGGGGATTGGAGTACAGGTGACATTTCCTAGAGGAAAGAGGATGCTATTTTCAGAATCAAAGTAGAATGGAATTCTAGGAAGAAAGGAAAATATGTTTTTACAATTGGATCTATATTTCATGAATTTGAGACCAACTCTAGGTATAATAGATAATTTAATTTACAGTTTCACTAGATGCCAGTAAATCATACTTTAAATTCTTTAAGAGCAGAAATTATAATAATGAGATTTAGGGATTAACTAATTCAACATATTTGAAGACATCTTTGCTACTATACAGCTTTGATCAACTAAACACGTTTATGTCATGGGGTTCAACAGAATTTTTGACAATTGGGATAAATTCTTCTCTTTAAATTTCTCTAATGACTCAAGGACTGAAATAGTTGGCATGGTGTGGAGATCTCTGGAAGTCACTGAGCATCCTGCAAGGAACACAGCTGTTTTTCTTTACTCTGGGAAAAGCCACTCTTGAAGGTCACTCAGCAACTGGTAGACACATTATTTAAGAAATATCCAAGGATCGAAAGATTAAATCTCATTAAAGGGAGGTGTAATACTAGTCTTTTGGGTTTATTGAATAAATACTGTTTTGGTTACACTGGAAATTCACTTTGAGTAACAAATTTTGCTGTAAGAATTGTTTTTCGGTCTTTCAAAAATTCTGTTGGTTTGTGATTAGGGGAAGCATGTTTTTAAGATTCCCTCTATGAGAAATACTTATTTACTTTTTAAACACTACTCAGTGGTTCTTTTTTTAAGTTAGGATTTTCAGTATTAATTTGCAATTCATTAAGTATTTGACTAGAAAGATAAGGGTGATCAAACATGGGAAGTATCAGCTAATTAAAGGCAAGCCATAAATAAAAAATAAAGTTTCTAATGATGCATTGGTAAATTCAATGGAAAATAGGATTTAGTTTATAAAATATTTGATTTTTATAAAGCCGTATAGCTGCATTCATTTCATTATATGAGTTGTCCCTTTTGCAATGCTCGACACAATAAATGCTGGCACAAATTGTTGGTTAATGATTATTCATACTGACCTATTCCCCTCATGCACATGAATCACTTTTACTGGTTGCTGAAAGGTTACCTATGAAAGTAGATGTACTTCTTTTTTTAAAAAAGAAGCACCACATTACACGACATTAATTTAATTCAGGAAATGAAGACTGATATTGCATACAGTTGAAACTACAGAGGGAATTTATGTAGGTGGAATGTAATTATTCAAATTAGAACTTTAATCGCTTACAGAGGCTTTTAGCGTAAAAGGGTGCCCTAGGAATAGTTTAATGACCTCATGCCAAAGTTTTAGATTTTATTTGAGTGAGAATTCCTGCAGTGGGGTCACTGGTCCTGATAAAAGGTATATGCTTTCCACATTTAAAACTAAGATTTAAGACTTTAAAAAGTAAGTAAAATAAATAATTTTGTGTCATTATCTTTTTTTTTTTTTGCAATTGATACATAATTTTTACATAGTGTACCATTTTCCTTTTTTCATTTGCATGGCCAGAGGGCAAAAATACTTGAAAACACTGCTACACAATACTGTATCTCTAGGTCAGACCTTAGAGATAATGTATGCAGAATATATTAGGAAATTACAGAATATGAAGGAAAATGCAGTTTAATTAGCATTGAGGTCTTTGTTCATCAATAACATACATTTATGGGTTTTAAATTGTCTTGACTTTCAGCTACCTGTGATTATCTTGTTTCCTGCTGAGTTTGAAATTAAAAGTATCATCAAAAAGCAAGCTCTCTTTCAATCTATGTTTTTTTTAAAAAATTTTAACCTACAGTCAGCTTAATAATACTCAACAGTCATTATTGCTTGTAACTTATTTTGAACTCTGAGAAGCTGGATACAGACTCTTAAGAAAAGAGATACATTGTGATTTATATACCAGCATTTAAGATAGAGTTATGGAGTTTTATGTTACCTGGTAAATTTGCACTTCCAAGATACTGGGCACAAGCTGGCACACATTTCCTCCTGTGCTGACTTCTCTGTGTCGTCACTCACCTTGGTCTGCTGGGGCTGACGTCAAAGGAAGTCAGGATTTAATGTTGGAATGCTTTATTGGCTTACTTGCGTGCTTTCTGCCCAAATTACTTTTGGCTCAGAAATCTCACCTGATGTTTTACCCCTTAGGATGAGTTATGAGTTTTTACATAGTTCTGTAACCTGTCATTAATAGAGACTTTGTATTTATAGCAACAAACGTGTGTTCCTGAAACAGTTGGTGAGTGATAAATTTGTAATGTCCCTTTGTGGATTTTTCTTCACTTCCCATGATAGAATAACTATGTGTTTCTGTTTTATATAGCCAGGGTTATATCTGTTATTTAAATACCAACTTTATTACACTTTTTAAAAACTTGTTGTAAATTTAGATTTACACAAAAGTTGCAAGAGTAGTGCGTAGAACTCCTATGGCTTCTCTACCCAGATACACCAGTTTCAATATTTTAGTATATTTATTTTATTATCTTTTTTCCCTCCCTCTTCTCTCTCTCTTCCTCCTCCTCCCCCTCCTCTTCCTCTCCCTCTGTATTTATGCGTGTATGAATATATACCCTCAAAAAATCTTATTAAACCATCTGAAAGTAGGTTGCATACATCATGCCCCTTTAATTCTTGATACTCTTGTACATTCTTCCTGAGTCACGATGCTTGCTGATTGGTATATTAATGCTTTTCTTCAGCTGATTTTAAAATTTAACACTTTATTCATAGTAGTATAGAGCTTTAAATACATTAAGAAATGACTCAAGTTCTAAATTTTACATTTGAAACAACTGAGGCTCAGACAGTTGAGGTACTTTACGTAAGCTCAGACAATCATTGAATTTTGGAACTCTGGCTTGAACCAACTCTGACAGTGCTGTCCATTTCACTAAATAATAACTAATAAAAGTTGTGCCTTGTCACTGTTTTGGTGCCTGTTTATACTATTCCTTCTCACAGTGATGTTTTATTCCATTTTATTTTGGTTTATGGAATGATGTACTTAGTAAGTTATTTAATTTTGGTATGATTCTGTAGTACATTTAGGACTTAAATATAGAAATTAAGCTTTATGTTATAATGGGGGAAAAAGATTTTAAACTGTGCCGCTCAGGTTGATGGAAGATACGTTTCTCTTATAAAAAGTCTAAAGATTTTAAAGTTTATAAGAAGGGATTAGACTATCTGGAAATATAGCAGATGAAACATCTTGAAATATTCCCAGTGCAAAACTCTTAAAAAATTAAAAACAAAACATTAAAAACTTTAAAAATGTGTAACTAACTTGCAGGGAAGCAAGGGAAATTCTCAGAGACCACAATAAGGGGGAATACATTTCCAGGGCAGTAAGTATACATTAAAGTCAGTAGCTGTCACATGGATATTTGTCAATTCCTGGTCATTTAGAGCTTTTGGTTTCAATGGCCACATGGGGATCAGAAGACAAGGCCATAGGCTCATAGAAGGCAGGAAATTGGAACAGAAATTCTTAATAAAGTCAGGACCATAGAAGAGACACATCTTTAGGAAATGGGTAGACTAAAGCAAAAATCTGTTCTGTAAGAAAAATTGTCTAGGCTCTGAGAGAGAAAGCCCTGATGTGGAATTGAGGTTTGAATTCACATTCACTGCACCTGAAAAACCCTAAACTGAGATATTAATTTACAGTGGCCTGGGTTTAGAGCAGCCTCAGGCACCAAATTCCCTGGGCACATGCAGCTTGCAACCAGGCCTTATAGAATCCCAAAGATAAAGTTTGATGAACATTATATCCCAGTAAAAATATTGCATGAGAAAATGAGCTCTGTAAGTGAGAGTCAGAAGCAACCATTAGCCGAACTAGACTTTAAAGGCTTTAGAAATTGGAGCTATCAGATACTAAATGTAGTTGAAAGAAAGAGAGGAGAATGAAAATAGCAGAAAGCAACAAGAGATTATCTAAAATGGTCAAGCAAAGCACTACTTATATCACTTGTGCTTTGATACATTGTTTTTTGGGGTGATAATGGTATTTACTGCTGTTATGTTAAAAAAAACCCTTATCCTCATAGTATGAATATTATAAAATTTGCAGTGAAATGCATAATAGCTGAGATGTACTTTAAAATAATATGGCAAGAATAAAAGTAGAAGGGTTACAGATGAAACAAGATTGGCTATGAATCCATAATTGTTGGCTCTAGGTGATGGATTACATGGTGGTTCATTATGCCAGTCCATCTACTTTTTAAAACACATTTTTATTGAGGTATAATTTATATACCATTGAATTTACCCATTGTAAGTGATGTAATGATGTTTTCCAGCTTTACTGAGGTAAACTGGCAACAATTACATATATTTAAAGTATACATGATATATATATATTTTTATTATACTTTAAGTTTTAGGGTACATGTGCACAATGTGCAGGTTTGTTACATATGTATACATGTGCCATGTTGGTGTGCCACACCCATTAACTCGTCATTTACATTAGGTATATCTCCTAATGCTATCCCTCCCCCATCCCCCAACCCCACCACAGGCCCCGGTGTGCGATGTTGCCCATTCTGTGTCCAAGTGTTCTCATTGTTCAGTTCCCACCTGTGAGTGAGAACAGTATACATGATATTTTGATATGTGTAGACATTATGAAATGATTACCACAAACTAATTAACATACCCTTTACTTCATATAGTTACCTTCTTTTTGGTGGTGAGAACATTTAAGATCTACTCTCTTAGTAAAATTCGAGTGTATAATACAGTATTATTAGCTATAGTCACCTTGCTGTACATTAGACTTCCAGAAATTATTAATCCTACATAACTGAAACTTTGTATACTGTGACCAACATCTTCTCATTTTCCCTACTTCTCAGCTCTTTGCAACCACTATTCTACTCTCTGCTTCTGTGAGTCCAGCTTTTTTTGATTACCCATATAAGTGAGATCATGCAGTATTTGTCTTTCTGTGCCTGGCTTATTTCATTTAACATAATGTTCTCTAGGTTCATCCACACTGTCACAAATAACAAGATTTCCTTCTTTTTAAAAGCTGAATAATATTTCATAGTATATATACCACTGTGTGTGTGTATATATACACCTGCAGAAGAATATCCACACGCACTCATATATATACAGAAACCCACACCCACACTGACTACACTTTCTTTATCCCTTCATCCATTTATGAGCATTTAGGTTACTTCCATATCTTGGCTGTTTTGAATAATTCTGCAATGAAATGGGAGTGAAGATATTTCTTTGACTTACTGATTTCATTTCCTTTGGATACATATCCAGAAGTGAGAGTGGTAGATCATCTGGTAGTTCTGTTTTCAATTCTTTGAGATATATCCCTATTTTTCATAATGGTTGAACTAATTTACATTCCTACCAATAGAGCACAAGGGTTCTCTTTTCTGCATATTCTCACCAACATTTATCTCTTGAATTTCTGATAATAGCCTTCCTAACAGGTATGAGGTGACATCTCATTGCACATTTAATTTAATTTCCATTTCCCTGATAATTAGTGATATTGAATATTTTTTATATGCTTCTGGGCCATTTGTATGTCTTGAGAATTCTCTATACAGGTCTTTTTCCTATTTTAAAATCAAGTTGTTTTCTTGCTATAGAGTTGTTTGTGTACCTTATATTTTATACATTAACCCCTTATTAGATATATGGTTTGCAAATATTTTCTTCCATTCCATAGATTGTCTCTTTACCATGTTGATTGTTTCCTTCTCTCTTCAGAAACTTTTCAGTTTGATAGGAGCTCAGCTGTCTATTTTTGCTTTGTTGCTTGTGCTTTTGGGGTCGTATCTAACAAATCATTGCTCAGATCAGTGTCATGGAGCTTTTCTCCCTATGTTTTCTTCTAGTAGTTTTACAGTTTCAGGTAGTTTTACAGTTTCAGGCATCATCTTTAAAAATCCATTGAGAGTTGATTTTTGTATATGGTGTGAGATAAGGGTCTGATTTTATTCTTCTTCATGTGGATATTCAGTTTTCCAAGCACCATTTATTGAAGAACCTATTCTTTCCTCATTGTATGTTCTTGGCATCTTTGTTGAAAATTGATTTTTCATAAATGTGTACATTTATTTCTGGATTCTCTATTCTATTACATTGGTCTATATGTCTGTTTTTATGCTAGTACCATACTGTTTTGATTACTATAATTTTGCATTTGAGTTAAGTAGTGTGATGCCTCCAGCTTTGTTCTTCTTGCTTAAGATTGTTTGGCTATTCAGGGTCTTTTGTGGTTCCATATGAATTTAGGATTGTGTTGTGTATTTCTGCGAAAAATGACATCAGAGTTTTAAAGATAGTGCAATTGAATCTGTAGAACGCTTTGGGATGACTTGAATTTTTTATTAAAAATTATGTTTTATATAATAAAATATCAATAAATAGTATTAAAAGTAAACTTATGGAGTCATGCAATCATTACCATAACCCGGTTTTAAAATATTTTCATCACCTGAGAAAGGAACCTTATGCTTGTTTGAAGTTAATCCTCACTCCCATCTCTTTCCTTAGGCAACTGCTGATCTGATTTATAGATTTGCCTTTTCTGAACCTTTCCTGTAAATAGAACCATACTAATGTGGTTTTTCCTGACTGGCTCTTTTACTTACTAGATTTTTTTGAGGTTTAGCCATGTTGTACTATGTATTAGCATTTTGTGTCTGTTTATTGCAAAAAGTATTCTCTGTATGAATATACCACATTTTGTTTCTCCACTCACCAGATGATAAATGTTTGGGTTTTGATGTTTTCATTATCGTGAGTAATGCTGCTATAGATATTTGTGTACAGTTACGTGTATATACATGATTTCATTTCTCTTGGGCAGATACGTAATAGTGGGGTTGCTGAGTGGCATGGTACATTTATGTTTAACTTCTAAAGAAATTGCTCAACTAACTGGGGTGGGGAAAGTGGGCTGCTAACTGGCACCACTTGCACTCTCATTCCACCTCTTTGACACCTGATACGGGGAAGTGAAGGGCCTACTTGCCCCATCTCCTAATTGCTGAGTGGGGTTAGAAGTCCAGCTCCTTGCTGGGCCCTGCTGACACCATGGTGTTGGGGGATGGGGTGGGGTAGTTTTTCCTTTGATGTTTGACTGGATTAGGATGGTTATTAGCAAAAATGTTTCTGTTCTGCTAGGTCTTCCTTTTCCTGGTCCTTTGGCTAGAGAGAGTAGGCTTTTCTTAAGGCCTTTTTTTTTTTTTTTGTTCAACAGAGGGAGACTCTGTTGCCCAGGCTGGAGTGCAGTGGCGCGATCTCCGCTCACTGCAACCTCTGCTTCCTGGGCTCAAGACATTCTTGTGCCTCAGCCCCCTGAGTAGCTGGGATTACAGGCTTGCACCACCATGCCTGGCTAATTTTATTTGGTATTTTTGGTAGAGATGGGGTTTCACCATGTTGCCCAGGCTGGTCTCAAACTCCTGAGCTCAAGCGATCTGCCCGTTTCAGCCTCCCAAAGTGCTGGATTACAGGTGTTGGCCACCACGTCTTCAGGCCCTTTTTTTTGCTTGGCCTGTTGGTAGCTACAGGTTGCAGGATTCCCTAGTGCCTGATCTAGGATATATGAGAAGCAAAAAGAAAGTCCAGGGGAGCGATGGTGTCATTTCTCAAGTCCTGTGGTTCCTAGCCTCTAGTTTATCTTCTTTCCACCTTGCAGATCCTCCTATATTTTTGTGTGTGGTGTTATGTTCAGGGTGTTTTAGTTGTAAGAGGGATGACTAATGATGAATGGATGATTTCTTGTCCTGTTTTTTAATCTTTCCTGATATCAGAGGTTACTGAGGTCTGGCCAGTGGAAAATGGGAGGAAGTGAAGTGCCATTTTTAGGCCTGGCCCATGAAAAATCTTTGTGATCCTCCATGCTCTCTCCTCTGTCTGCTGGCTGAAGGCAGATGTTTTGTATTCTTTTATGAGTTGGTTAGTTAGGTATGGCCACTAGAGCAGACAGAGGAGAGGCTCAGGAAAACAAAGTTTATTAGACTTACAGGTCCTAGAGACAGGAAGGTAAAGCACGGTATGTGGGGCCACATGGGAAAGACACCAGAGTGGTCAGGAAGCAGATGACAATAGCAGCTAGGCCAAAGCCTTTTTGGGGTTTCTGTGCAGGCAAGGCAAGGCAAGGCAGGGCAGAATGAACAGTTTAGGACTGGCTAGTTTGAATAATTTTGGCAGATTCTAAGCTGTAGGGGTGGTCCCTGGTTGCCTGGTACCTGGCCTTGGGAAGATGAAGGCAGAGGAAATTGTCTCCAGGGTTATGCTGGCTGGAGGAGGTATGGTTCTGGATTGGTTAGTTTGTATATGAAAGGCATGCTTCTGGTTGAGCTCTTGCTAGCTGGAAGAATTGGCTAGGTCTGGCAGAGGCAGTGTCTCCCCAGCTAGGAATGTTTTTTTTAACGTGTCAAAACATCATAATATACAGGATATCTATACTGATTTTGATATCTGTATCAATATCTATATCTATATTTATGTATATGTATGTATATAATACAATACAGCAGAGGATCCAGTTGAGGACACGATGCCGCAGGGGATGGTAGATGTACAAGCTCGAAAAAACTGGGTTTCTGAATGATTGTGTGGAGTCAGTCCACTCACTATTGTGTTATACCACTGAGCTTTTGAAATTCTTTTTACAAGCATTTAGCCTATTCTGACTGTATAACACGACTCATTATTATACCTTTTCTCCTCTGCTTTTTCTGAAGTTCCCTTTAAGTCTAAACTCAAGCTCTATTTTCTTCATGTAACTTTCTTTAATTCTGTCATTCACTTATTAGAAATCCTACAGCATTGTAAGTTTAACTCATGATTATAAATCCTTTTGTACTGCCCTCTAATTATTAATTTCATGGGTTAATAATAACTCTACTCTGTAAGTTTCTAAAAGAAAGGGGACCATAATCCTCTCACCTGCTAGTTCAGAGGGATGCTGGAATAAATGCATATGAAATTTCTTCTTTGAAGCATTGATATGCCTGAATAATTAAACCCTACAGAAATATGATAAAATGAAATTATGATCATTAAAATTTTTTTTTTCTTAGACTTTGAGGGTGTTTCTGGTGAACTATTCTCCTAAAAAGTTTTTAGCTTCTTGACAAATTCATCATATTCTTTATGGCAGAGATTTTCAAACCTTTTTGCTCATGACTCATATTAAGTAATATATTTTGCACTATACACACATACATGCAACTGGAACAAAAGTTTCATGTAACAATACTTAAATTGTAATTACTATCATTATGTGCAATGCCCTCTGATATTTTCTGTTCTGGTCATAACCTATTAAATTGATGATTCTGACTCACTCATTGGTTGTGACCTGTAGTTTGCAAAATGCTGCTTTATTGCTGGAGGGAAGCTTACAAGGGTGAGACAGCTCAAATTGAGCTATAACTAAGGGAGTGGAGCATGTTAACTTTTGATTCTGAAATTTTAAATGTGGGCTTGTCATAAGCACTTCAAGCAATAAGTGCAACACGAAGGATAAGGAGCCCCATAGTCTGTCCCTTGTTTGAGAAAACCCTTTTGTAGCTGCTGTGGTCCTTGGGCCTTTTTTATTACATAATCTGGGGTACTTATTAATGAAGATTAATGAGCCCCATTTCAGACCTATGAAATTAGAATCGTTTTGTGAGGACCTTGGAATCTGCATTAACAAACTCTGTAAATACTAAAGTTTGAGAACCATTTTCTTAAGGAGAGCTCCATGTCTTGGGTGAGGGCAAATTGTTGGGGGATTTGCTAGACATGGTAATTGCTTTTGCTTGGAAAATCCTGATTGCCTTTGTTTACTAAACTTTTGAATTCTTAGTCTTATAACTTTTAAAAAATTTGTTTTATTTCCCATCTCTTTGTCTGTTAAATTATTTATCATATATTTGTGCTAATTTTAGCTTATTGTTTCTAATATTGAGAGTGGCAGGAAGCAGCCAAATGCCTAGGCAGATAGGGTGGGTCCCCAGTGAAACCCCCCTTCCAAGCCCAAGACAGTTTAAAGCCTGAAAGCCAAGCTACAAGTTACATCCTCAGACTGGATTGAGAACTTGCCTATTTGGCATGATTTCCTCTGATAGATCCCCACCATTCACCTATTTCACATATACCTACCCTTTCCTAATTGGTTTTCTACTCTGTCGTGCCCACCTTTGAGTGGTGTCTTTGCTTTAACATTTTTTGCATACTCACAAACCAATCAACACACTCTCCCCATTCTGAGTATATAAAAGGCCCTGGACCCAGCCACACTGGGGACTTCCCTGCCTTCAGATAGGGGAACCATACCCCTCCCACCCTCTGTGCCCTCTCTTGGCTGAAAGCTTTCCTTTTTCGCCTGTTAAATTCTACTTTACTGACTCTCTGGTGTCTGCATGCCTAATTCTTCCTGGTTGTGCGACAAGAACTCGGACCTACCTGAGCTAAGGAGTAGAAAGACCACAACAATATTATACCAATGGGTATATCATTTTATAATTATGTTCTTTTTTTAATTTTTAAGTTTTAATTAAACATTTTTCTATTTTATGAACTTTATTTTTATTTCTTCGTAAACTTTTTTAATTTTATTTTTTAAAATGCCTGTTTTATACTTTTTAGCTTGTCATTTGCTTTTAAGACTATTTAGTTATCTTTAAAATTTTTATTTTTTTGTCAGTGAATTTTTTTCTTTCTTTTTAAAATATAAACTATCTTTTATTTCTGTAGCTTTTAAAATGATCAACAGAAAGCACAGTCACAAGATTGTCAGCTGAATGGATGGCCCATTCATTTAGTATGAGATATGTGTAGATTTTTATGGTAATGATTCCATAGTGAATCAGGCCTCCCTCATTGATTTGTGTAGTTTCCTCCCACAATGACTCTGACCATGTGACTTGTTTTGGTCAGTAGG
This sequence comes from Homo sapiens, assembly GCF_000001405.40. Classification (NCBI taxonomy): domain Eukaryota; kingdom Metazoa; phylum Chordata; class Mammalia; order Primates; family Hominidae; genus Homo; species Homo sapiens. The sequence goes on along the minus strand of NC_000007.14, from coordinate 111,507,960 downwards.
ATATAAGCAAATACTGCTCAAGTAGGAGCTTGGTCAGTACTTGTGAGCTGGGTACATGTAAAAACTCAGGCTATCCTGATGACGGAGATTTTGGAGAATAAATGAAGCATCCTGGCCTTCCAGCCCCAGTTGAGTGCCTGACATGTCAATGAAGCCATCTTGAACTTTCCAGCTGAGGGAAGCCAAAATTGCAGGATCACAAGCAGATACATTTTGGTTGTTCTTTTTAGACATATAGTTTTGGAGTGGTTTGTTATGAAGCAAGAGATAACTGAAACAAAAATTGGTACTATTAGTGAAGTGATACTATAACAAAAACCTAAAATATGTAGCATTGATTTGGGGACTGGGTGGCAGTTTGGGGCTGGTAATGTGGTGAGGGGAGTGTTGGCAGACGCTGGACAAATGGCAAACAACTGTTAATAGAAAACAGAAAGATAGTAAAGTATCTGTTACTGCGGACTGGAATTACGATGATCTGTGTTTTATGGTACTTAAACATTTTTTAAAAATGTGAACTGTAAGAACTTGAAAAATAGAAGATATACCTAATGATCTTATAGATTTGGCTAAGGAGATTTCCAGGCGAAAATATTGAAATTGTCAGCTGGCTTCGTATAGCTTTATATAAGATATGGGAAGAGAGAAATGAACTTATAGCAGAAATTAGAGGAAATATAGGGTGCCCAGAACTTTTTTGGGTTGGAAAATAAAACTATTTTTCATTCCCAGTATCTAGCAGGCAAAAGATCCTCAAAATAAGAAATAGCCTCGGGTAGAGATCAAATCAGGACTGGAAGACTCTTTATTAAGACCTCAGGGCTGGGTGTAGTGGCTCACGCCTATAATCCCAGCACTTGGGGAGGCCAAGGCTTGAAGATAACTTGAGCCCAGGAGTTTGAGACCAACCTGGGCAACTGGCGAAACTCTGTCTCTACTAAAAATAGAAAACTTAGCTAGGCTTGGTGGCATGCGCCTGTAGTCCCAGCTACTTGGGAGGCTGAGGTGGGAGGATCACCAGAGCTCAGAAGGCAGAGGTTGCAATAAACCAAGACTGTGCCACTGCATTTCAGCCTGGGTGACACCGTGAGACTCTGTCTCAAACAAAAACAAAAGCAAAAACAAAAAAAACCTCAGAAAGATATAAGGTGGTACTTAGTATATCTTTTTAATTAGACAAAATATATTGTAAACTCTTCAGGGCTTTGTGCCACAGCAGCCTGACACTTTCAAAGTAAAGAAAGATCTGGTTTGAAAAAAATTAAGGGTCGGGCGTGGTGGCTCACGCCTGTAATCCCAGCACTTTGGGAGGCCAAGGCAGGTGGATCACGAGGTTAGGAGATTGAGACCATCCTGGCCAACATGGTAAAACCTGTCTCTACTAAAAATACAAAAACTAGCCTGGTGTGGTGGCATGTGCCTGTAGTCCCAGCTACTCTGGAGGCTGAGGCAGGAGAATCGCTTGAACCTGGGAGGCGGAGGTTGCAGTGAGCTGAGATTGCACCACTGCACTGCAGCCTGGGGGACAGGGCAAGAAAAAGAAAAAAGAAGGAAGATATGGATGTAGTTTTGGGGGGAATGGAATGAGCCCCAACTAGATTAATGGGAAGTCTACAACATTTTAAGGGTGTTGAATTAACTTGTACTAAAATGGGGTCAATTTAGAAAGAGACCTCTGGGGTGTGTCCACCTTATTATGAAGGAGCATTTCTTTTTAAAAATTTATTATTTATTTTTATATTATTATTATTATTATTATTATTTTAAAGAGACAGGGTCTTGCTCTGTTGCCCAGGCTGGAGTGCATTGGTGCAATCAGCCTCGAAGTCCTGGACAGCTAATTTTTAAAATTTTTGTGTGTGGAGGCAGTCTCACTATGTTGCCCAGGTGTTCTCAAACTTTTGGCCTGGAGCCATCCTCCCGCCTCCCAAGAAGCTGGGGTTACAGGTGTGAGCCTGGCCTCCTTTCTTTCTTTTTTAATTTTATTATTATTATACTTTAAGTTTTAGGGTACATGTGCACAATGTGCAGGTTTGTTACATATGTATACATGTGCCATGTTGGTGTGCTGCACCCATTAACTCGTCATTTAGCATTACATATATCTCCTAATGCTATCCCTCCCCGCTCCCCCCACCCCACAACAGTCCCCACTGTGTGATGTTCCCCTTCCTGTGTCCATGTGTTCTCATTGTTCAATTCCCACCTATGAGTGAGAACATGTGGTGTTTGGTTTTTTGTTCTTGCAATAGTTTGCTGAGAATGATGGTTTCCAGTTTCATCCATGTCCCTACAAAGGACATGAACTCATCATTTTTTATGGCTGCATAGTATTCCATGGTGTATATGTGCCACATTTTCTTAACCTAGTCTATCATTGTTGGACATTTGGGTTGGTTCCAAGTCTTTGCTATTGTGAATAGTGCCACAATATATATGTGTGTGTGCCTTTACAGCAGCATGATTTACAATCCTTTGGGTATATACCCAGCAATGGGATGGCTGGGTCAAATGGTATTTCTAGTTCTAGATCCCTGAGGAATCACCACACTGACTTCCACAATGGTTGAACTAGTTTACAGTCCCACCAACAGTGTAAAAGTGTTCCTATTTCTCCACATCCTCTCCAGCACCTGTTGTTTCCTGACTTTTTAATGATTGCCATTCTAACTGGTGTGAGATGGTATCTCATTGTGGTTTTGATTTGCATTTCTCTGATGGCCAGTGATGATGAGCATTTTTTCATGTGTTTTTTGGCTGCATAAATGTCTTCTTTTGAGAAGTGTCTGTTCATATCCTTTGCCCACTTTTTGATGGGGTTGTTTGTTTTTTTTCTTGTAAATTTGTTTGAGTTCTTTGTAGATTCTGGATATTAGCCCTTTGTCAGATGAGTAGGTTGCGAAAATTTTTTCCCATTTTGTAGGTTGCCTGTTGACTCTGATGGTAGTTTCTTTTGCTGTGCAGAAGCTCTTTAGTTTAATTAGATCCCATTTGTCAGTTTTGGCTTTTGTTGCCATTGCTTTTGGTGTTTTAGACATGAAGTCCTTGCCCATGCCTATGTCCTGAATGGTATTGCCTAGGTTTTCTTCTAGGGTTTTTATGGTTTTAGGTCTAACATGTAAGTCTTTAATCCATCTTGAATTAATTTTTGTATAAGGTGTAAGGAAGGGATCCAGTTTCAGCTTTCTACACATGGCTAGCCAGTTTTCCCAGCACCATTTATTAAATAGGAAATCCTTTCCCCATTGCTTGTTTTTGTCAGGTTTGTCAAAGATCAGATGGTTGTAGATATGCGGCATTATTTCTGAGGGCTCTGTTCTGTTCCATTAATCTATATCTCTGTTTTGGTACCAGTACCATGCTGTTTTGGTTACTGTAGCCTTGTAGTATAGTTTGAAGTCAGGTAGCATGATGCCTCCAGCTTTGTTCTTTTGGCTTAGGATTGACTTGGTGATGCAGGCTCTTTTTTGGTTCCATATGAACTTTAAAGTAGTTTTTTCCAATTCTGTGAAGAAAGTCATTGGTAGCTTGATGGGGATGGCATTGAATCTATAAATTACCTTGGGCAGTATGGCCATTTTCACGATATTGATTCTTCCTACCCATGAGCATGGAATGCCCTTCCATTTGTTTATATCCTCTTTTATTTCATTGAGCAGTGGTTTGTAGTTCTCCTTGAAGAGGTCTTTCACATCCCTTGTAAGTTGGATTCCTAGGTATTTTATTCTCTTTGAAGCAATTGTGAATGGTAGTTCACTCATGATTTGGCTCTCTGTTTGTCTGTTATTGGTGTATAAGAATGCTTGTGATTTTTGTGCATTGATTTTGTATCCTGAGACTTTGCTGAAGTTGCTTATCAGCTTAAGGAGATTTTGGGCTGAGACAATAGGGTTTTCTAGATATACAATCATGTCATCTGCAAACAGGGACAATTTGACTTCCTCTTTTCCTAATTGAATACCCTTTATTTCCTTCTCCTGCCTGATTGCACTGGCCAGAATTTCCAACACTATGTTGAATAGGAGTGGTGAGAGAGGGCATCCCTGTCTTGTGCCAGTTTTCAAAGGGAATGCTTCCAGTTTTTGTCCATTCAGTATGATATTGGCTGTGGGTTTGTCATAGATAGCTCTTATTATTTTGAGATACGTCCCATCAATATCTAATTTATTGAGAGTTTTTAGCATGAAGGGTTGTTGAATTTTGTCAAAGGCCTTTTCTGCATCTATTGAGATAATCATGTGGTTTTTGTCTTTGGTTCTGTTTATATGCTGGATTACATTTATTGATTTGTGTATGTTGAACTAGCCTTTCATCCCAGGGATGAAGCCCACTTGATCATGGTGGAAAAGCTTTTTGATGTGCTGCTGGATTTGGTTTGCCAGTATTTTATTGAGGATTTTTGCATCAATGTTCATCAAGGATATTGGTCTAAAATTCTCTTTTTTTGTTGTGTCTCTGCCAGGCTTTGGTATCAGGATGATGCTGGCCTCCTAAAATGAGTTAGGGAGGATTCCCTCTTTTTCTATTGATTGGAATAGTTTCAGAAGGAATGGTACCAGCTCCTCCTTGTACCTCTGGTAGAATTCGGCTGTGAATCCATCTGGTCCTGGACTTTTTTTGGTTGGTAAGCTATTGATTATTGCCACAATTTCAGAGCCTCTTATTGTTCTATTCAGAGATTCAGCTTCTTCCTGGTTTAGTCTTGGGAGGGTGTATGTGTTGAGGAATTTATCCATTTCTTCTAGATTTTCTAGTTATTTGCGTAGAGGTGTTTGTAGTATTCTCTGATGGTAGTTTGTATTTCTGTGGGATCGGTTGTGATATCCCCTTTATCATTTTTTATTGTGTCTATTTGATTCTTCTCTCTTTTTTTCTTTATTAGTCTTGCTAGCAGTCTATCGATTTTGTTGATCTTTTCAAAAAACCAGCTCCTGGATTCATTAATTTTTTGAAGGGTTTTTTGTGTCTCTATTTCCTTCAGTTCTGCTCTGATTTTAGTTATTTCTTGCCTTCTGCTAGCTTTTGAATGTGTTTGCTCTTGCTTTTCTAGTTCTTTTAATTGTGATGTTAGGGTGTCAATTTTGGATCTTTCCTGCTTTCTCTTGTGGGCATTTAGTGCTATAAATTTCCCTCTGCACACTGCTTTGAATGTGTCCCAGAGATTCTGGTATGTTGTGTCTTTGTTCTCGTTGGTTTCAAAGAACATCTTTATTTCTGCCTTCATTTCGTTATGTACCCAGTAGTCATTCAGGAGCAGGTTGTTCAGTTTCCATGTAGTTGAGTGGTTTTGAGTGAGTTTCTTAATCCTGAGTTCTAGTTTGATTGCACTGTGGTCTGAGAGATAGTTTGTTATAATTTCTGTTTTTTACATTTGCTGAGGAGTGCTTTACTTCCAACTATGTGGTCAATTTTGGAATAGGTGTGGTGTGGTGCTGAAAAAAAATGTATATTCTGTTGATTTGGGGTGGAGAGTTCTGTAGATGTCTATTAGGTATGCTTGGGGCAGAGGTGAGTTCAATTCCTGGATATCCTTGTTAACTTTCTGTCTCGTTGATCTGTCTAATGTTGACAGCGGGGTGTTAAAGTCTCCCATTATTATTGTGTGGGAGTCTAAGTCTCTTTGTAGGTCACTAAGGACTTGCTTTATGAACCTGGGTGCTCCTGTATTGGGTGCATATATATTTAGGATAGTTAGCTCTTCTTGTTGAATTGATCCCTTTACCATTATGTAATGGCCTTCTTTGTCTCTTTTGATCTTTGTTGGTTTAAAGTCTGTTTTGTCAGAGACTAGGATTGCAATCCCTGCCTTTTTTTGTTTTCCATTTGCTTGGTAGATCTTCCTCCATCCCTTTATTTTGAGCCTATGTGTGTCTCTGCACGTGAGATGGGTTTCCTGAATACAGCACACTGATGTATGACTCTTTATCCAATTTGCCAGTCTGTGTCTTTTAATTGGAGCATTTAGCCCATTTACATTTAAAGTTAATATTGTTATGTGTGAATTTGGTCCTGTCATTATGATGTTAGCTGGTTATTTTGCTCATTAGTTGATGCAGTTTCTTCCTAGCCTTGATGGTCTTTACATTTTGGCATGTTTTGCAGTGGCTGGTACCGGTTGTTCCTTTCTATGTTTAGTGCTTCCTTCAGGAGCTCTTTTAGGGCAGGCCTGGTGGTGACAGAATCTCTCAGCATGTGCATCTCTGTAAAGTATTTTATTTCTCCTTCACTTATGAAGCTTAGTTTGGCTGGATATGAAATTCTGGGTTGAAAATTCTTTTCTTTAAGAATGTTGAATATTGGCCCCCACTCTCTTCTGGCTTGTAGAGTTTCTGCTGAGAGATCCGCTGTTTGTCTGATGGGCTTCCCTTTGTGGGTAACCCGACCTTTCTCTCTGGCTGCCCTTAACATTTTTTCCTTCATTTCAACTTTGGTGAATGTGACAGTTATGTGTCTTGGAGTTGCTCTTCTCGAGGAGTATCTTTGTGGCGTTCTCTGTATTTCCTGAATTTGAATGTTGGCCTGCCTTGCTAGACTGGGGAAGTTCTCCTGGATAATATCCTGCAGAGTGTTTTCCAAGTTGGTTCCATTCTCCCCGTCACTTTCAGGTACACCAATCAGACGTAGATTTGGTCTTTTCACATAGTCCCATATTTCTTGGAGGCTTTGTTTGTTTCTTTTTATTCTTTTTTCTCTAAACTTCCCTTCTCGCTTCATTTCATTCATTTCGTCTTCCATCACTGATACCCTTTCTTCCAGTTGATCGCATCGGCTCCTGAGGCTTCTGCATTCTTCACGTAGTTCTCGAGCCTTGGCTTTCAGCTCCATCAGCTCCTTTAAGGACTTCTCTGCATTGGTTATTCTAGGTATCCATTCGTCTAATTTTTTTTCAAAGTTTTTAACTTCTTTGCCATTGGTTTGAATTTCCTCCTGTAGCTCGGAGTAGTTTGATCGTCTGAAGCCTTCTTCTCTCAACTCGTCAAAGTCATTCTCCGTCCAGCTTTGTTCCGTTGCTGGTGAGGAGCTGCGTTCCTTTGGAGGAGGAGAGGCACTCTGCTTTTTAGAGTTTCCAGTTTTTCTGCTCTGTTTTTCCCCCATCTTTGTGGTTTTATCTACTTTTGGTCTTTGATGATGGTGACGTACAGATGGGTTTTTGGTGTGGATGTCCTTTCTGTTTGTTAGTTTTCCTTCTAACAGACAGGACCCTCAGCTGCAGGTCTGTTGGAGTTTGCTAGATGTCCACTCCAGACCCTGTATGCCTGGGTATCAGCAGCGGTGGCTGCAGAACAGCGGTGGCTGTAGAAAAGTGGATGTTGGTGATCCGCAAATGCTCCTGCCTGATTGTTCCTCTGGAAGTTTTGTCTCAGAGGAGTACCCGGCCATGTGAGGTGTCAGTCTGCCCGTACTGGCGGATGCCTCCCATTTAGGCTGCTTGGGAGTCAGGGACCCACTTGAGGAGGCAGTCTGCCCTTTCTCAGATCTCCAGCTGTGTGCTGGGAGAACCACTACTCTCTTCAAAGCTGTCAGACAGGGACATTTAAGTCTGCAGAGGTTACTGCTGTCTTTTTGTTTGTCTGTGCCCTGCCCCCAGAGGTGGAGCCTACAGAGGCAGGCAGGCCTCCTTGAGCTGTGGTAGTCTCCGCGTAGTTCGAGCTTCAGGGCTGCTTTGTTTACCTAATCGAGCCTCGGCAATGGCAGGCGCCCCTTCCCCAGCCTCGCTGCCGCCTTGCATTTTGATCTCAGACTGCTGTGCTAGCAATCAGCGAGACTCCATGGGCATAGGACCCTCTGAGCCAGGTGCGGGATATAATCTCCTGGTATGCCGTTTTTTTAAGCCTGTTGGAAAAGCGCAGTATTAGGGTGGGAGTGACCCGATTTTCCAGGTGCCATCTGTCACCTCTTTCTTTGACTAGGAAAGGGAACTCCCTGACCCCTTGTGCTTCCCGAGTGAGGCAATGCCTCACCCTGCTTTGGCTTGTGCCTGGTGCTCTGCACCCACTGTCCTGCACCTGCTGTCTGGCACTCCCTAGTGAGATGAACCCGGTACCTCAGATGGAAATGCAGAAATCACCCGTCTTCTGCGTCGCTCATTCTGGGAGCTGTAGACCAGAGCTGTTCCTATTTGGCCATCTTGGCTCCACCGGGCCTCCTTTTTAAAAAAGAGCCCAAAGCCCAGAGGGCAGAGCTAAGAGCCATGCAGACCAATAAATTAGGGAACCATTCCAGAGAACAGAAAAGAATCTTAATTAAAGGACATTTCTCTCCATGAGATGGGAGGCCTTGACAACACATGCTGCTGGATTTTAAGCTTTCTATGGACAAGTGACTTCTATGCTTTTTTCATTGCTTTTTAAAATCCATGGTTATCTTCTTTCTGTCTTTCCATTATATGTTTGGTGTTTGGGGAACAGATAATTTATCTTTTCACTTCATAAGTCTCTGATTTGAGATGAGCTGCACCCTAGAGTCCTCTTCCATACTGGGACCTGGGACCTGATGCATATCATGAATTAACGGATATGAATCCTATTGCAAACATCTGAGGAGACCTTGGGGCTCTTAGGAAGGGTTATATGTATTTTGCATATGTGAGGGATATGATTCATTGGAGCTAGAGGGCAGAGTTTTGGTAGATTATTACATTGATATTCCCTGTCTACCCCATCCCCCATGAGTCATGCTCCTCGGTACTGAGCTCTATGTCATCCTCACCTATGCTGATTCTTGACTTGGCCTTATGACTCATTTTGGCTGGTGGAATATCAGCAAATACGCAAACAGAGGCTTGGTAGATGCTTACACGAGGGAGTTTTTGCTCCTGGAACACTGCTGCCTCCATGGCTGCAGCTGCCTGAGTGATCACAGCCAGACAAGCTGGCTAATTGCATAGCTAAGCATAGCCTAAATTGTGGAATCATGAACCAATAAATGATTTTTGTTTTAAGTTTTGGAGTGGTTTGTTTTGTAGCAGTAGATAAATGATATAAGGTATATATCCTTTTTTCCCCCTTTTTATCTGCCAGAATGCTTTTCAGTTCCTTTTGATAAGCTGTTTCCTATGCATTTGAGCTCCTTTGTTCTTATAGCTTTGATCAATGTAATTTAGGGTACCCAGGTACCAAAATTCCTGTTGATACACATTTGTAGTGTTAGGATGCTGACTGGTTCTTTTTTATTTTTTTCCTTATAATGCAGCATCAGGTTCAACAATGAAGAACTAAAGGATCTAAAATCCATGGTATTATCTTCACAGATTTGTTCACAGATATTATATAAGCCATGTGAATAGATTGCTACACCATTGTATATGTTGGGGAATTTGGCCTCTTTGGAGTTACATGCTTCTGAGGGAATCATGCAGCCTCCTAAAATCTTTGTTATTTGTTGAATCACTTCCTTTCTGTGCTACACACCTTACTATGACCTTTTTTTTTTTAATTAGGTTAGGAGACAGAAAAGTGGTTCTGAGCAAGAAAAACTTAGCAATGAATAGGAAAGCCTTATTCAGTTTTATGAGGAAGTTAAAGATTCCGCATGTATCTTGCTGGGGTTTTTCCGTGTAGCTGGCTTATTTTATATATAGCAGTCTGTCTTCAGGTTAATATGCAGATATGTTTATATAAATTTTATATTTCATTGACTATATGTGATCTATTTCTGATATGGTTAATTAGAACTATAAATTAGAATAGCTATCTCAAAACATGTTTTATTAGCTAGGAAACACAATGCACGTATTTAATGGTAGTATTTTATAATTAGTGCATTGAAACAGAAACTTTGCAGATTTGAACCTTGCAATCTAGTTGTAGCGACCTGAATTAAAGAGATGCTTAAATACTGAAGAGCTTGTTTAAAGAACACAAACTTTAAAAATATTAGTAATAAGAGGATATAAAAATCAGATGCTTTCCCCTTCAAAAACAATTCATTGCTTAGTGCTTACATTAATATAAAAGCACTGCATATTGATTGGCAAAAAACTTAGAAAACATAGAAAAATGTGGAAAATAAATAATTGATACCACCTTTCAGAATTATTTATTTTAAATATATTATTATATAATACTAATAGTGAAAAATTATTGAATGATCACTATGTTCAAGTCATTACAGTATTGACTTTATATATATTAGTTTATTTAATATCACCCACAACTGTATGATGAAGATACTATGTTAGCCCACTTAACAGATGAAGAAATACAATCAGAGAGATGGGATAACTTACTGAAGATTGCATAGATTTAAACCCAGCTTCTGACTTTGAAGTTTGCATTTCTAAACCATTATAAGTTACTCTCTTTCTTTTCTGCACAATTTCCTTCTTTACTTTATTCTTTTAAGGTTTTTCCCTTTTTTCTTCCGTCCTGTCTTTCCTGAAATTGGATCATAGCAGTTTGTTTTTTCTATGTCGCATTTTTCACTTATTCTCCAGACATATCCAAATATATATTTTTCCACAATGTAATTTTTACAATCATTTTTTAATATCCATAAAGTTTAACCATTGCTAAACCAAGGTTTAATCAGTTTCCTATTATTGGTATTGAGCTTGGCTCAGTTATTCACTTGATTTTAGCTAAAAGACTAAGAAGCTATTCACTATTGTAAATAATGTATTATGAATATCTTTGTATATGTTCCTTTGCACATATGTCCAATTAGTTTCTTAGGAAATCTTTTTAAATGTGACATTTTCAAGTCTAAGGACAAGATCACTTTTAAGACTTTAAATATATTTTGGCAAATTACCTTGTTGATAGTTTATAAAGATTTTCATTCCTACAGGTAGTATGTGAGCGTGCCTGTGACACTTTGATGGGGCGTTCTATAGTAGAACATGCAGTTAAGATTAGGAGAATGAAAAATTAACAACCTAGTGTAATTCTGAATTAAATCAATATGTTATATGTTCACTTTTATTTTATTAATGTAGTTTTACAGGCTTGCTTTTAAAAGAAAAATTAAGAAATTATATTATAATTAGATCTCACCGGAGAGACAGAACGAATAGGATATTTATCTGTCTGTCTGTCTATCTATCTATCTATCTATCTATCTATGTATCTATCTATGAGAGGGAATTTATTAGGGGAATTGGGTCATGTGATCATGGAGGCTAAGAAGTTTCATTATAGGCTATGTGCAAGCTGGAGGTCCAGGTAGCTTGGCTCAGTCCAAGTCTGAAGGCCTCAGAACCACAGAAGCTGATGGTATAACTCTCAGTCCAAGGCCAAGGGCCTGAGACCTGGGGGCTGCTGGTTCAAGTCCCAGAGTCTAAAAGTCAGAGGACCTGGAGTTCTAAGATTTGCAATGGAAAGAGAAGAAGGTTGTCCCAGCGTCAGGAGAGAGAGAGCGAGAGAGAATATGAAAATATTTACCTTTCCTCTTCCTTGTTCTTGTATCCAAGCCCTCAACTAATTGCATGGTGCCTGCCCATGTTGGGTGAGGGTGGATCTTTCTTACTCAATCCAGTGCTTCAAAGGCCAATCTCTCCTGGGAACACTCCCTCACAGATATACCCAGAATAATGCTTTCTTAGCATTCTGGGTAGCCTTAATCTAGTCAAGTTGACACCTAAAATTAACCATCAGAAGGGGTATGGGTAATAAGTACCCATGATATAAAAGGAATGTTCCATTTCTAACTTACAGCTTTGTACAGACCTGGGTACATTATAGTCTATTTTATTATGCACACCTAGTGAGACAAATCTGAGAATTCTAGAAGCCATGCAAATTATGGAGACCCCTGAATAGCAAGGGAAGAAAGACGGCATTGTAGACCATATTGTCCGCATTCTTTCAAAGGTGTGACATCTAATAATTCTTAATCAGAATGTACATTTACTTTAACTGTACTTACTTCATGCTTCTTGGCCAGTGCTGCAGTGTTAAAAAGTCTAAATCAACAGTACTATTTCAGTTTCTTCTGTTATTGCCCCCGCCTCCACAGATATGTCTTCAAAGTAATGGTTCTTCAAAAGAAGTCTGAGGGCTACTGTTGGGTCCTTGTGGCTGCAGCTGGGCTCCATCTCACTTAAAAGCACAAAGTTTGATATTTACCTGTTGTAGATTGTATGTAGCCAGTGTGAGTGGTGCTTTTTATAAGCCTGAAAAGGTTGAAAGCATTGTACCCAAAGAAGTAAGGTCAAAACCAGGCTTTCTTTATATCTTGGAGGCAGTGAATCATAGGCTGTAGATTCTTTAAAATTAAAAAATGAATAAAAAATTTATAGTAAAAAGCCAGAATAATATCATTTATTGATTGATGGCTTCAGTTAAGTCTTACAAAACAGGAAGTGTACTGTGACTGTGCTTAATTCTCTAGGAGAATTTTATTTTCGTAAACCGAAAGATAAATTCTTCCAAACCTGTCATATGATTTGAGGTTAGACACAAGCTGAGGATTTAGGATACCTTGACAATAATATTTGTTTGTAGGACAAATAAAAATCCTTCAGCATAGTCTTTGATCAGAGAAAAGATTAAAGCCTAACTTTTGTGTTATGCTTGTTCCAAAAGCAGATTTGATAGATATTGGCTATTTCTAGCTTTAGCATAACTTACTAACATCTGTTGAAATATGCTGACTTATATTGTATTTCTTAGAGTGAACTATATAGTACTTAGGTCAGAGCAAAGCATACAAACTAAATATATGTTCATTATAAAAAACAATTTGTGAGATACAACTGAGCCAGAGGAAAACAAGGTGTGGGGAGGGGTAAGCAGTAGGGAGGGAGAAAATGGAAATCATTTCATCAACCAGAGCTAAGAACTGTTAGATTTTTAAATGCATATGTTTTTATATATATCTGTATGTGTGTATATGTTTTAAAAATAAGAATGTAAAACATAACGGGTGTAAAATTCTTTAGGTATTTTATAGGTATTCATAACTAATTATGCATATTAAATTTTTTTGGATTAATTTATAGAGGCAGAACAATTAAGGCCCCACATAAAAGCATCCTAACTTTACTTGCTTTAAAAAAGTGAGGAAACAATCAACAAAGAATTTAGAAATGAGGGGTAGAATTTTCTGCCTGAATACTTTCAGTTTACTATGTAAAATGAGAAATGTGCAGGGCAATATTTAAATGTTTAATTTTTCTTAAATCTTGTGGAAAGGATACTGTACCTGATATTGTTTCCCTTTATTTTGTTATTGTTGCCATCATCATTAGTGTCCTATTTGTTGACTGCTACTCTGTTTCATGACTGTAATGTTTTGTAGACTGTCTCATTTAATTCTTGTAGCAACTCCATGAGATCAGTGTTCCTGCAGTCAGTCCCCATTTTATAGATGAGGAAATGAGACAGGTTAAATAATCTGTTTAAAGTAATATGGTTAATAAGAAATGGAGACAAGATTTGAACATAGTTTTCTGTGTTTAGGGCAAGGACTATTCAAAACACTTCTCCAAGTTTGATTTTTAACTTTAGTGGTCCATGGTAGAAGCAGAGAAATAGATGAGTGTGAGAATGCAAGTTGTTGAGAGAGACAGACAGAGAATATTTACCTTTCCTCTTCCTTGTTGTTGTTTCCAAGCTCTCAACTAATTGTATGGTGTCTGCCCACCTTGGGTGAGGGTGGGTCTTTCTTACTCAGTCCAGAGCAGATGTTTGGCTTTTTTTGTTCTTTGTTAGTGTTTTTCCTTTTGCTACTGGAAATCACTGTGACTACTAGCAGGAATATCTGATACAATCAAATACTTGGAGATACAGGTGGAAACTCCTAGATTAAATATTCTCTGAGATTTCTTCAAACACTTTATTATTTTAAGTTAGTTATATTTTGATGTAGTCTCTTGGAATCTAGGATTTAAATATTAACAATATAACAAGAAAATACAGATTCTGTGGCCATATCAAATTATTATTTATGACTTTTAATTTCTACTTGATGTGTTTAACTTCATCGATTTGAAAAAATTGCTTGCTCTATATTTTTTTTAGAGACGGAGTCTTGCTCTGTCGCCCCAGGCTGGAGTGCAGTGGCGTGGTCTCGGCTCACTGCAAGCCCCGCCTCCTGGGTTCACGCCATTCTCCTGCCTCAGCCTCCCGAGTAGCTGGGACTACAGCGGCCCACCACTACACCCGGCTAATTTTTTGGCAGAGACGGGGTTTCACCGTGTTGAGCCAGGATGATCTCGATCTCCTGACCTCATGATCTGCCTGCCTCGGCCTCCCAAAGTGCTGGGATTACAGGCGTGAACCACCGTGACCGGCCACTGTTTTTTTCTTTTTTTTTGAGACGGAGTCTTGCTCTGTCGCCCAGGCTGGAGTGCAGTGGCGCGATCTCCGCTCACTGCAAGCTCCGCCTCCCGGGTTCACGCCGTTCTCCTGTCTCAGCCTCCCGAGTAGCTGGGACTACAGGCGCCCGCCCCCACGCCCGGCTAATTTTTTTTTGCATTTTTGGTAGAGACGGGGTTTCACCGTGTTAGCCAGGATGGTCTCGATCTCCTGACCTCGTGATCCACCCACCTTGGCCTCCCAAAGTGCTGGGATTACAGGCGTGAGCCACTGCGCCCGGCCTGTTTTTTTTCTTTTTAATAAAGCTTTTGTTTTTAGTGAAGTACAGAAAACTGTGGTTCTTATAGTGCCATAGGAACAACTTCCCAATTCAAGAAGGTTTTTCTTTATGATGTTTTGTTGATATTCATAAGTGTTAGATTAATAAATAAACAAGATAGTTTATTGTGTTGTGATTACCATTATTTCATTATGAATAACAAAGCCCTATTCAACTATTTCTAACTCTTAAATTGCCTAACTTGATGAGACACAAAAAATTTATTGCTATACTTATCTAGAATATGTTTTCATTGAAAGAGATGTATACATTATTTAGATAATGTATATTCTAGAAACTATCTGATTTAAATACGCTTTTAAAAACCTTTAATCTTTTAGACTTTATAGAAATATTATTTTCCAATCACTGTTCTGGGATTAGGTGTACAAAAATGGCTAAGACACGGTTTCAGCAGTTGAGAAACTTACACCTGAGTGGAAGAGTCTTATCTGTAGGCAGATACCTATTAAGTACCTGCATTGCTATGGGAGCGCACATGAGGGAGTAGCTAATTTAAACTTGTGGAGGAAAGAAAAGGTAAAAGAAAACTCTGTTGCTTCCTTTATAAAATCAAGCAATGTCATTCAGGTGTTGACTGTTGATTCTAATACTTACTTCACTATTGGAAGTTAGACATGCTTCCTTCTGTTTTCTTCCCTTGCATAAATCTTTTGTTTATAATGCTTTACCTTTTGGTTCTAACAATTACAATTAGAAAAGTTGGGCATTTGAGTGATTCTATAAGGGAAAGACGAAGTTAAAATTTGGGTCAGTGGGGATTTTTCTATCCCCATTGTTGGAACACCAAGATATAATTTTCCAATTTCCTTAAGGGAACTGCAGCATGTTTTTTATTCTTTTTAAAGGCTTTACAGAGGAGTCCCCATCAGATAAGGACTTTGACAAATGACTAGAAGTTTCCAAGTGGGGAAAAAACATTCTTGACAGAGGGGAAGTCTGATAATGAGGCATCCAAAGAGCGGGTTAGAAACTGGACCTGACTTATGAGTCTTCTAGTATGGGGGATAGGGTAAGTGGTACTACTGTTAAATAAGGAGGGGAAGTATATTTGGGGGCTGGAGTGGGCTGGAATAGGATCTTTGTTTTGACCTTGTTAATTTTGAAAATCTTTGGAAATTCCACTAATTGATTTTTTTAAATTCTTTCCACTAAAATGTGTTAATTACCTGCAAAGTGCTCGATCTCAAAAATATAGGCATAGGAAATAATTTATTCTCAAAACTTAGAAAAAAAAAGAGCTTATAGACTCTTGGAAAGAGAGACAAGGGAGTGATTATAATGCATATTTAAATATTATTATAGAAATAATCATAGGCTGTGATGGTGAACTTGGGATTTTTGATCTTATGAGTTGTGGTCACAAACTTCAAAAAAAACACCAGTAAAAGAGACCAAGGAGAACAGTCAGAAATAATTAAATCACCTTTTGTTCCTTCACTATTATGGCAAGAAAAAAGAAAAAAAAAACGAATGCAGTGAAAGTTCAATAGGAATATTTTCTCTTTATGGTCCAGAGCCCAGATGGTCTCCCTCCAGGTCACCTTTACAGTGTCAGTTATATAGGAAAAAGAATACAAATAAATTAGGGAAGAGGACCTGTGGATACTGAGGTCAAAGACAGAGAGGAAGAGGGAGATAGAGAATTTGAATGAGAAATATGAATGAGATAGAGAGCATACCCTTGTGAAAGCTCACCTTTTAATAATCTGACCTACTGTTGTGATGACAAAAGCTCCATTCCTCAGCACCATGGCTCAGTAAAGCCCTTTGGACTTATGCTACCATATCAACTCTGTTCCTCACTAGAGATAGAGACATAGGAGGAACCTGGGGGTAGAGAGTACAGACCTGCTTAAAATTAAAATTGTGATGTAGAAATATCAATAATAGAAGTTACTGAGAGGTAAGTATGGGCCAAGAACTACCATAAGCACTTTAAATGAATGATCTTACCAAATAAGGTAGCGCAGTTCACTCTTGAACAACGAGGGGGTGAGGGACCCAACTCCCATGCAGTTAAAAATTTGCATATAACTTTTGACTGTCCCACACCCCACAACTTAACTACTAATAGTCTGCTCCTGACCAGAAGCCTTACTGTTAACATAAACAGTGAGATTAACACATATTTTTATATGCTATATGTATTATATACTATATTTTTACAATAAAGTAAGATAGGGAAAAGAAAATGTTATTAAGAACATCATAAGAAAGAGAAAAATATATTTTTGTTTCTTAAGTGGAAGAGGATCATCGTAAAGGACTTCATCCTCACTGTCTTCATATTGAGTAGGCTAAGGAGGAGGAGGAGAAAGAAGAGGAGTTAGTCTTACTGTCTCAGGGGTGGCAGATGTAGAAGAGGTGGGAAAGGGAAGCAGGAGAGGCAGGCACACTCAGTGTAACTTTTATTGAAAAAAATCTGTGTATTGTTGGACCCACGCAGTTCAAACCTGTGTTATTCAAGGGTCAACTATATTTGTAAAGCTGTTAAACAGTGTCTTGCACATGGTAAGCACTTAACATGTCTGGCTATTATTATTAGACCAGGACACATGGTAAGTACTTCGTAGGTATTGGCTATTATTATTTAATTATTAATTAGATAATAGTTATTATTCATCACCATTTTCCTAGTAATGAGTGGCATAATGAAGTTAAGTAACTTGCTGAAGATCATATAACTAGAAAGAAATGGAATCATTTCTAAGTTGGAGGTGAGAGACTGATTAGTGTAGATATAGCATGAGTTACATAATGATTGGTGCTTGAAATATGATGATACTAGAGAGGAAAGAAAACGTGCCAGAAGTAGAAGACATTATGATTAAAAAAAGATCCCTTTAGCTTGCTGACTGGTTGGATGAGAAGTAAGAAGACAACTAAGTTTTTAAACTGGTTGACTGGGAAAAGGGTAACCCGGATGTAAGAAAATAAGAAAGGGCTGGGCATGGTGGCTCCTACCTGTAATCTCAGCGCTTTGGTTGATAAGGCAGGAGGATTGCTTGAGGTCAGGAGTTCAAGACCATCCTGCTCAACATAGCAAGACCCTCCCATCTCTAAAAAAAAAAAAAGGAAAAAAAAAACCCGACTTAGCTGGATGTGGTGGTATGCACTTGTAGACCTGTAGTCCTAGCTACCTGGGAACTGGAACTGGGAGACTGAGCCCAGGAGTTCAAGGCTACAGTGAACTATGATCATGCCGGTGCACTCCAGCCTAAGTGACAGAGCGAGACCCTCTTAAAAAAAAAAAAAAAAAAAAGAGGGCAGGCGTGGTGGCTCACGTGTGTAATGACAGCACTTTGGGAGGCTGAGGCGGGCGGATCACGAGATCAGGAGTTCGAGACCAGCCTGGCCAATATGGTGAAACCCCGTCTCTACTAAAAATACAAAAATTAGCTGGGCATAGTGGCGCACACCTGTAGTCGCAGCTCTACTCAGGAGGCTGAGGCAGAAAAGCAGAAGAGACTGTCTCAAAAAAAAATTTATTTGTTGAAATGATAACAAATTCCATTTTAATCCTGTTGAATTTTTTGTCAGGTAGTTAAGTGAAATGAGTAGCAGGGAATTTAAGTTAGGGATTTAGGTATTATCACTAAAGGAGTTGGTGAAAGTTCTGAAAGTGTTTGAGGTGTTCAAGGATAACCAGTATTTTTCAGCTGCAAAACCCTGGATCAAAAATAGTGTCAAGATAATAGCCTCCATGCAGAATTTTGACATATTTGTCAACTCTTGCTTTGTAGAAAATCTGCAAATAATCCCAGGAATCTTTAACAAAAGGCACGTCATTACTGCTCCAGGGACTGGCTGTTGCCCTGCGTTCACTATTTTCCTTGCTTCTGCCCTGGTTGTTGTTGTGTCTCCACTGGCTGCTGTCATCAGCCCCTCAGTGAAGGCGGAGAGGAAGCTTGGCACCTTTCCTGTCACCACAGAAATGGCCACTTCCCATGGTAGCATTATTGGAGAGTCAGAACTCAAATCAGCAAGAAAGGACAACCGCAGCAAAAAGTGGGCTGAGGCCAGGCGCGGTGGCTCACGCCTGTAATCCCAGCACTTTGGGAGGCCGAGGCGGGCAGATCACAAGGTCAGGAGATTGAGACCATCCTGGCTAACATGGTGAAACCCCGTCTCTACTAAAAATAAAAAAAATTAGCTGGGCGTGATGGCAGGCGCCTCTAGTCCCAGCTACTCGGGAGGCTGAGGCAGGAGAATGGCATGAACCCGGGAGGCGGAGATTGCAGTGAGCGGAGATGATGCCACTGCACTCCAGCCTGGGCGACGGTGTGAGACTCCATCTCAAAAAAAAAAAAAAAAAAAAAAAAAGTGGATTGAGGACATGAATAGACAATTCTCAAGAGAAGATACACAAATGGCCAATAAGCATATGAAAAAATCTTCAACATCTTTAATTATCAGGGAAGTGCAAATCAAAACCACAATGCAATACTACCTCACTCCTGCAAGAGTGGCCATAATCAAAAAATCAAAGAATAATAGATGTTGATGTGTATGTGGTGAAAAGGAAACACTTTTACGCTGCTGGTGGCAATGTAAACTAGTACAACCACTATGAAAAACAGCATCGAGGTTCCTTAAATAACTAAAGTCGATCAACCGTTTGATCCAGCAGTCCCTAGCAATACTAGGTATCTACCCAGAGGAAAATAAACTCATTATATGAAAAAATAACTCATTATATGAAAAAGATGTGTACTTGCACGCACGTTTATAGCAGCACAATTTACAGTTGCAAAAATATGGAACCAGCCCAAATGCCCATCAGTCAACGAGTGGATAAAGAAAATGTGGTGTGTATATATATTACTCAGCCATAAAAAGGAACGAAATAATGTTATTCACAGCAATCTGAAAGGAATTGGAGACTATTAATCTAAGTGAAGTAAGTCATGAATGGAAAACCAGACATTGTATGTTCTCACTGATATGTGGGAGCTAAGCTATGAGGGCACAAAGGCATAAGAATGACACATTGGACTTTGGGGACTTGGGGGAAAATGTGGGTGGTGGTGAGGGATAAAAGCCTACACACTGGGTACAGTGTACGTTGCTCGGGTGATGGGTGCACCAGAATCTCAGAAATCACTGCTGAAGAACTTAACTCATGTAACCGAACACTGTCTTTTCTTACAAAACCTATTGAAATAAAAAATGAAAAAAAATTTAAAAAACAGTGAAAAGGCTATCTTAGCTTTTCTAATTATTTTGTCCCCCTGTTCTTGCCTCAAGCTTGTTATTCATTGGCTTTGTCTGTACCCCTGTCCAAATGACAGGTATGCTGGTTTCATAGTTCCCCAGTCAAATTTTTGTGCCTGTATGGTTCCTGACCTTTAGAAAAATTCTTACACAAAATGTTTCTCAGTTCTTGATCCATTAACCCTCAGGCACAGTTAGACTTCTCTGAATCCTAGGATGAAAGCCCCTTATTAGGCTCAAACTGGGACCAGGACCCTTAGGATATGTGCTCTTTTGAGAAAAGAGAGGTCAAAGTGGGAAATCCATACATTTTATAATGGTAATCCTATCACATCTTTCTTTTGCCCCCTTCAGTTTTTCATATGACTGTGAAGATTTGTGGACATGACTGTGATTTGGGATTATTTCTTCTTTTCCCCAGATGGAACAATGATGTGTACTACTGTGGAATTAGATCCTATCTGGATATTTTGTTAGGAGGTTTGACTCACTTCTTCCTCATGTTTTTATATTATTCTTAAGGCTTTTCATACCTCTTTATTGGAGTTTACTAAAGATTTTAATGTCTAGCACACGTTCCTTTCAAATAAGCATTGGTAATTTATTTTTTTCTGGTTCATCTGTGAAGAATCCCAGTGAGCCTTTTTGAAAACTCATCATTTGCAGTTACTTTAGAACAGCAATTTATAGAAAGGTACTGTATTAGAAATGTTTTATTTCAGTCCACTCGAGCTGTGAAGTGCAAGAACCATGAAGATTGAAAAATACAAATGATAGAAGTGTCTCTTTCTCCTTATTTTCTAGCCTTCTTTGAATCCTGGGGGGAGCCAGTCATCTGATGTGGTGCTTTTGAACCACTGGAAAGTGAGGAATTTTGAAGTACACCGTGGTGACATTGTATCATTGGTGTAAGTAACTCAGAAGCATACTATATTTGTATATAAAATTATTTATACTTATGCTGATTTAACTGGTAATCCACTGTTAATATCATATTGCCAATTATTAAATTGAATACATGTTAAATACAATGCATTTTTAAAAAATCAATTTTGCAGTGTAACAATGCTATAAAAAGAATTTTTTGCATTTAAAATATGTTAGTTGACTAACATATTTGGATTTGGTGAAATGTATTTAATGAAATGTTGATTAGAAATTATTAAAAATACATGCATTTGGTACTACTTTGGAATATTTTGAAATTTTGCATCTTGGTAAGCAACTTTTTTGTTACCCCAATGTTTTCTTGGTTTGTATAGATTAAAAAGTATTCCTAGAAGGTGATAATTATGACATGAAAATCATTGACATTTATGTACATCAGGAGTTTAACTGAAAAAGGAAGTTTGAAAGACTAGCACTGGATGCTTCTGTTTGGGTCCAAAAGGTGGCACTGTTTCACTGTTATAATATGATGACTGGTCAGGATCAAAAATTTCATTCCAGTCTTAATGTAGAAAAGGAATGTCAAAGTGTGTATAACTGACACAATGATATAATACATAGTCCTAGGACAGGCCTAAATGGTTTGGAGATTTTTGTTTGTTTGCTTTAAAAGTAAATTTACACTAGGAAGACTGTAGCCAAACTTGTCTAATTTCTTCTGGTTTCAAATACTTATAAAAATGTTGTAGTATGATTCCCTGTTATGCCAGTTAGGGGTAGCAATTAAGGTAGCAGTGTTACTGCCATTTGATTTGGAGACAGTAAAAACCTGCTACTGGGTAAATACTTTTCCCATTTGTATTTCTGATTCTTGAATTGGAAGGATTTTTTTCTTGTTGGATGGTAATTTATAATTGGTAAAAGCAAGACATCATCTGCTTATTTGTACTTACCTTTGGCTAGTGCTTTGTGGAAATAGATATTCTATAAATGTGTTTCTTTCAGACTATTCTACCAGTATTCATTTGAAAACATATTAACCAAATCTCGTTAGTGACTAATGAAATAAATTCAAGTGGAGTTTTGTATGGCAGACATCCAAGGAGGGGGATTAAATGCTTCTCAGGTTTTGAGTGCTTTTAAAAATATTAACCTGCTCTTTGAAGTGTACTTTTATTTTGTCATTCCGAGTACTATTTTTGCAACCTCCTAAACAACCTTTTCCATGCTGGGTTAGCCTGTCATATGCTTATTATTCTTTTGCCTTTGGTTTGACAAGGTTATATCCTCACTTAGTTGGTGATGGAAAGGATACCCACCCAAGTGAAAGAGGTCACACTATACGCAGACAATTGTGCAGTATTTTTTTTTTCCCGTGAGAAACATGCTGACTATCTCTAACCAAGTGGACTTAAATAGATAATTGAAAAATAAAACAGGGCTGCTTGATATTCAGGGTTGCATGGGTCCATAAAAGTATCCTACCATATCATGGAGTATATTAAAAAGAGCACACTACTATTTTATATAAATATTCATAGTGATTGATATTTATTATATACATTAACTTCAAAAATATTCTATTCAAATTGGGATTGATATATAAATTATAGCTATTCCAGTTGAACTGTGTTTTTTTTTTTTTTTTTTTTTTTTTTTTGAAACAGAGTCTCGCTCTGTTGCGCAGGCTGGAGTGCAGTGGCGGGATCTCGGCTCACTGCAAGCCCCGCCTCCTGGGTTCAGGCCATTCTCCTGCTTCAGCCTCCTGAGTAGTTGGGACTACAGGGGCCCACCACCACGCCCAGCTAATTTTTTGTATTTTTAGTAGAGACGGGTTTCACCGTGTTAGCCACGATGGTCTTGATCTCCTGACCTCATAATCTATCCACCTCGGCCTCCCAAAGTGCTGGGATTACAGGCGTGAGCCACTGCGCCCGGCCTGAACTGTGTTTTTAATGACTCAGTTATGTGCTATATCTTTGTCATGTACAAATAACACAAACTTTCATGTGCTTGTTCTTAGGAGGAGCCATTTACATAAAAGAGTGCTTAGTTACTAGTATTATATATTTAACAACAGATGATCGTGAAGCAATATTGTTGCTTTGAGAAAGAAACAAAAAATCTGATGCTAAATTCTTCTTTAGCATTATTTAAAGTATTTTTTTAGGTCAGGGCCAGGTGGCTCAGGCCTGTAATCCTGGCACTTTGGGAGGGCAAGGTGTGTGGATCCCTTAAGCCCAGGAGTTTGAGACCAGCCTGGGCAACACGGTGAAACCCTGTCTCTACAAAAAATACAAAAATTAGCCGGGTTTGGTGATGCGTGCCTGTAGTTCTTAGCTACCTGGGAGGCTGAGGTAGGAAGATCGATTGAGCCTGGGAGGTCGAGACTGCAGTAATCTGTGATTGTGCCACTGCACTCCAGCCTGGGTGACAGTGAGACCCTGCCTAATAAAAAGTATCTTTTTAGTCTTATGATGAAACATGCTTTCTAGACCATATCCATGTATTTTCATACAATTTAGAAACTGCTTCATTTTAGAAGATTGATGTTGGTTTGATTGCAGTTCATAATATACATTTAATTTATATCAAATATTGAATATTTGCTTTTCTTATACAATGCATCAGTTTGTTTTTAACATAGATGATAATTTTTGTTACTACATTGGAACATCCTATTTATTTAAGAAATGTGTGACACATACAGAAGTGTATATTAAAATGTTCGATTTAAAGCTGATGATAAAATACACTTCGTAATTTTGTTTAGAAATTGATATTAACAGTATACTTCATTGATAAATAAGTAATCTTTGAAAACAAACCAGTATAACCTTTTTATATTAAAAAAATCTTGAGACAATGTATTCAGAATGTGTGGTAATACACCATTTCTACTATAATATTATGTGTGCTTTTCTGGAAAATTTGCAGTTTCCAAATTCTTACTTAAATCAGTAGGGCTTATTCAACTTTATAACCAGAGCACTGATGAAAACAATAACAATGTCAATAAAAATACTAACACAGTTTAAAAGACATGAAGTTTCTAATAATTAAACTGCAGTAAAAGTAGTGTTTTACTTAAAACATAAAAGGTGAAGATAGCTTGGTGGTAGGTGGTATAAGGAAGGGTTGAGGCTGTCTGTGGATGCAAGGGCAGAAAGACATTATCATTACAAGTCATAAATAGAGAAAAGCTTGTAAGCTTTGTACAAAATGTACTGATACCAGAGTTGTATGCTCTCCTCATTGTTTTGTGTTACTTTGTTTTATTTATTTAGTTATTTATAAACAAAGATCAGGGTTAACTTTGCAGTAGCACTTCTCAGAGAAAGGCTGAATGTATAATACTGATTCCTTCCTGGTTTGCTGCCATTAGTATACGTAGCCTTCAGTTGCCTGTACTAATAAGGCAAAACATTAATCATCTGGGAAAAAAATTACATAGGAACCAATGTAACTTCTGCATTACACTGAAATCTTTTCTCCACTTACCAATTGTCTATGTTAATTCATGTTACAGAAACACATATATAGCAAAGCAGACTGTCCTTTCTATTGCAAGGGGTTTTGTTCAGAGTTGGTTGACCAGTGTTGTTTCCTAAAGCATGGGAGATCTGGCAGAGGGAGGTGGGTGCATATTATTTTTTTGCATATCTTTCTTATTTTTCACTGTCTCTTTCTTTCTGTAAAAAGTTGGTCACAGTGGAGTTATTGTTTAAGTATGTTATTCAGTAGCTACATTTATTTAATAACATTATTGGTTGCACAAAATATGATTTGCTGTCATCAAGTCCTCACTATAGTATATGTAGGTGGCATCATACTCTCTTAGTGATTTACAAACTCATAGTGGTGAGTAAGGTGAATTTTCTATACCTTGGAATTGACTTTTCGTTAACCTGTGTGATGGCCTTCCTGGCTTAACATAAGTTGCACTATTTCACAATAATATATCACTTAACAAGTCCATCGGGACAGAGGTTCTTTCATAATAAAGTCCTAAATAATCACATTTAAAAGTGTTTTAACTTAATTTTACTTTTATTTGTTTTGAAGAAAAGTTGCAAAAATAGTGTAGAGAGTTCCCACAAATCCCCTAATATTAACATTATATAGAACCATAGTTCAAGTATTGAAACCAGGAAATTGACATCAGTAGAATATTATTAGATCTAATCTTATTAGACGAATAGGTCTAGACCTTATTCAGATTTCACCTGTTTTCCCACTAATGTCCTTTTTTTGGGCCAAGATCCTACTCAAGATCCCATATTTTCATTTTTTATTTTTTATGTCTCTTTAGTCACCTTCAGTATATGCCAGTTCCTTGATCTTTGTCTTTTATGCCATTGACACTTTTGAAGGGTACTGTCCAGTTATTTTGCAGAATGCTGCTCAGCCTCTTTAATGTTTGATGCCAGACTCTCTTTCAATAGAGAAGCACTAACGTTAATGGCAGTTGCTGAGGCTGAGGAAGCTGCAGCAGTGAGAACCCCTGAATAAAGGAGAAACTCTGTCTGACTAGGCAGTAGGGCCAGCTGGGGAGGTGGATACCACAGGGGCAGAGAAGAAAGAGATGGTAGGATTTCTCTTTCAGGCATGGGTTTTTTTTTAGTTTCTTGGAACCACATACTTGGGTCATGACTACAAGGGTTCAGGGATTCTAGAAATAAGTCTACCGAGTCAAATTTATAGCTGCTAGGAAGCAAAGAAGGAGAGCTGTGTGAGTGGGAGAAATGGCCACAGTTTATAGAGAGCTAGAAAGGAAGGACGATGGGGGGCTTCCTTTCTCTTCCTTTCCTCTTAATCTGGATCACAGATTTCACTGTATTGAGCCAGTGTTCAGTTCTATAGTAGAAGGTTGGTGTGAGGGAATTCTCATTGAATGAGCATGCCTGTAAGTAAGCATTGTGCTAAGTGCTTTGAGTATGCTGTTTTTATTTAATTCTCACAATATCTGGAGATAGTAATTTTTAACATAATGAAACAGATTTACAGCAAGTGCATGGCAAGTAAAAAGCAAGGCCAGAATTTGAATCCACATTCATTTGACTCTAAGCCTGTACTGTCTAATATAGCAAGCACCTATAGTTACTGAACACTTGAAATGTGGTGATTGCTGCTTGTTAAAATCATAATAATTTGGATATATTCATGCAAATAAATATATTACTAAAATGCTACCTGTTTCTTTTTCCTCTTTTTCTTCCAGTTTTAGTTTATGAGATTGGGTCTTGCTATGCTGCCCATGCTGGGCATGAACTCCTGGGCCTAAGTGATCCTCCTGCCTCAGCCTCCTGAGTGGCTGGGACTACAGGCATAAGCAGTGCATCTGGCTGATTCTTCCTTTTTAAATATGCCTAGTAGAAAATGTAAAATTACACATGTGACATACATTTTATTTCTATTTGATAACACTACGTCTAAATCTTTTCCCATTGTACACTGCTGTATCCCTGGAGTATGTCTGAAGTGAACTAAGATAAAATCCCAAAGTCTGAGATGGAAAACACTAAGGTAGTTCCTATGAAGCAAAGGTAGACTTCTAAAGATAGGTAATAAACACCTGGTGTTGGTAAGAGTGTCGGAGTGATCAGGTCCAAAGGCAGAGAGAAAAAGACACATAATCTATGGAGAGAAAAAAAAAAAACATAATATTTTTAAAGTGTTTATTGACTGCTTATTTTTTTGTTAGCCACTGGGTTAGGAGTTCTAACTTCACTTTTATTTGATTCTTATTAAGAAAAACCAGTAAAGTAGGTATTGTTATCCCCGGTTTTATAGATGAGAACACTAAAGCATAGAGAGGCTAAATAACCTGCTTAAGGACATAGTAAATATTAATAAGTGGCAGAGCAAAGGCTTGAAGTGCCTCACATCAAAGCTGTGTCTTAACCATCATCCTATAATGTCTCCATATAATGTGGTACGATGCTATGGTTGAATAACATTGATTCTCACCAAAGAAGTCATTCTGGCCCTGGTATGTCTACATCTCTTATTTTACTCCCATTTCTGTAGTTGAATTTCTGATACAGTGGTTCCTGAAATACATAGCAGTCTCTTCATTAATAGCAATATTACTGTATTATGAACATACAGTGTGCATAATACAGCAGTTTCAACAGCTGGTTTTTGTCATGCTAAACTCATTACCACTTTCTGATAGATGGCCAGTGTGGTGGCTGCTTCTCTATCGATAAGTATGAACAAAGAGTCATAAAGATTTGAGCAAGGGAAATAGATGAAATAGAATAGAGCATTTGAAAAAAGAAAAACGAAAGATGCTTTGTGTCTTGAGTGCTTGTAAATCTTGAAAGGTTCCTTGACCAACCAAGGAAATTAATTGGAACCTGCTAAAAATGGAATTTCATGTTTTGGCCACAGTAATAATAATACTGAATAATGACCCATAATTGTATTAAAAGCCAGTTATCAATTGAGCTGGGAAAATATAATTGTGTATACTTATCTGTTCTATCTGTACTCATTCCCAATTTTTAAAATCTATGGCCAAACATTTTTCTGAGTTTGTAGTTAATGTAGTACATTTAGGAACCAAATGTAGAAAGACCATGACTTTTATGAAAGATTCTTTAGGGAGGATGAAGTACCTAGGTTTCCAGTTTTTTTTTTTTTTTTTTTTTTTTTGACAGTAAAATGCTGGGGAGGGAAATCCTGTGTTGCAGTTTATTTTTGGTACTTTCAATTATCCATAGTAATTTGCAGTCATTACTAAGTATATGTACAAGTGACATTTTTAAAATAAATAAAATGAGATAGTATAGGTATTATTATTCTTATTATTTGATATAGATTAAACTGATTTTTAAATGCTGTTCATAGCCATACAAAAAGTTGATATCCTTGGCCGGGAACAGTGGCTCACGCCTGTAATCTCAGCACTTTGGGAGGCTGAGGCAGGTGGATCACGAGGTCAGGAGATGGAGACCATCCTGGCTACGGTGAAACCCCATCTCTACTAAAAATACAAAAAATTAGCTGGGCGTGGTGGTGGGCGCCTGTAGTCCCAGCTACTCGGGAGGCTGAGGCAGGAGAATGGCGTGAACCTGGGAGGCGGAGCTTGCAGTGAGCCGAGATTGCGCCACTGCACTCCAGCCTGGGCAACAAAGTGAGACTCCATCTCAAAAAAAAAAAAAAAAGTTGGTATCCTTAAGACAGTCCTTAACAGCAATTTATTTTTTAAAGTAGGATAAACTGCCTTCACAATGCTTATACACTTAATTATGTAATAAGACATTTTCTTAGTTCAGAGACAAATTACATCTTAGAAATGTTTAATAAATTTCAATTTTGAATTACCGAGATTTTGTGTTAATGTAACCATAGGAGTTATACATAGCTTCTGCTCATCCTGTTTTATAAATTTTATATCCTTTGAGAGGTAACTATAAGTTTTCAAAGAACAAAATTATACAGGCAACATTCTATTAAATACTAGTGCTTATGTTTATAAATGTTTTCATTTTTACTCTGAAATAATCTAGTCTCTGAGAATGCTGTTTCTTATATTTAAAAAAATGAGTAAGTACAAGACGGCATTTGCAAAGGACCTCCCAAATACACGTTAAATATTATATGTAAGGAGTCAGATTTAGCTATCGAGGAGAAGCATTTTGAATGTAAGTTTACATAATAATTACAACAAAATTAATTAGGATATTAGAGTAGTGAACAGTTTAGGTTTCAAGCAGGAAATAGAACACAAGGCAAATCAACCGTCATATAAGGGTGTCAACTTATCTTAAATACTTTTGGAATTAATAAGATATAGAGGCATACATAAAGATAGGCCACAGATCAGTCAGTGGCTGATTTCTATTTCTGGCTGTAAATGGACTAGTTTATTTCAAACTAAGGCCTACACTGTGAATAATGAAAAAAACTGGATTAGAAAAATATATATATCTAAAGGCATTGGAGCACTACCAAGAGCTAAAGATCTAAGAATGAAAGGAAACACACTGAAGTGAGCCCTGTATTTGGTGTCATTTTTCACCTTGGGTTCTGTCAATTTGCAAGCAACACAGGCCAAGCTGAGAAACCAAGCAGCAATAGCTAAGATGGTGACAGGATGAGCAGAACTTTTGGCAGTTTCACAGTGCCTGCAAGCTAAAATTCAGGAAGGAGGAAGAAGGACCCTGGTAAAACACTCTAAGCTTTTCATTGGAATTCTTGTGGGGCTATATCCTAGGAGTTAGGAAGAACTATAAATAGGCCACTACTTACAAAAATCAAAATGTATTCTTTGATAAACCCAATCTTGATTTTAAGGTGGTCTGCCTTTACTTCAACTGTCTGTCATTGCTGGAAGCAAGAGACATCATGCAGAGTTTCTATAATTTTTTTATACGCAACACTTGGCATTTAATAAAAAATTATACCATGCATATTAGAAGCCAGGACCAAGAAAAACAATATAAAACAAGAAAGGATAGAAACAGTCTCACAGTAATCTAGATATTGGAATGATTAGACATGGACTATTAAATAACTGTAATTGGCCAGGTGTGGTGAGTCATGTCTGTAATCCTAGCACTTTGGGAGGCCGAGGTGGGAGGATCACTTGAGCTCAGGAGTTTGAGACCAGCCTGGGTGACATAGCAAGACTTCCCTGGTCTCTACTTAACCAAAAACAAACAAACAAACAAACAAACAAACAAACAAAAGCTGGGCATGGTGTTGCATGCCTGTAGTCTAGCTACTACAGAGGCTGAGATGGGAGGAAGGATAATGTGAGCCTGGGAGATCATGGCTGCAGTGAGCTATGGTCTAACCACTGCATTCCAGCCTGGGTGACAGAGTAAGACCCTCTCTCCAAAAACAGAAAAAAATTATGATCAATATTTTTTTAAAGTGATGAAAAGGTGGATAATTTCAGCACAGAATAAGAATCCATAAAAATAATTTAAAGAAATTCTAGAAATAAAAACTGTGACTGAAATGAAGAACTCAATAGATTAGTTTATTAGAAAATTAGACAGCTGAGGAAAGAATTAGTGAACTGGATGATGGGTCAATTAGAAAATATATAGAATAGTGCATGGGAGGAATAAAAGAATGGAACACACAATCAATAGTGTAAATAATATAATAGTGGAAAAGGCTGACTACCATCTAATTGGAGTCCCAGGAGAATAGGAGAGTAGGAATTGAGGAAGAAGCATTATCTTAATAGATTCAGGCCAAGAGTTTTCTAAAATCAATGAAAGACATCAATCCACAGAATGAAAAAGCACTATTGGAATAAATACAATGAAAGCACATTTAGGGCACATGGCAGTCAAACCACTGAAAACCAAAGAAGATAAAAGTCTATTTTTTTTTTTGAGGCAGAAATTCACTCTTGTTGCCCAGGCTGGAGTGCAATAGCATGATCTTGGCTCACCACAACCTCCACCTCCAGTGTTCAAGCGATTCTCCTGCCTCAGCCTCCTGAGTAGCTGGGATTATAGGCATGCACCACCACACTTGGTTAATTTTTTATTTTTAGTAGAGATGGGGTTTCTCTGTGTTGGTCAGGCTGGTCTTGAACTCCTGACCTCAGGTGATCTGCCTGCCTCGGCCTCCCATAGTGCTGAGATTACAGGCATGAGCCACTGTGTCCGGCCGATAAAAGTCTTCAAAGGAAAAAAGACATTTCCTTCAAAGAAGCAAAAATATAGCCTACTTTTCAACTGATAGAAGACAGGAGATAACTGAATGACATCTCTATAAAGTGGTAAAAGGAAAAA
Source organism: Homo sapiens (assembly GCF_000001405.40). Lineage (NCBI taxonomy): Eukaryota > Metazoa > Chordata > Mammalia > Primates > Hominidae > Homo > Homo sapiens. Next base: position 111,477,493 of record NC_000007.14, on the reverse strand, counting down.
AAATGTCAATCTAGAATGTTGTACCTGTTGGAAATATTCTTAAAAAATGAAAGAGAAATGCATTCTTTTTCAGACAAACAAGCCCCTGGCACATGCTCAATTGTTCTATTGGACTTCATGTACAAAACAAATTCAAAGGGTTAAGAATTTCAAGTTGGTAGCTTCAGAGCATTAAGCCCCAAATGTGGGGTCCCTTCTGAGCCCAGGATTATGTGTGACTGCACTGGTCACATTGCCATGAAGCCAGCCCTGGTGGTTGGTAGAGGGGTGGGCACTGGACCTAAGCAGGGCCAATCAGAGCCATTCCTGGAAATGGATATATAAATATTAGGAATGCAAAGTTATTTATTTTGTTAGAGTTTGAACAACGTGATCTGTAGAAAACCAGTCACATTTCCTTAAGGATGCATCAATAAATATGAGCTAAATGTAATAATTAGAACTTTGGTTTCCAAGCAGATTCCATGCTCTAATTCCCTGGATAGTGAATATAATAAGATGATATATCCATGAATAAGTTACTTTACATTGCCAAAGGGACAGATGTAAATAAGGCTACTAATCAGTTGACCTTAAAATAAAGGTTATCCTGGATTATCCATGTAGGTCCAGTGCAATCACATGAGCCCTTAGAAACAGAGGCAGAAGTAGTAGTTAGGGAAGTGCAGCATATGAAGTGAGAGATCCAAAGGACAAGAAGGATGCAACACATTGTTACAGCCTTTGAAGATTCAGGGGCCATGGGCAGAGGAAAGCAGGCTGCCTCTAGAAGGTAAGAATAACCTTCAATCAAAGATCAGCAAGGAAACAAGTACCTCGGTCTTACAACTACACAGAATTTTGCCAACAACTTAATGAGCCTGGAAATAGATTATCCTGGGATTTCTATAGAAGGACCTAGTCCCACTGACACCTTGATTTTGGCCTTGAAAGATCTTAAGAAGAGGATCTAGCCAAACCTACTAGGCTTCTGTCTTTGAGAGCTGTTAGATAATAAACAAATGTTATTTTAAACCGCCAAATTTGCTGTAATTTGTTACAGTGCCAATAGAAAATCATCTTAAGCAATAAAAAATACAAACAGTTCTAAAACCACGTTTACTATGTACAAGGAAATGTACTTTTACAAAAGATTATTAAGTGTTTGAAAACACCGATTTTATTTACATAATTGACTAATTTAAAAAGTATTATTTTCTTTTCTGTGAAACAAATCTGAAAGCCTCTATTTGCCAGTTCTTCAGTGCAAGACTATGGGTCTAGGCTTTGGGACATCTTGTTTCTACTTTGAGTTGCATCATTTTTAATTGGCTGAGTGACCCTGCACAGGTTACTTTAACTGTTCCTTGGATCAATTGCATCATCTGCAGAATAAGAGGTACAGACTAGTTGATCTTTAAGGTCTCTTTCATTTAAAAAATGCATGAAAATAGCTTTAGGGATCAAAATGGAATTGTTAGGAAGTTCAACATAAGAATTAATCCCTCAGGATATCAGAAAACTATGTTGCATAGTTTTAAAGTTGGAGTCAAAACTGACTTGAAATTTTTTAAAGAAGAGCTATATTGGCACATGAAATAGAAATTCTGGAACAGATAGGAGACTTGGAACACCAGGTCTTTATTGGTGAAAGACATCAAATGAATATATACTTATAAAGATTATGTCTGTAGTTGCAATTATTGAAAATTGCAAACATAAATGTTGGCAGGTAGACGTTTTACAGAAGGATGAGATCAAAATCCTTTCCTATTTATTTAAAATTACTCAAAATAAGATAGTGGTAGAAATCTTTGTTTCTTTGTTCCTTGTAATTTATTCTGGGAGTAGAGTTTTTAATATTCTAATGGTTAATTTTGTTCTGGTTATCTCCATATCTCTTGTCAACTTAAGATGTGTTTCCCACTGGTAAACACAGTGTCCGCTGGTTCTTGCTAAATAAAGATACCATAGTCTATATTCTGCTTCATATTTTAGGTCTTGGAAAAGTGGAAGAAATCTCTAAACTAAACTTAAACATAACCTTATTTGATCCAAGGTCAGTAGATACCTTTCATTTTTCTTTTCCTTTTAGAAAAAAAAAAGGCACTGTTTTGGTGAGTAGAGGTGGCAAGGCTGGGAAATGTGTCGGTAGCTGATAAGAAAGGGAAAGGCCTTAAAACGACACCCACCAAATTTTATCAGTGCCTTGGAGCTCAGGAAAGTATTTCTTTCCAAGAAGAGAACAGGAATGCCTTTTAAAAAAATTGTTTATTTCCATTAAGGAGAAACCTCAAGGGCCCATGAAAGGTTATTCCTTTGCATAATCTAGTGACAGGTTTACTCATACTCAGAGGTTACATTAATACTTACTGATGGCACAAGTATAAGTTTCACTTTATTAAAAATTGTATGGATGTTGGAACTGCTGTTGAAGAAGCTGGCTTGGTTTGATTTAGCTATGGATATGATAATTATAATATGGCTTTCTGTACTTTTAGAAGTCATAAGTTATATTGCAAGGATTTGTGTATTTGGATTGCTAGAAAGTTACCGTATAGTATTATGACAGTACAGTAGGAAACATTTCAGTGTGAAGAATAGTATGTCTCACATAAATTTTACCATAGAATTAAGTAAGAATCATTAAAATATTCCGGGTTTATTAAAAATTCATTATTCTACTAGATGATCTTTAAAGAGCAATAAGAACTTGAAGAAATAATAGGAAAGCTTTGGTAACAATGACACTGTGTTAATTGAGTTGCAAGAAGGTAAAGAATGTATTAACAGAATGGATCCAAATTTGGCAAAAAAGGTTTGTAATAAATCAAGGGGGGAAATCAGTTAATAAAGAAAGAGGCCAATTATCAGTGAGGGGAGGGGAGTGTATTTAATGATTCTAAATGAAAGGTTAAACTGCTTGGGTGAATTTCAGTTTAACAAAAAGGAAGAAAAGCAATATGGATAATTAGGCAGTAATAAGAGCATACTGAAAAAAAAAAGCGGAAAACTGCCTTAGGTGCTAGGGGAATATTGGCTAATGAACTTAACCTCCTGCAGTTATCTTTGAATATTCACTTTTGCTTTATAAATGGGAGAAGTGATGTTTTTAGTTATTTTCAAGGAGGTATGATTCCTTAGCACACTTTATCATATTGTGGACTTTAAAAAAAGTAATTTCAACTTTTATTTTAGATTCTGGGGCACATGTGCACTTTGTTACTTGGGTATATTGTGTGATGCTGAGGTTTAGGGTATGATTGATCCCGTCATCCAGGTAGTGAGTATAATAGCCAATAGTTAGTTTATCAACCTTTTTCCCCCTTTTTCCCTCCCCACTCAAGTAGTCCCCAGTGTCTATTATTGCCATCTTTATGTTCATGAGTGACCAATGTTTAGCTCCCACTTTTAAGTGAGTACTTGCAATATTTGGTTCTCTGTTCCTGCATTAATTTATTCTTAGGATAATGGCCTCCATCTGCGTTCATGTTGTTGCAAAGGACATGGTTTCATCCTTTCTTATGGCTGTGTAGTACTCCATGGTGTATTTGTACCACACTTTCTTTATTCAGTCCACTGTTGATGGGCACCTAGGTTGATTCCATGTCTTAGCCATTGTGCATAGTGCTGTGATGAACATATGAGTGTGTGCATCTTTTTGGTAGAATGATTTATTTTCCTTTTGATATATGCCCAGTAATGGGTTTGGTGGGTCAAATGATAGTTCTGTTTTAAGTTCTTTAAGAAATCTCCAAACTTCTTTCCATAGTGGCTGAACAAATGCTGTTAAATGCTGCTTATTGCAAATATTCTCTAGAATATTGATATTGAATCTACCACAGATGTTTATGCAATGTCATGACTATCAACTGTCAGTTATTCTTAACATGAAGTAGGTTGACATAAACACCAACAATGTCATTCAGTCTGCCAGTATTGAAGGAGCAGTGATTCTCTGTAGCTCCATGCTGGATTACGCCTTGCTAAGAACAGTCAACAGTGGGACACTTAGCATCTGCTATATAGTAAGCCAAAAAGGGACATATACAACCAAGGAAAACTTGAAAACTTTTAAGGATGTGGTAAAGCTCAGGTCTTAGTGACATCTGGCTCTGTACTTTTGTATTTTTTTGTATTTTGTATTTTGGGGGAGGCTGCCACATAGGAGTCCAGATGGAATAACTTTGGAATAGATGAATACACTAACTCCAGTTATGTGAAGAGGGGCCACAAACAGCCAGGCAAAGAAAAGAAGACATGCAGATCGCCATGGAAAGCTCCTCTTTGGAAGCATAGTCACCCTGTGCATAGCTAACTCTATTAGCTAGATTTTCACCATCCTTTTATCTATGTGATAACATTGAAATAACAGCAAATATTCAAGAAGTGGAGCTGATATTCTTTATTTTTATTATTTTTAATAATGTCATTTTGGAATGACAATAATAGTTTTATTTGTTAAAATAAATATAGGGTATACGTACAAAATTAAGCATGTTGCTTAATCAAATAATCTTCATTCATTTTTATCAGCACTATTTTGCATTTTTTTTCTTTTTTCTTTCTTTTTTTTCTTTTAGTAGAGACTTGGTTTCGCCATGTTGGCCAGGCTGGTCTTGAAATCCTGGCCTCAAGTGATCCACCCACCTCAGCCTCCCAAAGTGCTGGGATTACAGGCATGAGCCACTGCACTCAGCATAGCACTATTTTTGGAGCAGTATTTCTACAAAGGAAATAACTACCATGACTACAACAGTTATTAGCTTATTAAGATGTCTCATAAAATTAAGTTTTAAAGTTTCAAGTGATGTTTACTTTTCAATTTCACATGGAAAGTTAGCATGAAAAGACTAATTTTTTAAATAATTGTGTCTTTTCTTAATGAAAAGCATAAATACATTTATAGTTGTTGGAGTATATTGAAGAAATTACAGCTAAATATTTTGGTTGGTTACAATTATTGGTGATTCTGGAACTGTGGTTTACCTACAACATAATGGTTGAGTGTCTTTGAAGATTTTATTGGGCAAAGCAGGATTTTAAATCTTGCCAGAATTTGAAATACAGTATATCATCATATACTATAGCTATATTTTGAATATAACTTTTAATTTTGTATGAATATTACATTAATGAGCAACATGATGCCTTAGTAAGTTACCACTATCAAATGGCAGATAATAATGGTTGAGAGTAGTTTCTCTGAACTTTTCCAGATATGTTTTCTTAGAACTTTTTTTTAAAGAGATGTGTACTTGAAAGGAGGATATTCTCTTTAAAATTCATGTGGAATTGGTTGAAATAAATTCAGAGTATATATATACATGCCCAAAGTAAAACACAACAAAACTGAATCGTGAGTTGACATACGTTAACAATATTAGTTAAATTACAAGTTGACTGGTGAACAAAGGATACTCTTATGGAGATTATGATTTTAAGATTTTTTTACAAGTCATTTTATTGAATGTGGTACAGAATAAGATCGTATATAACAGTTAAATTTTCACTGACATTTCAAGAGGTGGAATAATAGAGGAAATACCCACGGACTAGGTTCTAGTCTGGGTTTTGTTTCCAGTAGCTAGGTGACCTGAGTAAGCCACTTAATTAGTTAGGACTTTATTTTCTTAAAGTCATGATGTTGTCCTGGGTGTCCCCTTCATTAACTTTCACACTAATATGATATATATATAGGCTGGCTGTGATGGAACCTTTCTGAATCCTGTTCTTCCAGTTTAGTATTTATTCTAGAGGATAACATTTTGAATGTTCAGGGACGTTCAAAAGAAATATAACGTGAGCCATATATGTGATTTTAAATTGTCTACTAACACTTTGAAACAAGTGAGAAAAGAAACAAGTGTAATTTTAATTTTAATATTTTCTAACCCAATAGATCTAAAATATTTCCACATGTAATTAATATTAAAATATTAATGAGATATTTTACATTTTTCGAAATAAGGTCTTAAAAATCTGGTGTTGGTTTCATTTGGCACATCTCAGTTTGGACTAGTTGCATTTCAAGTGTTCAGTAACCACATGTGGCTTTTGGCTACTGTATTGGACCTTGCTGCTAAAGTTATGGAATCTTTATATCTATACCCATGAATCAAATTTAGAGACTTTAGAGTCAGCTTTAATTACCTTTTGTTTTCTCCTCTCTTCTATACAATAATGACAGAGACTTGCATTCCCTAGAATCTGTCAAGATTTGCGGGTAAATCAGTACATTTTGCTCTTATTTCCAAGCATCTGGAAAGAGTACTGATGTTTATTTCCAAACATCTGGAAAGAGATATTTCTGGGAAGAAATATCTGTGAGTCCTCTTCAATTCCTTAAGTCACTTACTGCCTTAGTTTAGTAAAATCAGACTTCTATCTCTAATATTCTACAAAAACTCTTTGGAAAAATTCTCAAATCTTCTCATTGCTAAATCCAATGGCCACGATACAAATGTTTCTTCATCTCTTAGCAGAAATGGACAGTATGAATTCTTCCTCCTTGAAGTTTTCTGGCCCTTTGTTGTATATTACATCCTTTTTTCTTGGTTCTGTTTTAGCTTTGTATGCTTTGCTGGTTCCTTTTTTGGCCCTCTTCTCTTTATTTATTTATTTATTTATTTTATTATTATTATACTTTAAGTTTTAGGGTACATGAGCACAATGTGCAGGTTAGTTACATATGTATACATGTGCCATGCTGGTGTGCTGCACCCATTAACTCGTCATTTAGCATTAGGTATATCTCCTAATGCTATCCCTCCCCCCTCCCCCCCACCCCACAACAGTCCCCAGAGTGTGATGTTCCCCTTCCTGTGTCCATGTGTTCTCATTGTTCAATTCCCACCTATGAGTGAGAACATGCGGTGTTTGGTTTTTTTGTCCTTGGGATAGTTTACTGAGAATGATGATTTCCAATTTCATCCATGTCCCTACAAAGGACATGAACTCATCATTTTTTATGGCTGCATAGTATTCCATGGTGTATATGTGCCACATTTTCTTAATCTAGTCTATCACTGTTGGACATTTGGGTTGGTTCCAAGTCTTTGCTATTGTGAATAGTGCCACAATAAACATACGTGTGCATGTGTCTATAGCAGCATGATTTATAGTCCTTTGGGTATATACCCAGTAATGGGATTGCTGGGTCAAATGGTATTTCTAGTTCTAGATCCCTGAGGAATCACCACAGTGACTTCCACAAGGGTTGAACTAGTTTACAGTCCCACCAACAGTGTAAAAGTGTTCCTATTTCTCCACATCCTCTCCAGCACCTGTTGTTCCCTGACTTTTTAATGATTGCCATTTTAACTGGTGTGAGATGGTATCTCATTGTGGTTTTGATTTGCATTTCTCTGATGGCCAGTGATGATGAGCATTTTTTCATGTGTCTTTTGACTGCATTAATGTCTTCTTTTGAGAAGTGTCTGTTCATGTCCTTCACCCACTTTTTGATGGGGTTGTTTATTTTTTTCTTGTAAATTTGTTTGAGTTCATTGTAGATTCTGGATATTAGCCCTTTGTCAGATGAGTAGCTTGCGAAAATTTTCTCCCATTTTGTAGGTTGCCTGTTGACTCTGATGGTAGTTTCTTTTGCTGTGCAGAAGCTCTTTAGTTTAATTAGATCCCATTTGTCAATTTTGGCTTTTGTTGCCATTGCTTTTGGTGTTTTAGACATGAAGTCCTTGCCCATGCCTATGTCCTGAATGGTATTGCCTAGGTTTTCTTCTAGGGTTTTTATGGTTTTAGGTCTGACGTTTAAGTCTTTAATCCATGTTGAATTAATTTTTGTATAAGATGTAAGGCAGGGATCCAGTTTCAGCTTTGTACATATGGCTAGCCAGTTTTCCCAGCACCATTTATTAAATAAGGAATCCTTTCCCCGTTGCTTGTTTTTGTCAGGTTTGTCAAAGATCAGATAGTTGTAGATATACACAATAACAGACAAACAGAGAGCCAAATCATGAGTGAACTCCCATTCACAATTGCTTCAAAGAGAATAAAATACCTAGGAATCCAACTTACAAGGGACATGAAGGACCTGTTCAAGGAGAACTACAAACCACTGCTCAATGAAATAAAAGAGGATACAAACGAATGGAAGAACATTCCATGCTCATGGGTAGGAAGAATCAATATCATGAAAATGGCCATACTGCCCAAGGTAATTTATAGATTCAGTGCCATCCCCATCAAGCTACCAATGACTTTCTTCACAGAATTGGAAAAAACTACTTTAAAGTTCATATGGAACCAAAAAAGAGCCCGCATCGCCAAGTCAATCCTAAATCAAAAGAACAAAGCTGGAGGCATCACGCTACCTGACTTCAAACTATACTACAAGGCTACAGTAACCAAAACAGCATGGTACTGGTACCAAAACAGAGATATAGATCAGTGGAACAGAACAGAGCCCTCAGAAATGGCCCTCTTCTCTTTTCCCTTTGTCCACTGCTCTTAACTTCTTGCCTACCTGATTTCTTTTTGAAGCATCATACCTGTAATTTTAGCTCTCCATTGGATATATGTGTATGATGATATTCCTCAGACTTCTCAAACCCAACCTAGCCCATACCAAACTTTTTTTCTTCTTCTGGTTACTATTTTGATTATTGCCATCATATTTAGTCACAAGTCAAAGTTAGAGTCACTTCCATCTTTAACTTCTAGGTTTTTCTTATCATCTGTATCCAGTTAGACACAGAGTCTTTTTGGGTCTACCTGAAAAATATCTATTGAATATTTTTCTTTTCTCCATTTACTAAGTCCAGGTGCCACATAGATCTCTCCTTCTTTGACTATGATATGTTTTCTCTAGTACATTTTCCACATTGCTAGCAGATTTATTTCCAACATGATTTGGATAATATCACTTTCCTGCTTAGAACTTCTGCTGATTCCATTTTCTTCTTATATTGCATATGAGTCCTAGACTGCTGTTCTATCTTTAACTCTAGACATTCTCTTTTATAGTTCTCTCTCCTCTAAAAGTCAAGACTTAAAAATATTTCAAATGATGAAATTTTAGGCTTCTTGATGGCTACTGGGAGAAACTAGCCATCCAATATGGATAGTATGGCCCCTACAGCCTTGCTATAATAATAATAAATGGGCAAATACAATGTATTTATGTGATACCCATAATTAGGTTAATAAGCATATTTCTTTTTTTTTGTAAGTAAATCCCTGTGTGGATATTTTAGTTGTTGGGAAGCAAGGGTTAATAACATCCAGGTAACAATGAGGGATGTATGTTTTATTTACACATATGCTTTCTATACTTGGAAACTAATATAGCAGATTATCTTGGTTAAGCTGTACAGCTCAGCTGACTTTTATAAGAAAACAATAGATCCCCTGAGGTAATACTAATGTAAGTAAAAAGTAATTATGGCCATTAGTATATCTAGTTGGGATGAGAAAGAATGACTTTAATTGTTACCTATTTACTAATATTTTTACAATTGGTTGTTTCCTGGCCTCTTTATTCTCCTAGCGTATTTGAGATGAGATGAGATGTTAGTTCTCTAAAGTGCAACATATTTTTCTTCTTAGCCAAATCCTGTTATTAACCTCATTTGCCTTAGCTGACAACAGGTTTCCCTTAGGCAGTGTAAGCATCGATGCTCTGAGGAAGAGGATAAATATTAATTGGAGTGTACTACTTCTTGGAGACCTTTAAGAAGTGCTAAATAGTCTGAGAAAGTGATTTTTGCTTCTACTTCGGGAGTGTTTGTTTAAATACTTAATTACTTAATTTGAAAGAATACTAGAGGTCATAAACAGTAATGAATATATTGTCAACTAGAATATTTTTGCATATACTCAGAATGTTTTGTCCTTTTCTCAAAACTAAAGCAAGGTAATAAACAATGATCATAGTTAAAAGGGTAATTAACCTTACCGTCTCTGTAATCCCGAGGAAGTCTAGACATGAACTCAGGAGTTGGCATATTGTTTTCAATATACATACCAGCCATCTTTGAACATTTATTCTGTAAAATGACTTGTATTATGCTTAAGTGAGTATGAGCAGTGTGACTCACATAAGTAGGAGAAAAGAAGCCAAAAACTGCAACAAAATATTCCCTTTAAAATGAATACCATCTTTACAGAACTGAATATATTTCTGGACTGTATATAGAATTGGAAATTTTAGAACTAAAAGTTTTTAAGAGCTTACTATGTGTCAGGAATTGTTCTAAATACTTTACATATATTACCTCATTTAATCTTTCCAATAGCACTGTGAGGTAAGAACTGTAATTTTACAGTGAGGAAACTGAGGCACATAGAGATTGGGTGACTTGCCCAAGGTCACCCAGTAGGTGCTGGGGTGAGGATTTACACCAGGGCCTTCTCGCCTCAGGGGCTGTGCTTTTGACCACTTGGGTCTTCTGCTGATCAGTGATTTAATCTGCTATTTGGTCAATCTGGTTTTTTACTTATGAACTTTCCTGCTACTACTCTTAGCTCATACTTAGTACAGTTGTCCCTTCATATCCATGGGGAATTGGTTCCAGGACCTCTCAATTGTACCAAAATCCAAAGATGCTCAAGTCCCTGATGTGAATGGTGTAGTATTTGCATATAACCTATGGACATCATTTTGTATACTTTAAATTATCTCCAGATTACTTAGGACACCTAATACAATGTAAATGCTATGTAAATAGTTGTTACACTGTATTTTTTAGGGAATAATAAGAGGGAAAAAATGTCTGTACATGTTTAGTACAGACAGTTTTTTCCCAAATATGTTTGATCTGCTTTTGGCTGAATCCATGGATGTGGAACCCACAGATATGGATGGCCTACTGTACTCTTATTTCTAAGTTGAACCTTTCTTGAGATCTAGTTATTTCTGATGTATTGATAAATGTACTTATATAAATACACAGATATAGTACATAACTACATCTCAGGGCCATTTTATACAGTAACAGTAATCACTTTTTGTTCATTATAGTTATCGTAACTGAGGTATATTTCTGCTAAGCCAAGTAAGGGAATTTTTTAAATAAGTTTTGTGTGTGTTTATTTTTACTTTAAAAAGATGGTTTATAATTTGCAAAGATCAATGAGGATTTCTTTTCCCATGTTCTCTCCCCAACTCCTTACCCTTTCCTAAAAAGCGACTAAATTTGATAATTTTTTTTATTATACTTTAAGTTTTAGGGTACATGTGCACAATGTGCAGGTTAGTTACATATGTATACATGTGCCATGTTGGTGTGCTGCACCCATTAACTTGTCATTTAACGTTAACTTGTCATTTAACATTAGGTGTATCTCCTAATGCTATCCCTCCCCGCTCCCTCCACCCCACAACAGGCCACAGTGTGTGATGTTCCCCTTCCTGTGTCCATGTGTTCTCATTGTTCAATTCCCATCTGTGAGTGAGAACAAGTGGTGTTTGGTTTTTTTGTCCTTGCGATAGTTTGCTGAGAATGATGGTTTCCAGCTTCATCCATGTCCCTACAAAGGACATGACCTCATCATTTTTATGGCTGCATAGTATTCCATGGTGTATATGTGCCACATTTTCTTAATCCAGTCTATCATTCTTGGACATTTGGCCTGGTTCCAAGTCTTTGCTATTGTGAATAGTGCCGCAATAAACATACGTGTGCATGTGTCTTTATAGCAGCATGATTTATAATCCTTTGGGTATATACCCAGTAATGGGATTGCTGGGTCAAATGGTATTTCTAGTTCTAGATCCCTGAGAAATCACCACACTGACTTCCACAATGGTTGAACTAGTTTACAGTCCCACCAACAGTGTAAAAGTGTTCCTATTTCTCCACATCCTCTCCAGCACCTGTTGTTTCCTGACTTTTTAATGATTGCCATTTTAACTGGTGTGAGATGGTATCTCATTGTGGTTTTGATTTGCATTTCTCTGATGGCCAGTGATGATGAGCATTTTTTCATGTGTCTTTTGGCTGCATAAATGTCTTCTTTTAATTTTTAATTTTTTTTTTTTTTTTTTTTTTTTAGTGACACCTGGTCTCAAACACTACTACCCCTCCCCATCCCCAAACAATTAAACAAAACTAAGTACACATATTTTGGGAGGAAAATCACTATTAAGGACCATTTCTTTGGCTGAAGTAGGGGTTTGAAAACTGTCTTTTAAAAGCCGGAATAGACCCCAGGAAGTGAGTGGGAGTGTAGTGTTTGACATATAGCTGAAATAGCCCAGGTAGGGGATTGATGATTTATCAGAATCTTGACTGAGAGCAGAATTATCAAAAATACGTCGTAAGCAAATAAAACACTTGAGGACTTAGGATGTACACCATATAGGGGTCAGAGAGCCCATTATGGCAGGAGTGACAGGTGTTACTGATCTTTTGGACAATGGGTAGTTTACATAGGAAAATTTAAAGAGTTGGCTGTGTTGGCCGGACGCGGTGGCTCACACCTGTAATCCCAGCACTTTGGGAGGCCAAGGCGGGTGGATCACAAGGTCAGAAGATGATTGAGACCATCCTGGCTAACACGGTGAAACCTTGTCTCTACTAAAAATACAAGAACAAAATTAGCCGGGCCTGGTGGCGGGCGCCTGTAGTCCCAGCTACTTGGGAGGCTGAGGCGAGAGAATGGCGTGAACCCGGGAGGCGGAGCTTGCAGTGAGGCGAGGTCGCACCACTGCACTCCAGCCTGGGTGACAAGCTAGGCTCCGTTTCGGGAAAAAATAAAATAAAATAAAAAAGAGTTGGCTGTGTTTTTTGTATATTCCCAGCATACATTTGATTGGTTGGGTAGGGTCCGTGTAAAAATGATTGAGGCTAGAGTGACTTAATGTGTAGGTCAAGGGAAAAACATCAGAGGAAAAATTAATCATAATAATAGCAGCTAATGCTCATAGAACACTTACTACAAGCCAGGTATTGTTCTAAGCACTTTATATAGATTAATTGATTTAATAGTTAAAAAATTAATGTAAGTAATTTGGCATATATTTCACATAGCTGTCCTGTGACTTGTAAACTTTACTTATTTATTTACTTATGAGGCATGGTTTTGCCGTGTTGCCCAGGCAGAGTGCAGTGGCATGGTCATAGCTCACTGTAATATTCAGCTCCTGGGCTCAAGTAATCCTCCTGCCTTAGCTTCCCAAGTAGCTGTGACTGCAGGTCAACACTACCATGCATGGCTAATGTTTTCATTTTTAAATATTTTGCAGAGGCAAGGTAATTGCTATTTTTCTCAGGCTGGTCTTGAATTCCTGACTTCAAACGATTCTCCCACCTCGGCTTCCCAAAGTATTGGGATTACAGGTGTAAGCTATACCTGTAATCCTGGCCTTGTATATTATTACCTTTATGCCCATTTTATTAGTGTACAGAGAGGTAAATTAACTGGACTTATGTAATCTAGTACGTGGTAGAGGCTAGATTCAAAGTGAAGCAGTCTGCCTTCACAATCCATGCTCCTGACCTCTGCCATATCCTTCTAGATTAAGATATAAGTGTGAAGGAGGAAAGGAGCAAAACAGTAGCAAATGTATATATGACAGAAAGTGATGTCTTTACTACCAATTATTTCAAATCTCAATTTGTGGCAGCCATGCTGAGGCTAAACTACTTTTTAGAATTTTGATAAACAAATTATGTAAATACTCTAAAGAATTGACTTATCCCTGTGTACCAGATAGGGCCTTGGTGAGAAACAGACGGTACATTCAATGGGGACAATGAAGAGAGTTTAATGAATGGACTTCATTATAGAGGGATGGGTGGTAGTGCAGAATGCAACCATTGAACAATAGTGAAGTGCCCAGGGACTAGCAACAGTGGGATGTCATCATAGCCTGATGGCAGAAGGAAAAAGAGGTGGGAATGGAATTACCCATTCTGGTGAGAGCTAGAATTATGGGAGCGGGGCTAGTGGACAGGGAAATAGGACTGTGGATAGCTGAATGTAGTTGCTACCAAAAAAGTGGCCTGGTGGGGGTATGGAGTGGCAACAAATACCCTCCCTTCTCTCTTCTGTTGTCTTGTGATCTTGAACAGGTGCCTCCCATTTGCCAACTTGAAGCTAGAAATTAAAGAAGCATGGATGATGCAGTTCACAGAGGTTAGCCTCTGGGATGTGGAGCAGAAAGGAGCAGGGAATGGATTTAGAGGGCAACAGAGATTAACCAGCATGTCACATGTTATGGGTTGAGTTGGATCCCCCCCAGAAAAGTTGAAGATCTGGGTCTTTACAGAAGTAATCAAGTTAAAATGAGGTGTCATTTGTATGGGTCCTAATCCAATATGAATGGTATCTTTATAAACAGGGGAAATTGGGACACACACACACACACACACACGGAAGATGATGTGAAGAGATATAGGCAGAAGATGGCCATGTGCAAGTCAAGGAACACCTGAGGCTGCCAGAAACTAGGAGAAAGGCATGGAACAGATCCTTCCTTACTGCCTTCAGAGGGACATAGCCTTCCTGGCACCTCAATTTCAGATTTCTGGCCTCCGGAACTGTGAGAATACCTTTATGTTGTTGTAAGCCACCTCGTGTTTGGTATTATGTTATGGCAACCCTGCAGAATAACATACCATATGTCATGAAAAAGTTCTTTATTGATCAGATTTGTTTTCAGTTTCTTTTTAAGTGTATATATAGCCACAGAGCCACGAAGACCTTAGAAATCAACTGATGTAAAATACTGATTTTGGAGATGCAGACCTTGCCATCGGTCACACAAACTTAATGGCAGGGGCAGAGCTAGGGCCCTATAGACGAACTGTATTAGAATTCTTAGAGGTGGACATGATAGGGTTTTAGTTAGGTCTGTAAGCACATTTTATCGTTGAACTTCTAGTTAAGAAAAGCTCTATCACACAAAGAAATGATAAATGTTTGAGATGATGGATATCCCAGTTACCCTGATTTGATGATTGCACATTGTATGCTTGTATTGTCACCCGTACCTCATAAATACAACTATTATGTATTCACAATAATTCAAAAAAAATTTTTAATAAAGGAAAACCATTATTTCTATATTTTCCAAGTTTTAATATCCTGATCATTAATTTCTGGATGTAATTAACTGTGTTTCATTGGTTCATTAATTTCCTAATCTCTACTTTGAACCAAAATTTTCTTGTTAATATGAGGCAGTTTTGGAAAACCATTGGGCACAAAGCTGTGTTTTGAAAATTTAGAAGAAAAATAATCTTATTCAGGTGATGATCATGTTATTCATTACTTTGTTTAATGATTATAAATTCACTAAGATGTATCCAATTGGGAGACTATTTATGTAAGCAAGCTGGAAATTGACATGTGTACATAATAAGTTGCTCAAACAATTACTGGTTATACTTTGAGTCTTACTTTGGTTGATGATTTAAAAATTATACATTTAGAATATTTATTATTAAAATAAAAATATATAAATAAGTATAAAGATGTTTGTAAAAATCACTTATCAACTCCCCAAGAAGATACTATAGTACATACACATCCAGGTTTTTTTTATCTCTGTGTTTGTGCACGTGTGTGTGTATGATCTATATAAAATGGAATTGTTCATACAAACAATCTTATAGCCTACTTTTAAAAACTCAACATTATAGTGGCAAATTATTTTTTTCCATGACAGTAAATACATTTTGAAGGAATGCTGTGACGTTGCAAGTGATACAGAAACAGTTGTTTCCAGTTTTTACTAAACATTATGTTAAATGTATTTTTGCCTTGTAAACAATATGAAAAACATTCCTGTAGGTAAATCATTGTACTGTTATCCAACTATTATTCTACATGGAATCAAGTTTGCATGATGAGCAAAGAGCATCATAAGAGCGATTTCCAGTCTCCAGAATAAAGTGAAAACTCAGGAACATATCTCAATAGGAAAAATTTGCAGTAGGTTGCAGAGACATGCCAAAGTCAATGTACAAACAAAGACTTCAAAGAAAAGAGGAGTTAAAAAAGCCTTCACTATAAACCTTAAGCTATATATTGGGAATAAAAATGATTACAACTCTTTAGGGAAGCAACTTGGCAATGTGTAGCAAGAGCCATAAAAATACTTTCATCTTTGCTAGAATGTGTGTTCCTGTGCGTGTGCGTGTATGTGTGTGTGTATTTCAGGATGATTTTTTTTGCTTTTAATTTTTTGTTTGAATGTTTTATTTTGAAAAAAATTAAATGTGCTTCACTTGGAACTCCCATCTGCTTCCCCAATCTGTATTATTTTGTACCAAATCCCAGATACCATATTGGCTTTTAATTTTGATTATTGTTTTTGATATATAGTAATTCAGTTGTGAGGAACGTATTTTAGGAAAAGAATTTGAAATATTGGAAAGGCTTATGTTTAATAAGTTCCTAACAGAATTATTTGTAATGGTACAAAAATTGAAAGCAACTATCCAGCACTAAGTCAAAATATAAATTGTGGAATGTACACTTGATGGAATACCATACCTAAAGTGAAGCCTGTGAAGAGTTTATGGTAACATGGAAAAAGATTATGCTGTTAAATAAATAAATGAATAAGATGGTTAAGCATGTATATAGAATCAAATAAGCAAGCAAAAACATGGCTTGGAAAAATATGAGAAGGAACTATACTAAAATGCTGAATAATGATTTACTAGTGTCATAGTCTTACAGTTTTGTGGGTGTATTTTTTCCTTTTGCCTGGGGTTCAATATAGTCCATATTTTTATATTGACCATTAATTAATATTATGGTAGGAAAAATGCAGTAATCTTGAATTGTGATAAAAACATAGAACATCATGTTGGGCTTTAGATAATCATGCAACCTGACTGTAATCTTTTTTTTTGGCAATTGTGGGAACAAATTATAAGGACAAATAATATCAAAGAAGGATTTTGATAGGATTTTCCTTGTGGAAAAATTTGCAAATAACTGCTGTCATTCCTATCTTCTCCTAGTTAACTTTTCTTCTTTAACCACTTAAAAAAAAAGACAAGGAAAACATTTATTAAAAAATCTCCCACGAATACCTTTGCTTATGAAGTATAAACAAAACAATAATAAAATAGCCTGACTCTTTTGTTCTTTCTTTCTAACTTTCTGAAAGGTTAATTTGTTGGCATTAAGTTAGCTTCTCATTTCTAATTTGTCTTCCTCTATTTTCTTTTAGTTCTTGGAATTTGCACTAAAACTCTTAAACATCAATGTGTTCAGCTGTATTTGTGAAAGAAATATTCCTTATCTAATAGCATTTAGATAATAACAGTTAAAATTTCTTAAAAAACTCAATTCGAGTGCCCAAGTAGTTGTGTGCTTATTCTGTTTAGTTTGTTTATTGCATTTCAAATGAGTTTAAGTGTGAGTTACAATTTGTGACTGAGGCTCTGGCTACCCTCTCTCCCTGTACTCCTTTGACCCTCATGCTAAGGTGACATCTCAGCCCACACAGCTGAATTTCAAAATAAAGCATATTGCCTGGTTTTTAGTTGTCTTCTGGGGCCTCTAGAGGTGCAGTAATACAAAGAGCTACTCCATGAAGCATTTTTCTTTCATTGAAATCTAAGATAACTTTATTCAAATTCTCTGATTTTCCAAGTCAGCTTCATTTCAAAGCAGAAAGCCAAGAATGCTTTCCAGACTTTAGCAATTTCCTTTATTGCTCCATATTCTTTCTTAGGAATGACAGTGCACACTTGTAATCCTCCTACCATAGGATCCCCCTGCACTGAAGAGGGAGTTCCCGGTGAATTTCTGATCAGTAAAAAGGATATGTTTTAAGGGAAAAGCTATATTTTACTATAAGAAATTATCGATGATATATAATAGTAACAGAAACTTTTGCCTGTCATTTAGGTTGCTGTGACAGAGGGAAAGGACATGATAAATGGCACTTGAAACTTTTGACTAGAAGTATCACATACCACTTTTGCTTGTATTTCATTGCTCAAAGCAGTGACATGTTTACTCTTAAAGGGGGAGTAAGTAAATATAGTATAATGATATAATAAAGATATAAAGGAATGTTTGTTTATCATTTGTAAGTACTTTCATAGATCTGATTGGTTGATTGATTAGTTTATTTAAATAAAATTTATTGAATGCTTACTGTTTATCATTGTTGTATTACTAGTGCCTATCATATGCACAAGGGACAAGATTCCTGCACTCATGGAGCTAACGTTGTGATAATATTGTTTTGGAAATAAGCTTGTCAGTATTTATCAAGAACCTTAACAATTCTTTTATCTTTTTTCCCCATTAATTTCACTTCTGGACTGCTACACTAAGGAGATATTATTAAATATGAAAATATGTATAATGATAAGATAACAGTTTTCTTTGTAATATTGAAAAATCAGAAACAGATGTCTAGTAGGAAAATAGAGGGAACTCTATTATATTTACTCATAGAATATTGTGAACTCATCAGTTTGTATTAGAAACATTTGCTACATTTTTTAGTGGCTATTTTCAATAACATTTTAGCATCCTGTGGTGACATAAAGCAGATAACATAGTTCATTCTGGGTGTAAGGACTAGCAAATGGTGAAGATTTTAGATTGTTAGGATTACATAGGATAATTATATGTCCCCAAGTATTGAGTTTATATACAAGGAGATTAGGAGGATGTAGAGAAACTAGAAGTTTTGAATTCTAATAGTGTATCCAGTCATTCAAGGAGACATATCCTGAAGGAAACTGGAAATACAGAATCAGAGACTGGTTAAAAATAAAGGCTAAAAATGTTCTTTGGGGATTCATCAGTATGGAAATGTTAGTTGATCTTGTGGAAGCAGATGAGCTGTGAAGGAGTGAATCAAGATGAAGGAGAATATAGGCAGAGAATCAAAGGGGGATGCTGGTGGGATAGAAGAGGAAAAGGATCTTGAAGAGAGTGACAGAAAGAACAGAGGGATAGGAGAATCAGGAAAATTTTCTGTTTGGGGAAATTGTGGAGTAAAGAACTTTTTGAAGGGAAGTAGAGCAGAGGCAGAGGAGAAAGATAGGAGGAACAATTTTATTGGTAATTTAGGGTAGTTTTCCTGGTAACTTAGGGTGGTACAATGGTAAGTTATTCATTTGTTAAAACAGAAAGCATATTATGTTTATTTTTGACAGAATGATAGCATTCCATAAGTTTTTTTTTTTCTTGAGATGGTGTCTTGTTCTGATGCCCAAGCTGGAGTGCAGTGGCATGATCTTGGCTCACTGCAACCTCTGCCTCCCAAGTTCAAGTGATTCTCCTGCCTCAGCCTCCTGAGTAGCTGGGGAGTACAGGCGCACGCCATCACGCCCAGCTAAATTGTATTTTTTGGTGGAGATGGGGTTTCACCATGTTGCCCAGGCTAGTCACAAACTCCTGACCTCCAGTGACCCACCTGCCTCAGCCTCCCAGAGTGCTGGGATTACAGGCGTGAACCACCGTGCCCTGGTGCATTCTATAAAAATTGATCAAAGTCTTTTGACTCTTTAAAAACCACTTTTAATTAAAGACTCGATAGAGTAAGCAGAAATTATTTACATTTTTAATAGAAATTTAGTCATACAATGAAAATGCACTCGAACATTTGTTGATACAAAGACAAGATTTATACTAAGAAGTAGTCAAAAATACCAATTTTATTTATTGATTTATTGGAAAAATAATGTATATCTTGGAGACTGGAGCAGGCTAAGTGACTTGAAAGCTGCAAGAGAGAAAAAAAGGTAGCACATTTAAGCTTTAAATCTTTTAGACAAAAATATCTAGATAGTATGGTTCTGTTTAGAAACTCAAAGATTTATATGCTATATCTTGAAGCAACTAAAGGACATGGTGAACATTTTTCATATGTCACAAAGTGTTTTATATTTTTGCTTTAAGGGACAAATTAGCAATATTTGGAGACTTCACAATAACTTTGTGGGGAGAGCTAGGGCATTTGTAATGAGAAAAATATAGTTTTGCCATGTATGAAAAAGTAAGTTATAGGTCAGTAAAATGTTTCAGTATCTTGTATACCTAGAAGGACTGCTGTGACAATTGTGCCTGTATAGATCTCATTTATCCTTAAAACCTTCTAGTTTTAAATTGGTACAGACAGTGTCCTTAGTCAAGTAGTATGGTTGGAATATATTTAAATTTTTGTTTATATATTCTGTTTTTGGCCCACTGCAGAATCTAACAGACAGGTTTTTATAGTTTTCTTTTTTTTTTCAAGGCCAGTATTAAGTAAAATGTAGCAGGTGATCTGATTTTGTATAATTGATAAATATTTAGAATGTTAGGTTTTTAGTTAGGAAAAGACCTTATTGATCATCTGCATTTCACCTGCTTTTGCAGATAAAGGACTTGAGACACAGGAAAATTAAATATTCTAGTTCCACTAGAAGTGAGCTATCTGACTGTCAATATGTGTATTTCCAATAATCTCTGCTGCACCTTATCTTACAATATCTGTGCTAAAATGTAAATGTAACCAGGTAGAGAATTACCATTGACTCACTGTTGATGTGGTTTCAGTAATTCAGCAAACCAGAATCCTGAGTCAAGTATCATGTAGTAGGTAAGAGAAGAGAGAGGGAAGGAAATCTAGGCATGGGATGTTCAGTCTGTTACTGTAAGAATTGCTCTGGTCTTGGAGACAAAGGGCCTGGGATTCAGTTTTGACAATGCCACTTATTAACTGTGATTTTAGAGCAAAACCCTAAATTCTCCAACCTTCAGTTTCTTTATATATGAAATGGGAATAAACATTGTTGCGGTACTTACTTCTAGGTTAACTGTGAGAATCAAGGCCACTGTGAGAGTCAGTTTCTAGTTTACCAACATTTATTTGCTGTTACTATGTGCTAGGCAATATTGTAGCCTTCAACAATACAAAGACAATGGAAACTTTTATAACATATTACAAAAGGCTAAAAACTAAGAAGTAATATTTAGCAGGAAGTCTGATTGATATCGTTCATAAATATTTAGAATATTTTGTTTTTAATTTGGAAAAGACCTTAGTGTTCAAGAGAGACTTTTGTCTCCTTAGTCTTCAAAGAGATTACAACTTGGAGAGATGATCCTTTAGGCAAAAAGCCTTATGATGTAGTTGATTGAGATTGTCATTATAATAACAGCAGTTTTACAAGCTGTTAACTAATCTAGGATTGAAGAGAGGAAAGGAATGTCAGCAGTACATCAAAAAGGAAGAATATAATTTTCTTAGAAGTAGAGGAATGAGTGTTTTTTCATTTTTATTATTTTGCTTTAAGCCAGCTCCATTATGTGATACCATCTTGTTTGCCCTTCTGCTAGAGACCAAACCACCCCTACCACTGTTTTAGTAAACAAGAGATTGAATAACCTTAGTTCAGTCAAGGATCTCACCTTTTCTTGCCCTAAAGAGTTATTTGGCTTCATTGAGATTTTGACTATCAGTTTTAAGATTCATAAATTTCTAGCAGTCTGTGTGGATTATTCTAGTGTTACTATTTAAGGAAATGATGACCCTCTAGTGACAGGTTTTCTGATTGTAAGCTATTTGCCATTTATAATCCTGCTATATGTTTTTGCACTTATATTTGTGGTGTTTTATGCATTCTAAGATGTCTATTTTTTCATATTTGAACATACCTGAAACTGGGATGCTTCTTTGAATTGATGGACTCAAAATCCATGTTGGGTAGGTGGTGGTTTTGATGGAGTTGTTATCTGTGCATGTGTGAATGTGGTCATAATGTCAAAGTTTAATTGAGTTATATGCACTTCAGGTATTCTGATGATTCCCAAATCCTATGATTTAGGCTTAGAAGGATAAGTAATATATACTCATCTATCTACATGAGAGGCATGGGGCAGAACAGTGGAATATATGATACAGATATCCAAAAAATGAAATCTAATTGATAAAAAAGCATTATGTCTTAGTTTAATTGGCAGCCTTTTTGCTTCTAGGGATATATAAATAGTAAACTTATATCATATAATGATGGTGCTTTGGATTCATTCATATTTGGATTCAAAATATTGATGCTGCAGTATTTTATTTTGAGTAATTTGAATGGGATGACTTATGACTTAATGGAAATTTTAAGAAAGCCTGTTTATGGAAGGTGGATCAAAAGTCATACTTTTAGTGATAGATTCTGTCAAGGGATACTTTTAAAGAAAGGTTAAAATCATGTCTTTTATTCAAATGTAAAAAGAATGGGTATCAAAGACTTTATTAAGCTCATTAATTAATGAGGGGATCAGTAAGATGTTACAAATAATTCAAAGGAGAATTTTAAGAGCACACATATATGGGCAATCAAGGATGCTGAAATGAATGTGAAACAGACGCAAAACTGGTTAATAGCCACAGGCCAATTATCCATTTCATTTCACTGGACACAATTTATTTGCATTTTTATGGAAAAGAATTGTTTGTATTATTCTGTGTCTTACAACTGCATGGTTGTAAAGTAGCAGAAAGACAATGTGAGGCTCATATTCTGACTGACTCAGATAATCTGGAAGGGTATACTAGATAGGACATCCACTAATATTTTGCATATTTCAGTGTTTCACAATTTTCCTGACAAATCTTAAAGTTTAGAAGTTTTCCTGATAGACTTTGTATCAAATTTTAATTTCATGGGAAGGATTTCATTCAGACCATGCTAGAAAGATGATTACCTGATGTTTTCTTATGGTTTCTCCCTTAATCATTCATCATTCCATCTAGCTGTGTTAGAGTGTTAATGGTTTTGAATTTCTCATTTATATCTTTGGGTCAGTAAATTGAATTTAATCCAGATTATATTTTTGGGTAAAGAGAAACTTAAAAAAAAGCTTTAAAACTAAGGGATCTACAAACACTTATTGATTATATACTTTATAAAAGCCCATCTAATTAAAATAAATTATCTCAATAATTCTTAATAATGAAACTATAAAAATTATAAGAAGAATCTTAGGAATATTTTTTAGTAATTTTTTTTGAAATGATACACAGGAAATATTAATGAAATTAGCTATATTTGAGTGGGTCTTTGTATTTAATTCCTTTTATACTTCCTTTAGTGAGTTGAGAATGAATAGTTTCCCATTTTTTAATGGGGTTAATCGCTTAAATATGGAGAAATGGAAAATTAAATGTATTTGATGGAGAGCAGAATCAAAGCTATGATCACAAAATATATACTTTTTCAAAATTAAAATAAAAAATTTTAACTTTATTTTTACCCATGAATTTTGACTGAGAATAAGTTGTCACTTGATGAGCCACGTGTGGTGGCCTGCACCTGTGGTCCCAGCTATTCTGGAGGCAGAGATGGAGGATTACTTGAGACCTTCAAGTTGAGGCTTCAGTTAGTTGCGATCGCATCACTGCACTCCAGCCTAGCTGACAAAGCAAGACCCCATCTCTAATAAAAAACAAAAACCAAAAACCCTCAAAAAGTCCAAAGTTTTTTATATGGTTTCAATTCACTGTTAGAAAGTTGTCTCACAATGCTTTGATGATGTATTAAATATATGAATGCATGAAGTTCTTACTGAGCATGCAGATACAGTTATTTAAGTGTTATGTGTATCAGCTGGGTGAGGTATATTTTTGAGACGTAACCCTTTACATTTGAAAGTCTGGTATTTAATTTGGCTAAACTTCCCAAACCATAGGGAAATACTCATTGATCCATTAACTTATTCAGCAAATATTTATTGAGTGCTTATTATAAGGCAATCATTTTATAAATGCATTTTATTTTAGGGATCTTTCTCTTGCCACAAATAAAATAACAGGAAGGATTGAGTTTTGCCGTGTTAGAGTGATTCTTGGGTTGGATCAAGACATTGGTGAGGGATAACCAGACAATTACCTGGACTTCCCAAAATCATCCTTCAGTCTTTTTACTTTCCTGTCACTGACTCCCTATTAACCATAAAGATGATCTCTCGGTTTCATCCTCTTCTATTGGTAGCATGTATCTTTACATGTGCTTAATCAGTTTAAAGCAAGTTACCGATATCAAACAATGCTCCAATGATACCGATATGAAACAATGCTCCAATTTACAATGAATACTTTAAAAATGACACTTAAATTTGTTAAATAGCTTCACAAATGCGTCTCTCAATCTGTTTCTAACGGGCTTTTGTGAAGGTTTTTGAAGGGCCGTGCTGATCAGTGGAAAATCAGAAGAGGGAATCTGCTGTCATAGTGGGGAGAAGGCATCAAGGAAAATGTACACAGCAAATAATTAAGGTGGTAAATGTATACAAGAGGTATTCAAGGCAGGAAACTGCGAAGACACTGCCTAAATAAGAGTGAAGAAGCAAGCTATACAGTGGGATGCCATAAAAATGAGGTCAGCTACGAACAGAAGTATTATCTGGGTTTCAATGAAGGCTGCAGTGTGCACAGATTACTTCCAGTTGTAGCAATGGACACTTATCTATGATAATGACACGAAGATTAGAAAAATCACATGCAATTAGAATCGGAACAACATGTAGTTTAGGTAGTGCTACCTCAGGTGGGGAGTTTGATACTGGTAAAGTAATAGTTTATTTATTCAGTAGAGCTCCTACTATGTGTCAGACACTGTTCTAGGTATTTGAGATTGGCCAGTGAACAAAATGATGTAGATCCCTGCCCTTTTGAAGCTTACTTTCTAGCAACAAGTGACATAATAGGTATAGTAAATATGTACATTTTTTTGTTAGGAGATAAGTACTATAGAAAAGAGTACTGTAAAGAGGATCAGGAGTGTTGGAGGAGATTATAGTAGATTGCTGTATTAAATAGAGTAATAATTTGCTTTTGAATTGGAGAGCTATAGCAACCTGCTCCTTAGTTTTATTTCCTCTACCTTGCGACTTCAGAGAATTGGAAGTTGGACCTCCCCACAGAGATTTAGTGGCAGAGGAACAGGAAGTCAACGGATGTGTATTTTTCAAGATTGTAATAAAATTTGGATAGTTCACTCATGATCTTCTCTTTGTCCTTTAATTTCTTTTTTATTCAGCAGTAGAAAATGATAAAAACATGTTACTGGAAAATGGGCTGCAAATTATCAGAGTTCTAAAACAGAGATATATAATTTATTGGAAATAAATCTTACTTATGAAGGATTTTGGTAGCATTTGAGTCATGTGCTTCATAGGAATCTCAGGACAATTTTGTGTAACTATGGTTTGCTTAGGGAATTCTAAGTTTTATCTACTTTTCAAAAGACCAGTGTAATCAATGTTTCTTTGGCAAAACTCTATATATCTTGACAGCTTGTTAAAATAATAGTTAGCTTCTGGCTTTCAATTTCACATATGGAGACTGTATCATAAATTGCTTTACTAAACCTGATGCATATGTATAGTCATGGTAGATTATACAAGATTGTTGCTGATAAAAACTAAAGTAAGGCTCAAAATTAGACTATAAACCTGCATCTTGATTAATATGTAACTGTTACTAGAAAAACATAAGTCTAAAGTATTTCATGTATCACTGAATAATGTAATGTCTCCAATAGATACTACACTGAAGGACAGTAGGAAGGGAGATACCTTCCCCAGCCTTACTGCCCTTCAGTGACCAGAATTGTTTCAAGTCTGTGTGGAAAGGCACTATTAATTTTTTATTCCCTATGACCTGTGTATCTTCTCTTATCTTCTACTTAATCCTTTCTTTTAAAAAAGTATATATTGATTTCTTGCATATGCTTCTAGTGATATATCGAGAGAAAACGTAGGATTTCTTTGTTTGAAAGGGTTTCTTCCTTTCCTAATAAATCATTTTGCCTTGCCTTCTCTCTGCTTTTTTCCTTTATTCTCTTGTTCTTCCCTGTTCTTTTTTTTTTTTTTTAATTATACTTTAAGTTTTAGGGTACATGTGCACATTGTGCAGGTTAGTTACATATGTATACATGTGCCATGCTGGTGCGCTGCACCCCCTAACTCGTCATCTAGCATTAGGTATATCTCCCAATGCTATCCCTCCCCCCTCCCCCCTCCCCACCACAGTCCCCAGAGTGTGATATTCCCCTTCCTGTGTCCATGTGATCTCATTGTTCAATTCCCACCTATGAGTGAGAATATGCAGTGTTTGGTTTTTTGTTCTTGCGATAGTTTACTGAGAATGATGGTTTCCAATTTCATCCATGTCCCTACAAAGGACATGAACTCATCATTTTTTATGGCTGCATAGTATTCCATGGTGTATATGTGCCACATTTTCTTAATCTAGTCTATCATTCTTGGACATTTGGGTTGGTTCCAAGTCTTTGCTATTGTGAATAATGCCGCAATAAACATACGTGTGCATGTGTCTTTATAGCAGCATGATTTATAGTCATTTGGGGGTATATACCCAGTAATGGGATGGCTGGGTCAAATGGTATTTCTAGTTCTAGATCCCTGAGAAATCGCCACACTGACTTCCACAATGGTTGAACTAGTTTACAGTCCCACCAACAGTGTAAAAGTGTTCCTATTTCTCCACATCCTCTCCAGCACCTGTTGTTTCCTGACTTTTTAATGATCGCCATTCTAACTGGTGTGAGATGATATCTCATGGTGGTTTTGATTTGCATTTCTCTGATGGCCAGTGATGATGAGCATTTTTTCATGTGTTTTTTGGCTGCATAAATGTCTTCTTTTGAGAAGTGCCTGTTCATGTCCCTCGCCCACTTTTTGATGGGGTTGTTTGTTTTTTTCTTGTAAATTTGTTTGAGTTCATTGTAGATTCTGGATATTAGCCCTTTGTCAGATGAGTAGGTTGTGAAAATTTTCTCCCATGTTGTAGGTTGCCTGTTCAGTCTGATGGTAGTTTCTTTTGCTGTGCAGAAGCTCTTTAGTTTAATTAGATCCCATTTGTCAATTTTGGCTTTGGTTGCCATTGCTTTTGGTGTTTTGGACATGAAGTCCTTGCCCACGCCTATGTCCTGAATGGTAATGCCTAGGTTTTCTTCTAGGGTTTTTATGGTTTTAGGTCTAACGTTTAAATCTTTAATCCATCTTGAATTGATTTTTGTATAAGGTGTAAGGAAGGGATCCAGTTTCAGCTTTCTACATATGGCTAGCCAGTTTTCCCAGCACCGTTTATTAAATAGGGAATCCTTTCCCCATTGCTTGTTTTTGTCAGGTTTGTCAAAGATCAGATAGTTGTAGGTATGCGGCGTTATTTGAGGGCTCTGTTCTGTTCCATTGATCTATATCTCTGTTTTGGTACCAGTACCATGCTGTTTTGGTTACTGTAGCCTTGTAGTATAGTTTGAAGTCATGTAGTGTGATGCCTCCAGCTTTGTTCTTTTGGCTTAGGATTGACCTGGCGATGCGGGCTCTTTTTTGGTTCCATATGAACTTTAAAGTAGTTTTTTCCAATTCTGTGAAGAAAGTCATTGGTAGCTTGATGGGGGTGGCATTGAATCTGTAAATTACCTTGGGCAGTATGGCCATTTTCACAATATTGATTCTTCCTACCCATGAGCATGGAATGTTCTTCCATTTGTTTGTATCCTCCTTTATTTCCTTGAGCAGTGGTTTGTAGTTCTCCTTGAAGAGGTGCTTCACATCCCTTGTAAGTTGGATTCCTAGGTATTTTATTCTCTTTGAAGCAATTGTGAATGGGAGTTCACTCATGATTTGGCTCTCTGTTTGTCTGTTGTTGGTGTATAGGAATGCTTGTGATTCTTGTACATTGATTTTGTATCCTGAGACTTTGCTGAAGTTGCTTATCAGCTTAAGGAGATTTTGGGCTGAGACGATGGGGTTTTCTAGATAAACAATCATGTCGTCTGCAAACAGGGACAATTTGACTTCCTCTTTTCCTAATTGAATACCCTTTATTTCCTTCTCCTGCCTGATTGCCCTGGCCAGAACTTCCAACACTATGTTGAATAGGAGTGGTGAGAGAGGGCATCCCTGTGTTGTGCCAGTTTTCAAAGGGAATGCTTCCAGTTTTTGCCCATTCAGTATGATATTGGCTGTGGGTTTGTCATAGATAGCTCTTATTATTTTGAAATACGTCCCATCAATACCTAATTTATTGAGAGTTTTTAGCATGAAGGGTTGTTGAATTTTGTCAAAGGCTTTTTCTGCATCTATTGAGATAATCATGTGGTTTTTGTCTTTGGCTCTGTTTATATGCTGGATTACATTTATTGATTTGCGTATATTGAACCAGCCTTGCATCCCAGGGATGAAGCCCACTTGATCATGGTGGATAAGCTTTTTGATGTGCTGCTGAATTCGGTTTGCCAGTATTTTATTGAGGATTTTTGCATCAATGTTCATCAAGGATATTGGTCTAAAATTCTCTTTTTTTGTTGTGTCTCTGCCCGGCTTTGGTATCAGAATGATGCTGGCCTCATAAAATGAGTTAGGGAGGATTCCCTCTTTTTCTATTGATTGGGATAGTTTCAGAAGGAATGGTACCAGTTCCTCCTTGTACCTCTGGTAGAATTCGGCTGTGAATCCATCTGGTCCTGGACTCTTTTTGGTTGGTAAACTATTGATTATTGCCACAATTTTAGCTCCTGTTATTGGTCTATTCAGAGATTCAACTTCTTCCTGGTTTAGTCTTGGGAGAGTGTATGTGTCGAGGAATGTATCCATTTCTTCTAGATTTTCTAGTTTATTTGCGTAGAGGTGTCTGTAGTATTCTCTGATGGTAGTTTGTATTTCTGTGGGATCGGTGGTGATATCCCCTTTATCATTTTTTATTGTGTCTATTTGATTCTTCTCTCTTTTTTTCTTTATTAGTCTTGCTAGCGGTCTATCAATTTTGTTGATCCTTTCAAAAAACCAGCTCCTGGATTCATTGATTTTTTGAAGGGTTTTTTGTGTCTCTATTTCCTTGAGTTCTGCTCTGATTTTAGTTATTTCTTGCCTTCTGCTAGCTTTTGAATGTGTTTGCTCTTGCTTTTCTAGTTCTTTTAATTGTGATGTTAGGGTGTCAATTTTGGATCTTTCCTGCTTTCTCTTGTGGGCATTTAGTGCTATAAATTTCCCTCTACACACTGCTTTGAATGTGTCCCAGAGATTCTGGTATGTTGTGTCTTTGTTCTCGTTGGTTTCAAAGAACATCTTTATTTCTGCCTTCATTTCGTTATGTACCCAGTAGTCATTCAGGAGCAGGTTGTTCAGTTTCCATGTAGTTGAGCGGCTTTTAGTGAGGTTCTTAATCCTGAGTTCTAGTTTGATTGCACTGTGGTCTGAGAGATAGTTTGTTATAATTTCTGTTCTTTTACATTTGCTGAGGAGAGCTTTACTTCCAACTATGTGGTCAATTTTGGAATAGGTGTGGTGTGGTGCTGAAAAAAATGTATATTCTGTTGATTTGGGGTGGAGAGTTCTGTAGATGTCTATTAGGTCCGCTTGGTGCAGAGCTGAGTTCAATTCCTGGGTATCCTTGTTGACTTTCTGTCTCGTTCATCTGTCTAATGTTGACAGTGGGGTGTTAAAGTCTCCCATTATTAATGTGTGGGAGTCTAAGTCTCTTTGTAGGTCACTCACGACTTGCTTTATGAATCTGGGTGCTCCTGT
Source organism: Homo sapiens (assembly GCF_000001405.40). NCBI lineage: Eukaryota > Metazoa > Chordata > Mammalia > Primates > Hominidae > Homo > Homo sapiens. Next base: position 111,448,033 of record NC_000007.14, on the reverse strand, counting down.
ATTGGGTGCATATATATTTAGGATAGTTAGCTCTTCTTGTTGAATTGATCCCTTTACCATTATGTAATGGCCTTCTTTGTCTCTTTTGATCTTTGTTGGTTTAAAGTCTGTTTTATCAGAGACTAGGATTGCAACCCCTGCCTTTTTTTGTTTTCCATTTGCTTGGTAGATCTTCTTCCATCCTTTTATTTTGAGCCTATGTGTGTCTCTGCACGTGAGATGGGTTTCCTGAATGCAGCACACTGATGGGTCTTGACTCTTTATCCAACTTGCCAGTCTGTGTCTTTTAATTGGAGAATTTAGTCCATTTACATTTAAAGTTAATATTGTTATGTGTGAATTTGATCCTGTCATTATGATGTTAGCTGGTGATTTCGTTCCTTAGTTGATGCAGTTTCTTCCTAGTCTCGATGGTCTTTACATTTTGGCATGATTTTGCAGCGGCTGGTACCGGTTGTTCCTTTCCATGTTTAGCGCTTCCTTCAGGAGCTCTTTTAGGGCAGGCCTGGTGGTGACAAAATCTCTCAGCATTTGCTTGTCTGTAAAGTATTTTATTTCTCCTTCACTTATGAAGCTTAGTTTGGCTGGATATGAAATTCTGAGTTGAAAATTCTTTTCTTTAAGAATGTTGAATATTGGCCCCCACTCTCTTCTGGCTTGTAGGGTTTCTGTCGAGAGATCCGCTGTTAGTCTGATGGGCTTCCCTTTGAGGGTAATCCGACCTTTCTCTCTGGCTGCCCTTAACATTTTTTCCTTCATTTCAACTTTGGTGAATCTGACAATTATGTGTCTTGGAGTTGCTCTTCTCGAGGAGTATCTTTGTGGCGTTCTCTGTATTTCCTGAATCTGAACGTCGGCCTGCCTTGCTAGATTGGGGAAGTTCTCCTGGATAATATCCTGCAGAGTGTTTTCCAACTTGGTTCCATTCTCCGCATCACTTTCAGGTACACCAATCAGACGTAGATTTGGTCTTTTCACATAGTCCCATATTTCTTGGAGGCTTTGCTCATTTCTTTTTATTCTTTTTTCTCTAAACTTCCCTTCTCGCTTCATTTCATTCGTTTCATCTTCCATTGCTGATACCCTTTCTTCCAGTTGATCGCATCGGCTCCTGAGGCTTCTGCATTCTTCACGTAGTTCTCGAGCCTTGGTTTTCAGCTCCATCAGCTCCTTTAAGCATTTCTCTGTATTGGTTATTCTAGTTATACATTCTTCTAAATTTTTTTCAAAGTTTTCAACTTCTTTGCCTTTGCTTTGAATGTCCTCCCGTAGCTCAGAGTAATTTGATCGTCTGAAGCGTTCCTCTCTTAGCTCATCGAAATCATTCTCCATCCAGTTTTGTTCCGTTGCTGGTGAGGAACTGCGTTCCTTTGGAGGAGGAGAGGCGCTCTGTGTTTTAGAGTTTCCAGTTTTTCTGTTCTGTTTTTTCTCCATCTTTGTGGTTTTATCTACTTTTGGTCTTTGATGATGGTGATGTACAGATGGGTTTTCGGTGTGGATGTCCTTTCTGTTTGTTAGTTTTTCTTCTAACAGACAGGACCCTCAGCTGCAGGTCTGTTGGAATACCCTGCCGTGTGAGGTGTCAGTGTGCCCCTGCTGGGGGCTGCCTCCCAGTTAGGCTGCTCGGGGGTCAGGGGTCAGGGACCCACTTGAGGAGGCAGTCTGCCTGTTCTCAGATCTCCAGCTGTGTGCTGGGAGAACCACTGCTCTCTTCAAAGCTGTCAGACAGGGACATTTAAGTCTGCAGAGGTTACTGCTGTCTTTTTGTTTGTCTGTGCCCTGCCCCCAGAGGTGGAGCCTACAGAGGCAGGCAGGCCTCCTTGAGCTGTGGCGGGCTCCACCCAGTTTGAGCTTCCAGGCTGCTTTGTTTACCTAAGCAAGCCTGGGCAATGGCGGGCGCCCCTCCCCCAGCCTTGCTGCCGCCTTGCAGTTTGATCTCAGACTGCTGTGCTAGCAATCAGCGAGATTCCGTGGGCGTAGGACCCTCCGAGCCAGGTGTGGGATACAGTCTCGTGGTGCGCCGTTTCTTAAGCCGGTCTGAAAAGCGCAATATTCGGGTGGGAGTGACCCGATTTTCCAGGTGCGTCCATCACCCCTTTCTTTGACTAGGAAAGGGAACTCCCTGACCCCTTGCGCTTCCCAGGTGAGGCAATGCCTCGCCCTGCTTCGGCTCACGCACGGTGCGCGCACCCACTGGCCTGCGCCCACTGTCTGGCACTCCCTAGTGAGATGAACCCGGTACCTCAGATGGAAATGCAGAAATCACCCGTCTTCTGCGTCACTCACGCTGGGAGCTGTAGACCGGAGCTGTTCCTATTCGGCCATCTTGGCTCCTCCTCTTCCCTGTTCTTTAATTAATCCCATTTCCCAATCTCCGCCCTTTTAGCACTCCATAAAAGGGATCATGTAATCTGAAACCTAGAACGTTAGAATATATTTGAGAATGCCCATGTCTTAGAGAACGTGCTTGAATTCTAATTCTCCATTAGTCCTTTAAAGTTTCGTTATTCTCAGTCTTCACATTTATACTTCTTTATTATTCATCATGATCTTGTATGATTTTGTTCCTTTGAAGGCCAAACCAGTTTAAACTTATGTATGTATGTATGTATGTATGTATGTTTGTGTCTATTTTTTTTTCATTCTTCTAGGAAAGGGGGAATAAATTGCTAGGAAGGAGTAAAGATGGTAAGATGTTTTCTGACTTGGGGAGCTGGTCCTCACTTAAGCTGAGAGCACCTGTAGTGGAAAAATATATGAGATTTCATTTTTTTTTGGCTCCCCACAGTTTGTCTGCCCAAAACAATGTCCTGCAGTGTTCTTGGGGATGTGTAAGAGCACGACTTTTTTTTCCCTATAAATCTAGAGAAGGATAATTGTGAGAAGAGAGATGGGAAAGGATATCATACTTGAGAGGCACTTTCTCACATAGGTCATTTTTAGGAAAAATTTTTATGGACGTTTAGATCTAGCAATTGATTTCCTTAAATATATTTATATGCCTAGCTGTTTCTTAGAAAAATCTTCTAAGGCTCAACATTAGACTATAAACCTGCATCTTGATTAATATATAACTGTTACAAGAAAAACGTAAGTCTAAAGTATTTCATGTATCACTGAATAATGTAATGTCTCCAATAGATATTATGCTGAAGGACAGTAGGAAGGGACAGACCTTCCTACTGTAATTAGAGGGGCATATCTACTCCAATTTGAAGACCACTGCATTATGCCATATAGTTTCTGTTCTTGCTTATCATTTTTGCTCTCTTACTTCTTTGTTTTAGGTATATTCATTATCATCAGGGTTAACAGTGTCCTGTTGTTTATTTTCTGAGTGTAGGAAGTATATAAATTTTGTCTGTATGGCTGGATTTGATGGTTAAATACTTGATAAAGATGTAGCAGTAGAAGCGATGAGGAAAATGAAGAGAAGGAGAATGAAGAAAAGTAAAAAATAATTTAAAAAAATTCAACACTTATTTGCAGGCACTTAACAATGCTAGACGCTGTTATAATCACTATAAATATTAAATCTTTATTTAGTCCTATTTGTACCCCTAGAGGCACTTACTGTTATTATCCCCATTTTATAGATAAGAAAATTATGGCACTGAGAGGTTAAGAAACTTGTCCAAGCTTGTAAGTGGTGGAAGCAGAATTTGAACCAAGCAGTCTTACTCTAGAAAGAGCCTTAGCCACTGTGCCATCTTTCTTGTTATGTGCATGTGTGTGCATATACATATACATCTATGTGAACATATTCACCAATGCATTAGCTGAGCTAGACCATAAATATATGTATCAGCGGATACATGAATATGCACAATATTTTAAACCCTCAGAAAAAGGACAATGTAATTAATGAAGAAAAACATGAAGGATATGAGAATGGGGAAAATAGAAAAAAAGTAACAACCTTATTTCTCTCAAGTGACAAAGTGATTTTTTAAAAATAGAAACACAACATTTAAAGATACTTTCATAGCAAGCCTATACTTTTAATATTTTGTGATATTTGCAGAGAAATAATTTTAAAATCTATTTAAACATTTTTCACCTTTTGAAATTATATACCCTGTGAAGATGCACATACTGTATGCTTTACAGTTCAGTTTTCACATATAATAATGCCACCTAAACTTTTCCTTCCTTCTAATAGATAAAAAATCAAATTCCTTCTTTTTTAACTTTCCACCCCTTTCACTGTGGCTGTAGAGAAAAAAAATTGAAAATACACTAAGTTTAAAGATACTTAGTGATCCCCACATTTAAAAATAGGAAGAAGAATGAGTGGTAGCTGAACATATTTGAATTAATATAATAGTTTCCGATATTTTAATAATTGCACCTTTTCAGTGTTGTGTCAAAACATTTGAAAAAATGGATTCTGAAGTCCTTCTGGGATATTTTGAGGAGAGTTCTGTTCTGTGCAGTCTGGACTGGGAAGAAATGTAAAGCAGCACACTAGGATGTCCCCATATTTAGAACTCTTCAGAGGAGACTTGATAAATGTTTGAGCTCTTTGTGCTTAGCTGCACCAAGCTGCTTCAAGCTTACTAGGCATTCTGGAAATTAAGTTGATTTTGGGTCAAAGAGTGACTGTGATTTTATCCTCCTCTGCATCCTTAACCAGCCCACTCAGTTTTCCTTCTCTTAAGACAGTGGTCGTAGTACTCCAGTTGTCTTTAAAGTAGCAAGTTCCTTTGATAGGCTTGTAAAATAACTTATTGCATTTGAAAATTTGGATTACTGTATTGAACAGAGGTATAAGTAATTAACAGAGAAATTATTGTCTCTGATATATCATGTAGCCATGTGTGAATTACCTTTTTGGAGCTTTATTTTCTCATTTTTAAAATGAAGGGGATTGAATGAGATAACCTTAAAACCTTCATCTTAAAAAACATAAAATCAACCTATGCTATTATGTGTGTGTATTTTTACTAATTTATCTTTGAAGTTTGTGATACATGCTCTGGAAAGAAAAACTCAAATGAAAAATCCTCAGTATGTCTGAAGCGAAGGTGAAACTGAGAGATTCTAGATGGTTGTATGAGGCCTGTGTTCCACTTTGGTGTTATCCCTGTCAACATAGAGGCTTTTTTTCTGTTCTGTTTAAATGGTATTTGTAACTAGGTCCAAACCAGCTCAATTTGGATTTTTTATTCACAGTACTTGCTGTGAAGTGGCAATTAACTATATGGGCAAATTTAATCTTAAAACCACTTACTCTCCTGTGATTTACAAAGGACCTCGTAACAGAGAATTGTAGAAAATTCTATTAGTGTATGTATTTAACATTATAGTATCATGTGCTTTATTAGCTGCATCCAGTACTAGTTTATTTGTACCAGAGTGTTTTTTTTGTTAGTTGTTGTCACATTTGAGGTACCTATACAGACATATTGCGGTTGACACTTCGGCCTTCTCATTAGCACAGACCATTTTCTGAAGGTTTGAGATGTATCTTGTAGCCATCTTTGATATGATGGCTGATTTCAGGGTGATTTCATTCAATATTCTGGCATTGATGAAAGTTTATATAGGGAGCAAAGGGTCATGAAAGGGGTAAAATCCAGTATTTGGAAGGTCTAGAAAATCATTCAACTGTAAATGATGAAGTTCTCAAGTACATGTCTCTATAGCTACTTCCAATGATTGAAATGGCAAATAACCTGGAATAGTTTTTGGCTATAACTTCCTACAGTTCCACTAAGGAAGTAGAACTATACTTAGTGTAGTTACACTGAGACTATTGTGAGATTGATTTGTGGAGCATGGTAAGTGGCTCCCAAAAAGGAATCCCTACTTTGCAGTGAACGCTTAACTGTATGGCTTTGGACATTCCTCTGATAAATATTTCAGACTATATTACCTGCAGAGCTTTTTTTTTTGAGATGGAGTCTCGCTCTGTCAGCAGGCTGGAGTACCACTGGCATGATCTCTGCTCACTGCAATCTCCGCTTCCTGGGTTCAAGCGATTCTCTTGCCTCAGCCTCCTGAGAAGCTGGGATAACAGGCACGCACCACCACACCCAGCTAATTTTTGTATTTTTAGTAGAGACAGGGTTTCACCATGTTGGCCAGGGTGGTCTCGATCTACTGACCTTGTGATCTGCCCGCCTTGGCCTCCCAAAGTGCTGGGATTACAGGTGTGAGCCACAGTGCCCGGACTACTTGCAGAGCTTTTCATGTGAGTTTTACACTGTCTTATTTTCCAGTTAGTTGTATACAAGAACACTTTTTTAAAAAATTGTGTTTCATCTCATTGCACTTTGCAGATACTGTGTTTTCTTTTTTTTTTTTTTTTAACAAGTTGAAGGTTTGTGCCAGCTCTGTGTCAAGGAAGTCCGTTGGGACCATTTTTTCAACACCATGTGCTCACTTCATGTCTCTGTGTTACATTGGTAATTTTCACAATATTTCAAACTTTTTTGTTATTATATCTGCTATGATTATCATAATCAGTGATTTTTGATGTCACCATTGTAACTGTTTTGAGGCACCATGACCCACACTCATATAACATGCCCGACCTAATCAGTAAGTGCTAGGTTCTGACTTGACTTCACCTCCACCGACCTGCAGTTCCTCCATCTCTCTCCCTCCCCTTGGGCTTACCTATTCCCTGAGACACAACAATATTGAAATTCGGCCAATTAATAACCCTACAATGGCAAGTGTGCAAGTAAAAGGAAGAGTTGCATGTCTCTCACTTTAAATCAAAAGCTAGAAATTATTCAGCTTAGTGAGGAGGGCGTGTTGAAAGCCTAGATAGGCTGAAAGGTAGGCCTCTTGTGCTGAACAGTTAGCCAGGTTGTGAATGCAAAGCAAAAGTATTTGAATGAAGTGAAAAATGCTACTCCAGTGAATAAATGGATGATGAGAAAGTGAAATAGCCTTATTGCTGTTATGGAGAAAGTTTTAGTGGTTGGACAGAAGATTAAGCCACAAAATTCTCTTAAGCCAAAGCTTAATGTAGAGCAAGGGCCTGACTTCCTTCAATTCTATGAAGGTTGAGAAAGGTGAGGAAGCTTCAGAAGAAAAGTTTGAAGCTAGCAGAGCTGAGTTCATGAGGCTTAAGGAAAGAAACCACTTTCATAACATGTAAGTACAAAGTGAAGCAGCAAGTGCTGATGTAGAAGCTGCAGCAAGTTACCTAGAAGATCCAGCTAAGATAATTGACAAAGGCGCCTACACTACACAGCAGATTTTTAAGCTAGACGAAACAGCTTTATATAGGAAGAAGATACCATCTAGGAGTTCTCTAGCTACAGAGGAGAGGTCAGTGCATGGCTTCAAAGTTTTGAAGGACAGTCTGACTTTGTTGTTAGGGGCTAATGTAGCTGTTCACTTTAAGTTGAAGCCAATGGTCCTTGACCACTCTGAAAATCCTAGGCCCCTTAAGCATTATGCTGAATATGCTCTGACTGTGCTCTATAAATGGAACAACAAAGCCTAGATGATAGCACATCTGTTCATAGCATAGATTGTGGAATATTTTAGGCTCATTCTTGAGACCTACTGCTCAGAAGCAAAGAATCCTTCCAAAATATTACTGCTCATTGATAATGCACCTGGTCACCCAAGAGCTCTGATGGAGATGTACAAGGCGATCAGTGTTTTCCTGCTTGCTAACAATATCCATCCTGTTGCTCAAGGATCACGGAATAATTTTGGCTTTCTAGTCTTATTACTTAAGAAGTACATTTGTTAGGCTATAGCTGCCATAGATAACGATTCCTCTGATGGATCTAGTCAAATTAAGTTGAAAATTTCCTGAAAAGGATTCACCATTCTAGATGCCATTAAGAACTGATTCATGGGATTTGTGATTCATGATTCATGGGAGGAGGTCAAAATACCAACATGAACAGCAGTTTGGAAGAAGTTGATCCTTTGAGGGTTTTAAGACTTCAGGGGAAGAAGTAACTGCAGATGTGGTGGAAACAGTAAAACAGTTTGAATTAGAAGTGGAGTCAGAAGATTTGATTGAATTGCTACAATCTTGTGATAAATCTTGAACGGATGAGGAGGTGCTTCTTATGGATCAGCAAAGAAAGTAGTTTCTTGAGATGGAATCTATGCCTGGTGAAGATGCTATGAACATTGTTGAAACAACCACAAAGGATTTGGAATATCCCATAAACTTAGGTGGTAAAGCAGTGACAGGGTTTTAAAGGACTGACCCTAATTTTGAAAGAAGTTTTACTGTGGGTAAAATGCAATCAAACAGCAATGCATGCTACAGAGAAATCTTTCATGAAGAGAAGAGCCAATTGATGCAGCAAGCTTCATTGTCTTGTTTTAAGAAATTGCCACAACTACCTCACTCTTCAGCAACCACCACCCTGGTCAGTCAGCAGCCATCAACATTGAGGCAAGACACTTCCACAGCTAAAAGATTACAACTTGCCAAAGGCTCAGATGATCATTAGCATTTTTTTAGCAATGAAGTATTTTAAAAATAAAGTGTGTACTTTTTTTTCCATAATGCAATTGCACATCTAATAGATTACAGTTCAGTGTAAATGTAACTTTTATATACACTGTGAAACCAAAAAATTCGTGTGACTCACTTTATTGAGGTGATCTGGAACTGAACCTATGGTATCTCCACTGGTGTGTGTACCTCTGAGGTCTTTCCTTGATGTAATGTGTGAGTACCAGTTTCCCCTGCCTAGATCTTCAGGACTAGAATTGCAGCTTTGAGAAGGTATGAGAGCACTGGAGGGGAAGCTTGAGACTGGGCCACTAGAATTGTGGAGTAGAGATTGGAAGGGAGGATTGGAAAGAGCCATTTCTGAGAAGCAGAGATGAAGGGATTAGCCGTGGAGTAGATGAGTGAAATAGCTAAGCAAGGATGTAAACTTCAGGGAGAAGCATTTCCAGAGGATAGCTGGATGCTGGGGTATAAGACAGAATGATTTGTAGTAGTATGTCCCTGGTGTAGTCAAGGAAGGGCTGATTCTAACTGCTGGACCCCGGCTTGATTTCACATTGTGTCCACATTCTTTTGTTGCCAAGTAATGTTGTCATTTGCATGCAAAGTTCCTCTGAGGCAAGAAGTGTTTCCTAGTCATTTTTATCCTATTAGTGTCCAGCACATAGTAGACAAAACTTTGTTGAATTTTAGTTCATATTTGTGAAGACCTGTATATTTAAATTCAAGATACTTGACAAATGGAGATTGGAAGTTGTAATTTCTTTTTTAAGAGATTGTGTTAGGGGTGTAGAATGAGAGGGCTGTGTTTAGTAACTGATAGTCTTACTGGTCAACATCTATCTTCTGGGAAGAAGCGTGACTAATCCTACACATTCCTTTCACATTGGCTTTCTCTGCTTTCTTTTGCCTATCAGCTTTGTCCAGATTGTAAACAATAACCTAGAAGAGAAAGGTTTTATATTTCATTATCATTTCTTCTAACAACACAGCTTTGTGTGAATAAGACAATATCAAGTAGATTGTTTACCTTGAATTAAATTTCCCAGGAAACAGTTCTAGCATTTAACTTTGATTAAAAGTGAATTTTTGTTCTCTAGAGGATTGTCAGAAGTTGTTATAAAAAGAGCTATGTTTGGAAACAGTGGGTGTGGGACTCCTGAATATAATAGTAATTTAAACTCAGAGGTTTTTCATAAAAATCTTCTTTTTTTAATAAAAAAGAGATGACAGTTTATAAAAAAATGTAGTTCTATAATTTTAGATGTTTAAGAACATAAAAATGGATTACATTAATGATATATAGATTTACAGTATTCTTTGAGACTGTCAGCATGTTATTTTAAAAATAATTGATATGTGTCTAATAGTAAACAATTTAGTATTTTTGGTGAAAAATACTTTAAAAATTTACTGCTATTATAATTCATTCATATTGGCCTTTAATAGGTAACTCCGTTGAGTTGGTTTCTGCCTCAGAAATATTTTGCTGTTATAGATTTCATGGAATAGCAAAGAGCAAATAATTTGTACATGCTTGTGTAACATAATGTTAAAGAATATTTAGGAATTGAAAATGTTGAGGAACAGCTTTTCCTGGCATGCATGCCTAGAGAGGGTTTGCATCACCACTAGGGAGGACACAGAACTGTTAAGATCTCTGGCGTTTTATTACATGTCTGATAATTATTTGTTCACAGCCAGACCTACCATATTCAGTTCTGCAGGTTGTGCACTGCATAACTGTAATGATATTCACATGTGTAAAACCTACACATTTGTATGTAGTGACTCTGGGTTTTGAACAAGATAAAAAAATTTCTTAAGGAGTTTACATTCCAGTGGGCCAGACAGATAATCAATAAATAAGATAGGAATATATCAGATAAAAATAGATACCATACATTGTAAGGTGAAAGCGGCCAGATGGCTGGTTTAGAAGAAATAGTAAAATGAAAAGAACTGGTAATTTAAAAAATAAAATCTTTTATAAATGGTATAATTAAAATTATTTTACATATATTTCTAGACGTTATCGTTTTTGCGTTTTGTTGCTAAAGATAGTCTGACACAGTTATTTGTTTTCACTTTGGGTTTTTAAAAACTGTGATAGCAGTGGGATGCATTAATTTATTTTTTTTGAGATGTAGTTTCGCTCTTGTTGCCCAGTCTGTGGGGCAATGGGCGTGATCTCGGCTCAGTGCAACCTCTGTCTCCCGGGTTCAAGCGATTCTCTTGCCTCAGCCTCCTGAGTAGCTGGGATTACAGGCATGTGGCATGTTGCCTGGTTAATTTTGTATTTTTAGTAGAGATGGGGTTTTTCCACGTTGGTCAGGCTGGTCTCGAACTCATGACCTCAGGTGATCCACCCGCCTTGGCCTCCCAAAGTGCTGGGATTACAGGCACGAGCCACCGTGTCTGGCTGTGGATGTATTTTTTTAAAGATATATTTTGACTGATTTTCATTAAAAAAGAATAAGTGCGTTATATACAGTTTGGATGTTTGTCTGCTCCAAATCTCATGTTGAAATATAACCCCCAATGATGAAGGTAGGGGAGGTGGTTGGGTCATGGGGGCGGATCCCTAATGAAAAGCTTATTGCGTTCCTCATGATAATGAGTGAGTTCTTGCTCTAAGTTCATGCAAAATCTGTTTGTCTAAAAGAGTGTGGCACCTCTCCACTCTTGCTTGCTCTCTTGCCATACCTGCACCCCCTTCACCTTCTGCCATGACTGGAAACTTCCTCAGGCCCTCACCAGGAGCAGATGCTAGCAATCTGCTTCCTGTACAGCCTGTAGAACTGTAAGCCAAAATAAACCTCTTCTTTATAAATTACCCAGTCTGAGGTATTGCTTTATAGCAGTGCAAACAGATTAACACAGTGCAGTTTTGTCTAATGACCTAATGTTAGATTCTTTGAGTTTAACTTAGTGACAGTATTACAAGTATAATAAAATATTTAGGGCTTAAAAATTTTTGGGTTACTTTATTTTGATTTTTTACATAATGAGAAAAAATGTTTAAAAAGTATTCATATATGTGTGGGGTGTGTGTGTGTGTGTGTATGTGTGTGTGTAAGAAAAAAAGACTTGGGAGACAAGTCCGTACTGTCTTACTTAAGAATACATTTTTATGTAAGTTTTCTAGTTTATGAAATATTATGCTGAGAAATTTTGTTTTTGTATTTATACATTGTTTGGTTAAAAGTATACCTTTTTAGAGTGTAGTGTATTTCCTTCCAGCCCAATGTCATTTTTTTTTGTAAACAAAGCTTTTCCATGTTGCCTGTTGGTTTTTATGTTTAATATCCTAATGGATTTTAAATAGAGGGCCAAGTGGATATGACATAATTTATGTAATAAATCCTTTATTTTAATATTTTTTGCTTTTTCTGGAGTCTTACTGGACAGGTTCTCCTGTCCAGCCTCCGCCATTGGACTGCCCAGTACATATGTTCCCTTAATAAACTCTGTTGTCTCTTTTACTAATTCTGGGTCTCTTCTTTGGCCTCTCAAACATAGTGCCATCTAATTGAAGTCCACAGAGGTCTGGCAGGACACCTGGTATGCATGGCAATAAGTTGAAGAAAATCCCATGAGTGCCAAGATGATGGGATTGGGAGAGAGGAAGTATGCGGAGGAAATTCTAGGCTGGCTGTCTACATCTATAGGGGGTCTGATAGCTGCTATCCTTGATGAATGGGGCCCACTGCAGGAGTATAGGGATGCCCCCAAAACACTGAAGGGTCTGGAAGAACTGTTGCCCGGGGTGGATCTAACTAAATGAAAGTGAGATGCCCAAGCTGTGGCAGCTGTGATTGGCTGGCTGCTTCTATAATTTGTAGCTCATAGTTTTTTTTCCTGTATTTTGGGATATTAAAATCGCTTGTCCAATTGTGAATTTCTTTAAAAATATATTTAGTGGGGACAAGTGCAGGTTTCTTACATGTGTATATTACATAGTGGTGTAGTCTTGGCATTTAGTGTGCCCATCACCTGAATAGTGAACATTGCACCCAATAGGTAATTTTTAAACCCTTACCCACCTCCCACCCTCCCACCTTTTGGAGTCTGCAGTGTCCATTGTTCCACTCTGTATGTCCATGTGTACTCATTGTTTAGCCTCCATTTATAAGTGAGAATATGAAGTATTTGACTTTGTGAGTTATTTTACTAAGGTAATGGCCTCCAGTTCTATCCATGTTGCTGCCAAGGACATTATTTCATTCTTTTTTATGACTGCATAGTATTCTAAGTTGTATATATACCACATTTTCTTTATGAAATCCTCCATTGATGGACATTTAGGTTGATTCCATACCTTTGCTATTGTGACTAGTGCAGTGATAAAGATATAATTTCAAGCATCTTTTTAATATGATGATTTCTTCCCTTTGGATAGATACCCAGAAGTGTGATCAGTATATCTAATGGTAGTTTCACTTTTAATTCTTTGAGAAATCTCCATACAGTTTTCTATAGAGCTTGTACTAATTTACATTTTTACCAATAGTTTATAAGTGTTCACTTATCTGCATCCTTGCCAACATCTATTGTTTTTAGGATTTTTAATAGTAGCCATTCTGACTGGTGAAAGATGGTATGAGAAATGTATGATTGTGCTTCTAATTTGAATTTCTCTGATGAATAGTGATGGTGAGCATTTTTCACCTTGTGTCATGACTGGCTGCTTGTTGGCTGCTTGTTTGTCTTCTTTTGAAAAATGGCTGTTCAGCCAGGCACAGTGGCTCATGCTTGTAAATCCCAGCACTTTGGGAGGCCGAGGCGGGTGGATCACCGGAGGTCAAGAGTTTGAGACCAGCCTGACCAACATGTTAAAACCCTGTCTCTACTAAAAATACAAAAATTAGCTGGGCATGGTGGAAGGCGCCTGTAATCCCAGCTGTAATCCTGGGTGGGAGGCTGAGGCAGGAGAATCTCTTGAATCCAAGAGGTGGAGGTTGCAGTGAGCCAAGATTGCGCCACTGCACTCCATCCTGTGCAACAGAGTGAGAGTCTGTCTCAAAAACAATAAAACAAAAAAACAAAAAACAAACAAGACAAAAAAACAAAAAGAAAAATGACTGTTCATGTCCTTTGCCCACTTTTTAATGGGGTTATTTTTTTTTTTTCTTGTGGAAAACATTCTGTAGTTTGTCTGTTTACTCTGCTGATTGTGATTCTTTTGCTGTGCAGAAGCTTTTTACTGTATTTAATCCTCATTTGTCTATTTTTGTTTTTGTTGCATTGGCTTTTGAGGACTTGGTCATAAAATCATTGCCTAATCCAAAGACCAGAACATAAGACTTTGTGACAGGTATGGGTCCACTTTCATTCTTCTGCATATGGCTAGGCTATTCAGTTTTCACAGCACTATGTATTAAATAGGATAGAACTTTTTCAGTGTATATTTTTGTTGACTTTGTTGAAGATTAGTTAGTTATATGTATGTGGCATTGTTTCTGGGTTCTCTATTCTATACCATGGACCTGTCTACTTTTATACCTGTACCATGCTGTTTTGGTTCCTGTAGCCTCGTAGTATAATTTAAAGTCAGGTAATGTGATGCCTCCAACATTGTTCTTTCTGCTTAGGATTGCTGTGGCTATTTGGGGTCTTTTTTGTTTCCATATGAATTTTAGGATTGTTTTCTCTAATTCTGTGAAAAATGATGTTAGTAATTTAATAGGGATTGTGTTGAACCTGTAGATTGCTCCATGTAGTATGGTCATTTTTAACAATATTATTTCTTCCATTCTATGGTTATGGGATTTTTAAAAATTTGGTTGTGTCATCTACACTTTCTTTCATCAGTATTTTGTAGTTCTTCTTAAAGAGATGATATGGTTTTGTTCTGTGTCCCCACCCAAATCTCACCTTGAATTATAATATCCTCACGTTTCAAGGGCAAGACAGGTGGAGCTAATTGAATCGTGGGGTCTGATATGGTTTGGCTCTGTGTCCCCACCCAAATCTCATCTTGAATTGTACTCCCATAATTCCCATGTGTTGTAGGAAGGACATGGTGGGAGACAATTGAATTATGGGAGCAGTTTCACTCATGATTCAGTTCTCATTGTAGTGAATAACTCTCACAGGATCTGATGGTTTGATAAGGGGTTTCTGCTTTCATGTCTTCCTCATCATTTCTCTCCTTGCCTGCTGCCATCCGTGTAAGATGGGACTTGTTCTTCCTTGCCTTCCACCATGATTGTGAGGCTTCCCCAGCCATGTTGACCTGTAAGTCCAATTAAATCTCTTTCTTTTGTAAATTGCCCAGTCTAGGGTATGTCTTTATCAGCAGTGTGAAAACGGACTAATACTGGGGTGGTTTCCCCCATGCTGTTCTCGTGATAGTGAGTGAGTTCTCATGAGATAAGCATCTGGCATTTCCCCTTCTGGCACTCATTCTGTCTCCTGCTGCCATGTGAAGAGGTGTCTTCTGCCATGATTGTAAGTATCCTGAGGCCTCCCCAGACATGCAGAACTGTGAGCCAATTGAACCTCTTTTCTTTATAAATTACCCAGTGTCAGGTTTCTTCATAGCAGCATGAGAATTGACTAATACAACAGATAGTTCACCTTCTTTGTTAAATATATTCCCAGGTGTGTTTTTTTTTTTCTTTTTTTTTGTAGCTGTTGGAAGTGGGATTGCCTCCTTGATTTGGTTCTTGGCTAGGTCGTTACTGGTGTATAGAAATGCTACTGATTTCTGTATATTAATTTTGTATCCTGAAACTTTACTGAATTCATTTATCAAATCTAAGGTTTTTTTGGTGGAATCTTTAGGGTTCTCTAGATACTAGATCTTATCATCAGTGAAGAGGCATCCAATTTGGATGCCTTTGAATATTTTCTCTTGCCTGATTGCTCTAGTGAGAACTTCCAGTATGATATTGAGTAAGAGTGGTGAAAGTGGGAATTCTTGTCCTTTTCCAGTTCTCAGAGGAAATGCTTTCAACTTTTCCATATTAAGTAAAATGTTGGCTGTGGGTTTGTCATATATGGCCTTTATTATGTTGAAGTATGTTCCTTCTATACCTAGTTTGTTGAGGATTTTTATCACGAAGCCATGCTGAATTTTACTGAAGGCATTTTCTGCATCTGTTGAGATGATCATATGGGTTTTGTCCTTAATTCTGTTTATGCAATGTATCACATTTATTAATTTGTGTCTTTTGAACCATCCTTGCTTCCCTAGGATAAATCCCACCTGATCATGGTGTTCCAGCTAATCTTGCTTCACTGACACCATTTGTTTAAGGAAAACTCTCTCTAACTGTGTTTTTCCTCTACTCTAACACCACAACAATCATCAACACAGAAGACTGCTGTGACCATATGTGTGGGGTTTTTTTTCCCCCACACTCCAAGCAGCAGACACCAGCTGGGTGTCCTCTAATTCAGTCCTGACACTACCTACCTGGAGATAGTGTCAGATCCCACAGGTTTAGGGCATAGTTCCCAAGACTGCACCTTTCCCTATTCCTCCTCTACCAGTCTCAAGTCTAGGTCTCTGGAACTTCTGATGAACTGGCTTCAAGTTGCAGTTCCCATGACCCCCTCTTTGGGTTCAATTAATTTACTGGAGTGGTTTACCAAATATGAATTTCTGAGTACTAACTTTTTGTTTTCCAAAGAATACAATTTTTTTTTTAAATCTGAGGAAAGTTTGGAAAAAGTATAAATATCTTAAAATAGAAATTAGGAAAGGTTTGACTTCATTGTTTTTCCAATTCTTAGACATTCAGCAAAGGTCTCAACTAGAAACAACAACAACAGCAACAACAACAAAAGCCATTACTTCTGAAAGAGAAATTATACTTCTATGACTTTTTTATAAAGTTTAGAATTAGAGCTTTTGGTAGGGTTTTGGTAAAGTTTGATGGAGGCCACTTGAACTCTAGGAAATTGTTTCTTCTTTTGTGATCTTCAATTATTTCTACCACATTTTTGTGGCCCTAACCACCCTCTTTTTTGTTTTAATATGCATTATGGACCTATCCACCCAAATATTAGACTTAAAAAATTATATAATTGAAGATAAAGTTGGCTGGAAAAAACCTGTGTGATCTTGCATTCTGCACATGCATATTTTTTGGCTGCCTATGTTGGGCGGGTGTTAGGGTACCATGATCCTTGCTTATAGAGTTTATAGATTAATAAAAGGAATGTGTAAAATACTTTATTATGTATGAGAAAACTGAGACCAAGCAAACTGACTTGCTCATGAGCGTACAACAATTTCTCTTTACACTGACTAGTGAAATACTGGGAAAGTCCGAAGTTCATTAATGATGGGTATTATTGTACCACAGGTTGCATTTTCTCTCTTAATTTATCTGGATTTTGTTATCTAACAAAAGATCTATAAATCCTGGGCATATGCCACGGAGGTACTGCAAGTATGATACCTATTACTGAGATGGAGACCTTTTGTGGTCAAGATAAAAAAGGGCACAGTGTATTTAACTTTTTTGTGAGACAGAGTCTCACTCTTTTGCCTAGGCTGGAGTGCAGTGGCGTGATCTTGGCTCACTGCAATCTCTGTCTCCTAGGTTCAAGCGATTCTCATGCCTCAGCCTCCCGAGTAGCTGGCCCTACAGGCACTCACCACCACGTCTGACTAATTTTTGTATTTTTAGTAGAAATGGGGTTTTGCCATGTTGTCCAGGCTGGTCTCGAACTGCTGACCTCAAGTGATCCACCTCCCTTGGGCTTCCAAAGTTATGGGATTACAGATGTCAGCCACCATGCCCAGCCTATATTTAACTTTAATAGTGTCTTTTGTCTATTTCTCTCCCTGGGTAAAAGAGAAAACAATAAAAATATTCATGAACTGGTATAGGTTCTTATTTTGTGCACCCAGCATCCAAGACAATATTTGAGTGTACTACTTAGATCTCCTAAAAAGGCTTACTTTTAAAAAGATTAATAGTTTAAAATAGTTATCACACCACTTTTCTAAGTGATTGCTTATATTTGCCCTGCTTAATTAAGTAAGGATTTTGGTTTGAGGATGGAGAGTCTGATAAATCAAGGAAATACAATAATTTTATTTATAATTATTTATCTCTTTTTAGGCTAACAGGATTATATAGTCTCAGAACTATAGATCTATTATAAATTTAGATTTTTGAAAAGAAGTTAAAGAAGGCTAAAAGGCATACTTGATGACATTTTTAGCTTTTCCTAAAAATGTATAAATTTATATGCTTTTTATTTTTTTACCAGGAAGGAAAATAATAATATTCTGTTACTTTTAGATTCCATAGCTGTAGTTGTCAGACATATTTCAGTTAGGTTATTCAGGAGGCATATTGTAGAAATTGTGAAAAAATTCAAACGTATTTCTTTACTTTGTTATTAATTTTCAATATTCCTTACCTTATGTATTCTCTAATTTTGCTCTTTTCCCAATTTTAATATTATAATAAGAATTTCAAATAGGACTTTGTAATTTATGAGATAAAACCAGATGGATGAGAGGATGAGTATCTTAAGAATATGATGCATTTCCTTATGTTTGTTTTGTATACATGTGGCAATAGCCACTGAAAGGGAACTAAACTACATTATGATCATTCTTGCTCAGAAACTCATGTCTAGTTGGCTAATTTTAGAGCCAAACCCTAAGCCTTCTACTTTGATTCTTATCCAAGCATACTTGCTATATAATACTGTTTGCCCTTTTCCATCTCTGATTTTGATTTTTGGGTCTGCATTTGTGAAAGTACAGGCCAATATGTCCAATAAACAAACTAGTGAAATTATTTTGCCCACATGAAAAGTGTTTGTAAAAATGTTCCCCAAAGGGATCTCTAGGAAGATACCATTTCTTCAAAATTCTTTTGCCTTTGAAAGGCAAAATTTAGTTGTGGGAGTCTCAATTTAAGAAACACAGGCTATTTTATCTGAGTTGGAGCTCAATTAGATGTGAATCTTTAAATTGTTTACTTAATTCTTCTGTGCTATTGTGAAAGGATGCTATTTCATAAATATGAAATCAGGAATTCTATGTTGATTTTTTTTTTTAAAGCTAACTTTTAGTGCCTTTATTACATAGTGGACAGGTATTATCCTGCTGTTGAATTCAGGAACCATGCCTAGCACCAGATGTGGGTGTGGAAGCTTCCCTGGTCTATGTGTGGAAAGCTTGTTTGTTTAGGCTGCCAAGCCAGAGGAGGCATCATACTTTTCACTCAGGCCTTGCCTCTTCTGCTGAAAGATGAAAGACTGGCAAAGTAGAGTTTTTGAAAAGAGTAGGTTAATTGTTTCTGGAGATTAGAAGAAGGGGCCTTTTTTTGTGTTGATGCCTATAGGCATGCTTACCCCCTTCCCCAGGCCCCACATGTGTGTACCTATATCAACATGCATTTCCCTACATGCAGTTCCCAGAGATTCATGAAGCTGCTCTTGAAGCTCATGGGCAACACCTAGATTAATATACAAGTGTTACTTAATGAAAGAAGAAAAAAGGATTGCATGTTCTTTTATTTGATAGAAAGCACCATATTCATCCATTCATATGTCCTGAGCACCTATTCATCCAACTACTTATGTATCTGTCCATCCACCCACCTCCCATCCACCTAGCCATCTAGCCTTCATTCGCGTTTTATCTGATACTTTCTATTTGTCAAAACTCTGTGTATTTTATTTTTACACTTTTAAAATTGAATACTATACTGCTTTGTAAGTACTTATGGAGCTTTGTAAGTACTTATGGAAAATGAAAGAATGATTCACGGCAACTATGGAGATGTTCTAGTAGAGAGTATGTACATATTTGTTTGTGGTTGTATAATAATATAGTTTGAAGCATTAATAGGTTTGGAAAGGTGGTATAGATAGTCATTTCAGCTTTGCTTATCTTAGACTGATTTTATATTTCAGAAAGTCTTTTTGTGACCTTTTTGTACTGCTCTAGTTTTAAAATAAACTGCATTGTCAGTAAAGCAGAGTTAGATTTCTTTCGTGAAAGTAAAATTGATAGACACTTGAACATTTCTTTAGAAAGTTACTGTATCAAAGAAAATTTTAAAAGGTTTTTAAAAGATTTTACCCATTTTACTGAAAAAAGTTTCTCTTCTTTTGAATTGATTCTTAATTTATTTCACATATGAAGCATCTTGTAAAGGTTTTATTTAGGGCAGTAAGGAACCATTTTAGTATTTTTAATCATTCAATTTTTATATAGAATTTTTTTCCAGTCCTTATTACTTTAAAAAATTACAATTGAAACCCCCTATTTCTCTTGACATTTTTGGTATTCATTTTTCTACTGCTTTAGTCTTTATCATCTATATGTGAAACAGAAAATATATTTTTTAGACAAAGAAGACAGAGTGACTTATTTGGAAAATAAGATTCTAATTACTCTATCATTTTCTGTAAGGGTGAAATACAATATAAGGGAACAATAAAGAAAATCACTCTCCTAGAATATTGCAAATTCTAAAAAAAGGAACATAAAGATTCAAATGCACTCAATCTGCTGACAGGACTGAGCCAATGAGGTGTACAGCATGAGTGTGTTGCTACACAGACTACACTTGTACCAGGAGCGTATCATGAAAGATGAAAAATTGAAAGTGGGTACTAATAGCACTCAGATTTTAAAATGAATATCATTAGTATTCCAGCAAAATTATATTCATAGCTATATCTTAAGTCCAATGTGTTTCATGGGAAGAAAATGTCAGTGATATGAACTTACCTAATAGAACTGAGCCTGAGGCTCTGTATTTGCTCTTAATGACATTAAAGATGTAACTATTTTAAAATTTTTTGATATGTGGGGCTAGATTTATAATTTAATACTGTCGTAAATATTAAGAGTGCTTAATTTTTTGGCATAATGGAAACATAGCATGGAGATTAATATCTGATCCATAGTCAAGATCCTTTTCCAAGGTTGTTCCCAGATTCACACTGTTCTGGCACTCTGAATAGAAACAGTCTTCTGTTTAAGGTTTATTGAGTTGGATCACTTAATTGCATCTCAAAGTTATAGCTTCGAATTCTCACTTCTTTCTATTTCAATATGGTAATGTAGTTTTCTGTTAAATAGTGACAGTCATTATTATTTGTACTAACAAATGAAATCAGGTTTTCTATTTATTTTTTGTTCTAGAAGTCTCTTTTCTCTTGGATCTCTGAATGTTCTTCATTTTCTTTTATAATGCACTGTCCAGTCCTAAGAAGTGCCCTAATATTAATCCTGCCTTTCTTAACTGATTTTTTCAGTCATTAGAACAAAGCATTTCATTTGGCTTAGGGATCATTTGATAGTACCTACAGAAAATAATTTGAAACAAATTACAAAGTATCTTGAGTCTGAACTTCTGGCCCAACTCAGTCGCTGGGAATTTTTTTAGAGGATTATTTGAGGTGAAGGTCCACTGATATTTCTATCCTCAGCCACTAACAGATAAATGATAAAAGAATTCTAAGGTCTTCGCTAGCGAACTCCGTAAAGAGTACCAGTCTTGGGTGATCAGTGAAGTAAGGAGTTTGGATCTGAAAGGGAGCAAATGAAAAATTATCATGACATTAAAGTGATCAGTAATGCAATGAGACTATGAGTTAGGACTTTGTAACTATACTCATAAAATAAGATGAATTCTGGCTCACCTCAGTTCCTGGCTCAAATTTAAAAGCATGGTTGTACAATTGCCTGAATAGGTATATGGGTAAATATTTTTTATTGTTAATTACTACTATTTATTAAACACCAAACACTGACTTTCATTATTTAAAAAAATCTCATATAACCTTCACGTTAAGCATGTGAGATAGACAGTGATATCCACATCTTGCAGATCATAAAGAAATAATATTGCAGTAAACTCACATATGCCAGAATTTTGGTTAGGTTGCTTAGAAAGGCAAACTACTCATCAAAGGAAATGTGACCAGCCACATGCCTTAAAAAGGACAACATAACATATTTAAAGTCTCTAAATAGATTGTAGACAATTTACACAGTACTTTGATATTTGTCCTTTGTCAGTTTTTTGGGGGCAGAGTTGCTGTGTGAAAGATTTGCATTTTTATTTGCATCCTGGTCTAGGGAAACCTTTCTAATCCCTGAGTATGCACTCTTGGGATTTCAAGACTTTAGAGAATTGTTTCCCAAAGTGAGTTCCAGGGAAAACATGTTATTGCAAAAAACCTCTCAGTGGTAATACCATCAAATGTGAACGAACATACCTTTAATTATTATAAATGAAATACATGTTGCTGTGATTTAGTGGTGAATAAGCAAAACCTAAATTATACTGGTGATTGAAAAGATTGCAGAATCTTCTAAAATCAGTATGTAAGATACAAAAAGGAGGGATTAATGTACATATATTTATTTTAAATTATTTTGACATATTTGAGAAGCAACTACCAGAAATATATAATTTACCTTTTTTAGCTGTAAAACAAAGTTTATGTATTATAAGGTTACCTACATGATAGTCCATACCCTGGGATGAACTTTCTGCTCCCTGTACCCAATCTGGCAAAATTTTACTCACCCTTCATGGTCCCGAAAATGCCCTCCCTGTCGTGTTTTTATAGCAGTTAATGTATATCACGTTGTATTACAATTCAGTTCTCTTTTTCTGTAGCATTTAGAAGAGACATCTGCTTCTTAGAGGTCTTTGACATGTATTTGTGGAATAAATGAAGGAGTAGATGAATAAATTATATGTTTGATTAATTTAGCAAGATTTTTATCGAGTCTTAATTATTTGGACCAGTTTTTCTGACTACTAAGAAATGATCTAAGAATGATCCAGCAGGTGGGTAACTAAGATTATGGTTCAAAATGTTTGGGAACACTTGCTGATTCCTCTTTCTTTACTGAGTGAATTTGAAAATTAAAAGGATTTTGGAGAAATGACTTTTTAAATTTGAAAATGTATTTTATTATGGAAATTTTCAAACATACAGAGAAGTCAAAAGACAATTACAGTGAACACCAGTATACTCACCACTCATATCTTATCACTTTTCTGTTATCTTATCTATCTATATTTTAATCCCTCTATTCATCCATCAGTCCATCTTATTTATTTATAATGCATTTCAAAGTAAACTATAGGCACTTCCCCCTAAATACTTTCAACATGCGTATTGTTAACTAGAGTTCAAGAATAGTTTACAGTTTTTTTTTCTTTTGAGGTAAAATTTAAATACAATAGTGTATATAAATCTTAAGTGAACATTTGCTAGTTTTAACATATGCCTATGTTGTGTAACCCTAATCTCTATCAAGATACAGAACATTAACATCATCCCAGAAAGTCCTCTCATGGTCCTTCTCAGTCACCTTCTGCTCCCACACCTCACAGGGAACCACATTTCTCACTTTTCCCCCTTTACTATAGATTAGTTTTGCCAAAACATGTTGTGTTTAAGGAATCGAAGTATGTAAGTGTTTATGTGAAAAACAGAAAGGGGAAGCAATCCCTAAATAAACATTTACATCTATTACATTTACATTTCAGTTGAAACTAACAAATGAAATGACAGCTGGAAAACTACAGAGGGCAATTGATGAAGGAAACTTAAAATGACTTCATGTAATGACTAATGACCTGGATTTAGAGGAATGTCAGAAGTACACATGGCTAGCATTCCATTATGCCATATAATTGCTATAATGGCAGCAGACTGTGTAAACCTGAAAGTCACTTGTCAAAGAATTTTGCCTGGTAGTCAACAAATGTGATACAATTCTGTGACCCAAATAACCACATATTTTACAAAAGTTGCAAAGTCAAAATATGGTGATTGTTTCAAATGTTTTGGTTTTGTGGTAGAATTGCTTAATATTTGGCTTTTAGAATGATTTATTATAAAATGTTGAAAATATAGTTTTAATTAATGTACAATGAAGAGAAATATTTTGGAATGTATGAAATTACTCTGTTAAGAGTCTTCATATTTAAGATATAGTTTTAAGTAGCATGGCTATACATCATGCATAGATGATTATACAGATGTAATGAATCCCAGCTGTTATTCAGGTACCTTGTGATATATGTGTCACCTAATATATTTAAATGCTGAGCTTTTGTCAGTAGAGAAAAAAGTCACGAGTAATATCTAAAAATTAGCATGGCTTAGTCTGGGACACTGGCCCTCGCAGTCTGTTAATTACTTGTAGTCTCTAGCCTCTCTCTTTTATTCATACCACAGCCAAACACTGAGTATTAACGGATGGGTTTTAAGAATCTACCGAAACCACCCATCTATCTTCCTTCTCTCCCTCATTCTCTTCTTCCTTCTCTCCTTCCTTCCTGGCTACTTAAACAGATATTTGTTGTGCACTTGCGTTGTAACAGTGTTAAACGGTGGAGATACTGTGATGAGTAGAAAGTACCTTACCGTAAATCAGGTTCTACAGATGCTGTTTGCATTCGTAAACATTAACCTCTAACGAATCAGAATTCACTTAAAAAATCATACATCCTAGAATTTGTGAATGGATTTTGTGAAGAACAGGGCATGTTGGTATACGTGATAAGATTGATTATTCAAAGTTGATCAGATGTCTATACTGTTCATTTAATTACGTTATCTCTACAGCTGAAACAACTACACTTGCTTTACCATTGACCATCTGCAATAATTATCATGCTCAGTGTAGCCATTAGTATAGTTAACTATCTTTTTACTTAAAAAAGTTTCACTGTCAATTTTGTTGATGTTTTCAAAAAACCAGTTCCTGGATTCATTGATTTTTTTGAAGGATTTTTTGTGTCTTTCACTTCTGCACTGATCTTAGTTATTTCTTGCCTTCTGCTGGCTTTTGAATTTGTTTGCTTTTGCTTCTCTAGTTCTTTTAATTGTGATGTTAGAGTGTCGATTTTAGATCTTTCCTGCTTTCTCTTGTGGGCATTTAGTGCTATAAATTTCCCTCTACACACTGCTTTAAATGTGTCCCAAAGATACACCTCTAGCAAGTTTAATAAAGAAGAAAAGAGAGAAGAATCAAATAGACACAATAAAAAATGATAAAGGGGGTATAACCACCTATCCCACAGAAATACAAACTACCATCAGAGAATACTATAAACACCTTTACGCAAATAAACTAGAAAATCTAGAAGAAGTGGATAAATTCCTGGAAACATACAGCCTCCCAAGACTAAACCAGGAAGAAGTTGAATCTCTAAATAGACCAATAACAGGCTCTGAAATTGAGGCAATAATTAATAGGCTACCAAACAAAAAAAGTCCAGGACCAGATGGATTCACAGCCGAATTCTACCAGAGGTACAAAGATTAGCTGGTACCATTCCTTCTGAAACTATTCCATTCAATAGAAAAAGAGGGAATCCTCCTTAACTCATTTTATGAGGCCAGCATCATCCTGATACCAAAGCCTGGCAGAGACACAACAAAAAAGAATTTTAGACCAATATCCCTGATGAAAATCGATGCAGAAATCCTCAATAAAATACTGGCAAACCAAATCCAGCAGCACATCAAGAAGCTTATCCACCATGATCAAGTGGGCTTCATCCCTGGGATGCAAGGCTGGTTCAATATATGCAAATCAATAAACGTAATCCATCACTTAAACAGAACCAATGACAAAAACCACATGATTATCTCAATAGATGCAGAAAAGGCCTTTGACAAAATTCAACACCCCTTCATGCTAAAAACTTTCAATAAACTAGGTATTGATGAAACATATCTCAAAATTAAAAGAGCTATCTATGACAAACCCACAGCCAATATCACACTGAATGGGCAAAAACTGGAAGCATTCCCTTTGAAAACCGACACAAGACAAGGATGCCCTCTCTCACCACTCCTATTCAACGTAGTGTTGGAAGTTCTGGCCAGGGCAATCAGGCAAGAGAAAGAAATAAAGGGTATTCAGTTAGGAAAAGAGGAAGTCAAATTTTTCCTGTTTGCAGATGACATGATTGTATTTGTAGAAAAGACTATCGTCTCAACCCAAAATCTCCTTAAGCTGATAAGCAACTTCAGCAAAGTCTCAGGATGCAAAACCAATGTGCAAAAATCACAAGCATTTCTATACCCCATTAACAAACAGAGAGCCAAATCATGAATGATCTCCCATTCACAATTGCTACAAAGAGAGTAAAATACCTAGGAATCCAACTTCCAAGGGATGTGGTGACCTCTTCAAGGAGAACTACAAACCACTGCTCAATGAAATAGAAGAGGACAGAAACAAGTGGAAGAATATCCCTTGCTCATGGATAGGAAGAATCAATATCATGAAAATGGCCATACTGCCCAAAGTAATTTATTGATTCAATGCCATCCCCATCAAGCTACCAATGACTTTCTTTACAGAATTGGAAAAGGTACCTTAAAGTTCTATGGAACCAAAAAAGAGCCCTCATTGCCAAGACACTCCTAAGCCAAAAGAACAAAGCTGGAGGCATCATGCTACCTGATTTCAAACTAGACTACAATGCTACAGTAACCAAAACAGCATGGTACTGGTACCAAAACAGAGATATAGACCAATGGAACAGAACAGAGGGCTCAGAAATAACACCACAC
The DNA here is from genome assembly GCF_000001405.40 of Homo sapiens. NCBI lineage: Eukaryota > Metazoa > Chordata > Mammalia > Primates > Hominidae > Homo > Homo sapiens. Next base: position 111,422,037 of record NC_000007.14, on the reverse strand, counting down.
ATCTACAGCCATCTGTTCTTTGACAAACGTGACAAAAACAACAAGAAATGGGGAAAGGATTCTCTGTTTAATAAATGGTGCTGGGAAAACTGGCTAGCTGTATGTAGAAAGCTGAAACTGGATCCCTTCCTAACCCCTTATACAAAAATTAATTCAAGATGGATTAAAGACTTCTATGCTAGACCTAAAACCATAAAAACCCTAGAAGGAAACCTAGGCAATACCATTCAGGACATAGGCATGGACAAGGACTTCATGACTAAAACACCATAAGCAATGGCAACAAAAGCCAAAATAGACAAATGGGATCTAATTAAACTAAAGAGCTTCTGCATGGCAAAAGAAACTACCATCAGAGTGAACAGGCAATCTACAGAATGGGAGAAAATTTTTGCAATCTACCCGTCTGACAAAGGGCTAATATCCAGAATCTACAAAGTACTCAAACCAATTTACAAGAAAAAAACAGGCCGGGCGCGGTGGCTCACGCTTGTAATCCCAGCACTTTGGGAGGCCGAGGCGGGTGGATCAAGGTCAGGAGATCGAGACCATCCTGGCTAACACGGTGAAACCCCGTCTCTACTAAAAATACAAAAAAAAATTAGCCGGGCATGATGGCGGGCGCCTGTAGTCCCAGCTACTCGGGAGGCTGAGGCAGGAGAATGGCGTGAACCCGGGAGGCGGAGCTTGCAGTGAGCCGAGATTGCGCCACTGCACTCCCACCTGGGCCACAGAGCGAGACTCCGTCTCAAAAAAAAAAAAAAAAAAAAGAAAAAAACAAACAACCCCATCAAAAAGTGGGCAAAGGATATAAACAGACACTTCTCAAAAGAAGACATCTATGCAGCCAACAGACACATGAAAAAATGGTCATCATCACTGGTCATCAGAGAAATGCAAATCAAAACCACAATGAGATAACCATCTCATGCCAGTTAGAATGGCAATCATTAAAAACTCAGGGAACAACAGATGCTGGAGAGGATGTGGAGAAATAGGAATGCTTTTACACTGTTGGTGGGACTGTAAATTAGTTCTGCCATTGTGGAAGACAGTGTGGTGATTCCTCAAGGATCTAGAACTAGAATTACCATTTGACCCAGCGGTCCCATTACTGGGTATATACCCAAAGGATTATAAATCATGCTACTATAAAGGCACATGCACACGTATGTTTATTGCAGCACTATTCACAATAGCAAAGACTTGGAACCAACCCAAATGTCCATCATTGATAGACTGGATTAAGAAAATGTGGCACTTATACACCATGGAATACTATGTAGTCATAAAAAAGGATGATTTCATGTTATTGGCAGGGATGTGGCTGAAGCTGGAAACCATCATTCTCAGTAAATTATCACAAGGACAGAAAACCAGACACCGCATGTTCTCACTCATAGGTGGGAATTGAACAATGAGATCGCCTGGACACAGGGCGGGGAACATCACACACGGGGGACTATCGGGGGGTGGGGGGCTGGGGGAGGGATAGCGTTAGGAGAAATACCTAATGTAAAAGATGAGTTGATGGATGCAGCAAACCAAGATGGCACATGCATAGTTATGTATCAAACCTGCAAACATTGTGCACATGTACCCTAGAACTTGAAGTTTAAAAAAAAGAAAGTTTCACCTGTACCTTTATTGTACAGATAGTTTTTTTATTTGTTTCAAAACAACTGTCCTTGGTCAGAGAAGTTCGGAATTTCTTTTGTGATCTCTCAATTTGTGTGGTAGTAAAGTGCTCACAGAGTCACAACTTAGAAAACTTGATTTCTTTTCTCCATTTTATTGTGAGTTTGAATGACCAACTTAAGTATTTAATTTCTATTATTTATAATGAAGCACTTTTCAATTCAGGCTGAATCTCAGAAAAAATGAATATAAAAATGTAAATATAATTAGAACAATTGAAACATTTTTATTGTGATAGAATATATATAACATGTAATGTACCATTTTAACCATCTTTAAGTGTACAGTTCAATGACATTAAATACATTCTTATTGTGGTGCAGGTGCAGCCATCCTCACTATCCATTTCCAGAATGTTTTCATAGTCTCAAACTGAAGCCGTGTATCCATTAAGCAATAACTATGTAACACTTCTCCACTACTTCCAGTGTCTGGAAACCACCTTATCATTTTCTTTTTCTATGAATAGGACAATATTTTTTGAGTAAGGGCAGTAAATTATCATTTTGTTCTGTGAACCCTGAAAATCTGAGACAGGTCTCAGTTAATTTAGAAAGTTTATTTTGCCAAGGCTGAGGACACGTGCCTGTGACAAGGTCTCCGGTGGTCCTGACGATATGTGCCCATGGTGGTCAGAACACAGTTTGGTTTCATGCATTTTAGGGAGACATGAGACATAATAAACATATGTAAGATAAACATTGGTTCTGTCCAGAAAGGCAGGACAACTCAAAGCAGGGAGGGGACTTCCAGGTCATAGGTAGATAAGAGACAAATGATTGCCTTCTTTTGAGTTTCTGATTAGCCTCTCCAAAGGAGGCAATCAGATACACATTTATTTCAGTGAGCAGAGGAGTGACTTTGAATAGCACGGGAGACAGGTTTGTCCTAAGCAGTTCCCAGATCGACTTTTCCCTTTAGCTTAGTGATTTTGGGGCCCATTTCCTTTCACAGCTCCAAATCCTCTTAGGTAAGAAATTTTTTCTTCCTTTTAAAAAAAATCTTTAGTAAAAGTGTAACAGTCAGGGCCTAATCAGAGAAACAGAGCTACAGGAATATATGTATTCCAAGTCTAAATTCAGTTCTTTAATGTATTTAATAAAACTTCCCATTTTTAATTAATAATTCAAAATTTTTTAGTCTTGTCTGCCAATATATTCTTCATATATTGGAATAACATTATTCTACAGCTGTAGGAGGCAGCAGCAAGTAAGGCAATTATATAAATGCAATTTATTTAAAGCTTTAACCATTTATGTGAAGCTAGGCATTTGATTTGATTTCCACCTATGGCAGTGGCTTTCAGAAATTTGATTTGTAATTTATTTGATGTAATTTCAGGCTGAGAATATCTTCGCAACACAATATTGAAAAAATAGTTTATTGAAGGATGGCTTAATGAAATATAAAGAGTATGAAATAAACTGTAAATCAAAGAAAACTTAGGGACTATTTGCATAAGTGGCATTTAGCTATTGGGCATTTTTATATTTGTATGTGTACAAATATAATTTTCATAGTACAAAAAGGTGGTTTTACAAATGTTTGTTTTAGGAGCAATCTCTTCAATATAATTAGATAACAGAAATTTTTGTGTATTTTTTATTTTCTTAAATTAATTGGTATTGTCAGGCTAGCATTTGATTTGATCAATATATTGTTTACTCAAAGAAAAGCCTTAGTGGTTTAAATAACCATGACTGTAAATGTATTAAGAACTTCACTGGCAGTAGCACTGCAAAGCTCAAAGGCACTCAGTGTAACCTAATTACTAGGAATGACATTTGTATTAGTGCTAGTGAGGTGTGAGCTTTTTGTACCGAAGGCTGAAAAGATATCAGATTAGGTCCAGAGTGAGCAGAAGGGACGTATTTCAAATTTACCCTTTTAAATCCTAGAATTCAGTGACAATGATGTGACTGGGTTATTGATATTGCAGTACATCTAGGATGAAGAAAGGAATACATAGAGATTACTAATTAGTGAATATATATTTTAATCAAGACATAATTTTCTAGCATCAGGGTCAGATCAAGGTTTTATTGGGGACCTGAAAGGAGGCAGACCATTTGGAGGCAGCCCTCCTAAAAAAAATACAAAATTACAGATGCAAATTTATATACAAGTCAATATGTATTTAGAATGAGAAAAGAAATCACAACTGATTACAATTTCGTAAAAGATGGTCAGTGACATTATCATAATAATATTTGGAAAAATAGCTGCTGATCACACTTTTAAACTACCTTTTCCACATCTATAGGATACATAATGTTTGAGCCCCTCTCAGATGACAATGACTTTATAATATAATTTTTTATAGATTTAGAAAGATAAATTGGACTTTCCTGTACTATGGTTAGGAAGATTTTGTTTTTATTATTGATAATTGAGCTGTATAAACTGTGCAGCTTCACTCACAGACATAGTATTTATAGAACAGCTGCAGATTTGGGCTTTGCAAACGCAGTGTCTGAAAAGTTCTATTTCATTGTGAGTCCCATCAAAAAGAAAAAAGAAATGTCTGCTACATTTATAATTGTATATGCACTATCAACTCTATTCCTAATAAGAGAAAACTTGACTAGGCATTGATTACAAATGGAATTATCTGCTTATTCTATTTCATGTCTCCTTATTGGAAGAATTTTCCACAGAGTAGCTTCTGGCTGTATAAATTTCAGTCTCTGCTTCTCTCCCATTTGCCACAAATCTTTAGTTCTCGTTGCCATGGGACACATTCGTGACAGAGGTTACACATTGAGGGGTCTTCATAGACCTCTGACTACGAACCTTCATATCAGGACCCCATGTGAGTTAGCACAGTTGGGAAAGGGATGTATTCCTAGAAGCCATTCCTATACTGGAACAGATGGTAAACTAATTACACATAGAAATGACCAAGAACCACTTACATATATCCCACTAAAAACAATGTGCTACCAATTCTGAATGTATCACCCAAACTGAATATATCACCCTTTGCATGATCCCCAGGTTGCTCACTGTGACGCCCTCCACCCGACAACAGGAGATTGGTGGAGAAGAAGAGGAAGTGGAGAAAGATATTTCATTGGCAAAGTATCTTACTTTTACAAATTTTACTAAAATATATAATCATGGACACATTGCTAGGGTACCTGCAGGGACATTTTCAAATGAGGAGGCCTGAAGCTTAAGCTTTATGATGAGTTTTATGGTAAACTCAACTCTGTCAAATAAGTACTGTTTCTTCAATGATAGAAATCTTCTATATCTGTGCTACCTAATATGGTAGTTTGTTGAATACTTGAGATGTGGTGAGTGCAACTAAGAAAGTGAATCTTTAATTTTATGTACTTTAAATTATTTTCAGTTTAAATAGATACATGTAGTTTATGGTTACTGTATTGGATAGTATATATCTAATTTATTAATATATTTATGTAAAATTAAGGCTCATTTAATTATATTAAAGGTATTATGTATCATACCATATTCTGCTTAACTTTGGATGTTGTTTAGGGATTAAACTCTCAATTGTGGTCTAATTTTATACTACATATGATTCATGTATTGCCTACTGAGCAAGTAAGCAATTTTCTTAATTATGGACAAATATTATGCTGGCAGACCTGTGCATATTAAACTGAAAAAATACTTTTAAAGTGCTTCTTCTGGTTGGGATTTTAAAAATATGATTATTAGAACCAATCATATTAAAAAACCTTATATGATGGGCTAAAATATGTGTTTTCAAAGCAGGGGTTAAAACTTTTTACATGAAGTACTTTTATTTTTCTCTTAGGAAATTTAATAAGGCATCTCCAAAGACAGAGGGAAAGTGGATTATTTGGTTGACATGCTTAATATTTTATGTTGCTGCTTAGTTTGCTAATTCTAGTGGTTCAAACCAGATTTCAAAATCTGGGCTAAATCTCTGTCATGCTATGACATGGCATTTGACAGTAATTCCTGAATATTTAATTGATAGAAAAACAGAAAGCATGCATATTGTTTAGTACAATTGTGTGAACTGCTATGACATATCATTACATACAGTTTTCTGAAAGACTGCATATTTTATTCATTGTATGCCTAGCACGGGGAAGAAATTTTTAATGCAGTGAACAGGTGACCTTTCAAGCATCGTATATAAAGTTTCAATATGTACTTTAATGGGATAGCTGATGATTTTCTGTTTATGTGCTGTTGATTTTATTTGCGTAGTTGGGTGTTGACAAAAACTGGGAATAGATGTTCTCCGTAGATCTACATGTAATAATTATAATTAATATTTAGAATGCTCAGATTAACTTTTTAAAACTGAGATGAAGTTCACATAATATTATGAACCATTTTAAAGTGTACAATTAAGGAAAATTATGCAAATCTCTTTTCAGAAATTTAGGACTCATGATATGTTTTATTTGCAGGTTTCAAAATTTTTTTTCTGTTTTTTTGTTGTTGTTGTTGTTTAAAACCTGTATATGTTTAAAAATTAAAAACATTTAATTATCACTTGGTAGCAATTTGTAAAATCCTAAGTAGAATTTTAAGTTGTTATGTGAAATTTCTTTGAAATTGAGAATTTTATTCCTAAATTACTTCCTGATAGATTTGTTGTTGCATTTTATTCTCAGGTGTGTAATTTTTTTCTATAGGCTGTGGTTGTGTCATATATACTAGTTATAATTTGGCTTTTCAAAATATCAAATGCCAACTATATGCAAAATAAGTAAATTTTTATGACTATGAAATTCACTTCAATTGTCAAAATGTACAAAATTCCAAAATGTCTTCTTTTAGCCTATTTTGTTGACGTTGGTGATTTGTCAACCTGAAGGTAACAGACTGTATTAGTTTTCTATTGCTGTTTAATAAGCCACAAACTTAGTGGCTTGTAAAAATATAAATTAATTATCTCAGACTTTTTGTAGGGCAAAAGTCTGGGCATAGCTGAATTTTGTGCTCAAGTTCTTATATACTAAAGTCAAGGTCTCCCCTGGGCTATAATCTCATCTGGGATCTCATAGGATCCTTTTTCATGTTCATGTGGTTGTTGGCATAATCCAGTTTTTGGGGATTGTGTGACTGAAGTCCACATTTTCTTGCTAGCTCTTGTCTGGAGACTGCTCTCGGTCTCTAGAGGTCCCCTCCTGTAAGTCCTTGCTACATGGCTCCTATACAGGCCCCCTTCTTTAAGACCAACAGGAAAAGCTCTCTCAAGCTTTGAGGCTTATCCTTCAAGGAGGACCCACTCCCTTTTAAGGACTCCCAGAATCATCTCTGTTTTGACAAACTCGAAGACAACTGCTTTGGGACTTTAATTACGTTAATACAATCTTTTCATGCTTGTCATATAATGTAACATCATACTGGGAGTGAAAACTATCATACTTAAAGCCCTACCCACCCCCAAGGGGAAGGGAATCTTCAGAGTGTGTGCACCAGTGGGCAGGAATCTGGGATGCCACCTTAGAATTCTGCCCACTACAGGAAGCTATGGGAAAATTTGAAAATGTGTTTTTTTAAAAATTAATAGACTGTATTTTTTAGTGCAGTTTTATATTTTTGTAGAGAGCTCTCATATAATCCCTTTTTCCCTGTACACAGTTTCACCTATTATGATAGTCTTACATTAATGTACATTTGTTAAAACTGATGAACCAATATTGATACAATATTATTAACTAAAGTCTATACATTAGGGTTCATTCTTTGTGTTGTACAGCTCTATGGATTTTGACAAATGCATGTCATGCTTCCATCATTGTGATATCATACAGAATAGTTTCACTTCCCTAAAAATCCCATGCTCCTACCTATTCATCTCTATCTTCCTCCTGCCCATTACTCCTACTACTGTTCTTTTTACTGTTTATACAATTTTGTCTTTTTTAGAATGTCATTTAATTGGGATCATACAATATGTAGCTTTTTCATACTGGCTTCTTTCAGCAGTATGCTGGCTAAGACTCTTTCATGTCTTTCCATGGCTTTATAGGTTATGATTTTTTAAATCACTCACTAATATTTGATTACATGGATGCACCCTAGTTTGTTGATTCAGGAAGCTACCCTCTGGGTCTTTTTGAGACTTGCTGGGAAATTGCCTGCAGAGGTGACATTGAAATTCACTCGGAATCTTCCTGCAGGGGAACAGGAGGAAGGGGCTTCTCTTTCTGGTTCTAGTGTACTTTATTCTCTTCTTGCTTCTGTGGTATGTGGTGGAAGTGAGCCAGCCCCTGAGGAGGGGGTCAAGTTCACTGCAAAGATTCTCATGGGGGTGTTTTTGAAACTTTCCGGGAAACTGCTGGTTGGAACATCTTGCGACTTGCCAGGAAACCACTTGGGATGCTAGTGGAACTGGCTGGGAAGTTGCTTATGGAGGTGCTGCTGCAACTTGCTGGGATGTGAGTATCACTGGGTATCTTTGTGATGCTGATTGCCATAAGAAAAACAGGAGAACAAAGCATATCGGAAGCAGAAAGAGAAGCTCCTTCATCTTGCATTGTTCTCTCCAGCACCCTCTGCTAACAAAATTTAGTGTTACAGCAGCTGGCAAAGAAAAGATACAGGGTCTAGCTCCCACATCACAAAGCAGGACAGGGAAGGGTAAATTTGGAGCTGACAGGCAAGAGGTTGATAACTGGCACACTTTCTGTTTCAACTTTGCTGAGATTTTTTTTTTTTCTTAAATTAGGACTGAGGGATTATTGCCACATGCTTTTCTGTAACTATTGATATTGTCATATAGTTTTGTTTTTTAATCTGTTAATATGGTAAATTACATTGATTGGATTTTTGGATGCTAAACCCATCTCACATTCCTGGATAAGCCAAACCTCATCATGATGTATTTTTTTTTTATATTGCTGGGTTTGATTTGGTAATATTTTGTTAAAGATCTTTCTTTATGTCTATATGTATGAGATACATTGGTCTGTCTTTTATTTTTTTTTTGTAATCTCTATCTGGATTTGGAGGCTTGGTGGCTTCATAAACAAGCTGGGAAGTATTTCTTCTTTTTTTCTTTTCTAAAAAAAGTTTGTATAGGGTTTAATTCTTCCTTAAATATTTGATAGAATTGACCAGTGAAACCATCTGGTCCAGGAATTTTCTTTTTGGGAAGATTGTTAATTATGAGTTAAACTTTTGAGATTGATGAGGGGTTTATTTTGATTCAGTTTTATAATTTGTGTCTTTTAATCAATTGGTTCATTTAATTTATCCAAGTTATGGTATAAAATTGTTCACAATAGTCCTCTGTTTTTGTTTCGATGTCTGAAGTATCTGGATAATATCTCCTTTTTTATTTCTGATATTTGTTAATTTGTGTCTTTTCTATTTTATTCCCATGGTCATCTAGCTATTTATCATTTAAAAATGTTTTCCAAAAAGCAGCTTTGGGTTTGTTTTTTATTTCTTCGATTATTTGCTTGTTATTATTTCTTCCCTTCTATGTACTTTGATTTTAATTTGCTTTTCTTTTTCTACCTTGTTAACGTAGAAGTTTATTTAAAAAAAAAATTTCTTCTAAACCAGTGGCTCTCAAATTTTGTTGCCAATTGGAATTGTCTGGGGAATCCTTAAAAATTAATAATTCTGTCTCCCATCCCCAGATATTTTTATTTAATTGATTAAATTGATATGAGGTACAATGGGATTTTTAAAAACTCCCTATGTGATTTTTAGTGTGTAGCACATTTGGGGAAACACTGTTCTGAGCAGTACTTTAGTTTTCTCCCACAAATTTTGGTATATTATGTTTTCATTTTATTCAAGATGTTTTTAAATTTCCCTTGTGGTTTCTTTTTTCCATTGATTATTTAGAATTATATTGTTTGACTTCCAGATATTTCAGGACTTGTTCCTTAATTGATTTCCGTTTTAACTCCTTTGTGATCAAAGAAAGTACTTTGAGTGATTTCAATCCATTTTTTTAAGGCCTGGAATATGCCCTATTTTAGTTAATTTTTTTACGTGCATTAGCAAATTATGTGTATTCTGCTATTGTTGGGTGAGTGTTCTGTAAATATCAAATAGGTCAACTTGTTGATGGTGCCACTGAAGTATTTTATATCCTTACTGTTTCTGGTCTCTTTGTTCTGTCAATTACCTAGAGAGTAGTGTTGAAATCTCCAGCTATTATTATGGGTTTCTTTTTTTTCCTTTCAGTTCTAGTTTTTACTTCATGTGTTTTGAAGCTTCATTATTAGGTGCATAAATATTTAGAATTGTTATTTTTTAATTGTCATTTTATAGCTTACTCCTGCATTTGTCCTCCACCCTTCCCTTTGATGACCAATTTTGCAGGCTTCAGGGAGATCAGGGAACAAAGTTGGGGCCTGGCAGCCCCACTATTCTGCCAGCTGGGGAGAACAAGTCACAATTACAAATCGTCACAACAATTAGCACCTGTAGTTGGGAGAGCTGCAAAGTGAGGAGGCCCCAGGTCTCCATTGTACATGGGTCTATTTGACAGTGACCTTACTCTGGAAATAATGATATTCCTTCAGTCTGAGGTAATTGATGTTGATGAAACCGGTGGCATCGATTGGCTCATAATTCCCCTGCACGTTGACGCTCACCAGCTCCTCCTTGTAGAGAGAGAGTAGAGACTCCTGGCTGAGGATGTGCACCTGGCCCTTGAAGATGGGCACCTGCACTTTTCCTTCCATTTGCTCCTGGGACTTGGTGATGCAATGGTGGACAGATTTACACTCAGGGTTGATTTTGTGCACTTCCCGATCCATAGTGAAGTCCTCGATGTCTAAATCAGCCTGTTGAAGGATGGTGCCTGCTGGGGTCTTGTAGATACCTCTGGACTTTATTCTAATGAAGCAGTTCTCCATAATGTCAATACAGCCCATGCCGTGCTTGCCCGTGACTTCGTTCAGGTACACGAAGAGCTCCAAGGAGGTCTGGTGAGGTGGTGCCATCTTGATGGTCACTTTCACGGGGACCCCTTTTTTTGAACTTGATCTTGAGAATTTCAGGGGTGTTGTGGGCTTTGGCTAGGTCCTGGGTATATCGGTAATGACATCTTTGCCTTTGTGTTCATTTTTGAAAAATATTTGATCTGGCTGTATGATTTTTAGTCTCACAGTTTTTTTCTAACAGCACTCTAAGAATGTCATTCCATTTCCTTCCAGCTTGCATAATTTCTGACAAGACATGTGTTATTATATTTACTCCTATATTATGTGCCTTTTTTTCTGGGTACTTTTAAGATTTTTTTCTTTGTTACTTTTTTTTTTTTTTTTTAGCAATTTGATTATATCATGTCATGGTTTTTCTTTATTCTTCCTGGGCTTTGTTGAACTTCTTGGATTTGTAGGCTGATATTGTTTATTAAATTCAGAAAAATTGGGGGCATGTTTTCTTTAAATATTTTCTTGACCTCTTTCCTCTTATTTTAGTGCTTGAATTATAAAAATGTTAGATTGTTGTTGCCCTCACATGTTACCAAGACTGTTTATTTTTAAAATATTTTCTTCCTTCATACTTTGTTTAAAATAATTTATGTTGCTATGTTTCCAGCTTCACTGATATTTTCTGTAGTGTCTTATCTGCAACATTTTCGTATCAAAAATATTTTTAAATATTTAGACACTTAATTTGGTGATTCTCAATATGTTCTCTTTGTCTTCTCGTTATGTTCATATTTCCTTTAAGTCTTTAATCTTATTGAACTTATTTTAATAGCTGTTTTAAGGCCTTTTAATGTTAATTTTGTTATCTTTGTTAATTGGATCTGTTTTTATTGACTGATTTTTCTCCTAGTTGTGGGCAACATTTTCCTCCCTTTTATTTGTCTGTCTCTAATTTTTTTTTTCACTGTTAGGCATTGAATATTAGTATTTACATTGTTCAGCTGAATTTGAACAATGTACATACTAATTTACATTGGTTTTTCTTTTTGGTTACTAATGTAGTACTAATTACATTTTGGTTTTTCTTTTAAATGGTCTCTCTCCCCACCACCCTCCACTTTTTTGGTAGGCATTTAAATTATTTGCAGATCAGCCTGCTCATTTCAAGGCTATTTTTGTGCTTTTCAAGGATGATCTAGGGTAATCTTTAGAGCTAGTTTAGACTCACTACTAAGGCATGAGCTTTCTGGAGTCTCTACAGAATACTCTGGGTATTCAACAACAAGGGCTCTTCATTCTTGGAATTGTTCACTTTATAACTCCCCTGAAATTGATCTTTTCCTGCTATTTTTCACTTGGCTGCTTGGAGTTTCACCCTATGCAGCACAGATTCCTATTCAAAGCCTCATGAGTATTCTTATGCCAATCTCTGCATAGCGTTCTTTTTATCTTTAATATGTCCCACAAATTCCAGCCATCCCAGTGTCTTCAAACTCTAATCTGTTTCTCAACTTATTTGGACCATGAGGCTCTGAGTTCCCCATTCTTATACCACAGTTTGGACTTTGCATCTAGGTTGGAATAGGGGCAGTCTTAGATATCACCTGATTTGTTTCCCTTTTGTTAATAATCACATGCCTCTTCTGCCATTGGTCCACTATCTGAAATAGCTTTATATATTTTGTCCACTTTTCTAGTTATGTATAGGATTTTGAGGGCAATCCTGTAGAAGTTCAGCATAATTATTTGTTTCACTTAAATTTAATGAATGTAATTTTTCTAAATCTGAATATTGAATCTGGCTACTCTTAGAAGCAAGCTTTATGTTACTGTATGTTTTTATTTTCAGAAATTTCAAATCTTTATATAGAGACCATAAGATTATTTAACCAAGGTTATACTGATGTCTTAAAAAAAACTCTCAGGTTTTTCAGAAGATACCCTTTAGGTAATTTAATTTTACTTGCATGTATGTGCAAGTTGGTGATGTACATGTACAGCTTCTTTTAAAAATGGATTGGGACCTAACAATGAAAACATGCAGTTGTAATGGTTCTTACTGTAGTGCATGTTGAATTATGAGAGTTACTCATGGTTATATGTTATCCATGGGGACTTTTAATATGCTTGGTTATACAGATCTGCAAATTTTTAGCTGTGGGCTGATAACCATATTGAATCATAAATTTATTACTGATGCATTGCTTTCTAGGTGGACGTTAAATTTTAAGAGAATTAAGGGTAGGAATTGGCTTTCTATTATGAAATGGTTTCTTCAACTTTAAATGGATGTCTTAAATGTAAATATTACTAGTTTGTGTAATCAATACACAAAAACATTATTTGGAACAAAAATTAATTACAAAGTTTCTTAAGAATAATAGAGGAAATGCAAAATATTTCTAAATAAAAACAATTTAACTGACAGAAGCTTGTCAGCACTTAGCAACATTTATTTTCAATTACAAATGGTACTTTTTATCACCATTTTTATTCTAGCTTTGTATCAATATATCATCTAGACAGAAAGTGCTGATGTAGGTTTTTCAGTGCTAGTCTGCAAAGGAATTGAAGGTGAATGTGGTTTTAGTTACATATCTTCCTTCCTCTACATCTGTGCTTTGTGTTTTATTAGACTGCTTAAAATACATTGTTGTCAAATATCTAAATGTCAGGCTTGCTGATCATTTATATGCCTTCATATTTAAAAAAAATATTAACTACATACAATGTGGTTATCAGCTGTCTTTTCTAGGGGTATCTGTAAATTTGAGAGTGTTTTATTGGTAGATACATGAGAAGTTAGTATCTCCAAGTATTTCATTCATATTGGCTTACTGCCATGTGAAATTTATTACTGAACTTTCATATGAAAAAGATAAAACACACTGTCATCTCATCTTGTCCCATTGTACATTTCAGTTACAGGAACAAAATGATATGCTTGCAGTTCTGTGATATGATGCACTAGAAAAATCTTTATTATAGAGATTGTGTGACTTAGAGTTTGTGTGTGTGTTTATGCGTGACTGTTGCAGAATAAAGTTGTATTTATGTGTACCCATAGTGATATTTCTGTGTCTGTATGAACATAGTGATTCAGTAGATTAGATCATGAGCATTCTTTATATTTGTCTACAGTAATTAAGTCTCTCACTGAATATGCACCAAGTACTGGCCAAGCTGTCTTATAATAAATATTATACTTATTACTTGTTTCAATGGCTATACAGATAATCAGAAGTGTTGCAAGTTGGTCACTTATTGGAAAATCTTAAATACGCTACTTACAGGGAACTTACCATGTATGTACACATATGGTATTATCTTCTACTTTTTTGGTTTGTTTTAGATAAGTGCTGTTGCTTAGCATTTAAGGTAGAATGTTTTATTTTTATAAGTTAATTAATATATATTTAGTTCTATGACCTTGAGCATGCTATTTAATTTTCCCATGCCTGAGTTATCTCATCTCTGAAATAGGAATAAAATAGTTCCTGCTTCGTAGGATTGTGTTGAAGATTAAATGAGTTAATACAAATGAAGCACTCAGAACAATTCTTGAACCTAAGCAAATTTTCAGTGAGTAGTAGTTATTGTCACCATTATTATTAGTCAATTTAAGAATCAGCCAGTAATATTTATTTTTCTTTTTTATGTCTTTATTTATATGTAATTTACATTTCATAAAATTCACTCATGCTAAGTATAGAAATTGATGATATAGTGAATGTATAGGGTTGTACAGCCATCACTGTAATCCAATTTTGGAATGTTTTAATCATCCTGAAAATACTCCCCATGGCCATTTGCACTTACTGTTATTTCTTACCCCTACCTCCAGGCAACCAGTAATCTATTTTGTATTTCTATTGATTTTCCCCTTCTGGATATTTCATTTAAAAAGAATCACACAATAAATGGTCTTTTGTGTTGGCTTCTTTCCCTGAGTGTAATGTTTCTGAGGTTCATCCATGTTACAGTATGTATCTGTATTTTGTTCTTTTTTTTGCTGAATATTATTTTTTGTTTAGATGCACCTCATTTTGTTAATCCACACACCATTTGCTAGACTTTTATGTTGTGTTGCTTTTAGGTATTATGAATAATACCATGAATATGCTTTTATAATTCTTTCCGTAGATATATGTTTTCATGTCTCTTAGGCAGATTTCTAGGTATGGTATTGCTGAGTTGTGTGATATATTTATGTTTAACTTTTGAAGAGACTGCCAAACCTGTTTTCCGGAGCTGCTGTGTGTACCATGTTACATTCCCATGAGCAGTGTATGAGGGTTCTATTTTCCCCACAACCTCACCAACATTTGTTATTTTTTATCTTTTTTGATTTTAGCTATCCTAGTGTGTGTAAAGTAGTATCTTATTTTGGATTTAATTTGCATTTCCCTAAAACACATATTTATGTGTCTTACTCAAGGTTACACCCCAACTCTGGGGATACTGGGAATTTCATTATGTATATGTCGGCTCAAAGACCCTGTCTCTTTTCCTCATGTGGGATAATTTTCAAAAACTATACCCACTGCAGAGGTTCCTGTGGCTTAAACCTCTGTTAGAACCACACTGCAATTCAGCTTCTTTCTCTGCCTGTCCTGCTTCCTTCACTCCCTTTCAGATGTTGTTCCTAAGGGCACTCCCCAAAATGCATGCAAATCCCAGAATCTTAGAGCCTGTTTTCTAGGGAATCCACCTATTAACAGGGATATAGAATTGATAGGAGTCACTAATTTAGAGAGAGTGATTAAGGAAGACCTCTAACTTGAGGTAATCTTTGATCAGAGACCTGAATAAAATGAGGAATTAAACCACCTAGATAAGTTGGGGGAAACTTTTCCAGACAGAAGAGCAAATGCAAAGATCTAAGGCAGGACCATGCTTGACAGTAAAAGACCATGTGGGGAGTGACCAGAGTCAGTAAGAGGGAGGAAAGGTAGAATATAACAAGAGGCCACACCTTGCATGGCTTTTGAAGTGTTTTCAGTAATGGAATTCCATGATCACTCTAGATGCTCTGTAAAAATTGAGTGTAAGGGACCAAGAACAGAAATAGGGACCCAGTAAGGAGGCTACTACAATAGTCCAGGTGAAAATGGTTGTGACTTGAGTTAGGGTGGTAGCATTGGAGTGGCTGAGAAGTGGCCAGATTCTGGATATATTTTAAAGATGTACTTTTTTGATGGCTGGGATATGGAGTATGAGAGAAATAGAGGAATCAAGGAGGATTCTGAAGTTTTTGGCCTAAGCAATTGGATGAATGGAAATTGTGTATTGAGATACAAGAGGCAAAGGAGTGGCAGGGGTGGTAGAAAGCAAATTTTACCTTTTAGACATGTTAAATTTGTATGCCTATAAGACATCCAAATATAATGTAGAGAAGTTGTCATTCATATCTGAGTCAGGACTGAAGATAGAATTTGGGTAATTTTCAGGATATACATTATATTTAAAGCTATGCACCTTAGTGAGATCACCTAGACAGAGATTGGCAATTTTTCTTCTGTAAAGGATCAGAAGCACTATCTAGTCCTTGTTGCAGCTATTCAATTTTTACCTTGTATTGTGAAAGGAGCTGTAGACAATAATTAAGAAAATGGGTGTGGCTGCGTTCCAATAAAACTTTATTTATAAAAATTAATAGGTGGTAAGCTACATTTGGTCTGCAGGTAGAGTTTACTGACCTGTGACCTAGACAGTGAATAGAGAAAGACAAAAGTCCTATACCCCTCCTAGGGTAGTCCAACACTTAGAGGTTAGGAATAATGGGAGTCAGGAAAATGAGAAGGAGCAGCCAGTGACCTAGGAGGGAAACTCAGAGAATGTGATTAGGTTATCATTTATGTTTCTCCTCACTTCAACTATGTTTTTAAGTGCATAAATAATTCATGTAAAAATCCAAACAGATAATACTCTAATCTTTTATAATCTTACACATATTGTTTCTCTGATATTATACTTTGATATTCTTTAGAATTTATGTGTATTACAATATAAAATGTTCATAACTTTTTAGAGATTTGAGTGTGAAGTTCTAATAATAATTTTTAGTGCATTTTTTTCAAATATGCTATTTTTAAACTATAATGTGTGGGGTTATTTGTTAAGATGATGTAGTTGGAATTTTCTGTTCCTGAACTTTTAGCTGGTCTCTGTGTTCGTGGTGCCTGTATACTTGGGAGCAGTAAAAGCAGAGAAAGAGAGTTCAGAGATAACAGATAAATCCTTTAAATTTGAGTATTTCCATTTCTTGAGACCTTTGAAATTTTTATAAAAGTACACCATTGCACATTGTCTAGTAAGTAACTAAAAATGAGCTGTGTAAGCACATGTGAAACTCACTAAACCATAGTCGGTAAAAGGAGTTACAGACTTGTAATGTCTTAGCTCAGAAAGATAACTGATTGTATGTTACCAGAAGTCTTGGTTAAATTTGTACTGTATTTAATTTGTAGAACTGTAGTTCTAGCAATCTACACCTGGTGTAATTTTTATTTTTCTGACGTTGCTATAAGTAACAGATGCAAGGTGAAGTAGGAATTAAGGAACTACTTTAGACACATTTTTTGGGTTGCATTTTGGAGTTCAGACACCAGAAGTGATTCTGAAATTTTTGTATTGCCTACTGACAGACATTATGTACCAAGAACTCACATTACTGTAGGTCACTGAATTAATTTAAGAAATACCAATTGACATCATTCCTTTAGGGAATTGTGGGCTACTGCTTGATATTATTGTCTTTGACAAATGTGAAAATTTAGAATAAACTTTATTTTTAGGGTGTTGGGACCTTAAGAATGAAGTGATTCCTTTCCAAATTTAAATTTTTTCAAATGGATAAAAAGTATAGTTTATAGACTTTCTTTCTACCTGTTTTCACTGAAATAGTTAAGTGGTTGAGTTTTCCGTGAACTGTTGTATGTAGTTACTTATTTCTAAATGGAAAAAGAGTTCCAGAAAGCATTTAAAAGTCTTGAGAGTTGTGCTCAGAGGTCGCTTGTGATTTGTGGGAAGAAGGTAGTCAAAATTGGTATTCCTTATGTGTCTATTACATTTGAATGCATGTATATTCTGTTATGTATAATGTGTTCTAGATGAAATCCTTAGGAAGTAAAATTTTTTCATTGTAATTACAGTGACAGCTGGGAAAACCCTTTTTGCTTGAAGACTCTCAGTAATGCCCCTGAACACTCCTAATATTTCAGCTTCTTGTGGTGACCATTTTTAATTGTAGCACACTCAACCTGAATTCTTTGTATGCTAGTTATCTACTCAGATGAATTTACATCCTTTTTACTCCAAAATATATAAAAAATGGATTGACTAGCATGAATTTCTGTGGCCATTTGTTTTCTAGCCAAGTAGATAAAGTACTGTGAGCTAGGGCTGTGTTAAATGTGATGCATATGCCAGGCCTTCATAAAGGATAAAACTCCCTGTGTGTTATGCCGCTGCTGGATTAGTTAATTAGTATATGTGTTTGTGGGGGGGTTGTTCCAAGTATGCCTCTTACAGTAATATATAGGTTAGAAAAATAAACACAAACCTTTCAAAAGACTTCCAAGTGGCATGGCTAATTTTGCCCCAATATTATTTTATATTTAACTGATGGCATCTCTGTATTTAGAATTCAAGCTATCATGTAATCAAAGGATCCCAACTTTAACAATATTACACAGAAAGGGATCCTCACTTCTACCCTTTCACAATCCTCTGCAGGATTCTTTACAACCCAAAAAATATTGGGTTTTGTGTTTGGGATGTAGCTTTCAAACTATGTAATTTGGAATAGCTGCTTAACTTTTTTCCTGTGATTCTTCATGTGTAATAAATAAAATAGTTGACTTAGATTATTTTATTGACCCCCTTTAAACAAAACATATATTTTGAATACTTACTACTTGAGGCTGCAGTGATTGTACCAACCTGGTACATTGCACCAACATTGCAGGTGTGATTGCACCAACCTGGGTGACAAAGTGAGACCCTGTTTAAAAATATATATATATATATATACCTGGGCTGTATTAGTCTGTTTTTACACTGCTATAAAGAACTACCTGAGACTGGGTAATTTATAAAGAAAAGAGGTTCAATTGACTTACAGTTCTACATGGCTGGAAATGCCTCAGGAAACTTACAATCATGGTGGAAGGCAAAGTGGATGTCTTATGTGGTGGCAGGAGAGAGAGAGAGAGAGTGAGGGGGGAGGACCTATTAAACAATTTTAAACCATGAGATCTCGTGAGTACTCACTATCACGAGAATAGCATGGGGAAACCGCCCTGTGATACAGTCACCTCCCACCAGGTCCCTTCCTCAACATGTGGGGATTACAATTTGAGATGAGATTTGGGTGGGGACACAGAGCCAAACCATATCACGGTCGTGGTAGCTTGCACCTGTAGTCCCAGCTGCCTGGGAGGCTGAGGTGGGAGGATCACCTGAGCCTGGCGGGGTGGGGGGGGGGGGTCAAGGCTGCAGTGAGCCGAGATTGCACCACAGCACTCCAGACTGGGTGACAGAGTGAAACCCTGTCTCAGAGAAAGAAAAGAAAGAATAGATGTAAATAGACATAAATATATATAATGTGTTCGTGGACTATGAAGGCAATGTGTCTGGAACAGAAAATTTCCATTGTGAAGGTATTAGGAAATAGTTTTAATATACAGATATGCAGATTCTTGAATGCCACCTTGAGGATTTTTAATTTGATTTTATAGTAAATTGAAGCTTTTTTTGTTTTGTTTTGAGACAGAATCTCACTCTGTCACCCAGGCTGGATTGCAGTGGTGCGATCTTGGCTCACTGTAACCTCTGCCTCCTGGTAATTCAAGTAATTCTCCTGCCTTAGCCTCTCGAGTAGCTGGGACTTCTGGTGCATGCTACTGCGCCTGGCTAATTTTCGTATTTTTATTAGAGACGGGGTTTCACTGTGTTGCCTGGGCTGGTCTTGAACTCTTGACTTCAGGTGATCTGCCTGCCTCAGCCTCCCAAAGTGCTGGGATTGCATGCGTGAGCCACCGTGCCCATCTGTAAATGAAAGCTTTTAAGGTTTTTGAGCAAGTAAAGTGATAAAAGCAGCATCTTAATTCTGGAAAAGGATGATTCCATTTCATTATATGAGGTAATCTATAGAGATGAATAAGGAAACTTGATATTGCTGGGAATACAAGTTGGGCGTTTCATAGAAAGTTAGTTTCAGAACAGAAGGCTTTTGCTTGGTTTTAATTTGAATATATAGGACATGTACATTGTGAATGAATGGAGGATTGCTTTTTCCTAACTTAATATTATTATTATTATTATTATTATTATTATTATTATTATTATTATTATTTTTGAGATGGGGTCTTGCTATGTGGTCCAGCCTGGAGTGCAGTGGCAATTCACAAGCACAGTCGTAGCTCACTACAGCCTTGAACTCCTGGGCTCAAGCAGTCCTCTTGCCTCAACCTCCTGAGTAGATGGGACTAGAGATGCATGCCACCCTACCTGGCTTCTATTATTTTTTTAAAACCTTGAATTTATAACATGATAAACAGTCTCTCAGAGAATATTTTTATGGATTGTATTCACCAGTCTTGCATTTACCACTGTGTTTGGAATGTTGGCAGTGCTAAATAAATAATGGTTTAATAATGAGCCTATAGTCTTCCTAATTCTATTCCTTAATAGCCTCTCAAGTTATTCCTTCCATCTGATGTTGAACGTAGCTATGCAGTCCGTGGTTTACCAGTTGAATTGCTCAGTATGACCATGACTTGCTTAACATTTTTCTCAATCAGACTTCGTGAATATTTAAAGAACCTCTTGAACAGAAGTAGTAGTCTACTACCAGTCAGAGCCCATAATTCCAGAGTGCTACAGGATGTGTAATCTGTAGTGTTTCTTTGGAAAGGACATGACTGGTTAATTTTTCTCTTATTCAAAGAAGTACATTGAAATTTGGAAAGGTATTAGAACTGCAGTTTTAATCCTACTTATCTATATATTATTTTAATGCTAAAATTCTTTTGCTACTACAGGATTTGTTTTTCTTTAAAGAACCATATTCTGCCTTGTGTTATTGTTAGTTAAGCACAGGTCTGTCTTAATCAGAATACACTCCTTGGAGGCAGAAAATTGACTTTAATTGCCTTTGCTCCCCCATAACACTTAGAATAGGTTGGCAATCAGAAAATGTTTGAGTTAAAATACTGTCTTTAGTATTTACAGGTAAGTATTCACTAGCAAATTGGAATTGTATTTTATTTACAGATTAACCTTAACTCATGTTATAACTTATTGGATTGCATTTTAGATCAAGAGGCTGAGTTTTTGGGGTATTTCAACAAGATAAACAATCTCACCACATGCTCTCAAATTCTTAAAAATAGAAGCAAATCTGTTCTGTCCAAAGTAAACTTACTCCCAACATTTATGGAAATATTAAAAACAACTAAACTAGAGCAAGGAAATGACAAAAAGCAAAAAGCAACAAAATAAACCTTTCCTCACCAGAATATATTTGGGAAGAGATTATCAGTATAATCCTTTTTTTTTTCTTTTTTGGCATGACTGCAAAATCATGTCACTT
This sequence comes from Homo sapiens, assembly GCF_000001405.40. Lineage (NCBI taxonomy): Eukaryota > Metazoa > Chordata > Mammalia > Primates > Hominidae > Homo > Homo sapiens. The sequence continues at coordinate 111,400,884 of NC_000007.14, read as the reverse complement.
CTGTTGATCATTATGGAAACAAGAAAAGTTGTAAAATTATAAAATAATACTAATACTCTTGAGGCATTTTGTTTTAGAGTAGGATGCAGTCATTGATCTAATGTCATACGCATTTCCAAAGATAAGTCTATGGGGTAAGCAAGAGATTGAGAGCTCCTTTTTAACCTCACACCTAAGCATTTCACATCACCGATATCTTCTGAATAAGCCATGCAGTATATCTACACACAAATTTAACATGGGGAAGGTACAGTAAAATGCACTGTTGTTCAGACTACAGATATAGATGGCTGATCCATAGAAAAGCCTTAAGGAGCACAAGGTGAGAACATTTTAAATGGACAGTGGGGTAGGCTGGAGAAGGTCAAGGAAGTCTGGAAGGGTCAGACTGGTGGGGATAGGGGAATATTACCAAGCAAGAGATGTAGCAGCAGGGTGTGTAAAATTGGTTTCTGGGGATACAGGTCATGTCATCATAGAATTTTGAGATTGAAAAATCTTAAGAGATCTTTGTGCTAAGAAATTACTGATTTCTGAATTGTTCACCACAGTCTAAAATGTTAAGTGACTTATTCACTGTTGCAATCGTTAGTCACTGGCAGGCCTGAAAGGAATTAAAAGTCTTGTAGTCTTGTACTCATTCATTTATTTAACAAATATTTACAGACTGCTTACTATGAGCTAGGTGATAGTGATAAAATATCTGAGACATAGTTCTTCTGAAATTCTTTTGGTTTAGTTGGGGGACTGACTAGTAAGTCAGAAATATAAGGTGATAAGGGCTGTGATCAGATACGTTGAGAGGTCTTGGAAAACACACAGGAGAGGTATCACATTCAGATGGAGAGTGGGACTAAGGACTCAGAAAAGACTTCTGGGGCAAATCTTTTTCAATAGCTAGAGGAATTGAGTTCACTTTTTAAATTAATATATTATAGATATAATTGATGTGTTCTACATAGAGCCAAAACGTCAAACTACTCTTTATAATATAGGATGTTTTGTTGATTCTCTTACTTTATAGTGCTGGTAGCATGGGAAGCAAGGAGAAGGAGAACCTTGACTCTATATTAAAGGAGCCTAAAGATAGGATATGCTAGTACATGTTTAAATGATAGGATATACTACTACATGTTTAAAAGGTAGGAAATGTTAGTACATGTTAAAAACAACTTAGGTGTTGTTAGTATGAAAGGATACATTAATAATAATGCATTAATAATACATCTAGGCCGGGTGCAGAGGCTCATGCCTGTAATCCCAGCACTTTGGGAGGCTGAGGCTGATGGATAACTTGAGACCAGGAGTTGGAGATCAGCCTGGGCAATATGATGAAACCCTGTCTCTAATAAAAATAAAAAAATTAGGCAGGCATGGTGGTGCATGCCTGTAATCCCAGGCATTCAGGTGGCTGAAGCACACTTGAATCTGGGAGGTGGAGGTTGCAGTGAGCTGAGATTATGCCATTGCACTGCAGCCTGGGCAACAGAAAGAGATACTGGGTCAAAAAAAAATTAATCTGTTTGCTTTGTTGAAGACCAATTGGCTGTATGTATTTGGGTTTATTTCTGGGTTCTCTATTGTGTTCCATTGGTCTATGTGCCTATTTTTAAACCAGTACCACGCTGTTTTGATGACTATGGCCTTACAGTATAGTTTGAAATCAGGTAGTGTGATGCCTCCAGATTTGTTCTTTTTGCTTAGTCTTGCTTTGGCTATGCAGGCTCTTTTTTGGTTCCATATGAATTTTAGAATTGTTTTTTCTAATTCTGTGAAGAAGAATAATGGTGGTATTTTGGTGGAGATTGCTTTGAATTTGTAGACTGCTTTTGGCAGTATGGTCATTTTCACAATATTGATTCTACCCATCCATGAGCATGGGATGTGTTTCTATTTGTTTGTGTCATCTGTGATTTCTTTCAGCAGCATTTTGTAGTTTTCCTTGTAGAGGTCTTTCAACTCCTTGTTTAGCTGTATTCCTAAGTATTTTTTTTTTTTTTTTGCAGCTATTGTAAAAGGGGTTGAGTTCTTTATTTGATTCTCTGCTTGGTCACTGTTGGTGTATAGAAGAACTACTGATTTGTGTACATTAATCTTATATCTGGAAATTTTGCTGAATTCTTTTATCAGTTCTAGGAGCTTTCTGTAGGAGTCTTTAGGGTTTTCAAGGTAAATGATCATGTTTTCAGCAAACAGTGACAGTTTGAATTCCTCTTTACCGATTTGGATGCCCTTTATTTCTGTCTCTTGTCTGTTTGCTCTGTCTAGGACTTCCAGTACTATGCTGAAGAGAAGTGGTGGGAGGGGGCATCCTTGTCTTGTTCCAGTACTCAGAAGGAATGCTTTCAACTTTTCCCCATTTAGTATTATGTTGGCTGTGGGTTTGTCATAAATGGCTTTTATTACATTGAGGTATGTCCCTTGTATGTCGATTTTTGCTGAAAGTTTTAATCATAAACGGATGCTGGATTTTGTCGAATACTTCTTACCTACTGAGATGATCATGTGATTTTTATTTTTAATTCTGTTTATATGGTGTATCACAGTTATTGACTTGTGTATGTTAAACTACTCCTGCATCCCTGGTATGAAACCCACTTGATCATGGTGGACTATCTTTTTGATATGTTGTTGGATTAGGTTAGCTAGTGTTTTGTTAAGGAGTTTAGCATCTGTGTTGATCAAGGATATCAGTCAGTAGTTTTCTTTTACTCATGTAACCAAATACCACCTCCACCCCAAAAACTTATGGAAAAAAATTAATCCGAAAAGTGTTTATGGTTTAAACTTGACGTGTTAAAATACTTTTGTCTGAAAAAAACATGATTAGCTCTCTCCAATTCTGTATACAAAATGCATTTCAGATGGGTTAAATATAGAAATAATATTAAATGTAAGTCATAAAATACTTAGAAGAAAGTATAAATGAATTATTTCATAGTAGGCCCAGAAAGGCCTTCCTCGATATAAAACCAAAGGGACATATAATGAAGGAAAAGTTTAACAAATTTGATTATGCAAAATGAAAGTCTCTTATATGTCAAAAAAACATGAAATGATAAAGTGAATGAGAACCTGGAAAAGTATTTGCAACATCAAACATATCACTCCTGTATAAAAAACAGCCACAAAATAGTAATAAAAAGCAAATACATCCGAAGGATAATAGGCAAAGGTCATGAACAGATAGTTCAAAAAAGAAAATGAAAAATGAATTTATTAAAGTGATTAATCTTACTTGTAAATGAAATGGCATGAAATTAAATGAGACATACTTTTTCATCCATCATACCAGCAACACAATATTGATGGTTTCTTTAAACTGTACTTTTATAGATATTGGAGAAAGAACAGTTTGGTGGTAGGCATCAAAAGGCTTGACAGTATTTACATGTCTTTACTTGGTACTTTCAACTTTTAGAATTTTTTTCCAAGACATAAATCAGAGACCAGAGCAAAGATAAAGGGATGTTCGCTACTGCATTATTATGGTAGTAACTGTCCAATAGTGGTGGGTTAGCAAAATCAACTACAATATTTACAAATGATGGAATATTCATACAGCCATTCAAAAATCATGTTTTCGAAGACTATGAATATTGAAAGTGCTCCTATAATATTGTCAAACAAAAAAGCAAGTTACAAAATGATGTATACTATAATTCCAGTATTTGAAAAATATAGTATATATGTCTAGATAAAGGACTAGAGGACTACAGAGAATGTAAATATTGGAAATATGTCTATTATAAGTGATTTTATTTTCTTATAGTGAAAAATGTTTTCTTTTTTTTTTTGAGATAGAGTCTCGCTCTGTTGCCCAGGCTGGAGTGCAGTGGCGCGATCTCAGCTCACTGCAAGCTCTGCCTCCCTGGTTCATACCATTCTCCTGCGTCAGCCTCCTGAGTAGCTGGGATTACAGGCGCCTGCCACGATGCCTAGCTAATTTTGTTTTTGTATTTTTAGTAGAGATGGGGTTTCACCGTGTTAGCCAGGATGGTCTCAATCTCCTGACCTTGTGATCCGCCCTCCTCGGCCTCCCAAAGTGCTGGGATTACAGGCGTGAGCCACCGCACCCAGTGAAAAATGTTTTCTAAAGCTTCATTTATTTTATGAGAAAAAGTTACAAACTACAGACTAGCATTGTATATTGTTATGATAGTATTGTATATATACATATAATTTGCTAACTATATTTATCTATTCTTTTTCATTTTTATTTTACTTTAAGTTCTGGGATACATATGCAAAACGTACGGGTTTGTTAAATAGGTATACATGTGCCATGGTGGTTTGCTGCACCTGTCAACCCATCATCTAGGTTTCAAGCCCTGCATGCATTAGGTATTTGTCCTAATGCTATATCTCCCCTTGCCCCACAGCCTCCACAGGCCCTGGTGTGTGATGTTCCCCTCCCTGTATCCATGTGTTCTCATTGTTCAACTGCCACTTATGAGTGAGAACATGTGGTTTTCTGTTCCTTTGTTGGTTTGCTGAGAATGATGGCTTCCAGCTTTATCCATGTCCCTGCAAAGGACATGAACTTATTCTTTTTATGGCTGCATAGTATTCCGTGGTATATATGTGCCACATTTTCTTTATCCGGTTTATCATTGATGGGCATTTAGGTTGGTTCCAAGTCTTTGCTATTGTAAATAGTGCTGCAGTAAACATACGTGTCCATGTGTCTTTATAAACATACATATCCATGTGTCTTTATAGTAAAATGATTTATAATCCTTTGGGTATATACCCAGTAATGGGTTTGCTGGGTCAAATGGTATTTCTAGTTCTAGATCCTTGAGGAATTGCCACACTATCTTCCACAATGGTTGAACTAATTTACACTCCCACCAACACTGTAAAAGTATTCCTGTTTCTCCACAGCCTCACCAGCATCTGTTGTTTCCTGACTTTTTAATAATCGCCATTCTAACTGGCATGAGATGGCATCTCATTGTGGTTTTGATTTGCATTTCTCTAATGACCAGTGATGATGAGCTTTTTCTCATATGTTTGTTTTCTCTTCTTCAGACACTCTGGATATATGCAAATTCAGTAATATGAATTTTATAGTTTAAGTAAATTTGTTTACTAATGCTTATTTAGTGGAGAGTCCAGATGGAATTAATGCCCAATAGTTTTTTTGAGAATGTGGCAGAATAATATTACTATAGATAGTTGTGTATTTTTAGTACAATAGAGATTAAATTATACTATGCTTTCAATTAACTTACTTAAATGGGCGAAAGGCAAAAACTATCAACAGCAGAATAAAGAAAGATTACATATGTAAAAGTACCAAAAAGCTGTATTGTGTTTGCTTCATTTTCTCACTTTTAGAAATTTTGTACCTGTACTATGATTTTCATTAAAATGTAGATATTTCTTATACTAGCACATTCATTTACAAGAAATAAAGAAATTTTGCTCAAATGATTATAATACAGTATAAAGTAAAACTGAGTTCATGTAGTAATGTGTGGAGACACGAACAAAATTGGACTAAAATTTTTTATTGATTGCTTTCTAATTATGGTAGAAATACATTTTAGGTTTCCATTTATGGAGAAAGAAAAAAATGGCAGAGGGTAGAAGAGTGATGTGGAAGAAAAAATAGAAAATATAACTTGATACTTTTGGTTGAAAGAAAAAGATGATTGAGGCAATTGGCCACACCTGCTCTGTCTGACTACTCTTGACTCCTTTGGCTTCTTAGTGTTTTCACCATCCTAACCACTGCTGGCCAGTCCCGTCACAGCTGCCCTCTGCTTCCTGCTGCGCTATATGTTTGGCCACTCTCATGTTCACATGAATGGTACAAGACATTAACTCATGAAGTCAAAGGATACTCATCAGGTGGCGAACAGCTGCACACATAATGCACAGCTCCACAGTGACATATAACAGTGTGTTCAAATACTTCAGAAAGACCCTTGCCACTTCGATGACACCAATCAAGGACCTGATCAATGGCCACCATTTCTGCATGTCGAGTAGCCTGAAAAGTGAATGGGCCTTACACTGATACTATTTGCTTCATGTAACTACTATTTTACAAATATACAAAAAATAAGTACAAAAAAAGGATGATCGATTAGAGTTATCTTTTAAAACTCATAACCATGGAATTGTCTTATAGTCTATTTTCCAATGAGATTCCTAGGTTTTTGATTTGGTAGCTAGTGACAGGGACGGATATTTAAAGTTCTTTGAGATGAAAGAACTTTATTACTTTATTTATTTACTTATTTCTTTGAGATGAAAGAACTAACTTATTTCGGCTTGAATACTCTGAGCTAAGTCATTTAGCACAACCTTACATAACCCCATCAGAGTGTTTACAGTTTTTTAATATGGGGACAAATGAAAAATTTAGAAAATTAGGATAGAAAACAAACAAACAAAAATGGCACTCAGAAAAGAAATAGAATAAGGAGAACACATCAGAACCCTAACTTGATTCATATTTGTTTCTGAGACTTTTGTTATTTGTTTAGAAATGATGATGATGTTGATGATGTTGATGTCATCAATGATGGCAGCAATGAAAATCTGTTATACTACATTTAATGCTAAATGCTTTACATAGGTTATATCTGAGGTAAGCCAGAAACTGTTGAGAGAGGAACTTAATATATTTATCAAACCTAAGATTCATCTTTGTGTCATTTATTTTATCTTTGTCTTATGTATTTATGATAAAGTATTTCTTCATGTACTTTATCAAAAATATTGTCAGTTAAACTATGATATTATCGACTGTAAGATATATCTTGATTCCAGAGATGATAAAATATTTTAAAAATTATATTATCATCAATGAAATATGTTGATTGGTGAAAGTGAGACTAGCAGACTGATGAACAACTGTTTCCTATTTTGAAATCAGTTTTTAAAAAGTTTATCACTAATAAAGGAGGAAATTTTGAAAATGTGAGAATATGATGTTAAGAAACTGTTCCAATCCTGATCTCTTGGCTATCTTTGGGCCTCTCCTTTGTGGAAAAAAACACACGTACATAAAACCCACTTATGTGAGCAGAGAATCAAAAGAAGGATTTGGAGGGGTCTGCATATCTTCAAGTAGGAGTAGCTTTTAATGTAAGTATAGGATAAACTTTAATTTCTGCTAGTTTTATACATTAGATTTCAAAGTTGTACTCTTGGGCGTGAGGGATGGTGGTAGGAAAGATTTTAAGAGTAAAACAGAAAAAGAACATTGAGAAATAAATACGTTGTTCCTTGGGGAGTGTTCTTTCTAGAGACACTGAGCCTGTAAACCATTCCCTCCTACGTAAAATGTCAGGAGCAAGATTAAATAGCTCTTCCTAGCATGCAGAGTTTACAGACTGCAGATATTCCCTGAGCACAGCAGACAATAGAGTAATTTAATTGAAAATATGCAGTGTTCTAAATTCTGCACATTGTTTGGTGCAAAACTTGAGGAAGGAGGAAGGAAGGGAAAGAGAAATGGGACAAGTTTTTTACAAAAGGTAATGGGAGGAGAGCTGTTGCAGAGCCAGGGAACAAGTAACTGGCTATTCACTTGTAAGATCTGTGAAAAAGTGGAAAAAAGAGATTAAAGCATTATAGTAGTGTAGAAAGATATTTCTTTTTTTGTTTCCAGTTCCCAGCAGAGAGCTTCAGAAATCCTTGGAATTTCCTGAGTTATTAGGGTGATGAGAGCATCTTTTGTTCTAGTGAGGTTATTCTTGGTGGGCCCTTAAAAAGCTTCAGGTTGCAGGCTGGTTGCCCAACAGACCAAGCCTTGATTAGCAGCTTGGGACTTTTAATCTCATGTGACAACCTCTGGGGAGGGCAAAGGGGCTGGAGATTGAGCTAATCACTGATGGCCAGTGATTTAATGAATAACGCTTATGTAATGCAGCCTCCACAAAAACCCCTAAATGCTTGGGTTCTGAGACTTTTATAATTGGCGAACACATCCACATGCCAGGTGGGTGGGACCCCCCAGCTCCATGGGGACAAAAGCTACTATGCTCTGGACCCTTCCAGACCTCACTAGATTTACCTCCTCATCTGGCTCTTCATTTGTGGTACTTTTAATGCACCAGTAATGGTAAGTAAAGTGTTTTTTGGAGTTTTATGACCACTCTAGCAAATTACTGAACCTGAAGTGAGGGGAGGACCCTCCCACCTCAGACTTTATAGCCAAGTTGGACAGAAGTGTGTGTAACCTAGGGACCTTGATTTGTGGGACTGAGCACTAAAAATTCTGATGCTAACTCCTGGTTGTTATTATCAGAATTAATTGAATTATGGGACTTCGAGTTTGTGTCAGAATTGGTTGGTGTTAGAAGGAAAAACACTTCTCACTTGATGTCAGAGGTGGCTTGAGTAAACACAGCTCAAGCATACTTAGGAGAGGCATTGAGTTAAAGGCCAGGAAAACTGGAGGGAGGTAAAGAAGTAATAGGTTGATGGGAAGTGTGTTCAGTTGTAGCTAAGGAAGTTAAGGCAATAAAATAAAAAAGTAGTCACATCAGATGCTTTAGAATCTAAATCTATAAATTCTTGGCCCTGGGCAGGAAATTCTTTTTATTGTAGCTTCTGTACATTTCCAGTGGGTGGGGGCATTGATCATTTATATGTGGCTAGAATAGGAAAAAGAGACTTGACTGGTCCAGTTAATCTTTTTCCTGGTTAGACAGTATATCCATTGGAAGGGTGCTTAAAAGATTGGAAATGTGATTGCCCATGTGACTTTGGGGCTAAAAGTATGTTGTTGTCTGAGGTCCTCCTTGGGTCGCTAATAGCCAAAGAGAAAATATAGTTTGCACATTGCTGTATGCTGGATATAAATGCAATCAAGCTGGTAATGAAGAATTTGCATATACAAAGGTAGGAGAGGACATTGAAGCAAGGAGACACTTTCTGAACCTCTGTTGCCAACCGAGAAGAGTTAGCCTAAGATTGAAGAAGTGCATATCTGAGGTCAAGGACAAGGCGGGCAGTGCTCAATGTCATCCTTTAGAACAGAGGGCAGGAATCCCATCTGGAGAGTGGAGGCAACTGAAAGAGAGGTATGGTCGTGTTGTCATATATTAAGGACCTCTATTCAGGTTTCCTTGAACTCATACTCTTATCGTAGTTGTTTGTCTTTTTGCCATTTTTCTGATTGTATAAGGCTGAAGCTTTTTATTTTAAAAAATTTGCATCTTTGGATAGTCATTCTGTATAAAACGAAGGCAGTGCATTACCTATAATTTTCACGTTGGGTTATTTAAAAGTGCAGAAATTTAAGACACTTACAAAGCAATCTGAGTGTAGAATCCTAGATTTGAATTATTTTTTCTGTAACTGTCCACAGTCTAACATTGCCCATATCTAATTTGTTCATAGTTTTAGTGATTCATCTTTATCAAATCTTTGCAAAGCGTTGTACTTACTTTCTTGGATACGATAATCCTTTCTGCACTCATATTTCATCAGATTGTGAATAATATAATTAAACTATATAATTACTATAACAAGAAGAAATGGTAATAAGTGTGGGAACAAAACAACCCCTCTTGGTGAGTGTGAAGCTCAGGGGTGGGAAGAAGAGCAGGTGCAGACTAGAGAGTAGCCTGTACAGGGTGCTGCATGTTCCACAAGGGAGTGGAGAGCCTTGACTAATGGAGTATCAGCAAGAGAGCTGCTCCTGATGCTTGCAGTCTTTCCAGTTCCTCTATTCCTGTGCTTCCTAGAGATTCTTTAGTCCTTTGAACATCTTTCGTTTACATATTAGCAATAAGCCATGTTTATAATTATTACTAAAAATGAAAATAACAGGATATATCAGTAATTGGGACTGCTATTATAGTAGATAATAGGCTTTCAAATAAGTGTAAGAATTCTCAAATTTGTAAGGTAAGGTGTTTTATGTTAGTTGAATATATTTTAGTAGTGAAGTAAGGAGTGATATTACAGGTTGATTATTGAGGTCTCTTGAATTTATCCTATAATTAGAATTTTATTCTTCATAGTTACGTGTTAATGTGTCTGCATTTGTGCTTTTTTGTTTTAAAATGTGATACTAAAAATACACAGAAATTGAAATTTAGCCCCACTGCAGTTCCATAATTTCTTCTTGCTTTGTTCTGTTGCTAAGTCGGAAATTCACATTTGCTAGATTATTACCTATTGCCATGGAAATCGTTTGTTGTATTTCTATTTCACTACAGGAACAAGCAGCAGGAGCTAATGGACCATAAGAGGGAAATTTGTTGTTTAAACAATGATTATCTTTTATATTTGGCTAACATGAAAAGGGGAAAGTACACTTTTTCTGTCACACCGCATGAGAAGGTAAATGGATGAGATTTAGAGACAGAATTTACCTGAAAAAAATTTATACCTGTCTTTTGAGGAAATAAAGTTACCTACTCACAAGACAAAATTATAAAATGTGCCTATATCAAGCTATGTTTTGTCAAGTCACAAAAGAGGTCCTGTGGCAGGTTGGGTTCCCTAGAAGCAGACATTGAGATGGAGTTTGGGGTGTGAGATGTATTTTAGGGATCATCCCTGGGGAAAGGAAGAAGAAAGATACAGGATTGAGCAGGGGAGGAAGCCAAACTGTGAGGCAGGCCTGACAGAACCCTAGACAAGCCAGTGGGGCCCTCAGACAGTGTGGCCTTCAGAGTTGTCTCAAGTTACCCCTGCCCTGTCTGAGGATGTCGAATACCCCAAGGGAGGGCGGTTCTCTGCAGCTGTGGCGATGTTGAAGTCTACTGACCTGGCGGCTGTCTACTGACTGCACTGCCCATATATGGGCCATGAGTGAGTGCTTCTTTGAAGGGGGATCTGGGTGATGCATACTGTTGTCTACATAGGTCTTATTTTGTGACTATCAGGGAAATTTTGCAATTTTATCCTTATATTTATAATTCCCCAATGTACATCATCTTTCTAAGCCAAGTATTCTGTGAGAATTAACATTTTACAGATTTTAGACACGTTCAAGACACCTTTTAACATCCTTATTTTATTTGTTTAGTGCCCTTAGAATTATATAGGCTGTATTAGCCTCTAGCACAAGCATACTTTTTTATATTCAAAATTCAGAGCAGATTGTGGCCCTTCATAGAGAGTTAAGGTTTTTCTTAATAGTTATATGGGCATTTAAGGCCAAACATGTCTTTGTTTTTTAATCATTTGACAATGATTTCAAGCTTGTAGAAACATTGCAAGAATAGTACAAAGAACTGATATGATTTTCACTCAAATTTTCAATATTAAAATTTTATTATAGTTGCTTTATCATATTCTCTCTCTCTCTCTCAATCTGCCCTCCCTCTCCTCTTACCATTACACATTATTATTATTTTGAAGTTTTTTTTTGGCTTGAGAGTACATTGGAGACATGATGCCCCAGTACTCCCTTAGTACTTCAGTGACTATTTTCTAAAAATAAGGACATTTCCCTACATAATCTCAGTATAACCACCAAAATAGGAAACTAGTATTGATACAATATTACCGTCTATTACACAGATTCAATTCATAATTCACTAACTGTCCCAATGATGTTCTTTATATGTCCAGAATCTAAGCCTTGTATTTAGCTGCCCTGGCTCTTTGCTCTCCTTCAATCTGGAATCTTCATTAATCTTGCCTTATCTTTAATGATTTTGACATTTCTGAAGAGTACAGCTATGTTTTGTTTCTCTACTTGGGTTTATCTGATGTTTCCTTATGAATAAGTTGTTATTTTGGGCATTATTACCACAAAAGCGATGCTATGTTCTCAGTTCCTCATGTTAAAAGGTGTGGTTCAAGCTTATCTTGTACTTTTCTTGCCCCAGCCCTGGCGCTACCAAAGACTTCTGGTTTCTTTTAGTGGATGCTAAGGTTGCTCTTTGCTACTGGGTCTAAGATTGCTCTTTACTACTGAGGTGTCTTTGCTTCTAGATCTTTTCAGTGAACAAACCTAGGAAATACAGATTTGCACATTATATGTATATATGTATGTACATATATGCATGTACATACATATATTGATATGGCTTGGCTGTGTCCCCACCCAAATCTCAACTTGAGTTGTATCTCCCAGAATTCCCATGTGTTGTGGGAGGGACCCAGGGGGAGGTAATTGAATCATGGGGGCCGGTCTTTCCTGTGCTATTCTCGTGGTAGTGAATAAGTCTCACGAGATCTGATGTGTTTATCCGGGGTTTCTGCTTTTGCTTCCTCCTCATTTTTCTCTTGCCACTGCCATGTAAGAAGTACTTTTCGCTTCCTGCCATGATACTGAGGCCTCCTCAGCCATGTGGAACTGTAAGTCCAATTAAACCTCTGTTTGTTCCCAGTTTTGGGTATGTCTTTATCAGCAGCATGAAAACGGACTAATACATATGTACATTACATGTATATATGTACGTACATATATACATATACATCTCCATCTATCTATCTATTGATCAGTGATTATCTAAAAATATATGTTCCCACTGATCTCCTCGATTCCAAACGACAGGGTTTATTCTTCCTTCCCCTTTTTGTACTTGTAGGTTCCTTCTCCAACATTAGAAAACCTGGCTCCCATTATCCTCAGTATATTTATTTGTTTGCCCAATTTCCCCTTTTTATACTTAATTTTACAGCTGTATGGGTCATCTCCTTGACCTCAACCCACTATCCCCAGCCAACTGGTTGAATATTTGGTCCCGGTCTTGCTGTCTGTGCCAGCTAATTTCTCAGTCCTAACCAAGGGTAACTGGCCCAGATACTTCTTGTTTCCTAGCACTTTTATTATTTTCTTTTAGATATAAAGGGCTGTGTGGACTCTAAAAGTGATTTGGCTGAGCAGGTAGCATTTGGTATGGGTTATATCATAAAACAAATTTCTATTAAAAATGGGGTTATTTAGTATTTTAGTTTTTTTTTTTTTTTTTTTTTTTTAAAGACAGAGTCTTGCTCTGTCTCCAGGCTGGAGTGCAGTGGTGTGATGTTGGCTCACTGCAACCTCTGCCTCCTGGTTTCAGGTGATTCCCCTGCCTCAACCTCCTGAGTAGTTGGAACTGCAGGCACGCGCCACCATGCCTGGCTAATTTTTTGTATTTTAGTAGAGATGAGGTTTCATCATGTTGGCCAGGGTGATCTTGATCTCCTGACCTCGTTGTCTGCCCACCTTGGCCTCCCAAAGTGTTGGAATTATAGGTGTGAGCCACTGCGCCTGGCCGTATTTTAGTTTTTGTAAAAAAAATTATTATTCTAGATGTGAATGACAGAACTTTAGTGCTTAGCTTAAGATTCTGTTATGCAAGGCAATAACACTGGCATACATGCTAGCCATTTTTGATGTTAAAGATAGTTTATGAATAAGAAACCATCTATATTGTTAAGGCAGGTTTTTCTTTGGTTTCTTTTGGATTTATTTTTTGGCAGCTTGATAAGCAATAGCTAAAACGAGTTCTTGTTGAACCTTGTTTATTGGTTTGCAATAATGAGAACAGTTATTGAGTCCAATAATTTTGTGCTTTTATTTTCAAGTAACAAAGTGTTCTTATTTTGTGATGATACCACAGAAAGCTGGTTTAAAAGCTAGTTTTAAAGGATCTGTAGCTTGAGAGGTTGTAATTTAGAATGGAGACATGGTGGTCAGAGGAAATGAGCCAAAGTTAAAAGCCTTTTCTGTGCCATTGCATCTGTAACCATCCTCAAAGTACTCTGCACTTTATGTCACAAAAAAGCCTCAAATCCTGTGGGTAAATGTTATCTGCAGGAACCTCATCATTTTTGAAAACAGTACTTTTATCCTTAGAGTGTTTGAACAAGAAATACAAATAATAGTATTTTCTTTTCTTTTTACAGGACAACAGATAGATAGAAGTATTCTTCTGCTATTTTTGAATAAGTGCTATGTGATATAAGAAGCAAAATCAAATTTAAAATTAATGGATGGTGAGATAGAAACTTATGGTATTATCTTGTTTAAATCTCTTTTGCCTCTTTTGTGAAACAGTCATTCTCTTCTTTTTGTGGGGTTATTTTATGCCTAATTTTCTTTTACAAGGTAGAATATAATTGCTTGTCAGCTAATAGTTTATGGCACAGATATTTTTGCCAAACACATTAAAGGTAGATCTTGGTTATACATAACCTTCAAGGAACACAGGGAGCACACATGATATGGACAGAGAAGTTGATGGGCAGTGATTATGATCGCACAGGGAAGGGGAGTGAAGGCTTGTGTTATTCTTTTTCTTTAAATGTATTTACAGTTTATCATGAGTCTTTTATGAGTTTTCATGTCCTTGTCTGCTGTAACTTTACTTGCTTCTTATCCATTCCCTCTCTCTGTCTGCCTTTGTCTCTCACATACATTCATTCACACACACCCAAATACACATACCTTCACACTTGAATTTGAGTAGCTGGCATGCTTAGAAATATTCTCAAATGGGGGTTACATAGGGCCAATGTATATAAATTGATGTACCTTTATGTATATATGTATTTGTATAGTCACACACTCTATTTTCAAATAGAAAACCAGTCATACAAAGTATTTGCCTTATCTTAAACATTCAGTTTATGTTTGTTAAGTGAATGAATGTATGAGTCTAAAAAGAGCAATGATATTAAGGATTGGGGAAAACTGGGCATAGGAAGGATTACTCATGGGGAAGTTATTTATTCAGCAAAGATTGACTTGTCTAGATTATTATATCAGGTTATTTATCAATCATGTGGAGCAGGCTGGGAGTGGTGGTTTATGCCTATTATCCCACTGCTTTGGGAGGCTGTGGTGGGAGGTTTGTCTGAGGCCAGGAGTTCAAGACCAGCCTGGACAACAGAGCGAGACCCTGTTTCTTAAAAAAAAAAAATTAGCTGGGAGTGGTGGCATGTGGTTGTAGTCCTAGCTACTCGGGAGGCTTAAGCCCAGGAGTTGGAGGCTGCACAGTCCAGCCTGGGTGACAGAGTAAGACCCTGCCTCTATTAAAAAAAAAAATTCATGTGGAGCAATTGGTAGGTTGAGTTTATTCCTTCACCCCGCCTTACTGAACCAAATCTTATTTCTGATTAGTAGAGGGTAAGTGGATAATTAATTGAGATGTACACATATTTCATTGGAAAAGATAAATTATGCCTTAGATGAAGACAGTGACCTGGGTATGGGATCAGATATTTGTAATTTTTTTCCTTTTCCATCAGCTTTTCTTATGGCAGCTCATTTTCTGTCTTATGACAGCCAAGTAACCAGTAGAGTAAAATGACGTTTATATGGTAGAAACCACAATGAACCACTCAGGACATCTGCCTTTAAAAACAGCAATAAAAAGATCAAACATTCTCTAGTTACAACTTTAACATTTTACCATTTGGAGTGATACTGCTAGTCCTGTCAATGAAAAGGACCACTTGGCATCTTTTTGGAGTATCCGAATGTGTGGTTGTGGACTCACTTCGGCCTAGGGTAGCGCTATGGGTCTTGTACAGGATTTTCTGAACCACTTTTCTAATGTGCCCAAAATGTAGAGAACAGGATACTGCTTCCCCTGCTGCTTTCCTGAATGTCAGCATCTTTTTCTCTTATAAAGGGCAAATTGCTGTATTGAAAGGAGTGTAAGCAATGCAAATCCAAGATTTGGTTAATAGTTCAGGTTAGGGTACCAACCACTTGACTTTCTTACCCCCTTTTTGCTCAAATGCCACTTGTCAGTGAGGCCTTCTTTGGCTATCTTATTCAAAACTGTACCCTTGCCCCCCCACCTCCACCTTGCCTTATTTTCCCAGTAGTACCATTTGACATATACATTTTATTTATTACACGTCTTCCCTATAAGAAAGAGGTGCATGAGGGCAGGGCTGCTGAAATCCCAGTGCATTGCACAAAATAGGCATTTGTTCATTATTGGTTGATGAATAAGGCCTTACAGAACCCACCTAATTTTTCTAAAAATTCATTTCCTCAACTATAAAATGGAAGTGTTAGGAAGTACTTTGTGTGCTGTAATATACTTTATAAGGTGTTTTGTCATTATTAATCAAGTTAGAAATTCTAAATTTAGTACAATTTATGTATTTCCTAACTTTATCCAGTTAAAAAAATACATAAAATGTAAATATGTAAAAAGTATGTAAAATGCTCTTTTTGAAATGAATGGGGACAACTCCAAAGCTGCCTTTCTGGCCCCAGTTCTGTTTACTGCTACGTGACTCATTTTCACTTGTTTATGAATCATATTTTTTGCTTGCTGCTTAAGAGATTCCTTAGCTAGAGGCCAAATGGAGCAGTGATTGGCTGAAGAGTCAAAAGATTTTTACCTATTATACAAAGGCCTTCAGGATCTCCTTCTTTCTGTCTTCTTTCAATAATAGAGGGGCAGTGCTGATAGAGTGCAGCAAGGCCCAGTTTCTGCCCTACAAAGTGCTTTAGGAGTTTGGGAGAAGTAGGAATGAATTGTGACTTGGAGTGGGGACCAACCTTGACAATGTACTCAAGGCCTGAGATACAAAGCTGAATTCAGCAATCTCTACCTGATTTCCTAGTGGAGATACAATTCCCCCTCCTCCCCCTCTTCTCTTCCTCATCCTCCTCCTCCCTCCTCCTTCTCCTTTTCCCTCCTCCTCCTTTCTCCTCTCTCCTTTCTCCTTTCTCCTCTCTCCTTTCTCCTTTCTCCTCTCTCCTTTCTCCTCTCTCCTTTCTCCTCTCTCCTCTCTCTTCTCTCCTTTCTCCTTTCTCCTTCTCCTTCTCCTCCTTTCTCCTCCTTCTTCTTCATCATTTAGAGATGGGGGCTCTCACTCTGCCACGCGGGCTGGAGTGCACTGGTATAGTTATGGCTCATTACAACCTCAAACTCCTGATCTCAAATGTTTCCCCCACCTCAGTGTCCTGTGTAGCTGGGGTTGAAGATGTGAGCCACCTCACCTGGCTGGGAGATACAATTAAATAACTAATTATAACCAAGTGCTTAATTGAGATATAAATAAGACACAAGAGCATAGATGAGGCAGTGATACTGAAATGTAACTGGACAGGTCAGAGAAAACTTCCTTGATAAGGTGACATATAAACTGAATATTCATGGGCTTGAACATATAAAAGTGGAAGGAGGGGGATTTCAGGAGGGGCAGAGTGAGAAAAAGAAAAATGAAAAAGAAAGAGGCAGAAAAACTTAGTGCACATTTTAGTTTGTCACTAGGGTTTTTGGAGGTTCAAGGTGAGATTTTGATTATTGAATCCTCCACCTACCCCTCCTGCCTTCTGGGATTCTGGACTGATGCATTATTTATAAAAATGTATAGAAGCCAACAGGGAAATAAAGTACTGTTTAAAAGGTGGACAAAGGCTGGATAGCCCTCAATGTCTGACTTTTTCAATGAGGAGTGTTGAACCATGAGTCTTGGTTTTGTAGGCGTAGCTCGGTTTTCTGGTCCAGTGAAGCCCAATACTCTTCACTCATTCAATTGTAGGTGGAGACACTGAAGCAGAGTAGAGATGAGGATGGGCAGGCCAAGAGATTCTTTTTAATCACACAAAATAATTATGACCACTCAGCCTGGAGGACCAGATCCTGCCTAGGCATGCCTACCACTCCCAGAAACAGGCAGAGTAGAAGTCCGGGGAATCTGGGCTCATTTCTTTAAAGCACAATAACTTCATCTAAAAGGTTTAAACTGTGGCAAAGTATGATAACTATGACTCTTGCCTTGGGAAGGAACTAATTAGGGTTATATAGACAGGAGAGAAACCCTCTTTATTCTCTTCAGTCTCTCTACTTCCATGTGCATAGATAGAAACCGTAGAGAGATATGTGGGTTCCCTGTCCCCAATCACTCTAGTCTACATTTTCTTCCTCCATGACTAATGGCAATCATTTCTCACAGGTTTATTTTTTGTGTAGTAGAGTATAGATGACTGGCCACAGAGTAGATTAAAGATGACTCTCCCCTACCTGGATGAATCTGTGTCCTTGGCTTTCGAATATTTGCTATAAATATTAAATCCTTGGAAGTATGGAACCACATTTGCAGCTACTGTTAGCTAAAGGTGCCCGGTAATTACTGTATAACCTGAGTAATATTTTAATACAGAACCTAGAGTTCTTACCTGCTTCTGAATTTATCTTTGCCTCTTGAGCCACCTTCACTTTCATTTCTGGACGAAGAGGTGTTCTTTCTTCTGTTCAGGTTTGCCTGTCCATCTGTGTTCTAGGTCTTCTCTCCCAGTTCCTCAGGCTCTTGCTCCATTAGTTATTCCATTTCTTGCCCCTTTAATCAGCTTTTCTGTACTGATTGCTTTTCTGAGCTTTTGAACATGCTCAGGTCTCTCTCATGTCCAAAATAAAAAATGACAATACCCCAAACCATCCCTTGATTCTGTGCTCACTACTTTATTATTTTTTTATTATAGTTAAGATTTTAGAAACAGTTGTTTATACTTGGTCTTTCTTGCCTCTCCTTTGCTCTTTCGCCTTTTGGAGTCTTTGGCAGTCCTGCTTGTTCTTACCATTGGGATCGCCTTCATGAAGGTCATCAGTGATCTCTGACTTGCCAAATACTTTTTGATTTTTTTTCTGGCATTGTGTATACTTTTCAATGCTTCTCTGAAATTATGTACTTTTCTTTTGTATTTGATTCTATTGAATGTTACTTCCTTAAAAAGTTCTTCTGTTTTGGTTTTTGTGATTCTACTCTTTATGAATTTTTCTTGTTCATACATGGCTATTTGTTAGTGAACTTGCTGTCTGTCCTCTCTCTCCTTTTCAGAATTTTTGTGTCACTGTTCTGTCTTGGACCCTTGACCTTATCACTCTACAACCTCTCCTGGAGCAAACCCTTTTATGGGTCTGCTGCTATTTCCATATTCTCTAGCTTCAGCGTAGGCATTTCTGTTACACTTCAGATCATGACATCCAATTGCTTCCCAGACATTTCCACTTAAATAACCTACACACACTTCATACTTGATACATTTGATGATAATAAAAGTGTTCCTCTTTCCTGTTTGCTATTTCAATGGGTGATAACAGCCTTTCCTCAGTTTCTCAAACCAGAGAGTTGGTAAGCATTTCCGACTTCCATTTAGCTCATTATAGTATAACCATCATGGTACCTGCATATCCTAGGCATGCAATAATGATGTGTTTGAATGAATGAATGAATGAACAAATGCCTTCTCTCTGACTCCTTATACTCAGTCAGTCACCAAGTCCTGCATCTTTTCTTTCTTCTTTTGAGCTTTTCTCTTTTGTTCTTCTCCATTCTTAATATTCTGGCTGAGACTGTCCTCTCTCACCTTGGCGATTGCAATAGTCTACCTTGTTCTCATCATTGTTAGTGTATTTTCCTCCTCACAGTTTTTCATCTATACAAGTACTGTCCAATTGAGATGTATTATACAAGGCATATATACAGTTTTACCTATTCTAGTGGCTACATTTAAAAATAAAAATAAACAGGTGGTATTGATTATAATAATATAGTTTATTTGATCTAGTTTATCCAGAATATTCTTTCAACTTGTGGTCATGGTCACATTTCAAATGCTCAGTAGACACGTGGCTAGGGAATACCATATTCACTAAAGTAGCTCTACGCTGCTAGCAGAGTGAAAATCTCATCCAGTCTCTGCTTACATTGCTCCTCTGTTTTCACTTTTTCAGTGACTCCCATGTCTTACAGGTCAAAAAAATCTCAGCTTAGTAGTATCTGCTGTAAGGTGTGATGTGGTCTGGCCCTTCTCTACTTCCCTCTCTGACCTTTGTACTTTGCACCCTACTAATACCAAACTAATGTACTTCCTAGAAATATGCTGGGTTAATCAGCTACAACAGTTCGCGTGGTGTTTCAGCACTTGTTGATGGAAATGCAGGCATCTGGGTGAAAACATGGTTTTCTTTATTCTCAGATCTATTTATTTTTAAATACGGTGCTCAGATTTGCACTCTCATTCTGGAAACATGGAAAATAGATAGTAGTGAGAATAACCTGATATTTTTCACTTAGAATCAACTCAGGTACCTTAGAGAAACAGATTCTGTTACTTTTTTGTGGAGAATACTGAGGTTAAATTGTATTCTAAGGTTAGCAGTTTATGCCTGGTATTTCTTTTTACAATGTCTGATGATACAATATGATATCAGAGTATATCAGAGACAAGCCAGATGGCCAATTTTAGACTAGTTTTAGTGCTAACTAAAGGGCTAATTTTTCTCTCTCAAACTCAACTGTGACTATTTATTGTGAAAATATTCAATAGCTGGACAAGCTAAATTGGTCCAGGAAAACCTAATTGGGTATTTCCATCTTGCATACCTCTGCTGCTTATAATTAAGGAACCCTAGGGAATAGCTGTTAGTAAAAATATTGTTACATATCTGCTGCTTTTTCAATAGCTGCATGTTAATTCAAGAAGTTAAATTTCAAGGGACTAAAATTTTAAAGAAAAAAAATCTGAACCCTAGCACTAGTCCTTTCATGTCCATTTAGGTGAATAGTTTTGCTTCTATTGCATTCTGAGTGTTGTTATCAGTCTGTGTGTGGAGGATCACACGATTAGCTTGCTCATATTTTGACAAACGATCATTATCTGGCTGAAGCATGTTGTAGGAGTCAATGAATATATAATCTATTTCAGATTCCTTAAAGATATTAAATATCTAACTTTGAATATAGAGGGTATTTCTTAATAAATGTTTAAAAACTCTCATGGCGGGGCCTTCATATGACAACTAATAAATATACCATTGGATGGTGTTAACAAAAAGACGTAATACTGTGAAGTGCCTTCAAATTTTTTAGATATTATAATAAAATATTATTTTTTCCTGACAAATAAATTAGCAGTGATTTAATCATTTTAAGTTAATTAATGTTGCAGAATATGCACAGAAGAGTTTTCGATGGAGCTATTTTACTATTTTCTAGTAACTTACTTTTGATTTTTATTTAGATAGTTCATAATACTGAATTGGCTATGGAGAACAGTTGCCACTTGCAATGTATACATGGATTTTATTTTTACCTAAACTTACGTGGATGTATGAAATCTGTTATTAATGTTAGAAAATAAAGTTGTTCATGAATGTTATTTCGTCTAAAAATTGCAGACTCGAACTGACTTGCTAGTTTTCTTAATCTTAAAATGAGTTCTTATTTACTTGATGAGCAAATAGTAGGCAGTTACATGTTAGACAATTTTGTTATTTAGAGTTTGATAATATGTGGCATTTTATACTTCTGGAATTTTCGGATCTTGAAACTTAAGCCTTCAGATATGTATCATTATTAATAATATATTATTATTTGAGAAAATGGTGTTTCTATTTGACTTTCAGCCTGGTTCCTTTCCACTATATTCACTTGATAAGGGAATTATGATTATTCTTTGGCTCAGTGAAATATCAATAGTGCTTTTCTGAGGTGCAGCAATCTAATGTGAGATTGTTTTAAGGTGCCATATTATGAAATTTCATTTCACCATGTAAACATCTTGACATATTTTGCAGTTTTTAAAATGGCTTTTGATGAAATGTCTGTAACAACTATTATCTTGCATAATACATATATAATTTATGTACTCTCATTGGGTACGTTCCTTGACTGGAATATAAATTTTCATTTACATATCAGTTTAAGTTTGAATTATGTTGTAGGAGAGAGGAAGTGATACTGTACATGATGTTTCTTATCTTTAATAGGACTTTTTTTTTTTTTTTTTTTACCATAAGGGTTACTTGAAGTTTTCAATGATATTTTATTGGCAATTCTGGTCTTCTCTTACAGTGTACAAATGTCACGTATTGTGTTCTTCAGTTGATAAACAGATTGTATTCTACTACTGGATTAGCCTTTCAGTAAATGTGTTTCAAAATGGTCTCATTAGCCTTTTAATAAATATTATAATTAAATATGCATAAATATGGGAAGGTCTACTGTGTAACAACATGGTTATTATATGTTTCAAATTATCTTGTATTCTTATGGAATTGTATACCTGTTTCTCATGCAGAATAACTACACCCTTAAGAGAGTATACTAACCTGTTTTTATGTTTGTAAAGACTGCAAGTCAGCTAGGTGGCTTGAATTAATCTGAATTCACCTTCATGATAGAGCTGAAGAAATTGATACTGCAACTTATCATGTAACAAGAAGATCTCAAGTTTAATAAGTCTTTGAGCTGATTCAGACAATGGATTTGTTGCTAACAGCTTTTTTGTTAATACTGATGTGAGAATGCAATTGGATATTATAAACACTCTTCAGTTCAACTGTTTAGTCATTAAAATAATTTTGATATAACAGATATTGATTAAGAAAGGGATTTTAGAGATAGAAAGACTTGACTTCAGTTCTCTGATTTGCCAGTTACAACTACAGCGGTGCCCTTGGGTGATTATAACAATACCTGCTTCATAGAATTGCTTTGAAAAATAATTTAGATAATAAGATTTAGTAAGTACTAATAAATGTGAAGTATTATTATAAAAGTCATGAACATTTTTGTCTTAAATATATTTAAATTTGCTGGAAGTTTTATCAATTTTTATATTTGTGACAATTATAAAATGTTGACTAACTGGATTATAAGTATGCTAAGCTATAAACTTTTTGGGTGGTCCTTTGAGTGCCAATACAATCCACATATCAGAAAACATTATACAGTTGACATTTAATAAAATTGAATTGAATTTTCATGGCTTCAACTGGTATAAGATGATTATCATGCAATTTTGCTTACATCCTGACATATAATTGTTTTATAATTTTTCTATATTACCTGCCAAACTACATTGTAAACAAAAATTGATTAGAGATTATATTTCAGTTTTTTTTATATTATCTAAAGTTGTGTTAAAAAACACGATCTTCAGCTACCAAGTCTATTCCATAAATATTTCTTGGATTTTAACATGATTTTTTTTAATGGATTCTCCGTATTCCCCTTGATTTTAAAAGAAAAATGAATAAGTAAAACTAAGTTAAGTTAGAATTATTAATGGAAGGATGCTAAAATCAATTATGGTACATTAATACTATGTATAGTATTATGATAAGATATATATGTGGATGTGTAGTTGTATATGCATAGAAAATACTGTGGTAGGATTAACAGCAAATTGTTCATAGCATTACTTCGGGTGAAGAGATTAAAACAGTTTAGAGTATATATCAAATGGAGTTTTGTAATTGCAAGCAGCCTAAACTCAGAGATTATCTAAGCAAAATAAGAAGAGGATTTATTAGATAAAATGTGGTTATATCACAGAATCAAAAGCCAAGCCGAATAAATAGGCCCCTGGAAGCATGGAACTATAAACAGCTGAGACAGTTCATTGGCAGAAATTCCTGTGCAGTTTCTGTGGCAGGAGTGGGATTTGGGGATTTCATGTGACTGACAGCCGTACTAGAATGACATAGAATGGAGGGAAAAGCAGTTTACCACAGGAACAGGTGCTGGGCATGAAGAGTATCATAGAGCTGTATTATAGAGGGATACTATACTATAGAGCTGTACTATAGAGGGATGCTATACTACAGAGCTGTAGTATAGAGGGATACTATACTATAGAGCTGTACTATAGAAGGATACTATACTATAGAGCTGTACTATAGAGGGATGTTTTCCTTCTTTATATATATGAACGCATACACACATACACATACACACATATATATATTTACATATGAAATGGAAAGGAAAGAGTAACATTATAGAAGAATGACTAAGAAAAACCTATACAACTTGGTGATAAGGAGCTACTTCTAGGGGGAAAATCCAATATTAGAAGAAAATAACTATATATACTATATTTTTTATTGTGCAAATATATATTACATATATTTATTTTAAAAACACCTTTACTGAAATTTAATTCATATACCATATGATTCACCCATTTGAAGTATACAATTCAATGACTTCTAGTATATTCACAGAGTTGTACATTCATCAGAATAATTTTAGAACATTTGTATTACCCTCAAAGAAAACCCCACATCCCTTAGCTGTCACCACCATGCCACCTCCATTCACTCTGTCCCTAGCAACCACTAATATGCTTTATGTCTCTATAGATTTTCCTATTCTGAACATTTCATATAAATGGAATTACATGATATGTGGTTCTTTGTGACCGACTTCTTTCACTTAGCATGATGTCTTCAAGGTTCATCATGTTGTATGTATCACTACTTTTTATTCCCTTTTATGTCTTAATAATATTCACTGTATGGATAGACCCCATTTTATGTGTCCAGTCATCAGTTGATGAACATTTAGATTGTTTCCACCTTTTAGCTATTATGAATAATGCTTTTATGAACATTTGTTTGCAAATTTTTGAATAACTGTTTTCAATTCTCATATATATATAGCTAGGAGTAGAATTGATGGATTATATGGTAACTCTGTGTTTAAGCATTTGAGGAAATGCCAAACTGTTTTCGGAAGCTGCTGCTCCATTTCACATTCTCACCAGCAGTGTATGGGGTTCACTTCCTCCGTATCTTCATCAACACTGTTATTATCTATTTCTTTGATTGTAGCCATCCTAGTAGATGTGAGGTAGTATCTCGTGGTTTTGATTTGCATTTCCCTGATAACTAATGATGTGGAACATCTTTTTATGTGTTTATTGGCCACATATGTATTTTAAGTTAATGAGATTATGGGGCTTTTTTACTTTTGGAATTTATTTTTTTTACCAAAAAACTTGTCAGATTTGTTTAGATATTTGTACCATTACTCTTCATTGTTTATAATTTTGAGTGTGCGTTATGTAACACAGTGTTACTCTACATAATTTCTCTGTTAGCTAACTGTTGTAAGAAATTGGGACTGAGAGAAGGTAAGTTATTTGTTCAAGGTCACAGAGCTAGTAAATTGTGTAGGATTTGAATCCAGGTCATTTTAAATCCAGAGCCTGAGTTCTTTAAAAATGGTACTATAACATGTCTCAAGTAATATATGTTTTTAGGTTTCTTGTATTACTATTGTTATTGTTTTTGCTCTGGTTGTTACTTTATTTTACCCAACTACATAATCTCATAGAGACAAAGACTTAAATTTCACATGACCCTCAGTTCAAAAATGTCACTTTTGGCCGGGCCTGGTGGCTCATGCCTGTAAGCCTAGCACTTTGGGAGGCCAAGGCAGATGAATCACTTGAGGTGAAGAGTTCAAGATGAGCCTGGCCAACATGGTGAATCCCCATCTCTACTAGAAATATAAAACTAGTCAGGCATGGTGGCGCACACCTGTAATCCTAGCTACTCGGGAGGCTGAGGCAGGAGAATTGCTTGACCCGGGAAGTGGAGGTTGCAGTGAGCTGAGTTGGCACCACTGCACTCCATCCTGGGTGAAAGAGCAAGACTCCATCTTGAAAAAAAAAAGTCGCTTTTACCAAACTCAGGAAATCTGTTCACAGGTTTGCTAAGGTACAGTTGCTTAGCCAGGATTACATGTTGTTTTCTACCTACATGAGAACTGTGTTTGTTGAAAATGCACATTTCCAGGCTTCACTCAGATATTATGAACGAGCCAGTTGAGTACCAGACCTTGACATCATAATTTAAGCAAGTGGATTGGATTAAAAACCACTTTTTTTTTTGGTGGCAGATATTTTACTGTCTCATAAGACTACTATTATTATTACTTTAGATGGCTTTTCATCTGTTTCCTGGTAGTTTTTGTCTTTTGACCTGCCTCTACTCTTTGTAGCAACACTCAACAAGCCTGTTCCTTTTAATGTTTGGCAAATACGGCATCAGTGTGTGAGTACTTTTAGTCTATAGTTTACATCCTGAGAGTTCTGCTGAGTTAATAATCAGTGAAGACTCTCTTTCTGAGCACCTCCTAAATAGTGGGAGACAACACTAAAGTATAAGACCCCCCGCTATGAAGGAGCTAAAACTGTGGTAGGAACTGTAAATATTTACCAAAAATATTCAAGTCTTCTTGATACATCGTGATATCATATTTGATGCTTAAATTTCACATTTTCTTGTCTCTGAAAACAAAAGTCTAGACTTAGTGACAATAGTTTTTTCCCTGATTTAATGTAACTTTCCCTCAGCAATGTGATAGCTGTAGCTAACATTGAATGCAGCATCCAGTGTCTTCACACAGGCTTAGATAACCTCAACACTTTGTTTTCTCACTTGGGTTGCCAAGCTAGGAGAGAATACTATTAAAGGGTCAGACTTATGTGGTCAGGCCCTATTAGCTTTTGATTTAAGGCCAAAGCCATTTTACTTGTTTGACTCTCAGGGTCTGACTGTCTTTTGGGTTTAACTTTGTAAGAGCTATATGGCTTTTTCCCCTTTATACTGTGAAAAATGCAAGGAGCCTTATGATATGTTGTTCATCAGAGTACTTGTTAGACATAAGGACAATAATAATGTGGGAGAAAGAATGGACTTTGAAAAGCTCACTTTGTGGAATTGTTGAGTCTTGTCATTTTCTTTTTCCTAATTTTGGTTTTTTTCCTCTTGAGAACTAGCTTCTCATCACTAAGTTCTATTAGGTTTTTCTTAGTTGTTCTTCTAGGATGCCAGTCTTTCCATTCATTAACTTTAAGTTACCAGCCTAGTCTAGGACTTTACTAGCTACAGAATGATCAGTACTAGGAAAGATAAAAGGCTCAGTGGTGATTTTATTACATGAATATTGACTTGATTTATGCAAATGCATTGTCAGCAGGTTACCAATTTACATTATTCAGTATGCATTTATAGACACCTGACAATATCAAGCTTTAGCATGTGAGCAATTTTTGGAGACCTGCTTTGTGCTTGGATAGTTCAGAGCAGCTCCCATTATATAATCTGAAGTGACCATGATGAAGGCTTGGCTTTTTTCAGGAACTGAATGAGGTCTTTGCTGCAGAGTAAAATGGGAAGGGTCAGAGCAAACCTACCATTAGAAATTGATGTTTGGCTTTTTTTTTCCTCCACGATTAAAAAAGTAGGGGAAAAAAACCCACCTCAACTTCGATTTGATTCAAAATAGTATTTCCTAAAACATAAGCCATTCTTGTCAAATATGAGTTCCTTAACTTAAAAATGCATTCATTTAAATCCCTGATGTATTTTCTCGTGTTCTTCATTCATGCTTGGGGACAGAGTGAGTGGGATTTATGAGTTACTGTACTCAGCACAGGAGAAATAAATTTGGTATAAAATATGTAGAGTATAATCTTACTATTTTTGTATAATATTAGAATTTATCCTAATCTTACCAACCCATCCTTGAAGGCATTTTCCTTCAGTTCATAATCCTCACTAACCAATTTTTCTCCAATGGGAACTTATAAACATTAGCAAAGCTTATAACTGAAGTTGTCAAGAAAACAGACAAATTGAAATGTCTGCCCCAGAGCAGCTTTACAAGCAGCAGCTCCTGGATCATGAAAGGACCAAGAAAGAGGATCCTAACTGCATGGCCTCTTTTCCACTTCACCTTACTTAGTAGCAGTGAAAAGCAGGTTTCTCTCTTTTATTCAGTGTTTTTTCTCAATTTCAATGTATTTACTGTGTGACATTTGCTGAGTATATTTGCAAACATCTCATCCAGTTTTCAAAACAATTCTGCCCAGTAGATGATACCAACCTTTATTCCTCAGATGCCACACTGTCTTCCAGTATGTTAACCTTTTTGATCATCTCGAATTCTTTTTCCTTTTCATAGAAAACTTATTTTTTTCTTTCCTTTTATATATTTTCAGTTAAATTTAAGAAATACTCATTTAACAACTACCCTGTGGGAGGCATGTGATCTCTTTCTCTCTACAGTTTTTTTTTTTTCACCACTTAATGCTACTTTAAAGTGTTTTGGGGAAAGTTTCTTAATCCTCAATAATGAAAACATTGGAAGATATTGTAGGGGCAAGTCTCTTAATCCTCCGTAATTAAAACTTTGGATAATTTTATAGGTTCCTTCCTCCAGTGGGTAACAGAACAGATTACATCAATGTTTTATGTTCACTTTTACCCTAATTGTTCATCTTCAATGTGTAGACTTTATGGGTATTTGCAAGAACATGATCAATGATCTACAGCACTTGAAATAGAAAAATGAAACTGATGAGGAATTATGACTGCTCATATTATTCTGTCCCTGTTTTGTTTTGCTAGTGCAAAACTAGTGTTTCTTATCATCCTTGCTCATACATTATGTTCATGGCCTTTTGGGTAGACTAGGAGGGAAAGAGATAGATTAAATACCCTTTCTTATCTGCCATCCTGTACCATGCTCATCATTTCCTTTATTTTATGAAACAGAATTTGCTTATGTTAAAAAAAAAAGAACAGAACTCATCAGAAGAAGTGACAAAGTCAAGTGATCATTTGAATGTTTACAGGCAGTCAGCTCCATCTCTCTTCTCTGCCTTCCTTGGTATCTGCTTCCTTGTAAGGTGGCTCATTTTGTGGTTGTGTGATAGTAGCCAGTGGGATCTGGTGGGTGGCAGGTGGAGGGTGAAGGAATATTTATCATGTGCCCACTGACAGAAGGAAGGAGAACAAGAGATACGTATTCTTTTCTTTCATGTGGCTCCAGTATTTTATAGAAGTATTCAGCTTAAAGGAAGTATTATTCCAAAGTTTTCTTTGTTGTGTTTTGTATTTTTTTCAAATTTTTTATTTTAATTTTTGTGGATATATAGTAAGTGTATATATTTATGGGATACATGAGATGTTTTGATACGGGTATGCAATGTATAATAATCACATCATATAAAATGGGGTATCCATTTCCTCAAGCATTTGTCCTTTGTATTTTATATTTTGTTTGGTCATTGCTTGCAATTTTTATGCATGATGTTGGCACAGAACCTCAGACTGGCAGTTGTGTAATCCTGGCTGTTTCTCCTTGACAAAATTGGAATACTGAAACTTTGGAAAATGTTTGTCAAGGTGATTGTTCTCTTACCCAAAATTGTGGCCATTTGTCAATATATTCTGAGTTTCACAGTTTGAAGAATACCAGTTATGAAACTTAAGACTCACTACTTTGAAGTGCGTGTTTGATGCTGACCAGCTCAGCTTTAAAAACAGTGTTTTCACAATATTTTATTTGTATGTTTGTTTTGTTTTGCTTCAAAGAATAGTTGCCTAAGCTGAGCCTATTTAAATTACATAAACATATGACTACACCCACCTCTTCACACCTTTTAGAATTTTAAATTTTTAGTATATGCTATATATATTTGCCAGTGTTTACTTTACTTTTGTGCCTTTAATGCAATGCCTTAACATTGTGGGAGTGACTTTTAAGTTCAGTCTCTGTACATACAGTCTCTATGGTGATACTGTATCGTTACATGGTGAACAGTCCACAGAAAGTACTTGCATGTCTTTCTTAGAAACTTTCTGGTACTCCTATGCTATAGTCCTCTTTTGATGGATGCCTTAGGCATATGCTAACAAGATTTTGTTTTTTAAAAATCTTGTGACCCCATTATCCAAAGGCAGTCAAAAGCACACAGCCATTAAGGGGGCTGAACAAGAGGACTTTATAGTCCATACTGGAAAGTCACCACAACCCCAGTAAGATCTTCTTTTCTAAGAAAGGGATGCAATTAATAGAAAGATGCAAAAGTATGCAGACATTTTGAGAGAAGGCAGGCTGCAGAATCTAGGATACTGTAGCAGCCATGAAGAAGACATCACCACGAGAGAATGGGAAAAGTCGTACAGAGAAATTAGTAGATTAGTGAAGAAGAGTCCAAGCATGGAAGATTGTAAGACTTGCCACGACTCTCCTCAAGTTGCTATGTATTTTGAGGGCAGCTATATTCTGTTCTTCCTTACCTCATCATGTATCCTTTCTGTAGCCCCTCCATCACCTGGCATACTCTGACTGTGTTTCTGCTTTGGAGATGCCTAAGAATGGATGTCTTGCACTTGACTATTGAATAATAAATCAGTTTTCAAACAGTGATGATATATAACTCAAATAAAAATCTTATATAATAAAATAGCCTAAAATGAGGCTGAAAAACACCAGGTATGGAAGTGGAATGTCTGAAAAAGAAGTGAGATAATAGGTTTTTGTGTTAATATTTTCTCACCATGTGCAGATTTTATTTATCTTTAAATAAAACTTACCTGGTTGTATCATAGTTCTTAAGAAACTATGGAATAATTTAAATGAGAAAAAAAATATGGCTATATACTAAACTGGTTTAGGGGAATCTCGTTAACATGCTGCCTTTTTGTCAAGCCACTAAAGCTCACTGACTCAGTGTGAATTTAGAGAAACGGGATTTTGATGGTAGTGCTACTAATTATGCTTCATCACTATCTAGATTTCTTTCTCTGTGTTAATATTTATGGTTATTTGGAAATTTTCAAGTGTTAACTATTTTTAACGTCTATGTCAACTGCACAGGGAAGTTACGTTTGAACAAGGGTGCAATAAAGTATTTTAAAAGTTTTTCCATAGACGTTTTCTGTGTAATCTCCCTGAAAACAGAGATTTTTGCTTATTTTGTTCAATGATGTATTCCACTTGCTAAGCCCAGTAGTACTTAGTTGGATATTCTAGAGGTATTTGCTAAATGAACACATTCAATATCAATAGGAATTTCTCTAATTTACTATAAGGTGTAGATTCATGTTATTACTGGAGGGGAAATTAAGGATCATAGAGAATGACTCACTGACTCTCTCCATTGAAATTGGGGCTGAGAGATGTTAAATGTTGCCTGAGGGCATGGTTTAAGAGCAGCAGAACTAGGCCTAGATTCTAGGTTTCCAAACAACTTGCTCAGTTTCACATGACAACACAGGTTAGAGTTGGGGTTTAAACTCAGATCTGACCGACAATGAAGTCCTTTGTCTGGATAAGAGTTTTTGATATTTTTTATAAAATTTTAATATGTCACCTTTTCTTTATAGGTTTTCCTCTGTCCCTAAACAGAATTAATTGCTTCCTTAACAGATTATACTAAATACCATTGTTTTCTAGCATGGATCACATTATATTGAGTTGATTTCATGGCGGTGAGTGCTTAAGACCAAGGACTAATTCATCTTCCTCTTTACCATCTAGAATTTAGCATAATGACTGCCATGATAGTTGTTCTGTGTTTTGAATTGCTGTGAGAGGTGGTAACAAATAGTATATCTAAGCCTAGGTCTAGGGAGATAAAACTTTTATGAGAAGAACAAAGTCTCATTGCTTTTTAAATCAAGCATACAGTTAATGCTTGATAAGTGTTAAAATTAAATAATTATTATTCTTGGAGATGTGATTTAATGATGTTAATCTTGATTGGCTTTTGAAAATGGCTTTGTTTTTTAATTTTTAAAGAATTGATAGCAATACTTTTCTATTGATATATTGGTTTCAACATTAAAACTCCTTCTGACCTTATTCTATGATTTCCTACTGGCTTTTTAGACTCTCACCAATCCATGATTAATGCCAGTTTGCAAAATTTTGCCTGACTTTGACACGAGTAATTTTAGCCCTTTCATGAAAATTGAAATCCTAGTACTATTATGAATATATTCCTTAGTAATTATACCAATGAATTTTATACAACTGTAGCAAAACATTTGAAAACATGAAGGGAATTACATTTCAGGAGAATGTTGTGGTATTACAAAATGTAAAAACCTATAGAAGATGCATTGTTTTGCCTGTAGATCTTACAAACGTAATGCTATTTACTGAGAGTAATATTTCAAACCAATTTTTTTCTTACCACTAAATCTTCTAAGATATGTAATGTCATCCCTTTAGGGAAATGGTCTGAAAGTATTTGATTCCTGTTTGTCATTGAAAAACTACTGTAACATTTTATTTCTATGAAAACTATTATTAAAAAAGAATAGGAAATACTGTAACAGTCATTCATGTGCTAATTTCTTAAAAGAAGGTCTGTATTATTGGTATTGTCATTGAAATCTTTGGTCCTTTCTATAAAACATAATATTTTATGAATATAACAAAACTTGAAGTTCAAACCATTTTCCTTTACATATTTAAAAAAAATGAGGACCAGAATGAATTCACACTTCAGATGTTGAAGCCAGCTGATGGAAAGCCTGGACTAGATTTTAGCTCTTTAAATACTTTGGCCAGTACTTTTTCCAGTATACTAAACCATTGGAAAAGAATAAAAGTCACCCAAAGAACTGCTAAATAAGATTATATAATTTTATCCCCTTATGCTTTTATATTTTATTTTACAGATTTGTCGTTGTTGTTACTCTTGTTGCCAGTAAAGGAAACAGATTGACTTAAAAGCAAAAAAGGAGTTTGTTAGACATATCTGGTATCTGGGATGGGAAAAGCTCACAGGATTGAAGGGAGACTAAAGAGTTATGCTTGAAACAGATAAGAATTAGGCAGATCTGGAAGGTCTTGGTAGCAAGAACTTTCAGGAACAACAGCAACAAAAATGTTAGGCTGTGTTGCTGGCGTAAATAAACTCTAACCACGTCTTTGGTATGTGCATTGATTCTGCTTAATACACTAAGTCTTGAGAGAATGTGTCTGACTGACTGAACTTGGGTTATATGTTCACTTCCCTATACCATTGGACTGAGCAGAGAGTTTTCTGGAAGTAGCCTTTAAAAGACATCTTTGGTTTCCATAATGGAGAACATGTATTTGGATTTATGCTTCCACCAGGACTGCATAGTAGAGAAAATTCCCCCAAAAGAAGTAGGGGTGATGTCAGGAAAAGGGCTGGATGCTGGGCTGCCGTAAAATGACATATCCACTTAATACACCTGATAATTCTATTGTGCTGGAAAACTCTTTTTTCCTATATCCAATATAACCAGCATTTTCCATATAAGCATATTCAATATTTATAAAATGTGGATTATCTAGTGTGTATAGATTGAGAATATTTTAAAAGTTTTTCTATCCTTTTGTCTCTGGTGGCATCTTAATTACTTAATAATACCTTTTCCTTTTTTTAATGAGTGGTCAAAAGGAAAAACGAAGAGGAGAATTCAAATCTAAGATAGTCTTTATTTTATGTACAGCGTTTGTTGCTCAGTGAATGGAAATAATAGCTATCATCTATTGCTTATCCACTGGTTTTAAAGTACTATATGGGCATTTTACCTCTGTTTTCAATGTAAGAACTATTTGAGATCAGAATCTCAGGTTCAAGTGCAGTGGAGCATGTTGTTTACAAGTATGAGGTCTAGAATGAGAGTCTCTGGGTTCAAATTTGGACTCACACTAGCTGTGTGGCTTTGGACAGGTTACTTAACCTTTCTATTTCTGTTTTTTCCCCATGCGAAAAGAGGGAAAATAATAGGATATATATTGCTCAAGTAACTGTGAAAATTGAAAGATATAATGAATATCAAGTACTTATTAGCATAGTGCCTGGCATTTAGTAAGCAATAAATGTTAGCTATAATTCTGTGTATTAACTCTTGTTAACTGTACTACATGTTGTGTTAAAAAAAAAAAGCCTTTTTGCTGAGAGAAACAAGTACTACCAAATTGAGGAAGAATGAAGGTAACTAACTAACTGGACCTAAATATAGTATTATGCTTTTAACCCAGTAGGAATAAAAACAAATTAATGATTGTTACTCCGGAAATACCTATTAGCGTATGTCCTTTTGTGCTTGCATTGTGAGGGCTCTTCGTATTCTTATTGTAGTTTTGAAGAAATTATTAAAACAATTTACAGAACATTATTTTTTTCTTTATTCTTCTTTCTGATGTAATATTTCCTAACGTAATATTTTACCCACACAGGAATATATGTAGCATGTAGGTAGTTATAAAGCATAACAATAAGAGGAACAGCCACAAGTGTCACCGAGAACACTGTCAGCATATTCTTCTGTGCGTTCCTCCTCTCTCCTATTCCTCTCTCTCACAGTACCTGAATTTTGTGTTTATCTTTTGCCTGCTTTTTTTCCCCTCAAGCTTTGTATTTGGAAATGATTTTAAACTTACATCAAAGTTGCAAAGATGGTACAAAGAATACCTATATTCTTCTAAAGCTAGGACTTAGCAAGTGTTAACATGCTAGTATTTTGTCCCATTGGTTTTATCATGTGATCTCTCTCCCTGTCTCTCCTCTCCACATATATACGTGTGTGTATACATATATACAGAGACAATGAATGTATTTATGAAATAATATATAGAGAGAATGCATATGTATAGAGAGAATGAATATATGTATATATTCTTCTTTTTTTAGAATCTTCCGAAAGTTTCAGATATTATTGCCTTCCTTTACCTCTAAATATCGCAATGCAATTTCCTAAGATTAAGGCATTTTATTTATATAATCACAGTATAATATCCAGTGTCAGTAAATTTAACATTAATATATTGCCATTACCTAACTTACCATTCATATTTGAATTTTGTCAGTGTACCTAGTAATGTAGTTTATAAACATTTGCTTTTTGTTTCTCTCCAGTACAGGATCCAGCATGGAGCCGTGTATTGTACTTGGTTTTCAGGTCTCTTTAATCTCTTTTAATCTTTAATCTATAACAATTCTTCAGCTTGCTTTTTTGTCTTTTATAACACTGATATATTTGAAGAATACAGCGCCCTTGCTCTTTCTTTTTTTTTTTTTCTTTCTTTTTTTAATAGAATGCTTCTCATTTGAGGTCTGTTTGATGTTTTCTCATGAGTTAAGTTCAGATTTTGCATTCCTAGCCAGGATATTATATAAATGATTTTCCTTTTCCAGGCATCGCATCTGGAAGCTCTCAGTATTTATCTGGTCAAGGTACTGTCTAGTTTCTCTATTTTTTAGTTACTACTTATCCCCTTGCTATTAATGAGCAATCCATGGGGAGATACTCAGAGACCGTGCATGTAAATTTCTCTTCTTGATTTAGCATCTACTAATAATTCTTGCCTGGACCAGGCTTTATTGTCATGGTTGCAAAATGATGATGTACCAGTGCCAGTATTTCCTCTTCATTTACTAGTCAGTCTTCAGCATCCTGCTCTACCAGTCATCCCTTCTTCCTCATTTCCTTCTACTTTTTATTAGAAAATTTTTTTACTGGTGGTTTATAATTCTAAGTCTTTGTGATAGGTTTTAAAAAATCATTTTTGAGCATTTCCTTACTTTTTGGCATAGCAAGGTGCTCCAGGATAATTGTGTACCTTCTCTATCTAGCCCTGAAGCTAGCCATTTCTCCAGAAGCCATGATTCTTTTTGGTGAGGAATGGCATTAAAAACCAAGTTTCATAAAACCAAGTTTCATAAAAATCGGTTTCAACAAGATCTGAGTGCTAGGTTTATTTGCCCTGTAAGTTGATTAAATTGTGGTTTATAAACTAGTTGGTAATTGTTTCTCCTTTTCATCCTTCAGCTTTGGTTATGTATTGAGTTTCTTTCAATTAAGTCAAGATGCCACCTTCAGAACCTATGATGTTTTAATTCTTGTTGCCTTATTTATAGTCCTTTATATATTTATCATAGTATTCTTCATATGAATGTCAGGACTGGCTGCCATGTTGTAGGAAATTCAATAGCTGCTCTAGCGTGGCGTGAAACAAGCAGCTATATAGGATTAGTAATGATGTCTGTCACAGGCAGATGAAATAAAGCATTATGATGTGGCATTATTGAAAAGGATAAGCATGAAAATATTTTCAAGAAATGAAATATTCATGATAGCAGATTGTGTTTCAAAACCTGAACAGTTTCAAATAATCACTTATTTCTCCTACATCTTTCGTGAAGTACAGGAAACTAAGGAGATATAGGATTGTGCAAAGGCCACTGCGGGGTATTAATTTTATACTGAATTCAATTTTAAAAGTTCAGCAGCAGAAAGGTTAAGACCTTCTTATTTAAAGTTTATCTTATTTCTTAAGGTATTTCCTGTTGTTTAGAGTTCTAACCACTGTACTTTTTGTTATAATGGATGATTTTAATAAAATAAGCAATTTTTATTACTTATGTATATAATGTTTATAGATTTTTTTTTTTTTTGACAGAGTCTCACTCTGTCGCCCAGGTTGGAGTGAAGTGGTATGATCTTGGCTCACTGCAACCTCCACCTCCTGGGTTCAAGCGATTCTCCTGCCTCAGCCTCCCTGGTAGCTGGGATTACAGCGCCTGCCACCACACCTGGCTGATTTTTGTATTTTTAATAGAGGTGGGGTTTCACCATGTTGCCCAGGCTGTTCTTGATCTCCTGACCTCAAGTGATTCGCCTGCCTTGGCGTCCCAAAGTGCTGGGATTACAGGAGTGAGTCACCGTGCCTGGCCAATGTTTATAGTTTATATAAAATATTTCACATGAATCCTTTTTTTTTTTTTTTTGAGACCGAGTCTCACTCTGTAGCCCAAGCTGGAGTGCAGTGGCGCAATCTTGACTCACTGCAACCTCTGCCTCCAGGGCTCAGGTGATTCTTGTGTCTCAGCCTGCCGAGTAGCTGGGACTATAGCATCCTCATTTAATCCTACCTACTGAATATGATCCTGTAATTACCATTTTATTAATAAAGGAACTGTGACTAAGACACATTATGTAATTTCACCAAAGTCACAGAGCTGTGCTCTATATACGTATGTATACTCTGCCTAGTTGCAAAAAAAAGAATTGAGGTAGATTTTTTTTAAACCAAAATAAAAGTAAAATGATAACTAGCAGATGACATAAGAACACTAAAAGCATATGAATAGAGAAGTGAATATGCTAATTATAAGAGCTGGCTATTACAATTCTTATGATTAACAATCACGTTTTGTTTTATTCAATTTGACTTTTAATGTTTAGCACCTGCTTTGTGCTGTTAATTTTGTTAGTCCTTAGAAGAGGTTACTGTCTATATAGAGAAACAGAGATATAAATATATTATTTAAATACAAAATGGTAAGTGCTGTGACAGTACAAAGAAAATAACCTTTGCCCATTGTATGTGTATAAAGGGGTAGATGTGTGTGTGTGGGGGGGGATCTTACATGAAAGTTTTCTGGAAAAGAAGATTACTGAATCGAACCTTTAGGCACAGGTGATAATCAGCTAGGCAATAAATAGGGAATGGATATTCTGGTAAGGGACAACATGATGGAAAGGTAATGCATAAAACCACGTGGTGTGTACAGGGAGCTAAAAGAGTAAGTACAGGAGAAAATGGGAGGTGGTTGGGAGATGAGGCTAGAGAGGTCAATAGGGA
Source organism: Homo sapiens (assembly GCF_000001405.40). Taxonomy (NCBI): domain Eukaryota; kingdom Metazoa; phylum Chordata; class Mammalia; order Primates; family Hominidae; genus Homo; species Homo sapiens. Next base: position 111,363,777 of record NC_000007.14, on the reverse strand, counting down.
TCAGGTAATCTTGTCCTTATATGCTTGTATTTTAATTTGGAGATACCTTGAAGGTTTTAAAACAGGAGAGTCCTATGATTAGATTTGTTATATAAATTCTACTCTTGCAGCTGTGCAGAGGATGGATTGAAGGGGGGAAAGACCGTAGGCAGACAAATCAGCTAGACTAACACTCCAGAAATCCAGGATAATGAGGAAGAGATACATTTCCAATATATTTTTTACTTCAAGCCTTAACGGTCTTAGGAAATACACTGGCTGGTGCTAGTAAGATTGACAAAAATGGAAACATGAGGGTTACTTTATTATGATCAAAAAGGAGGAAATATTATTTCTACAAGAGGTATGTTTTTTACAAACTACATTTTTAAAAATTATTTCTCTGCTTCTTAGGTCCGTGCTTCTCAAACTTTTGTCTGCATAGGGATCACTTGGAGATTTTGTTAAAATTAGATTCTGATTCAGTATGTTTGGAATGGGGCCCCAAATTCCACATTTCTAACAGGGTTATGATGCTTTATGCTCTTGTCCTGAAGTCCATACTTTGAGTAGCAAGGATTTAGAGCTTATTCAGTATTGTGATTATTGTGGCACCAACAATAATTTTATAATAAATGCAAAGATGTGCCTTATATGATTGTTTTCTGTGAATGGGCTTTGGCTTGCATTCATGTGTGTATGAAAAAAAGAGACAGAGAGAAGGGATTTAAAACACTTGGAGTAGTGAAGGAATAGTGTCCCTTAGATTTGAGGTCTTCAAATTTGTATATGATTGTTTGCCAAGGTTGCACATAGTTGATTTTGAAGGAATCTAAGTCCTCAGTTTCCATAGTCTGTCCTAAAATTGGTCCTCCTGTGAAAGACAGTGAAAGCAGCTTTTCCTTTCCTAACTCCCCTTTCAGAATTGCTCTTGACTCATGTTACAACAAGCAAGGCAGACTTCTCGCCCCTCCCAGATCTTCTCATTGTACACTTCTCCAGGATGGAAAATTCCCTTGCATCATGATAGCAGAGGATTAGCTAGAAGTATTGGTATTGGTATTGGTATTGAAAAAGTGAATGACCTAAACTCAAGGTAAAAAATCCTTTTGCAACTCATATGGTTTCTAATTCTTCGGTTTCAACAGACTTAAGGGAGATGTAATTGAGTTAACAGCTGATAGTTTTCACACATCAAATATTTTTAATAAGCTATGTGATTTTGAAGGATTTAGTAACATTGCCATAACAAAACATCCTTCTCATCTACTTAGTGAACAGTTTCAGTTCTTTCATAAACAGAGAAAATAAAAAATAGAAAAAAAATGTATGTGAAACCTTATACTAGCAATGAGTAACATTCATTCAGAGGCCTATAAACTATTTTAAAAAAGAAAAAAATCTAGCCCTTCTCATTAAGAAATACATTTCCATATATTTCTTAGTTTGAACATTACAGTTTTAGAAAATTAAACACAATTTAAAAGTTCAATTTTAAGGTACATTTTTATTGAAGAGAAGTATGATAGAGGATCAGTTAAAAACTTTTAGAAATAAAAACGATTACATTAGGGTAAAATCCTATGGGGAGATAACTGGAAATGAGTTTAAGCAAAAAAGTGTGTATAAATTTTCTAACTCTTGAATTTTTTTTTGATAAAATGGTTGCTGGTGTATATCAGATTACTGTGGAAGTTAGATTTCTTTGGTACTCTTAAAAGACTGGTATAACAGTTTTATATAAAAATGGCAGTATTTGTAACATGCTAGAAATTATAGCCTTTGCAATCATTTAAATTCATGATGAAAATTTTTACATGTCAACTGAAAATGTATGTTGTGTATTTTTAGAAAATTCTTTTAGGAATATGAGAGAAAAAAAATGAAGACTATTGTTTTAGAGCTTCCTTTTTAGAACCTAACTTTCTTCAACAAACCATTTTGTAAAATGTAGATGAGAAAAAGAATTGAGATAATACCTACTGAAAGGTTATTATCTTGTTAGTAATGAAGAGTAGTTTCCTAGGTTTTGGATGCCTGACATACAGGTTATGATAAAGCTGAACTTCTGTTATCAAAGATGAGTGGCCTGGACAGCTCTCTTAGTTGAACACTTTTTTTATGGAAAGCTACTAGTATCCCTAGGCAGCACCAGCATTTTCCTGAAGGGAAATCTTTGGATCAACATAGTCCCTTGAACAAGTAAATGTTTTGTTGAGTTTCGATAGAACAAGACAGATATAATTTGGCAAGGAAAAATTTTATGTTGGAGTTTATTAATTGCTTGCTTTAAGAATACTCAGTTATGCTGCAACTGCTACTATAGAAAGTATAACTCTGAATAGTGAGTTAGCTAAAATATACTCCCAGATAATTGAATTAGTAAGTGTATATAATTATATATAAATTACTCTCTATAATCCTGCACAATTAAATCTTCAAGAATGCTTGCAAAATGCAACAATTTTAGTTTTGATATGCATAACGTTGAGTTTGTTGTAATGGTAGCAGTGAGAATAATAGGGAACAGATGCCCACACAGTTAATAAGTTATGAAACTGGTATTTAAACCCATGTGTTCAATGCCATGTTATTTCTACTACAGCAATAGGAAGGCTGCCTAGCATTTTGTACATATAGAAAATTGGCTATATTTAAATATAGTTTATTGTTTACTATTAATAAAAGGAATCCTGGCATTGTTACAGGATTTCACTAGTTTATTTATGGTTCATTAAACTCTTAAAAATTTAGGACCCTAAAGAGCTTCTGTTCTGTGGGTTAGTTTCATCAATATTTAGCATATTGGAAATTAAGATTGAGAAAATTTAAAATATATATTCATCATTTAAAAATAAAAATATTTATTATGTATCAACATAAATACGACAGTTTTATGAAAAATAACTATATATTTCAAAACAAAAATATTTAGTGAGAAGAGGGCACTATTTTACTTTTGCTTTGTTCTTTGTTTTTTTGAAACAAGGTATCGCTCTGTCGCCCAGGCTATAGTGCAGCAGCATAATCATAGCTCACTGCAGCCTTGACTTCCTGGGCTCAAGTGATTCTCCTGCCTCAGCATCCCAAGTATCTGGGACTATAGATATGTGCCACCATGCTTGACTAATTTTTTTATTTTTTGTAGAGATGAGGTCTTGCTATGTTGCCCAGGCTGGTCTCAAACTCCTGGGTTCAAGCAATCCTTCTACCTCAGCTTCCAAAAGTGCTGGGATTACAGGCAAGAGCCACTGTGCCCCAGGCCTGTTTTAGATTTTCATAAATCTCTTCAATATCTGGCCGAATACAAACAGGTGGATTCTCATATCTGCTTTTGCATTCAATATGTTGTGTAATGTTATTTGATTTGGAGTATGTATGAAAACAATCTTCCCTCACACAGGTATGTACTTGGGAAAGGGAGGCCTTATGGACCCCCTGCAAGGTTCATGGGGACCATCAGAGTGGCGTCTTCAGAGCACACTATGGGGACACTGCTTTAAAATATTATCAAAAGTGTTACATTTTAATAATTAGTATGCATGTAATAAAATGGAAATCTAGTTTTTGCATATGTATTATGTTGATGTCTGTATTTGATTTTAGCTCCATGTATTATGGAGGACTTTCCCTTACTTTTGGATTTGTAATGACATTATGGCGAAATTGTAATCACATTATGGCGAAATTGTAATCAGAAACCAAAACCATTTTTTAAAATTTATGGAGTGGATTAGAGTATAAATTTCAACAGGATAGGAATTGTGAACAGATGTTATACTGAAAAACCAATAGAAAAGAAATTCAAATAGGTTATTATTAATTTAGTAATTATAATAGTATGAAATAATTCTGTACTCCAAGAGAACATTTATCCCATTAATTCTTTAAAAAATCAAGATCCTTAACCATCTATTTATCTTTCACCATCTTTCCCACCCTCCCTCCACCTACTTCTTGCATTTATTTCCTCTTCTTTAACATTCATTCAATAAATATTTATTGGACTCTTTATCAGTTAGGGTAACCACTAGCTTATGTAACAAAGAGATTAAAAAATGCATAATGGTTCAAACACAATGAAAGTTTATTTCTTGCTTAACAACCAATGAGCATGTTTCTGCTTGGAGTAGTGGCTGCTCATTTTATAGGTGGCTAAGGAAGCTGCAATTTCTGTGGTGTTTATGAACCTGGAGAGGCCGGGCACGGTGACTTACGTCTGTAATTCCAGCACTTTGGGAGGCTGAGGCAGGTGGGTTACTTGGGGTCAGGAGTTCCAGACCAGATGGGCCAATATGGTGAAACCCCGTCTCTACTAAAAATACAAAAATTAGCCAGGAGTGGTGGCGGGTGCCTATAATCCCAGCTACTCAGGAGGCTGAGGCAGGAGAATCTGTTGAACCTGGGAGGTGGAAGTTGCAGTGAGCTGAGATTATGCCACTGCACTCCAGCCTGGGTGACAGAGAGAGACTCTGTCTCATTAAAACAAACAAACAAACAAAAACCTGGAGAATTAGGAGGCCACCTCACATGGATGCCCTGGCCCTAGCTTTTGTTTTCATGAAAGTAGAGTTTGGACATTCAGATCTACGTTGCAGAAAAATCAAATTTTTGTATCACTGACCTTGCCAGTAAAAACAGCAGAGGCAACAGCAGCCAGCCTCTGTCTCACCGTGTTAACCTTGCCTTCCAAAGTAATGCCAGTGTATCGGCTTGGCAAGAGCTAGGTGATGTGCCAACATCTAACTGTCAGGAAGTCTAGGAAATAAACTTTAGCTTTCTAGCTTAGCTTTTGTTCTAGCTATCTAACTTAGCGTGCATGAAAGAACACAACTGAAATGGAGTTGAGTACACTAATCTGCACACCTAGGAAAAAGATCTAAAATGAAATATAATAGTATGTCGACAATGATTATCTCTGGCTAAATCACAGCACCTTCTCCTTCCTTTACTATCTTGATTTCTGTCCCTTGTTAATTTTCATCAGTCTAAAAGAGACTTTCTCCCATTTCCAGTTGTCTCCCTTGGTTGCTATAACAGCATAAGATCAACAATGAGAACGGTCATATTGGTGATTTCTGGCAGCCATGGGAAGACTTTACTTTTAGTGCAAAAACTATAGAAATTTCACCCATGCATAATTCTTTTGGGGGTGGGGTTGTCTGGTGAATTGGTTAAGGGAGCCTTTCAGTGCAACTATATGTGTGTTGAAATATGTCAATCTTGATTATTCTTGCTTTGCTGCCTGGTGTGGATACTTTGGGGTTTCTGACTTCTAATTGAGCTTAGGCATTATGGTAACCAAAGATTATTGTGTTAGGGAAGAAGCCAAGATAATCACAAGATAATGTGATTTTTTTTCCTTAGGTAGGTCAGAATCAGTCACTTTTGTCTTGTTATGCATTGCTGCTTACTGAAGATTCTATATAATACATGATGGCAAAAGATGCTTTCATTAACGTTTCGGGGTTGCCTAAGTAACAAGTGGAATAAATGATTTATCCTCAGTTCCTGGTTATATCCTGGTCATTGAGGAGCTGAGAATAGAGGGTAGTAAGATAATGCATCTGAGGCTGTGGGGTAGGTGAGGAAACGTGAAAGAGTAGTCCAGAAAGGAAGGGAAATCTAAACATACTAGATGTCAGCAAATCAAATAGTTCATTCTAGAGTGTGAGGCACCCAGAGGGTATAGCAAAAACAAGCCAAATGATTATGTACTCTGAATCTAAAAAGTGAATGGTTGACAGCCCAGTACAAAGATTGGGTTTCTACTCTGAGATAGGGTATCAAAAGAGTCCAGAATGCCCTAGGGTGAAAACCTTGGCTTGCTGTGGCTTGCAGAAATCAGAGTATGGGAGTGTGATGGGTGTGGTGTAGGAGGCATTATAGCAGTAATTCCAAAGCTGGCTAGTGCCCTTGGGTTACTTTCAGTTTCCATGCTCATGGGAAGATTGGCATGCCCCACATGGTTAAAAGTACCAGATAGAAATGGATAAGTATATATATATATAATTTCTTCATGATGACTCATGTTGCTTAGGGCTAAGAGAGTACTTCCTTTTAAAAATGCATTGCTTACTTCATTAAAACCAGTTTGATAGATTTGATTATTTTATTCTGTTTAATAAAAATATTTAGACATAATAACTAGAGCTCATGAATGTTCCCAGCTATATAAATGAAAAAACAAAGTGCAACATTCAGACAAAACAAGTTAATTCAGGTGACACTGTTCTAAGTTGTAAAAGGACAGACCAGCATCTGAAGGGTTTTTAATGTGGCAATTAAACATGGTTAGGGGGCTATGTAAATTAGCATGGTTTTAACTGCATTTATGGTCATCTTAATCTGATATGGCTGACTTAATTTCATGGTCATTTGAGGATAGTTAATTCTACTTTATAGTTGCTTACCAGGAAAGTATACCTCATGCTGTGTGGTGAGGTTTTGTAAATGAATTTAAAGAAAATTGTTATTGTTGGAAAAAAAATTCATTGTTTAAGCATCATCTAAAGTTGCTGCCTCTAAGGGATCATTGCTGCATGGTATTTAAAAATAGGTTTTAAATGAGTTTTATATCTTGACGGTTTGAAAAGAACAACACAGATGTGTGTATTTAGCCAAAAAACTTTAAATGCTACAGTGGGCCAGTCTGTGTCCACATTCCTTCTTGAAGTGGTTAGTGATTAATCCTAGGGCAAAGATGAGTTTGTAGTTTATAAAGTACTGTACCAGTTGATAGTAATCTTGTAGCTTGCATATATGTGCTTTTTTTTTGAGACAGAGTTTCACTCTTGTTGCCCAGGCTGGAGTGCAATGGCACCATCTCGGGCTCACTGCAACCTCCTGGTTCAAGCGCTTCTCCTGCCTCAGCCTCCTGAGTAGTTGGAATTACAGGCACCCACCACAACGCCTGGCTAATTTTTGTATTTTTAGTGGAGATAGGGTTTCACCGTGTTGGCCAGGCTAGTCTTGAACTCTTGACCTTAGGTGATCCGCCTACCTCAGCCTCCCAAAGTGCAGGGATTACAGGCATGAGCCACTGAGCCCAGCCTATATATGCTTTTAAAATCTTATGAATAAAAATAACTATAAAATTGTCAATTCTTTCTTTTTTTAAAAACCAGTTTTATTTCAGTTTATCTGGAAAGTTAACTTTATAGCATTGTTTATATGAGAATTCTTCTAAAACTTTTCAGTGCTACACTAAAAAGCGTACAATTGGGATTTAACGTTGAATAAGGGGTTGCAGTCATTCCTCTGTATCTGTGAGGGACTGGTCTAGGACCTCCCTTGATACCAGAATCCGAGGATGCTCAAATCCCTGATATAACATAGTGTAGTATTTGCTTATAACCTATGTAGATCCTTTCTTATACTTAAAGTCACCTCTAGATTACATATATTTCCTAATAGAATGTAAATACTATATAAATAGTTATTATACTATATTGTTTGGGGGATAATGACAAGAACAAAAAGTCTATACATGTTAAGAGATGCAAATTTTTTTTTGAATATTTTCAATCCTTGGTTGCTTGAATCCACAGATGAGGAACCCATGGATACAGTGGGCCAACTGCATCTGAACATGTTGAATGAGTCAAATTTACTAGCCTAAAAGGAATCTGAGTCTGTTAATCTACTTTATAGCTGATTGTATTTTATTCAATATGAAGTTTTCTGTGTATATATATATGGTGTATGTTTAATTTTCTAAATTTAAATTTAATGTTTAAATTAAATAAAATAGAAAATTAGTTTAATTTTCTAAATTCTGCCTATGTGGAACCCCATGTCGCTTAATTATTGCCCTTTGGAGTTTGTTTTTCAGATAATCATATACTCATGAAAGCAAATATTTTAAGAATCATTAAGTTTTCTAACAGAATTAGACTTTGTATTTTCAGATACATGTAATTAAAGACCTATTGGGAGGAAAATAACTTAAAGAGCACTATTAATAAAGCTTAAACACAAACCTTTGAAATATGAAGCAAAATCAAAATAGACTAATTGTATGTTCTCCTTAGTTAAAAAAATAGCTTCAAATATGTTTGGATCATTGCTCAGAGAGTAGAAAATAAATTACATTTGATATAGAGGTGAACATTTAAAAGATTACTCATGAACAACATTTCTGTACATCTTATGAGTGACCAGAAGGTTTTTCTATTCTATTTTTTCCCTGTTTTTTTATTGTTTTTCTGTTTTGAGTAGAAGTTTTCAAAATTGCTCTTAAAACTGGTGGGTATTTATGAGAATAACTGAAGAAGAGAAATTTTGAAAAAATATCTGAAATTACTAATTAAGAGGATATACACAGATTCTATACATTAAGTAATAAAGCCCAATATTACAATTTACATTGAAGAAGTTTTGAAGAGTAATAACACTTTTTATTTATACAGTATCTGGTTAAAGATTTATAGTGTATAAATTGCTAATTTTCATAATTAATTTATATAAGAAAAATATTTCACCAAACTGATGTCATGCATTAGTATTATTATGTACATTATATTTTTAACTTTTAAAAATTTATTCATTTTGATTTTTAAAAAATTCGATGTACATTGTAAAAAATAAAGGAACTTTTAAGAAGAAAATTTAATTTCACTTTTCACAGGCAACCATTGTTCTTTATATTCAATAAAAACTGTCAGTTTTAGAGTACTGTATTATAAATTGGACATTCATAAAAGTTATTCATGGATGCTGCTGCTAAAGATTACCTTGGGAAAAACTAAATTCATTAGTACGTTTCCCCAGTAGTATCCTTTTCAGATCCTTCACTTTCTCTTTATTCTCTAATATTTTATTCTAGTACCTATATAGCTGTGTTTATTCTATTGAGATTAGGGTCCAGGATAGGGTAGGGATTTAACTTTTTGTCGAATGAATGGCGTATCTTCATTTTTCAGAACTTCTTGTATTTCCTTTGGTTAAATTTTATAGTTGTCTTCATATAAACTTTGCACATTCCTTCTTAGGTTTATTTCTAGGTTTTCCATATTTTTTTGTTATTGTTAAAAAATATTCTTTCCAATAAGTCTTCCAGTTGCTTATTTCTGTGTATAAGAAGGCCATTAATGTTGATCTTGATTCCAACCATATTTCAAAATATTCTTATTTATATTTTTAAGTTTATTGTCTGTGTGTTTCTAGGTAGTCATATTATTCAAAATAACACATTTTCTTTCTTTTTTTTTTAAAGCCTTATACATCTCAATTTTTTTTCTTTGTTGACTAGAACCTCTCGTCCCTCTTGACTTTCATGGGCATCCTTCTGATATTTATCATTTAATGTAATATTTCCCTTAGGCTCCTCATATGTTATCAAATAAGATTTTTCCTGTCTATTTCCAGTTGGTCAAGAGCTTTATTTTCGTTGTCGGTTGCTGTTTGTTTACCTTAGGTGGAAATTAGATTTTCAAGTACTTTGGCCTTTGATACTAGGTATCAATAAAGATGGTAATATATATGTTCTCTATTTATCTGTTAATGTGGTAAATATGTTACCTTAATAGGTATCTTTAAATTTACCTGTCTTACATTCCTGGATTAAATCTTATTTGGTCATATTTTTAACTATTCAGCTGGATTTATCAAGATTTTATTTGGAAAATTTGTACCTATATTTATAAATAAGGTTCTGTAGTTTTTTCCTGATGTCTTTTTTCATTTTTTGGTATCAGAGTTATTCTGTCCCCATTTTTCCTAAATATAAAGCTTGATGTTCTACTCTTTATTGATTTTACATTCTCTCTGAGTAATATCTGGTCTTACCACTTCAATTATATGTCTCCTTATACCATTTTATCACCTAATATTCTGTCAGAGGACCCTATGTAGGCAGCTATGGTTGATATTTCAAATGTTTTCAGAAGACACAGAAGAAGGAGAAAGAAGAAATATGTGGATAAAACCAGTGTTTTCTATTCATAACTTATGTAACATATATAGCTGACTATGTTTATGGTGTCTATCATAAAAATGTATAAAGATAGTCTTTTGATATATTAAGTTGTATATTCTGAGAAAGTCCTTTTTTGTGTATGTGTATATTTATGTATATATGTAGTCTGTATATGTTTTCAATACCCATAGCCCTTTTCCCACTGAACTGGACGGAACCTTATTGCCATTACAATGTTTTTTCAGAGAAGAGTGTTAATGCAATAAAGAAAAGTTAAGTTTCTTTTTTCTGAGTTCTAAGTAGGCTCCTGAAACTTCTAGTTGGCTTAATAATCTTGACACACAAGATAGTGTATTTCAAGCAGCTGAGCTATATGAAATAGAAAAGGGTTTTGAGTTTTTAAAATAAAGCTCTGAAGATATCAGTGCATAAATTTATTTTTATTTTAACTTTTAACAACAGATTGGAAAGAAATTAGCCAAAGAGTGAGATGATCTCATCACATTATTAAATAAGTGTTGCCTTGGTTAGAAGGGGAGTTGAAACAAGGTTCAGGAGACATGGCAGCCCTGTGTTCTGCCTTTCTTTCCTCTACAGCCTGAGACCAGGGATAATGATAGAAGCTCCCTTTAGTTGAAGATTTGAGCATTGGAGATTTGTGCTTCACTCTCCAGGTGAAAGCCAGGGGATGGCAAGCGTTATCTAAGGCCCCTGTCTGATGATAGTGTGCTGGTGGCAGAGTTGGAATGGCTGCACAGCCTGCTTCTTCTGGAATTTTGTGAAGCAACAATGTCATGGGTGTGTCCCATATTGAATGACATGGTATCACTTAGATGGAGATGGTTAACTATATGAGAGAAGTCTGTAGATAAAGCAGGTAGAAGATAGTTAGCAGGCTCCTATGGGCCCAGGAAGGCAGTTGAGACTTCATGCACTTTTGGGCAGAACAAGGGAGCTGGATGCAAGACCAGTGCTTTAAAGGACCTCACAGTAATGTTGAGAAGAAGCCAGGAATGGTAGTATGGAATACATGATTAGAGTCTACTAAGACTACAGATAGTTCACTGAAAACCCGATCACACAAATGCTGTGACTAGAGACTTGACAGGTGCCAAATCAGAGTGCTACAGGTCCAATGCCTCTCACCGATACCATGCGGCTGCTGTGTGAACTTCCCTCACCACGTAACCCTCACCTTAGGGAAGAGAAGGATGAGAAGTCATGAATTCTTAAGATGAGCATATGCAGAAATTACTGAGGAAAATCAGAATGATGTAAGCTTATCTAGAAATGACTAGATTATGTTTTCTGATACTTGGTGCTACAGAAGCATGAGAGAGAGGAGGTAAGTTCTATTGCAGAAAACAGTATGACCAGGCACAGTGGCTCATGCCTATAATCTCAGTACTTTAGAAGGTTGAGGCACAATGATTACTCAAGGCCAGGAGTTTTAGATCAGCCTGGTCAACACAGTGATACCCCATCTCTATCAAAAAAAAAAAAAAAAAAAAAGTTAGTTGTGCATGGTGGCATGTACCTGCATTACCCAGCTACTTGGGAGGCTAAGCCAGGGGATTGCTTGAACCCAGGAGTTCAGGGCTGCAGTGGGCTATAATTGTGTCTTTGTCATCTTTGTACTATGTTTATAAGGTTTTCTTAAAAAATACTTCTCCCATATCCTGTCAAGCATTACCATTCCTGTAGGTTTTATAATGCTTCTGATGTTTGTGTCCATGATTCCAAACATCTGGCTAATTGACTGCATTTATACCTTTTACACATATGTCTTGGTTTTATGTATATATTTGTTGTGTTAATGGGAAGCATACTGATATAAAATGCAACTGGAAAAAGTAGTACAGAAAAAGGAAATATTCTCTGTCAAGTGCCATTCTGTTGAAACTGATGTTTAAGTAGATGAACATCTTTTTCACTGAGAAGTTGTAACCAAATCAGATTCAGCTGCATGTTAATATATCAAACAGGAAAAATTAAAGTACTGTGTAGCAGCTGTCTTGAAATATGCAGGTTGAAAAAATTTAAAGTGATATGCATTGGATATATGATACAACATTTATGAAATTGAGATGGACAATATGTCTGCACTTTCTTATTTCAAATACATTGCTTGAAGTTTAACAGAATGATCATGTAATTAGATAACAAAGTACAGTGAGTGGGTGCCTTTTGTTTTTGGAATCACATTATAGCCACTTATTTAACAATTTTTATCTGTAGCACTCATTTGAAATTTACATATGTCAGAAAGGAATAGGTTTTATCAGATATGAAAGAACTTGATGATAAAATGATGTTGGTGATGAATTGCTCCTGTAGCTGGCTATCATCAGGAATTGGGAGTTACACAGTGCAGTGTAAGTAAAAAAGATGGGCCGGGTGCGGTGGCTCACACCTGTAATCCCAGAACTTTGGGAGGCTGAGGTGGGCAGATCACGAGGTCAGGAGTTCAAGACCAGCCTGGTCAACATGGTGAAACCCCGTCTCTACTAAAAATACAAAAATTAGCTGGGCGTGGTGGCACGCGTCTGTAATCTCAGCTACTCGAGAGGCTGAGGCAGGAGAATCGCTTGAACCCAGGAGGCGGAGGTTGCGGTGAGCAGAGATTGCGCCACTGCACTCCAGCCTGGGTGACAGAGCAAGACTCCGTCTCAAAAATAAATAAATAAATAAATAAAATAAAAATGCTCCCCTCATTCATTTTGATTTAATGGGTTGGTATAGAATGCAAGATATTTTTCCCAGTGTACACGCAATAGCGAATTGAGCAAAAAATGTATTAAGTAAGCTTTTTACTTTCACATCAAAATCAATACCAGCCTGTTGTTGAAAATTTTAAGATTATGATTTCTTCATCAATTTGCATTGTACTTTCATCTCTTACTGTGTAATAGTTGGCCATCTACCCTAATAATACTAAATGCAATGATTGAAAATGCATAGTCTATTTTTCATCTAATTCATCATCCCCAACAATTACAGTATTCACGGTTTTGGTCTAAGTGGAAACTTTGTAAGGAAATTAGGGTAATGTGGCCTCTAACACAATTAAAAATAGATACAAAAGATGAGAGGTCAAAGTCCTCATGGTGACTATGAATAAACTATTAAATGTTATGGATTATTTTTGGAAGAGGTGTTAGAGTCTCTTTTCCTATAGTATAAAATACTCTATAGAAAGGAAGTGAAAAGTTGATATTCTATGGTGAGGTCAAGCTGAAACCTTCTCTGAATCAATACACGACTTCAGATAAAAGCTGCTATTGTGGCTATGATTATTTATGAAGAATGATCATATAAAATGCAGATAATTATTATATGCCTAGACCCCCCTATCTGAGGAAGGAATATTGTAACATTACAGTGTGTTGAACACCTACTGTGTACTGCTTTAGGATCTGGGGACACTAAGATGGCCCTGTTCAATGAGTTCATAGCCTAACAATTTATAATAATATACACTAATATTTAAAAAATAAAGATAAGTCCAACTATATATATATATATATATGTATATATGCAAGCTTGATGATATGTAATATAGTTTATTATTTTAATAGTTAACATCAGGATTCCTTTTAAGAAGGGAACATCTGGGCCAGGTGTGGTGGCTCACGCCTATAATCCCAGCACTTTGGGAGGCTGAGGCAGGTGGATCACGAGGTCAGGATTTCGAGACCAGCCTGGCCAACATGGTGAAACCCCCTCTCTACTAAAAATACAAAAATTAGCCTGGCATGGTGGCGTGCACGTGTAATCCAAGCTACTTGGGAGGGTGAGGCAGGAGAATCCCTTGAAAGCAGAAGATGGAGGTTGCAGTGAGCTGAGATCGCACCACTGCACTCCAGTCTAGGCAATAAGAGCTAAACTCCGTCTCAAAAAAAAAAAAAAGGACCATCTTTGTTTTGATAAATAAAGTAATGAGCTCACATGCAGTAGATGAGAGCCATGATATTGGGTGTGGGTCGGGGACTCTTATTCTACATCAGAGAAGAGACATTTATTTTGACTAGAACAGGGAGAGGGCTCCTGAGAGACAATAGGAGAGGAAGTCAAGCTAGAAGGCTGGATTGGGCCTCATGATTTGGCCCTACTAAGAGAAGCCATGTATTTTCTTTGGCCTCCCCTTCCTTTCCTTTCTTTCAGTGGCTGTTTTATCTAGCTCTTGTCTCTCTTTAAAGCAGGGACTTCATTCTACTCCCCTTGCTGGTACCACCTGACTACCCTTCTTCCTCTACAGGCATTCTTAGTGAATGAACTGTTGCATAGTTAAGGCTCCTAGGGCTTCATGAAAGCCAAGAAATATTTATTTGCCTTATTGAAGTTTAGAGGGAGAAGCTGACTTTTATCATTTGAAATTTAAAGAGAAAGGCACCTGATGTAAATTAACTGGGTTGCATTTGGTTAAACTTTGCTCAAAAATTTAAAACTATTTTTTGCTGTCTCACTTTTTTTTCCATAGTGAGGTATATTGCATCCCACTTGCCTGTAAAATTCTTGGGGGAGTGGAAACAATGTTTCATGCATTTTGGTTACCATCCCAATGCCTAACATAGCAGCTGCTCAACATAGGTGCTCCTTCATATTTGTTAAATAATTTATTGTTATTAACATTAGCCATAATTTTATTTAATTTGTTATTTTGCCAATATTTTAGTGAAAAATGGAATTGAAGTAGCAATCCTATGTTCTGATTCTGGTAATTAGAGCTCTGGGAGACTCCTCGTAGGTAATGTAGTTTGAGCTCTGAAATCATTTTTTTCCTCATGGCAAACAATTAAAATTTCAGGAAAACTATGTCTGGAAATAAAACAGCCTCTGATGTGTTCTGCATGCAAGCTGAAGCTTATAAAGTATTAACCAGTACACACAGAACTCAGTCTACTTGGGAAGGAAATAAATACTTGAAAGGATTTTTGATGAAGAAAATATTTCTTTGCTAGTCTAAAATCTTTCCAGGAAAGTCCTTAGGAGCTTATGAGATACACATAAGATGGACAGAAGAAGTCATATTCATTGCTTTCAGATACCAGAACCCTTGGATGTCAGAGTCAGCTAATATGTAAATGGCACAGGTTCATTTTGTACCAGGAGAGCATCGAGGGACCTATGAGATATATTTTAATGCTATCTTAACAGTTTCTAAAGACTATCACACAAGTCTAGTTCTATAAATGATACTAATAATACCATTGGGAGTATTTTAAAAACGTTTGGAAGCAATGATCTTATTCGTAGGGCAGACTCATGTTAACTGTTTGCTATTAGGACAATTTTGCAGGTTTTCTTTATTTGTTATTCTCAAAAACTGCATCATTTGGTTTCTAACATACTGAAATGGAGAAGGAAGTGTATTAGAGTATAGTTAGATGGACCGAAAACTGGCTCAGTCTTTTTAAGAAAACATGAACATCTACTGTGTTTTAGGGAGTGGATGAGAATTTAGCATTAAACAAAATGTGACCTAGTTGGAGAGACGTATTTATGAAGATAAAATCTTCTCATATAAAGATTTTATATAAGCACTTTAGAAGTATTTCATCTTCATAAATACTTTGATAGAACTTTTTTTTTATTATACTTTAAGTTCTAGGGTACATGTGCACAATGTGCAGGTTTGTTACGTATGTATACATGTGCCATGTTGGTGTGCTGCACCCATCAACTCATCATTTACATTAGGTCTATCTCCTAATGCTATCCCTCCCCCCTCCCCCCACCCCACGACAGGCTCCAGTGTGTGATGTTCCCCACCCTGTGTCCAAGTGTTCTCATTGTTCAGTTCCCACCTATGAGTGAGAACATGCAGTATTTGGTTTTCTGTCCTTGCGATAGTTTGCTCAGAGTGATGGTTTCCAGCTGCATCCATGTCCCTACAAAGGACATGAACTCATCCTTTTTTTTATGGCTGCATAGTATTCCATGGTGTATATGTGCCACATTTTCTTAATCCAGTCTTGATAGAACTTTTTAAAATAAAATTTTCTGTGAGAGATAAATTTCATTTATGAAAGAGGAAAGGTGGGGAACTATGTCACAGATGACACACAATGGAATTGGGCCTTGAAAGATTGAGTAGAAGCTCATTGCAGGAATGGCTTTTCTTTTGTCCCTTTCTCTCCTGTTTTTTTCATATATTCTAAATCTGATAATCATACTCAAGCCCAACCCTCTACTCCCCAACCTCCTTGGAGCTGATCTCAGGTGATTGGGAAATATGAACACCGGAGAGAGGCTTCCTCTCTGTAGCCATCCTTCCCTCTTTCCTACTGTTCCTCTTAGTCCTGCTTGAAGCTTATTCTTGTGCTCTTAGCCTGTTTCTCTGGTTATCCATTCTCTCTTCTGCCCTGGCTTGGTTTCTGCTCAAGTAGTCAGGTCAGGAGTTAGGGTAGGGGCTTTGGAGCAAAACATGAGTTTAATTCCTGACCTTGTCCCTTGGAGACTGGTTTCGTCCACTTCTTAATCGTTTTTACCTTCAACCCCTCCCTGTCTTCTGGCATTTCTCTTTCAAACTCTAACTTGCTTGTGTACCCATAAAAATAAGTCACTTCCCTCCTCTGGCCCTTACATCCTCTCTGCTTTCCTTCTTAACCAAGCTTCTTTAAAAGGCTAGACTACCCTGCTGACACTCCATATTCTTCAATCTATTGCTATCTGTATGCCTGTCACATACCTCAAGCCCATCACATTCAGAACAAAATTCTTCTTCCTCAAGCCAGCCTTTCTGCCTCTGTTCTCTCTGAGTTTATTCATTCACCTAAGCAGAGACTTGGCAGTCGTTCTAGACTGCCTTTTCCCACCTCTCTTCTTTTTTTTCCTTCTTCTCCTTATCAATCACATTAGTGATTAGTGAACATTTCTTATGAGACAGAGACTTTTTAAACCCTCTGCCATCTATTATCACAGTTAATTTTGCCAGCATCTCTATGAGTTAGGTGCTCTTGTGCCTATGTCACAGTTACAGAAACCAAAGTATAGCTTCATTCACACAAATTAAAGTGGTGTAGCTGGAATTTAAAGCCCAGAGTCTGACCAGAGCCACATTCTAAGTCACTGCTATACCACAGCTTACAAATCTAAAGCATCACCAAGTACTGTCAGTTCTGCTTTTAAAAATCTCTCTTGAATTCATAAATATTGTTCCATCTACACACCTGTAATCTAGTCAGCTTCTTGTCTTGGCTCACCTCAGAGCTATAAGCTCTCAGTCTCTAGTGTGGCTTTCTGTTTATCTGTCCATGTATACTTCCAGAGGGATCTTTTAAAATACCATAGTGAAAGTATAAATTTTATCACTTAAAAAACTCAGTGGGCCTGTAAGTGTGAGGTAAGTTCACACTTTTTCCTGGATCATTTGGAAGGCTCCATCCAAACTACTTGGAGAAAAATGTAGTTGGTATGTTGATTGCATAGATAGTTTGAATATATGAGTCAGCTTACATATTGAATAACAGATTCTGGATCTAACAGATGCTCAGTAGTGTCTCTTACCCCCTTCTCTCCTCTGCTCTGCTTAGGTCTCTCCTGAAATAGCCCAGGACAAGGGTTAGGGCATAGTGGAGTCAACATGGGTTCAATTCCTGACTTTGTTACTCCCAATATAGCCTCTAGCAAGTATTTCTATTTCTGTAATCCTCAGTATCTTCATTTATAAGTTGGTGATTATAATGTCTTCCATATTAGGCTTTACTGAAATAAGACATACAAAGCACTTACTACATATGATGGTTCTTATCGTTGACTTAGTGTATTTGTCTTTGATCATTGAAATATAGCAATGACAACATATTTAGAAGAGAGTGGTTAGGTAATTGAAATAACCCAATGTTATGTCTTGCAGTAATGGTTGAAATTGAATAAGCTATAGCTATTTAATCTGAAGACAAGAAAACTGAGGCAAGAGGATATGCAATAGCTGCTTCCAAGTATTTGTGGAGATGTGGAAGATGAATTCAGTTTATTCTCTTGGCTCTAAGGAGCATAGCCACATGGGTGTATATTAAAGAGTTTAGGTAGGTTTTTCACTCAATATGAAGAATTCCATAACAGAGCTGCCTTAAAATGACCTGGACAGTATAGCAGCTATTTTGGTGGAGGCCTGATGTTCACCAGTCAGGATTGTCAAATGGGACATTAGTACTTTGAATACAGAGCTAGACTTGTTAGCCACTAGCCAGAATCCCACTAGATAATCTCCATTGCACTAGCCTCCTCTGATGTTCTATGAGTCAACTCAGTTTTTGCATATCATGTTATTTTCAAGCATATTCCACCTGGACCATTTACAGATCACAGTTTCTGTGGTAACCAATTCCTGTAATATGTTGCAGTCCTCAAATAATCAAATACCATACATTATTTCTTCTTCTGTATTTGCATGCTGTCTTTTATATTTCCCCAAAGTGTTAAATCTGGCCTTTAGGAATCAACATCCTGTAAACCCCAGGAGACAGTCCAATGTGTGCAACATAGGGCTTATTGCAAACAGCTGCTTATTGCAGAGTGGTGGGTAGCAAATTGTGCCTCAGGTGACCAAGAGGAAATGAACCTGATCATGTTGAGCTTTCTAATGAAGCACAACTAAAATAGTTTGATGTAAAAATCTGTCTACTTGGAATTTTTACTTGACCTCAAATTAGTAATATTACACATTTAGTAATATTAGATTTGCCCAGGAGTGATAAAGGAATTTATTGAATCTTAAAATGTGGATAATGTTTTATGTGATATTATATGAAATTTCCAGTTTTCATTCTTAATAAATCTGTTCAATAAAACTCTAAGGAAAACTGTATGTGAGTTACTCAGGGTTTATCTTTACTACTACCTCTGCCCTGTCAGTTTTACTACTGTTATACCCGAGTTGAGTCCCTGGGTTTCTGGGACTTAAATGTTGTTTTGCCTCATATTCTCCTCCAGAGATTTATCACTGTGGCCTCTTCCTGGTGCCTTTAGGTGCCACTTCATTTTCAGAACTTTGTCGACTTGTTCTCTCTTATTAAAATTCTCCAGTGTTTTATCTTCTTTTCCTCCATTCTCCTGTTTGTCCTTCCTAAGGTAACAGCGATCTACTTTTAAAAACTCAGCTATATTGATACATGTTAATACATGACTTAATCTCAGGTAACTTATGTATGAACGGTAGTGTTCAAAACAGAAGGCATTTATCCATCTCTACTGATGGGTGTTAGGCTGTTGAAGGTGAAATTTAGAGAAAATAAGAACCTTGTGTTCACATCAAAATAGTCTGCATATATTACACCTATAGACAGCTTCCCTGCCTTTTTGCTTCCTTCCTAAATCATTTTTAGTCTTTCTACTGTATGCCAGACATGGCTCTATCTATTGGGAATATGCTGAAGAACAAAGAAGGAAAGATCAGTGAATGGGTAATAGAGAAAAACAGGAATACAGATTGAGAGTTCAGTTTAGATATGGTGTCCAAGGAAAGTCTATTTCAAGAGGTATTACATTGAAACTGAAGGAAGAAAAGGAAGCAGGCATACACAAAGTGAAGGGAAGAATGTGCTAGCCAGAATGAACAGCATGTATAAAGGTTCTGAGGTGGAAAAAACTTGGCATGTTGCAAGATCTGGAGGAGGCCATGTGGCTGGAGCTTTACTAGGACAAAGCTGGTGGAGGTATGTTTGGAGAGGTCAGTAGAAATCAGATCATTAATAGGATGGTAGGAAGTCATTGAGAGAGATTTTAAGTAAAGTGACTTCTATTTATAGTTTGACAGCTCTATATTAAAATAAATTGGATGGGGCAAGAATGGAAATAATGCATTTAGAGGTCTAAGAGAGGGGAAGTGGATTACTGTGAGTATAGAAAAAATGGAGATAAGTGGTCAGATTCAAAATATCCCTTTGCAGGTTCATACCGAGACTTTTTGGGTTGTATGGGAAATAGCGTTTCAGGGAGAGAGAAGAAACAATGACCACGATCAGTTTTCTGTTTTGATCAGTAAATGATGGTTGTACCACAAAATGGGGTGGTGAAGGTTCCTCACTTTACAGAAGAGGAAAATAAAGCTTGAAGAGTTTATGGTGATCACAAGGTTACTTTCTGTTTCACCCTGCCTTTTCAAATGTAAATGAACACCTAGACCATCAAATTCTCTGTGCAGGAAATACATTTTTATTCTATGTTATGTCTCAAGGACTCAGCATGGGGCTGGCATTGATATCTTTCACTCATGTATTAAAAAGATACTGAGTTTACTAAGTGCCATTGTATATAGAGCAGGGACACAGAGAAATGGTCCCTCTCTTGCTGATAGTGGAGAAGACGGGACATTACACACTATGTGGTTGCTGAAGGAGTGAAGCACTGGGTGCGCCGGGAGCCAGGAAAGGATTCTGGGTGAATGTCATGTCTCAGCTGAATAGTGAAGGCCGAGTGGAAGTTAGAAAGGACAGGATATAGTGTGGTAGGCAGAGGTGATAGCTTGTGATTAGAGCCAGAATCTGAAAAGCTCAGAAGAGGAGTTGAAGTTGGATCCCTGTAGTTGAAGAGTTTAGTTCAGAGAGACTAGAGAAAGGAAAAGTCACAGAAGTGAGCAGGGCATGTTATAATACTCCAAGAGCCATTTTAAGAACTTAGATATAATGTTGTGGTAGACAGGGGGCCATTTATGATTTTTAGAAGAGGCATGACTTGATACAATTAACATTTAACAAAGATCCTTGTAATTGTAGTGTGAATAATAGATTGGAAAGGGATACAACCACTCAATAAATATTTGTTGATAATATTCTGCAAAAGTCTAGTATGCATAATAGGTAGTTGCAAGGATTTTCAGCTTGGTTAGGTTTAATCAATGAGACTGTTTGAAACTACCAGGGAGTGGTATAAACAGGTCCTCACTGAATCTTATTGCTACTTTATTCTGTTATTTAAATTTTTAGGCAATTTGAGTTTAGCATATACATGGTTTGTTTTGGTAGTTTGCTGGGGTTTTGCATAACTTTTATGTTAGAAGGGTGTTAAATTTTAAAGAAATCATATAACTTTTTAGAGATTCGTGTATCTTTGAAAGAGTGAATACTTACTACTACAAAAATTTTAAGCTAGCTAGAATTACAGTGAAAGTTGACATATTTAAAATACTTCTAGACAATGCTCGTTGAATAATGAACAGAAAATTATATATAATTATATTTGCGTAATTATAATAGCATTTTTAAGATCAATAAGATAATACAGAGAAATTCAAATGTCAGTTTATTACCAGTGTAAAATTGTATATGACCTTTATTCTTTTTTTTTGAGATGGAGTCTCACTCTGTCGCCAGACTGGAGTGCAGTGTTGAGATCTCGGCTCACTGCAACCTCCAACTCCCTGGTTCAAGGGATTCTCCTACCTCAGCCTCCTGAGTAGCTGGGATTACAGGCACGTGCCACCACGCCCAGCTAATTTTTGTATTTTTAGTAGAGACAGGGTTTCACCATGTTGACCAGGATGGTCTCGATCTCCTGACCTCTTGATCTGCTCACCTCGGCCTCCCAAGGTGCTGGGATTACAGGCGTGAGCCACTGTGCCCAGCCAACCTTTGTTCTTTGTATTTTGTATATATGCAAAAAAGATTTTATAAAAATATAATATTTTAGTATATATTGAAAACTCCCAATTGACAAATTTAAGTTCTGGAAGTTTTCTATAAGTCAAATCTAACCTTCCTCCCAAATACAAAAGTTATTTCTCCTCTACAATCCAGTATCAAATCTCTCTTTTAATATTGTCTTTTAAAATATTTTGGTTACTTAAAGTTCTTTCTTAAATACCTGTCTTGGCCTGTTTTGTGCCGCTATAACAGCCTACCTGAGACTGGGTAATTTATAATGAATAGAAATTTATTGGCTCATGGTTCTAGAGTCTGGGAAGTCTAAGATTGAGCAGCTGGCATCTGGTGAGGGCCATCTTGCTGTTTCATCTTGTGGTGGAAGAGCAAAAAGAAGTCAAAAGAGGGTGAGAGATCAAACACACAGCCTCAAACTCTTTTGTAATTAGTGTGAATCTCCGCATAAAGGTGGAGCCTGCATGACCTAAACACCTCCCATTAGGCCTCACCTTTCAACCCTGTTGCATTGGGATTAAGTTTCTAAAACTTGCTTTTTGGAAGACACGTTCAGACCATAGCAATATTGAACTAATTTCTTCCTTTGAAAAATCTGCCTTTTTGGTTCTAGCTCTATCCTCTGTGGTTTCAAGGATATGTTTAAATATTTCATATGTTATCAAGGCTAATTATTTATAAAGATTTA
The DNA here is from genome assembly GCF_000001405.40 of Homo sapiens. NCBI lineage: Eukaryota > Metazoa > Chordata > Mammalia > Primates > Hominidae > Homo > Homo sapiens. The sequence continues at coordinate 111,341,594 of NC_000007.14, read as the reverse complement.
TGCAGGAGCATTTACCATGGGAATGGTTTTAATTTAGATCATAATGAAATAGTTATTTCAAGCCAGTTTCCTTTCTGTATTTATATATGTTTAGGTGTGTTAAGACTGGATTGAAAGTCTCATTTGGTGTATATATACACGTACAAATTCATATGTATGTAACTATGTTTTTTTAAACATTGATTGCAGTTTACATCATTTATTCATATATTCATTCATTATGTTTGCTGAGTATTTTCTGTTTCCCTCCATTAGAATGCAAGAGACAGGTGCCTAGAACAGTGGCTCATAGTAAATATTTGTTAAATGAATAAAATTGATTTAATATCTTGAGAACTTTTCTGTGTGATGTATTGGCTACCAGAATTATCACTGAGAGGTTAGGTTGTATTAAAGATTGATTACACAGCTGATTAGTAGACGAATTATTACTAGAATCCAATTATTCTCAATATTGCTCTGCTGAATTCATTGCTGCAGAATGTAATCTTTGAAAAATTCTAACATATACTTAATATTTTTGGTGAAAATTAAAAATTGAAGTATATCATACAAACAGAAATGTGCACACATCTTGAAAGTACAGCTTGATGAACTTTTCCAGAGTATTGGTCCATGTAATTATCACACTGATCAATATCGATAAAGAACATTTCCTCCCTCATGTGACCTTCCTGTCTTTACCCAGATGACTTTTGTCTCCATAGGTTAGATTTGCCAGAAGTGTGTATTAATCAAAAGCGTACTTATAGTAAGTACTCTTTTGTGCCTGACTTCTTTCACTGACCATTGTGCAGGTGAGGTTCATTCCTGCTATTTATAACAGAAGTTCAATGTTTTTTTGCTATGTAGTATTCCTTTGTAAGACTGTTCTATGATTTATGTTTCCATCCTCTTGTTAATAGACATTTGGGTTGTTTCCAGTTTTTGGCTATTACAAATGCTTGAACTTTCCTGTACATTTGTGAATTTCTCTTTGGTATAAATCTAGGAGTGGACTTCCTGGGACCTAGGATATGTACATACATGTTCTGCCCTAGGAGATACAGCTAAAGAATTCTCCAAAGTGGTTCTATTATGTTCTATATTTGAAAGTATGGTGGACATTAGAGATGTGTTTTGAGGAAATAGGGATCATATTGGCTGAAAACATACACAGTCTTAATTCTTAAAGAATCTAAATAGGATATAATTACTTTGTTTTTTAAGAACAACTAGAATAACATCTTTTATATTTTTCTGTTTATCCCAGCTTTTCCTTTGACATAGGAAAAAGTTGAATGGATGTATTATCAGGCTGTCATCTCTTTGAAGTACAAAGAAGTCTGTAACAGAACAAAAAATGTCAAATATTCAGGGATCATATTGAATTACTATAGATATATTTGTTGCCCAATAATAATGATTCTTTTTGCACTGTGTATGCTACAAAACTTGAAGTCAGGAAAAAGGAACTTTCGGATTTCAGTTCATTTGATACCCAATAACTTTTTTTTTCTATTTTTTCCACATGTACTAGAGTTTCTTGATTATGTTTAATATGTTACAGTGAATTGTTTCTAGAGTATTCTGTATATAGAATGGTAGTATCAGTGATCTACAAAGAATTGATATTTCTTTGACAACTATAATTTGCCTGAGAATCCCAACTAGCACTCTGGGGGGCTATGTGCAGTTCTTAAACCATGTGTTTTGGAACATAGCATCCTTATTTGATATGGCTTTTGAATGCTATTTTAGCCTCAGTTCCTTTCAGTATGGTGTTTGGAAGGTATTTTGATATATTACAGAAGGCTAACTAGTCAATTTTCACCAAAATTCTTTTACTATGCAAGTATAGGTACAGAATAAAAAGTTGAGTTGAAGTCTTTGAATGAGATAGAGGACTGAAAACATTACTAGCTTTTGTATCTTTGTTTCATGTTCAATTGTACTGAATAGTTTTTATCTAGTTGAGAGGAGTGGTGTAGTTTGTTTAATTACTCCTCCTTACTTCCAGTTTTTTCAGTCACTATTTCTGCAATTTTGATTGGTTAAACTCTTTACTTCACTGTGTCTTAGTTGCTTCATCTGTAAAATGCGGTGTAGGGCTAAGCTGGTTCTTCCTAGAGCTAATGTCAAGGTGTATGTTCTATATATTTATGTAGGGTATTAGGTGTATATTAATAAAGAACAACTTACATGGGCCTCTCTTTTTTTTTAATTCTTCTTAATTGCAAGTGGAAGGAATTATTTCAGAGAGAAATACTCTCTCTTTTCAGAGAGAATAACTATCTTCCCTTTACTTAGCTTCATGGCTGGTGCTAAATGAACCAGGGAGGAGAGAGATCTGCTGAATCATGGCATTGAATTTGATGTTCTAAGCATTATAATTTCTGATGAATAGTCTCAAGAGGCTTCTGCAAAATGATACATTCTGACATCCAGTGACCTTTTAAACTAATATTTCTATTATATAATTCAGTTGCTTCTGTTTCCTGAAAGTAATAACATTAGTTTGTACTGAGGTAGATAATGATTTTGTTAGCAATTTCCTTTGTGGTAAGTGTTTTTACAGTAATTTAGTTTGAAGGAAGAATCGTTTGTACAAATAAAATCCAGAGGAGCTCACTTGTAGTGTACTGGGATCAAGAAAAAAGGTAGTTATTGACTCCTGGGACAATATTCTTGAGACTCAGGATAAATAGTTGTATTGACAGAATTTATTTTTGGTGAAGCTTGTTGCCAACTGCAAATCTTAAGCATGTGCACATGCATGCAATATTGGGGCAAAGGGACAAGAATGTGGAATTCCTGCTAATTCTTTCTATTGCTAGTTCTTTCTCATTAATGGATAAAAATTACAAACCTAGATTTCTTTATTCACAAGACAATAATACCTCACAGAGTATATAGTAAGTGTTAGTGAAATGATAATCAGAGGCATATACTACAGTGTCTGGCTAAATGATGCTAGATAAGGATCAACAATTTTTATTTCCTTCATGTGTGCTTTTTGTGCTATAAGATCCTAAACTAACTCCCAAGTAGGTAAAGCAATTTATTTTTCATAAACTTGTACTATTAAGTGTACTTATTATATATGATTGTTTGATTTATGGCATATCCATTAATTATTTTTACCAATGTAGTTTATTATTGAGAATACCTAGTCCCCATTTATGCAATAACAATTTACTGTAACTAGAATGACAGGGGTGGGGGTAGATGGTTGAACTTTAATGTTCTTATCTAAAATATTGAGATTCATAGCAAAAAAAGGGGGGGAGGAACGTGCTAAGGAGAAAAAAAATAGCAATAGCATTTCTTTCCTTCACAGTTTGCTTCTATTCTTTAATCACACATAACTTCTACACATCTTTCCTACAAACACTCTCCTCTGTTAAACTGATCTCATCTTTGCCCTACAGTTATCATCTCTGCCACTGTGCATTTGACTGCAGAACTTTCTCTTCTCTACCATAGTTGAGGTCCTGCCTCCTCCATGAAGTGCTTTCACTGTGCTTCTGCCCTTGCCTTCTTCCTTTGTCTCACTCTGTTCTCTGTCTCACCTACTTGCCACCTTTCACAAGTTGCCCTGAATCGTAATCTATCCTTTTATGTGTGTTTTAACTCTCCAACTGGATTATGTGCAGAGGCAGTCCTTTTTATTTCTTTGTATCTCTGGTAAACCTCATAGAGGCCTTCACATGACAGATTTTTAGTGAATGTTTGTTGATGCTGTTGCTGGTTTTGCTTCTGCTAATGTTGATGGAAAAGAAGGAAAATCTAATCCTGAATGTATGGTACTTAGTTTTTCTGTTTGCCTTGGGTAACTAAGACACTCTAGGTTTAACTAATTTGAGGTCAGACTTGGTTCACCTTGCTGAATGGTTGATTCATTTATTTGTCAGCCTACCTGCCCATTCAACTGTCCATACATCTGCCCATGTATGGTACTTAGTTTCTCTGTTTACCTTGGGTAACTAAGACACTCTAGGTTTAACTAATTTGAGGTCAGACTTGGCTCATCTTGCTGAATGGTTGATTCTTTTATTTGTCAGCCTACCTGCCCATTCAACTGTCCATCCATCTGCCCATTCATTGGTCCATTTCATCCATCCATCCATCCATCCATCCATCCATCCATCCATCCATCCATCCTTCCATCCAAATAACTTAATTAATACCTTCAGTTAGATACTGCAAAATATGTGCTGGGAGCCATGGAAGATAGAAAAAAAGTAATTAATGGGGTGATTATGGCATAATTTCTATTATTGGCTATTCTTAAATAATTTTTATATCTTCAAATAACTTTAAAAGATAGGCAAATCAATATCTATTTGTGTTTCTAAGTTAAAATAAACTATTTAGTGTATTACTTTTTATAATTCTCTGCTTTTTTTAAAAAAAGAAAACCCAGACATTTCATTTAGCTGACAGCTGTGGATGTTCGTTGCATTAGATAGATTTTTTATCTTAATATAGAAATCTTACTGAACCAAGAAAGTTTTGCAGAATTTCTGAAGGCCGAATATTCAGACTTAAATAATAACAATGTAGGCTTGCTTTTCATTAACTTGATTAAAATTTAAAGTTGGAGTTGAGAAAAGATTGGAACAATTGACATTAAATATATATGATGCTTATGAATCTGTGTTTGGCACTATTTTCACTTATTTGGTTTACCTTATCAAGACTAGTTTCTGTTAAGCCACTTTACCTTATTCAGTATAAATAAGACTGAGTACCAAAATTCTAAAAAAAAAAAAAAGTCTACTTCTGAGAAAGGCAACTTGATTAATCAATAATGTAAACATGAATTCATTTTGGGTAAAATTAATTTAGCAGAAAGATCTGATCAATACTATAAAATAAGTGTGCTTTATTATGAAGATAATTGAAGAGAGAACTTTCATTGAGAAAGAGCAAGAAATTATATAACAAAATAGGCAGAATGAAACATGAATGCATGAATATGAAAGAGAACTTATTAGAAACTGTGGAATTGAAAAATGTAATTGAAATTAAAACACTACTGTAGACAAGATAAACTCTAGAAAATTTACTGTTAGAGATAATTTTTAAGCTGAAAGATAGTATTGAGAGATCCACCCCAAATCAAAGATAGATAAAACATATAAAAATATGGTTGAGACTACAAGTTAGGTTGAGAAGTGTCATCATAACTAAAAGTATCTAAAACATTTTAAACACATAATATTTTTATTTCTTTATCTTCCATTCACTTTAAAATAAGGCCTGGTGTGGTGGCTCACACCTGTAATCCCAGCACTTTGGGAGGCTGAGGTGGGTGGGTTGCTTGAGCTCAGGAGTTCAAGACCAGCCTGGGCAACATAGTGGGACCCTGTCTCTACAAAAAACTTAAAAAAAAAAAAAATAGCCGGCCTGGCGGCACACACCTGTAGTCTCAGCTAGTTGGGGGGCTGAGGCAGGAGGATTTCTTCCTGGGAGTTTGAGGCTGCAGTGAGCCAACATTGTGCCTCTGCCCTCCAGCCTGGATGACACAGTGAGATCCCTTCTCAAACAACAACAAAAACTTAAGATGAAATTAAGTATACTTGAAACCATTTTTTTGACAAAACAATTTAAACATCAAGTAAGTATCTATTGATGTACAAAGTACAAGAACGTTCTTACCCTTTTTAGCCAAGAGCAATTCCTACCCCATAGGTAATTATTATTCATTTGATGTATATCATCCCAGATAACTTTATTCCTGTGTATTTCCATGAAATTATATACATACATGTAGAAATATATACTTTCCTGCTGTTTTATAAGAAGGATCAAACTTGTGCATATTACACACCTTTAAACGATTTACAATAAATGTCATCATGTCACAATAAATGTTAGAGAACTTTCCATGTTGTTTATGTAGCTCAAACTCATTCTTTTAAAGTGTCCTGTTGTGTTCTTTGATATGTGTATTTCCTAGTCTTTTTAGTAATTTTCTTACTGATGGACATTTAGGCTGTTTCTACTTACTGCTGCTATAAACAGCATTTCAATAAACTTTCTCGTATTTCTTAAGTTATTAGTGATCTTGGAGATATCTTCATGTTCTCATGTTTATTTCACCTGTAAATTTCACGTTGATAACTTTTACCTATTTTTATTTTGAGTTGTTCTATATAATATTAACCTTTCATCTTTGTGCTGTAGATATTTCCTCCCTGTCCATTTGCCATTTAGCTTTGTTATATTTCCACTCTTTAGACATTTTACATTTCATGTTGTCTGGCTGACTTTTTTGGGACTCTCCAGGCTTATAATAACAGAGAGATATTTGGTAGTCATCCTCATATCTGTTACTATTTAAAGGGATGCATCCATTTCATCAAATATGGTTTTAAATATGTAAGATCTGTTCCAAAGAGAAGGTGAGGGAGGCTGAAACCTAGCTCTAGTTTGTATCTTTTCTATAAAGAAAAGTTTTTTTAGGTCTCTTTTTCTGTCTCCTCTGCTTCTTATGCCAGTGTTAAGGTTTAGATTCCAGAAGAGCATCGGTAAGTGTGAATCTCAGCTGAGCTTATGGGACTTGGCCTATAAACTGCTCCTGCTACAGATTCAAAGACCAATGAAAGCTTCTTGTTAGAGCTCTCTGTGGAATGATTAACAGTATAAGAGTGATATGCCTCAAGAAAGAAGAGATGTGTCTCAAATTTCTGAATTCCATCGTTACCTGACTGATATTACCCCGAATCAACCTTTCTCTTGTTTTTTTCTGTGTACTGAGAGACGTTAGGAAAAGTGAGGGAAATGGAAGAAATACAAGTGAAGGTTTAAAAAACAATAATTTTAGTAGTCTGGTATTATCTTACATACTTGGGCAATCAGTGCCATCAACTTCTAGGGAGCTAAATTCCCTGGAAGTCTTTTGCACTGCCAGGACCAAGTTGAAAAAAGGATGAGAACCTAGAGCATACCTGGGGACTGTTTCTTTAGTCATGCATGTATGAAATGCCATGTTATACAAATTAGCTTATTACCCTGAATGCCTTTATGAGCTGGGAATTTAATTCTTTTTTATTTTTAAAATTTCATTGATAGAAATGTTAAGGCTATGAATTTTTCTCTGACCATTGCTTTAAAAATACTTGATCAACCTAAGTGCCAATCAACTGATGCATGCATAAAGAAAATGTGGTATATATACCCAGTGGAATATTATTCTGCCATAAAAAAGAATGAAATCCTATCATGTACAGCAACGTGGATGAAACAGAAGGCCGTTTTGTTAAGTGAAATAAGCCAAGCACAGAAAGGCAAATATAACATGTTCACATTCATGTGGGAGCTAAAAAAGTGACTGTCAAGAACACAGAGAGTAGATTTGTAGTTACCAGAGGCTGGGAAGTGGAAGAGGGGAGGAGGAGATGAAGGGGGGAAATATATATATATATAATATGTATTTATTACCACCAAATTATACACTTAAAAATGGTATAGATGATAAATTACATATGTATATTTTACATCAATAAAAATAAAAATTTTTGATATGTAGTGTGCTTATAATTGTTTAAAATATATTTTCTACTTTTAGCTTGTATTTACCCCTTCACCTAAGAGTTGTTTAAGAAAAGGTTTTTTTCTAGAAGAAGATATACAGGTTGAAGAGTGTATCAGGGTTTTCTAGAGGGAGAGAACTAATAAGTTAGATGTGTATATAAAGCGGAGTTTATTAAGGTGTATTGACTCACATGATCACAAGGTGAGGTCCCACAATAGGCCATCTGCAAGCTGCGGAGCAAGGAAGCCAGTCCGAATTACAAAGGTGAAGAACTTGGAGTCCAATGTTCAAGGGCAGGAAGGACCCAGCACGGGAGAAAGATGTAGGCTGGGAGACTATGCCAGTCTAGTCTTTTCATGTTCTGCCTGCTTTTATTCTGGCTACACTGTCAGCTGATTAATTAGATGGTGCCCACTAAGATTGAGGGTGGGTCTGTCTCTCCTTTGTCTCTCAAATGTTAATCTCCTTTGGTAGCACCCTCACAGACACACCTAGGGAGCTTTGCATCCTTCAATCCAATCAATATTACAATCCACTCAATATTTACCATCACAAGTCGACCCCTTGTCAACTTGAACCCATATACATTTCCTGAAATCATAGTCTTCAAATAAAGACAATAATATCATAATTATGCCTAACATAATAAAACTATCCTTCGTACAACCAGGAATGCACAAATCCCCAACCCAAATGCTATTATGTAAGGTTAACAACACTTAAATGCTGATAGCAAGTCAATGAATCTTATGTCACATTTAAAGGAAAAAGGAAATAAAATGAAGATATTTTCTTGTACAAATATATACATGCACAAACATGTTCTTAACAAAAGAAGGAGGAAATACTCATTACAATTACAGTCCTTGTTTGTGCAACTGGTCACGTGCTGGTATTGATGACTACCTTCTTCTACTACCCATTCTGTATTCCCTTTGCCTTCAGCAAGCACCTCAGCAGGTCTTGTTTTTTTCCTGGTGGAGTGACACAAACCTTCATTCCTGGAGGGTCTGGGCTATTTGTAGCCCTGACTGGATTGGGCTGTTGTAGTTTCCCATTGACCTTAATCAGAGGGCATGGTAATACTAAGAGACACCCTAAGGGATCTCCTGTATTCCAGATATCCCTTACCTCCATTGTGGAGTAGTAGACTGATTTCATTTAATCCAATCAAGTTGACAGTATTAACCATCGCAAGGAGCCTTTTTTAAAAAGTGCTTAAATAATTTCTAGTTTTATTTTAATTTTGGTTAGAAAATATTTCTTATAGCATTACTATTTTATAGAACATACTGATATTTTCCTTATCACCTAATATATGATCAGTTTTTGTGATGCTCCACATGCATTTGAGAGAAAAGTTTATTTTTAGGGTGTAAAGTTTGACATATATTCATAAAATCTACCTTATTAGTTATATTGTAGGTGTTTTTAAATTTTCATTTTACATGTTTATTGATCTGCCTTGTTCTAAGTAGTATGTTAAAATCTCCTATTATTAGTGTTCTTTTTGGGACTTCTGGCATCTCTTATAGTTTTTGTTTTACAAAAAGGTACTATATTATTTGGTACATAGATATTTATATTTAATATGTCTTTATTGTGATTTTGGCTTTAGCGTTAAAACGTGTCCTTCTTTGTTACATTTAATGCTTTTTGGCTTGCATTTGATTTTATATGATTTTCTTTCAGTTGGTAGGTTAAGTGCCTGCACAATTATTGAAAAGACTGATGTTTTGATTTTAATTTTGTCATATTATAAATATTATGCACGCTATATTATATTTGCTTGGCTTCTTTCTCTAGTAACCTTTTTTACTATTCGATTTTTGAAGTTTTTTTTTCTAGGAAGGTTTTATTTTGGTCTAGATGATGTGTTTATACTTATTTCTTTACTAACGTCCTTATTCCCCATTTAAACATTATGACCTTTTAACATCTGGTTATTCGGCTGTTATTGATATTCTTTAGTTCCTGCCTCATGCCTATAAAACAGCCTTTTTGTCTTATTGTTTTTGTGGCATTATTTCTACTTTGAGAAAACAGCACATAATATATAGCATATAGCACATGATGTATTTTCCCGTGTGTCTTATACCTACAAATAAATATATATATGTATACTATTAGTTTTTTTGCTTAACTTTCCCAGTTAATAACAAGTTGGGTTAAGGTCATCTTCTAGTAGATTCCTTAAGAACTCATGGATCCAGAATTCCTTGAATTCTTGCATGTTAAAAACTTTTTTTATAGCTTGGATACTCGAAGGCAGCTTGGCTATATACAAATCCTTGGATTTCCCTTTATTTCCTGGAGCCTTATGGAAATGCTGCCCCATTGGTATCTTGCTTTGAATCTTTTTAAAAATTGTAAATTGATAATTTATAATTGTATAAATTTATGGAGTATAAAGTGATGTATGATCCATGAATACAATGTGGAATAATTAAATCAAGTTAGTTAACAACATATTCAATACCTCAAATACCTTTTTTTGTGGTGAGAACATTTGAATGTTACTCTCTTAGCAATTTTAAGATGTGCAGTACTCTATTATTGACTATAATCATCATGCTGTGCAATAGAACTAAAAAAAGCATATTTCTCCTGAGATTTTATACCCTTTGGTTATCATTTCCCCATTCCTTACTGCCTGAACTGCTTTAACCACCATCCTACTCTCTGCTTCTATGAGTTAGGTTATTGTAGATTTCACATATAAGTGAGAACGTGATATTTGTCTTTGTTTGCCTTATTTATTTCACTTAGCATAATGTTCTCCATTTTCACACATGCTGCTACAAATGACAGAATCCTTCTTTTTAAGGGCTGAATAGAATTTCACTGTGTATATTTACCACATTTTGTTTATCCATTCATCCATTGATGGGCACTTAGGTTGATTCCATAACTTAGCGATGGTGAATAGTGCTGCAATAAACATGGAATGCAGACATTTCTTCAACAAACTGATTTCAAATCTTTTAGGTAAACACCCAGAAGTGGGATTGCTGGGTCATATGCTAATTCTATTTTTAGTTTTTTGAGGAACTTCCATACAGTTTTTCATAATCGATATACTAATATATATTCGCACCAACAGTATACAAGGATTCCCTTTTCTCCACATCCTTGTCAATATTTGTTAACTTTTGTCTTTTTGATAATAGCCATTCTGATAAGTGTAAGATGATATCTCATTGTGGTCTTTAATTTGCATTTCTCTAATGATTAGCGATGTTGAACATTTTTTCATATGTCTGCTGGACATTTGTATGTCTTCTTTTGAGAAATTTTTATTCAGATATCTTGACCATTTTTAAATTGGATTTTTGGTTTTCTTGCTATTGAGTCATTTGAGCTTTATGTACATTTTGTATACTAACCTCTTGTTGGATATGAATCTTATTTTTGATAAATCTATTGCCAGTCTAATTCTTTTACTTGTGTATGTTGTTTGAATTCATTTGCCTGGATTCCCTGAGGATTTTTCCTTTATCTTGAATGTCTACTACTTTTACTAAAATATGTCTCTGAGTTGATTGTTACAAGTTTTTTTTTTCCCCCCACCCCGTGGCTAGTGGGCCCTTTCAGTATATAAGTTGTGGTTGTTTGTGTTTGAATACTTTCTTGGTTAGAATTTCATTATTAGTCATATTTTATTTTAAAAAGTCTTCTTCAGAAATTCCATTTATATATAAATTGTATCTTCTTTTTCCTGTCTTCCATTTCAGCCACTTTCTCTTTGACCCTTTTTACTTTTTTCTCTATTTCATTTTATTCATTTAGTTGATTTTCTACTATTTTTCCAGTGTCTCTTATTGCATTTTCTTTCAAATCTGTTTTTCCTTGGGCATCTTGTAATTTACGTTCCATTTCTGATGTGATTTTGTATTTTTCTTCTCTTTTCTTTCTGTGTTCAATCAATTGGTGTTTTATTTTTTCCTTTTAAAATTTTCTGGTCATTCATTTCTCTACTTAGTTTTTAATTCTTATTTCAAGGTTGTTTTTTAAATCTACCTAATTGCAGAATTTATGGATATTTATTAGTTTTGAGTGTTATGGTTTTCTTCTGTTTTGCCACTGTTCTTGCCAGTGTCTTGCCATTTGTTTGTGTGAGAGGGTGGAATTTTTTATCACCTTAATTGTTTGGGTCCTTATTTTCAATTTTCTTTTTATGCTAGGTTTTTGTTTATCTGTATGTTGGGATGGCTTAACATTTCTAGTTCAAGAGCACCCTCTCCTGTTATTGTAAGCAAAGTATTGTTTCTTTACTGGATGGCATGGTTTTCAAATGGCATATGCCTTCCAATTTTTAAATTTTCTTTTGTTTTATGTAATTCGAAATGTTCTCCCCTTTTTCTCTCTCTAATGTATAGTTTCCAAAGAAACCTCTCCTGTTGTTTTAGCTGTCTTTTCTCTCCAAAGTGACGCCTTTGCAAGGTGGCTTGTCATGTCCCATGTGCGTTTTCAAGTCTCCTTTCTGTTATCAGTGTTCTGAGCTAACTGTTCACTTTTCAGTATATATAGGGCCAAGGGCTGAGTTTCTTTCTGTTTCTAGCAGTGGTTTTAAATCATGGTTCAACCTGCCCTTAACTCCTCTCTGCTCTCGTTTGTGTAGTTTCTCCTGAACTGCTCTTGGTCTCCATGAAGGCTACTGGCAGGAGCACATGAGAGAGGTAGGTAGGTCTTGATGTTTATATTTATATTTACAAGTACTTTGAAGTTTGGAGTTTCCTTGTTTTCTAGTTATGTTGAGATAGGGTGTGTAGTTTTAATTCTTCTCCTTCTCTTTTTTTTCCTCTTCCTGTTTCTGTTTCTTTTCAGGATATTTTGGTACTTTCAAATTTATACCTCTGCCACAGCTTCAGCTGCCTAGAATCCTCTCTATTAATGCATTCTTAATAGCGCTCAACATCCTGCAGCAACTTAAATGTTTCGTATCTTGGCTTATTATGAATTTGAATACTGAATAACATGATTGTACATGAAAGCTTTTCAAAAGATGTGACGATCTTTTAAATTATTGTAGGCTTTATGAGACACCTAGTCTGAGCAGGTTAGGAAAAAGTAGATTCTGAGATCTTACCAAGGTCTTACTAATGTAAAAATCAATGGCTTTTTTTTTCTCTGTGTTATTAATGGTTAGGGTCCCAATGTTTTTTTGTGAGACTAAATAATAAAATAATGATCTTTTTAAGTGTGGTGCATCATTGACTGCTGTCTTTTTATCTGAGAAAACTATGTATGTTTAGTAAGTCCAAGGGCACGTTGAAGTTTCATGTGGAATAGTTACATGGGAATTTGCTGCAGCAATTACTCTGCTGTTTAATGACAAGCAATTATCCACATCACTTCTCAAGCTATACATCTCTCTCTCTTGCCCTTCAGCATTATGAACATCCCACCCATGGGCATGAGCATTTATTCTACACAGTATCCAGCTGTTACCTACTCTAAGACGTAACACACCTCTAGTTTTTATAACTAATTCTAAGCCTTGCTGTATTGGGGCTTGTAAAATATAAACCCTTACTTTTTATAATTGCCATTTACTTTATATTCTTCAAACTTTGTAATGCTTTTAGAATTTGTGGGCCCTGAAATAATTTTTGTACCAATAAGGAGCAAGAAGGGATAGTTGCTTTTCTACTGGGGAAAACTCAGTAACCATGTAAATGCATTTCTAAGTATCATTCTGTGGGCTCCTATTTAGTTCTAGCTGCCATGTATTTCATTGTAATATGTCATAATTGCAGTCATATTGTTTAAATTATTTTTCCTGAATTATATCAGTTTTTGAAACATCTTTAATATTCCTTTGTAACCTGCCACTGGGTGGAAAAGAACCCCAGCTGTATTGACAGTTTTCAAAATAACTTTTAAGAGCTTATAGGAGAATACTCTGAGAGAGCTGTTTTAATGGTGCTGTTTTCAAAAATCGTACAAGTTCTCTGAGTAAGATTGGATCTTTGTAGTTTCATTAGTTCTATTATGACTGAGAGGTCATGTGGTTTTGTAAAAATATTTTTTAGTTTAATGATGAAAAGATGGTGAAATGTGGGTGGTTATGCTGCTTTATAATACTTTATTCTCATATGTATTCTTATATATTATATATCTACTATACGTACCTATTTTCCAAACAGGTGATTCAGGTATGTAGTTAAAACCCTCATTTCCACACTGAAATCAGGAGCCTTTTGACACATAGAAATCTGGAGAATTAAGAATTTCTTGTATTATGTACACTATGTTTTCAGCTTGCATTTCTGACCTTAAGCAATTTATGGCTCTCTTTCTTTCTACTTCTGCATTTATTTTGGCCAAACCACAGGATTTGATGATGACTTTTAAATTATTAATATACCATAAGATTACTTTCTAGCCTCTAACTTATTTCTGAAAATAGTTAAAAATATTTTTCCTTTTCATGCACAAATAGCACATTTGTGAGCTGAATTTTCCTATATTTATTTTTATTTATTAATATATTATGTATTTGCTCATGCCAAGTGCTACAAAAGAAATAGTTCAGTCTTTTGAAGTGTAAGAAGTACATGGATGAATGAATGGTGGGTTACAGTACCTCGCAGGAACAGCTATGATAGAGACATGCAGCAAAGGGAGTTGAGTACATGTTAATGAAATTGTAGAAATTATTTAGTTACAGTGACACTTTTTATATATAATGATCTATGTGAGTGAACACTCATAAAGCAGGTTAAATGAGGCATTCTATTTTGATAATATTTTCTCTTACATGAATTTTAAGAATTATTATCTTGCTTAACTGAAACTTTATACCAGTTGGACAGCAACTTCTCATTTTTCCCTCTCCCAAGCCCCTGACCACCACCATTCCCTTTTTGCCTTTATGAATTAAACTATTTTAGATACTTCATATAAGTAGAATGTATGCAGTATTTGCGCTTCTGTGACTGGCCTATTTCATGTAGCACAGTGTTTTCCAGGTTTATCTATGCTGGCAGGATTCCCCTTTTTCCCCATCCATATGCCAGGATTCCCTTCTTTTTAGAAGCTGAATAATATTCTAGAGTATGTAAATGTACTACGTTTTCCTTATCCTTTCATCTATTGATGGACACTTAGGTTGATTCCATATCTTGGCTATTGTGAATAGTGCTGCAGTGAACATGGGAATACAAATACTTCTTTGAGATCCTGATTTCAGTTATTTTGAAATACCAAAAACCAAAATTTATTTTGGATAATACCTGAAAATGGGATTGCTCCAAGAAATGGTAGTTCTTTTTATAATTTGGGTGGAACCTCCATACTGCTTCCAGAGCTGTTGCATTTCCCACCAACAGTGCATAAGGGTTCCAGTTTTTCCAGTGTTCCCTGTACTTGTTTTTCTTTTGTTGTTGTTTGTTTGGTAACAGCCATCCTAGCAGGTGTGAATTGATATATCCTTGCGGTTTTCATTGCATATTTCTGATGATTAGTGATCTTGACCATCTTTGCATATTCCTATTGGCCATTTTTATGTCTTCTTTGGAGAAATGTTTATGAGAAGTAGGAATCTTAATGAGGAATATGTTAGCAGCTGAAGAAGATTTCTGAATGGAATTGTTTAAGAGACAACTGAGAATTGAGGCATTGTACAGCTTTCACTTATGGAGGGAGAATGCATGCCCATAATTTTGGAATTATTGTAACTTTAATATCTGAGATGGAAAGATATTTCAATTATAATCTTTGGTATTGATCAAAAACTTTTTTGTAGTTTTGAGAAAATTTTAAAAATTTAATCAAATTCATTATTTGCTAAGCATCTTAATTTTTATTTGGCAATCTCAGTCTTATAAATGCATAATTTATATCTCAATTGAGGTATTATGATGAACTAATTGCCTTCAAAATACCTAAAATATATAAAATTCGATTAAGTGTAATTTTCTTTATATCTTTATAGACCTGAAAGTAATAGCAAGTAAAGAGAGCAGAAATTTACTCAGGTTTGGTTTAGGAGATTTTATGAAATCTAACCATAAAAAAATACTGTACATAATTTAAACACAGCATGTTTTACAGTATGCAACTTCAAGCAGTAATAAATTATAAATAGCAATGTTGCTCACAATTCAGTTATAGGCAAAACTACATTATAATTTAAATTAAAATTCCAGAACATTATTACTACAGTAAAATTTCATGAGGGGTTCAACCTCTCTAATAAAGAAATGCAAATGAATCAACT
Organism: Homo sapiens; assembly: GCF_000001405.40. Classification (NCBI taxonomy): domain Eukaryota; kingdom Metazoa; phylum Chordata; class Mammalia; order Primates; family Hominidae; genus Homo; species Homo sapiens. The sequence continues at coordinate 111,325,848 of NC_000007.14, read as the reverse complement.
GTGAGATGCCATTTTGATCTACTACACTGATGATGCCAAAAGATAGAATGTAGTATGGAAAAGGGGTCAAGGGAATAGAAGTTATATACTCGTGGTCGGAATGTAAAGTTTCAATATTTTTGAAAGGTATTTAGATGATATATTAAAATTTACATCCTTTGATTCAGGAATTTCACTTCAAGGATTTTTTTGTTAAGGAAATAATCAGAGACACAAATAATTACATGAAGGGCTCGATTACAGAAGGATTTATACTATTAAAACACTAAAAAAACCTAAACTCCAAAAAATAATGGAAAGATTAAAAATATTTTGGTAGGTCCACATGATGATCTTAATATACATTCATTTAAAATTATATTTTGGAATTCATTTACTAATATGGTAAAATATCTATAGCTATATTAAGTGGAAAAAATGGAATTAAAACATTATATTTATTTTGCGCGCTTTCACATTTGTACTTATCTGCATACAAGAAGATTGAAGCAAAATATACCAAATACTGTTATTATTTATAATTTAAAGATAGCTAATCTTTAAAAGGTTCTCATTTTATATACCTTTTTGAACTTTCCAAGATTGCTACCATTAATCAGTGTTATATTAAAAGTTAAACATTATTTTAAAAAGCTCTAAGAATTAGCTCAAAGAATATACAGCTATGAAAACATATATTATTTTGTAACTAAAATCTTATATTTCTTTTTTGTGGATTAACCTATTATTGGGTTTTATGCTAGTAAAATAACATTCACTGAACATTGCATTCTCTATGAGATGGCATTTGCAAATCTCATAAATTCAGAGAACACAATTATGTCAGTGAATTGAAATTAATGAAATGGCATCCCACACAGGCACCATAATTTGCATATTAATTTCAGTTAATGTTTTTATGGATGTGGCAGACTTATCTTAGTCATATTTGATTAAAAAAATTAACAGATTGTGAAGCAACCAAATGTTGAGCAGTTGTTCCCCTAGATTTTCAGTATTCAAAAAAAATCTTTGGTGTGTTATTGTTTGCACTTTGAATTTTAGTTTATTTACCTTTTATTGTTTTTTAAAAACTAAAAATACATTTTGTCAATAAACAGATTGTTGTTGATATTGGTTGATATTGAATATTTATTTTTTAGCTATAATTTATTTTTTTCCCTTTGTTAGGGAATATAGTATTGGAATTTCTCATTTGAATATATTACACTTAAACATTATATTACACATGATTTTGAATGAATTTTTTATTTGACTCTAGGAACTATTGTTAAAAATATTTACTGGTTTTCTCAAACATGCCTTCATGTTTTATAGCATCTTTTCTCAACTTGAAAAAGAGTGACTTGCCTCAACTTAATTTAAGGAACCTCTGATGAATTATGGTCTGTAGTTGACTAATTAGTTTTACTTCCCTTTTTAGGCATTTCCTTAATGCATTCTCTCTCTATTATGGTCAGTTTTGCCAAATGAAATTTTATTTTACCTATGTTTCAGATTTATTTGCATATACAATAGATTTCTTTTCCTCTTTGTGCTTCATTTTCTCTTTCAGTTCATCTCTTTTGATGACTATTTCTTCTTTGTTATTTTTCACTTTGTGTTTTTGGGCTTTCACCCTAATCTCCCCCACCTTTTTATTTATTAGGTTGGCTAGTAATTTTTCTATTTTGTTGAGTGTTTCAAAGAACCAGCTTTTTTTATTTTATTGTACTTTAAGTTTTAGGGTATATGTGCACAATGTGCAGGTTAATTACATATGTATACATGTGCCATGTTGGTGTTCTGCACCCATTAACTCATCATTTAACATTAGGTGTATCTCCTAATGCTATCCCTCCCCACTCCCACCACCCCACAACAGGTCCCGGTGTGTGATGTTCCCCTTCCTGTGTCCCTGTGTTCTCATTGTTCATTTCCCACCTGTGAGTGAGAACATGCAGTGTTTGGTTTTTTGTCCTTGTGACAGTTTGCTGAGAATGATGGTTTCCAGCTTCATCCATGTCCCTACAAAGGACATGAACTCATCATTTTTTATGGCTGCATAGTATTCCATGGTGTATATGTGCCACATTTTCTTTATCCAGTCTATCATTGTTGGACATTTGAGTTGGTTCCAAATCTTTGCTGTTGTGAATAGTGCCGCAATAAACATATGCGTGGATGTGTCTTTATAGAAGCATGTTTTATAGTCCTTTGGGTATATACCCAGTAATGGGATGGCTGGGTGAAATGGTATTTCTAGTTCTAGATCCCTGAGGAATCGCCACACTGACTTCCACAATGGTTGAACTAGTTTACAGTCCTACCAACAGTGTAAAAGTGTTCCTATTTCTCCATATCTTCTCCAGCAGCTTTTGTTTCCTGACTTTTTAATGATTGTCATTCTAACTGGTGTGAGATGGTATCTCATTGGGGTTTTGATTTGCATTTCTCTGATGGCTGGTGATGATGAGCATTTTTTCATGTGCCTTTTGGCTGCATAAATGACTTCTTTTGAGAAGTGTCTGTTCATATCCTTTGCCCACTTTTTGATGGGGTTTTTTGTTTTCTTCTTGTAAATTTGTTTGAGTTCATTGTAGATTCTGGATATTAGCCCTTTGTCAGATGAGTAGATTGCAGAAATTTTCTCCTGTTCTGTAGGTTGCCTGAAAGAACCAGCTTTTTGATCTGTTTATTAATTTTGCTGTTTTTCTGACTTCATTTTTATTTTTATTAATTTCCTTCTGCTTTTGTTTTCTGTTGTCAGTCTTTTTCTAGCTTTTCAAATTAAATGTTTAAGTCATTTTATTTGCTTTCTTTTTTTCATTTTGAAGAAAGAGAGTTTATTACAGTGAAGAGTTTGCAAATGTGGGAGATGCAGCCGTCCGTGTAAAACAAAGGTGCATTCACCATTTTATTTACTTTTGTAAAAAAAAAATTATGTAAGTATTTAATGCTATGAACAAAGCTGGGAGACGTAGGCTTTGATATAAAATATAGATGCATTCCTCATTTTATTTCTTTAAAAAATATGTAAGTATTTAATGCTATGGATTTTCTTTGGAGAAGTGCTTTTACCATGACCCATAAATGTTAACCTGCTTTTTAATTTGCAGGTGAAAAGGTCTTTTTCTCATGTAAATTATTATTCATTATTAGTAGGTTTCTTGGGGAGATTTTGCGTCGTGATCTGAGAACACCACTATTAAATGTATTTGTATATTAGTATTAATATTACTAATATTAGTATATTTCTAATTTTTTTTAAAATTCAGTTCCTTCTACCACCCAGATATCGAATTTCTTTTTCATTTTTTGGGACCTGGAGATTTCTCTACCATTGTTTCAAACTTAGCTACATAATGGAGAATTCTTATGCTGTTCCTTCTACTTCAACATTTCATTGATTTGGAGCAGAAAGTGACTCATGGTTCTGTCTGTACAATTCAGTATAATATTATGCTGATATTATGCTTGTGTTAAATTCAGTTTCAGAATGTCTATATGATGTGAACTAAAATTCTGCATCTAACCAGTCATGGGGTCAATTCGACCTCAATAAATATTTATTGAGAATCTATTTATCTGGCACATACTATTTCCATGGGTCTGGCATAAAAGAATCTGGGGGCCAGCCTTTTATTCATTAATAATTGTTTAGTAGTTATCAAGTCTTATAGTGGCTATGTTCAAGACTAATTAAATTACCAATAACTGTAAATTCAAAGCTGTTATCTTACATTAATTACTGTAGGGATGTCTCTTGGCATTGTTTTCTCTTGCAGAAATTATAAAAGTTCAAAAATGAAAGTACTTTAAGTACTGTGAATGCAGTAGATCACATTATACACAGGGTTTTAAAATAGTTATGGGCTTTAACATAATTTGAGTTTTAACATATGGCATTTTAGGTTTAAGGATTTGTATCATAACTCAAGGTGTTTCATTGTCCATAACTTAGTCACAAGGGCAAGAATATAAGTAAAGTGTTGGAAGTTTTTTTTACAGTCCTTTGAAAAGACATGCTGAACTTTTCTATACTTATCACTCTGTAGTTCCATTCCTTTTAATTAAATAAACTGCTGAGCATATAATTTTTCTTTCATTTTGGACTTTGAAGAGTGAGTCTGCTAAGAGAGTGCTTACATTGAAACCACATTCAAGTGTCTATTTTAAAGGATTTCTGAATTTGGTGATTTAGAGCATAGCTATATAGTAAAGCAAGCTTTGGATTTAAGGCTAAAATTTTGATTTGCAGTTAAGGACTCCTTTTATATCACTCCCATGATGTACTACAAAAACCTGAGAATCTCAACCTCAAAGATAAATATTAATAATTTAGAGAAAAAAAAAGATTGTTGTAGTTTTTTTTCCATGAGAATATTTGCATTTAATTTGAGACATTGAGAATATTACCTCAAATCAGAGATCTGAGTAGTCTCTAGCTTCTCAGGAGCACTCAAAATGGATGGAGATTTTTCTTTATAATTATTGTCATTTATTTAATCAGTGTGCAATGATTAAATCATATACGGAAGCAGGATTTTGATTATAATTCTTTTATTTTAATAGAGTTGTAATCTGCTTACCCTGAGCCAATTGTGTGTTGACTTACATTCTCACTGTATGGACAGATGCTTTTTTGGTATTATCGTAGGAGCAAATAAGGGTAAGTCAAATCAAAAGGCCATGATGTAGCCTCTTGATCAATTGACTTTCCTAGATTCATTAGGATTGCCCTGAAATTTATGACAAACTCTTAGCTGTTATTTATTTATTTTTCCATTGGGCAGATTGGAGAATACTTAGTTCATACACATTTTGGTGGCCATATTTTCTTGAAGAAAACATGGAACACATACCGCCTTTCATTTATATCTTTATTCATTAATTCAGCAAACATTTAGTGAGTGTCTCCTTTGTTCCAAGTACTATTCTAGTCATTATGATACAAATATGAATAAGTTGCTTGTACTTTAAGGATCTAATAATCAGTGATTGGGGGAGGAAGAACAAAGTAAACAGTACTGTATGGTATGATAACTATAAGCATAGGGTGCTTTCAGAGCACACAGATGTGTCACCTGGAGAAACTGGAGAAGTCTAACAATGTTTTCTTGAGGATTACACCTGAATCAAACTCAATTGCTTTAGTGTTCTGGATGAGGAATGGTGGTGCCTAGTACTGAGAGAATATGAGTAACTGAGTAATTTCAAATTGTTTGGCATTGTTGGGTACCACAGTGGGAGTGGTAAGAGTTCAGTGTGAGCAGCAACCAGTCAGATTATCAAGGGCCTTGTAAACAGTGTTAAAGAGTTTGGACTTGATCTGAGGGTAGTGGGTTGTTCCTAAAATGTTTTAGAAAGATTATTCAGATTGTGTTTTAGAATTTATGGGTTGTAGGCCAGAGAAAGGGAAACCAGTTAGGAAACTGATAAAATCACCTAGGTCAGAAATTATATGGGCTGAAGCAAATGCTGAGGAAGTGAGAGAGAAATGAATAGTTGCATGAGTGAACAAGAATTTGGACTGTAAGAATGGGAAGAGGCAGAGTGGCTCCTCAGCTTCTGATTTGAGTAAGAAGGTGGATGGATGGTGGTGAAGCCATTGACTGAGGTGAATGGAGAAACACAAGAAGGTGTAGTTTGGGATTTCATAGAATTAGCTTCTGTCTTGGTAGGACAGTGTGACCACATGTTCTGTGACCTAACAGTGTGCAGCCTGGGTATGATCTATTGTTGAAGCCTCACTTGACTTATGGCTGGGGATCAATGACTTTTCCTCTCTTTCTGTGTATATATATCTTCCCACGATGGAGGCTGATGTGGGGATGAAGATTTTTTTTAAAGTGGTTTTAATGCACAGAAATATACAGTAATGAATAGTTAACAAGGGAAGAAAGAGCTCCAGTTAATAGTACTAAGTTAAAAATAAAAGAGAAAAATAGAAATAATTTTTATATAAAGTCATTGTTACGACCTCCCATGGAATGTGGCAGCCGAAATATTAACTATTAGTTATCCCCTAGGAGGCCTTGGGCATTACCTGGAAATGGGCCCTGAAGGTGTATTTTCAGCCAATGTTCTGGTCTTCCTTTAATCTGTTTGTTTCCTGTTTCATACTATATGTTATGCTAACATTCTAAAAAAACTTAGGTTTAAATTGCTTCTTTTCTAAAATAGAACTTATCGCTATAGAATATAGCCTTCTGTATTAAAACAGATTATAGGGTTGTTATTGAGGGCTGATCTTTGAAACCAAACATATAAAATTGATTTAAAGCTAAAATTTTGATTTGTAAAAATTTTGAATGATGAAAATTTTGGTAGTTCACTGATTACTATTCTCTTATGACTCTGCTTCTTCCACTTTCTACCCTAATCTCTTCCCACCATCTCACCAGCCAAAAGGAGTTCTACTTAGATCTGCTAAACTATGAATTTTTTTTACGGTTTTGGAAATAACATTATATTATATTTGGAACATATTGGAGAAATCTATAATATGTAGCACATTAGTGTAGAAGGATATTCTACTTCCTGTGCAGAGATGACTTTTAGTGCTTATGAGGACTTTAACTATGGTCTTTAAGCTATATAGAACATCAAGGTCACAGCTTTATATTGCTGAACAGTTCTCTGGATGATGTGAGGGTGAAAAAAGAATGCTCTCAGCACTTTTTTTGAGTGTGACAAGATTACAAATGATTCCTCACAAAGTCTTGAAAGTGTAATCGTGCCCTCAGACTTGCCCTCCTACAGACATATTTGGTAACGCTTACTTAGCCTTACATTAAGCCACATGGTGATTTTCTGATTACCAGGATGGTAGGACAGGGATGTTTTCTTATTGGTCATTGTGATGTGTGGACAACATTTAAGGTAATGATAGCAAAATAGTTCACTTATCTATATAGTTGGCTAACTTGTGGCTAAATGGCAGGCTAATCTTAGAATTATTCAGCAAAGTCTGGCTAATGGTCGAATCATGATGAATAGACAGTATATTAGCTTGTTAATTGAAATGAAGAACTGTTACTTCCATAGTTGAAATATAGATAATACCAATTATGTAATAGTCCTAATTTAGTATCTAAAATATTTTTAAAAGAATCTATTAAGTAATAGAAATTTTTCTTCATTATGGTATAGTTATTCCGTCTTCAAGTGGCTTGGTAAGGTATTGTCTTTAAAAAGTGCTGTCTTCTAGGATATCATTTGACTTACAAGTTTGCCATTGCACCTCAGAACTAGAAAATCAATTTCTCATTTGAATTGATCCATACCACTGTTTTGGAATTAATTACTTTTGTCTAGGGTTTAGTCATGTTCAGATCTGCTATAGGTTACATCTGATCTGAGGCTTCTTAATGATGATGATGATTTCTATGGTAAAATCTTTTCCTGGGGAGTTGCTTCCCAGATCTTCCTTTTGCTGTTTCCTTTAGACATCTGTATGTGTCTGCAATCTGTTACTACCAGATTTCACCACCAGCCCTTGAACTCTTGAATTGTTTGTGTGCTCAACCCCTTTTCTGTTCTTTGTAAGGAACCTGAGTTCTCCATTGGCTTCCACATCTGTATTAACCAGGCATCTGGGGAAAGGACGCCATCTGCTTTGAGGAGAGAATCAATCACCCTTTCATTTACACTGATATTTGGGCTCCTTAAAGGCCCCGTGGCCCTCCTTCACTCTTTAACTTTTTAGATTCTGACCTATATTGGAAAATAAAACTGCTAAATCATAAGCTAGTGTAGTTTTTACTTCCCTAATCCTTCATGGCTTGGATAAATATAACATTATAAGGATTGCATTATAAGTAAGTGGTTATATTCTGTTAATATTTATTTACCATAATTGGTGCTCATTAAAGGGCAGATTGAAAAAATGTAGATTTCAAAATATAACAGCCTATTTGGTATTTTTTCTTAAGTAAAGGAAAATGAGACCATGTAGAATCTATAACAAATTTTATTGAACCTTTCCTGGAATTTTCAAAGTTTCACTTAACTCTAACAGGTTCAAGGAAATAATGAAATATTAAATTCACAGACTTTGAAAAGCTTATTATTAATATGTTTAAAGAACTTTCTTTAAGCATCTTAAATTTTTCTTAAGCAGTTCAACAACAAAATCAACACCCTCACTAACCAAGTGAAATCAAACTGACAGATTGTTTGTAGCAGCCTTATAATGGTCTCCTTGGGTTTATGATCTGGGGAATGAAGACAAATTGTTGATTTTTAAATAGAATGCCATGTACTCTTTGCTAAGAAAATTTGCCTTTAATTTTTAGACCTTTGAGTATTTTATTACTAGTTTTTTTCTGTCTCTGATTCAGTATTATTATATCTTCAAAATACTGAATATCTAGGGAGTCTGATTGATAAACCTCAATTTCCAGAGAGTCAGGTAGTATTTCTTTGCCCATATAATGTTGGATCTTAATATATAAATCTTGCATTCAGCCAAACCATATTAAGCTTGGCAAAATCCTTTGTTTCTACATTATGTCTGAATAATGATATACTGACAATTAGAATCTTCATTTATTTCTAGTTCAGAATGGCTTCAGATGTTGTTGAACTTTGTGTTGTACTTATCTCTTGAATGAAATGAGGTAGGCCTGAGTGGGTACAGGATGTAAAGTCAGAGGCCTGGATAATAATCTGGCTCTTCCAAACTCACTTAACCACGTTGAGACACTTTCATGTCTGTACAAACGAGCCAAAAATCATGCCTGCAATCCCAGCACTTTGGGAGGCTGAGGCGGGCGGATCACGAGGTCAGGAGATCGAGACCATTCTGGCCAACATGGTGAAACCCCGTCTCTACTAAAAATACAAAAATTAGTTGGGCGTGGTTGCACGTGCCTGTAATCCCAGCTACTTGAGAGACTGAGGCAGGAGAATCACTTGAACTCGGGAGGCGGAGCTTGCAGTGAGCCGAGATCTCGCCACTGCACTCCAGTCTGGCGACATAGCGAGACTCCATCTCAAAAAAAAAAAAAAAAAAAAAAAGAAAAAAAAAAGGAGCCAACAATATCTCTCTCATTGGGTTGTTGTGAGATTTGACAGAGATAATATATGTGAGATTCTTTACAAATGGCCTTTTTTGATTGTAAATATGATAATTTTTTTACTGAAGCATATAAATTTATGAGATAATACATTTTGACTATCGGATGTCCTTGCATATTACTTTATTTTCCCTTTTCTCCCTTTACTTTTTAAAAAATTTGTTTATTCTCTCTACTCCTTCATAAAGAAATGTGTGTGTTAAATTTATGGCCCTCGTAGCTTGAGTGTTCCTAAGCGGCAGCCCTCTTCAAAATGGAATCTTGATGAATAAGAACCTGGATTAATTTATTCATGGCTAAATAATTTTTCTTTTCTCCCTAACTATGTATTCATCCCTAAATCATACATTTAGATCATAACTAAGAATTTTACTTTGTTGGCTCTTAACATAATGAAATATATTCTGGTTTTCAGGCCCTTTTTTCGACTTTTGTTTCCTGCATGTTCTTTCTTTGTCTATGAGTCTTTTACTTGGGGTGGCTGGCTTGTGCTTTGAATACATCTAACATCCTCCACTCTTTATGCTTCTTATGCCTTTCTTTATACCATCCACCCAGTTGTAATTCCTGTCTACTCTCAGATACAGCCATGTGCCACTGCATAATGTCAGTGATAGACTGTGTTTTTGATGGTCTTCCCATAAGAGGATAATACCATGTTTTTACTGTACCTTTTTTATGTTTAGATACACAAATATCATTGTGCTACAATTGCCTATGGAATTCAGTGCAGTTACATGCTGTACAGGATTGTAGTCTAGGAGCCATAAGCTAGGGGTAGTCGGCCATACCATCTATGTTTGTGTAAGTATACCCTGTGATGTTCGCACAATTATGAAATTGCCTATATGCTTTTCTCAGAATGTGTTTCCATCATTAAGTGATGCATAACTGTACTTTCCTGTTGTTCAGGTGTGGTTTAAGCCTTATCTCTTACATGAAGTCTTTTCAGACTTCCATAGCCAGAGTAAGTTTTTTTTTACATTCCTATGTAGTTATTATCTGTAATACTCACCTTTTTATTAGTTGAAAAATGAAGCCTTTTTTTTTTTTTTAAGAAGCCACTAGGAAATGTTTCCTTGTGTGTTGTTTGCTTAAATGGACGTAGTCTCATTCATTACTGAAAGACTACGTGGCGGTGAGGAAGGTATTACTATGATTGGTTTACATTAAATAGAGCTTAAGTCTGAAGCTGTGGTAGAAAGGATTTGGAAGAGCAAATTGCATTGTGTGCACAGATAATTGTCCATCCTGGAAAATATCCACGTAAATTTTTAAGAAATGCAGAAGCATCAGAAATATTTTTAGAAATCCATGTCGTTTCTGTCTTCACTTTATTTATTTGTTTTTTTTTTCAGTCATTTCCTGCCATTAAGGGACTCATAGGCTACTGAAGGATTCAGATAAATACTTTTTAGTAAAGTATCATAAGTACCATATGTATAAGCAAGATCCTGAGGAAATACTAGTTTCTTCCTATTGTCTTACCACCTGTCAGGGCTAGTTTCCTGTGTTATTTGGACTTCTCTCTGCAGGACTGCCCAAATTTTTCATATCAATAAAAGAAGCTTAACGCAAAATTACTGATTTTGATTAAAGAGGATATTTTTCCTGGTTGGTTGTATAAGATGGACTGTGATAGCGTCACAAATGTTTGCCTTATGATATGTTTTAAAAAGTCAACGATATTCTGGGGGAGGGCCACCTTAAAAGAAGTGAGAATTAAATCGGAATTTTTCTTTGGGTGAGATATGCACGTATACTTTTAAAATATTTTCCTCCCGATTTACTTTGGTTAACTTCTAGTTCTCCTAATTAATATGTGTGAATTTGGCATATTAAAAGGGTAGATTTTCTGTCAAACAGTCATGACAAAATAGCAGACAAAAAATAGAATATATTTCACAGCTTAATTTAAGTTACATTTTTACTACCCTTGCAATTATATTCCATAGGTCTCCACTATTTGTTTAGAAAAATCTATAGGATAATTTTATTTCTTTAATCTTGTAGAAAACACAGTTATTAAAATGGACATTGAAAACATATTAATAGTTATTAAAGTGGGCTTAACTGATAGATTGATTAGAAGCTGGGGAACTTGCATAGAGAAGGAGGAGGAGAACTAGCTTTTTCCTAGACAAGTGGGAATTACTTCAGTTTATTGTATTACTTCAGTAGTTATTGCATTACTTCAGTTTTATTATCCTATACTAGAACAGCTTTCTAAATGATCTTATTTTCCTCATCTTATTCACTCTAGTCAATCCTCCATTCCTCTGGCAATTATCTTTCTAAAATTTAAATTAAAAAATTTCAAATGCAACATCATTCAATCAATTGTATGAGCAATATATTAATAGAATCATACTTTGCTCACCTTTTGCCTGTCTAACCTTTTCTTCGGCATATTCCTGATTATCTCCTCATTTGCTATATTTCAAATTATATACAATTCTACTTTCCAGGACATCTTATGCTTTGTCAGGTCTGTATGCCTCCATACATGCTGTTTTTCTGATCTGAAATATTATTTTTTCTTGTATTCTTTAGAAGCCCTAGTTTTTCCCCAAGTCACTTCCCTGAAGCCGCCTGTATTAGGCTATTCTCACATTGCTATAGAGAAATACCTGAAACTGGGCAATTTATAAGATGAGAGGTTTAATTGGCTCAGTTCTTCAGGATGTACAGGAAGCATAGCAGCATCTGCTTCTAGGGAGGCCTCAGGGAGCTTTTACTCATGGTGGAAGGCAAAGCGGGAACAGGCACTTCACACAGCAAAAGCAGGAGCTAGACAGAGAGTGGAGGGCAGAAAGTGCCACACTCTTTCAAATGACTAGATCTTGCGAGAACTCACTATCACAAAGACAGCACCAAGCCATTAAACATACACCCCTGGGATCCAAACACCTCCCACCAGGCCCCACCTCCAGTGCTGGGGATTGCAGTTCAACATGAAATTTGGATTGGACAAATATCCAAATTATACACCATCTATGACCCTTCTTGGCTGTTGTAGTTGGCTCTCCTGTATACCTGATACACATAGTCTAGTTATTATTTACTGTATTTTGTCTGTTTCCTCTGATTCTATTTCCTGACGAGAGTAAAAACTCCTATAGTTGATTTTACATCTGTAACTCTGGGATTTGTCACAATGTCAGGAACATAGACACAGTAAGTATTTGTTGATTATTAAGAAAGTTAAGATTAGATTGAGAATGGCATTTTGAGTGCTTGTGTAGTATTTGGTTTTCTTTACAGTTATTATTATACCATAAAACATATATTTAATTTATTTTATAAATGGTTAGAAGATAAAATGCATCACATTCTGTTTTTCCATTATTGTTTGGTTTTGTGACAGTTAGTGCTGTTATCTCTTATCTATATATCTGCCCTTCCACACTCTACTGCAAAGATATAAAACCTGTGAACCACACATGCCAGATTCCATTGCTAGCAAGTTTTCTATTAGGTACAGCCAAAGCAAGGCAATCTTGAAAGATTGTAAGGTAGGAGAGAAGAAGCAGCTATTTATTTCCTTTTATTGGATGGTGTACTTCAGCATGCAGAAGAGGATACTGAAGGTGACCTCTGGTGGCTGTGAGTTCCAGAAGCATTAGTGTTGGCATCTTGAATAGCAGTAGCAGTACTCCTGCTGCTGGACAGTATAGGCTCTGTTGAGCAATAACAGAGCATTCCCAGTGGCACCTGTAGAAGTTTTTCCAGGAGCTCAGCAATTACTGCAGGCTTGTGGGCTCCAGCCTAGTGGGGTAGCACCCTCACTTTGGTTTGAAACCCTGTTTTTGTTTTGTGCCTTCAAGTATTTATTTCTTCCTTTTTTTTCTAACCCCTTCAACAACTGTATAATCAGTTTCTGGTATTAAATTTCCTATTCTGGAAATGTCTATAGTAGTTTCTGCTTTCTTTAGTGAACAATAACCAGGAGTGGTTTTAGGAGACAGAATTTCAAAGATGAGAATTTGAGATTGGTTATCTGACCATACTGCAATTGAACACAATAGTATATCATTGCCAGTGGAAAATTGCCGTTCCATGCAGGGTCAGCTCAGTTACTTAATGTATCACCTTTCTTATCAGAAATGAAGTGTTTACTAAAGTCAAAGTTTTGGGAAATCAAATGGAAGTTGTAATTGACTGTTATGGATTGAATAATGACTCCTGTTGGCTGTTTTTGACTACACTAGAAGGTTTATAGAAAGGAAATTATGGGTTCAGGACTTCTCTCAGTTCAAGGATAGTCACGTAAACAGAGATCTATGATCCCCTCCCCACTCCCACTGCCAACACAAATTGTCTTGTCTTTTATCATTGCAGTAATGATGCAGCTGAAAATAAGAACCAAACTTCAGTTCTGAGAATTATAGAATCACAGTACAAGTTGAATTCACAGCCTCACTAGCTTTCTTATATGGAAGATAAGACATGAATGGTAGACATGGATCATGATAATTGAAATGAATATATTTATGTGAGTGAACTCACCTAAATCTCAGAGCCTTGAACTCCAGTTTCCTCTATGCTTCATCTGCAGTTTCCCCAGTGCTTTATTGTGGAACCAACCTCTTCTTCTTTCTCTAAGGAGATTAAATTCCCTCTTCTTGAAGAGTCTGTAATGGCCATAGTGACTTCAGTCTTGCATGAAAATATCCCAAAGCCTTAGGGAGATAGGAATGTTGCAGTGGGTTTATCATGTGTGACCCACAAATGCTTTCCTCATGGAAATATTGAGAAATGCATTGGTGAAGGGAACATCAGTGTCCTTGAAGAAATCTGGGAAGGCTGTATTCTGATTGCCTTGGATGTGATATTAGGTGCTACTTTCAAAATAGACTCTCTCATTTTAATGGAATGATGGAATTCTGGAGTGGCAGAGGCTGAGTGTCCCAGTGTAATCACTGGAAGCAAAGTGAGTACAATTGCGATAATGGGTGGAAGAGCCAGAGTGACAATCAGACTATTGTGACACCAAACTTTTAATTTTTGATGGTGGCTGAAATATCACTAAAATACAGACTCTAGGGTACAGAAACATAATTGATGTCGTGAGCAGAAAACTCATTTCCTCACCCTGATACAACATCATGGCCTCTCACTCAGTTTCTAGACCGGAGCCAGTTCACAGAGCCACAGCCCTTAAATGAAATGAGGGCAACTGTATCCCTCTGAAGATAAAGCATGAGTATTGCTACAAATACATACCAAAAATCTTTCTTCAAGTTGTCCCCAGTGTGATCTCAGTCATTTACCAGGATGATTGTACATTGTGGAAAGGGAAATTCTTAGTTATTTCAGGGATTACCATACATGGCTCTTACTTGACACTAATCCTTGGCAGGGAGGGGAGACCCAAAATGCTTGACCATTGTTCTTGTCAAAGTGTGACCTTATGGGGACCAAATGATCCCTCCCTCCCTGCCTGCCTGCCTTTCTTCCTTCCTTCTTTCCTTCCTTCTTTCTTTCCCTTCTCTCATGTTCTTTTCCTTTTTCTTTCTTTGTAACTTGAATTACTCTTACTGTAGTTCCAGGGAGTTTGTTTATCTACCTTGTGATCATTGTCCAGTTCTTCAATGCTTACCTTGACTAGATATCCTCTGTAGCTTGCAGAATGTCCATATTGGCTTTCTGAACCATGGAATGAAGGATATTGTGGTAGAAGGGGACAAGTGGAAAGCCCTGGAACTGTTCTCCCATCCAGGAGAGCAAATCAAAAGCAGTAAATTCACTAGAGAAATGTCAGAGATTACCGCTGCTATTAAATACTTAAAAATTTTAAAAGAGATTTTTAGCACATACTCATTTTACTCACCTACTTGCCTTGCGCAAAGGAGAATAGGCGTTAGAAACCATAATGCTCTGTTTTAAATTTAATCAGGTTGCAATTCTGATTGGAGATACTCTTCTAGATGTGTTCTTTTTTACTAGAGCCAGTCATTCTTGTCTCTGGCACTTGGTATACGGCTATTGATCTTGCAAATCCTTCCCCCATTCCTATATCAATTAGCCAGGATTACAAGAAGCTCATTACATTCATCTGACCAAGAATGCAGTATACTTTACTGTCAGGGCGATGTAAAATCTGCTCTGTCATAATGTAGTACATATTGGAGTTAATTTTAAAATGGTTAAATAAGGATAAGAAATTTCATACTTTTTCCATTATTAGTGGAAAATTTTAAACCAAAGAACATTTCTTAGAACTAATAAAAGGTAGAAGAAGAAGGTGTTAATTAGTGCTTAAAGCAATATGTATTTGATTGGCTTAATTTAGGATGATTGCTCTTCCAGAATTAAAAATAAAGACCAACAGAAACAAAACTTTAACATAAAAGTTAATTTTAAGCTATAGAGTTTCTTGTCTCCCTACGTTTCCCTTATCTTATGTGCCAAATTGAAAATGAGAGGTTCTTAATACTTTTTGTGCCATGGACCCCTTTTCCAATCTGGCGAAGTTCGTGGATCCAGTCTCAGAATTAAAAAAAAAAAAATTAAGCATGTGAACTCAAAAGTCTTAGATTTTTTTTTTTTTTGAGATGGAGTCTCGCTCTGTTGCCCAGGCTTGAGTGCAGTGGTGATCTCGACTCACTGCAACCTCCACCTCCCGGGTTCAAGCGATTCTCCTGCCTCAGCCCCGCGAGTAGCTGGGATTACAGGCACACACCACCATGCCCAGCTAGTTTTTGTATTTTTAGTAGAGTTGGGATTTCCCCATGTTGGCCAGGATGGTCTTGAACTCCTAACCTCAGGTGATCCACCCGCCTTGGCCTCCCAAAGTGCTGGGATTACAGGTGTGAGCCACCGTGCCCGGCCAGAATGTTATTAATGCACAAAATAAATGCATAGGATTGTAAAGGAAATAAACTAAATTGAAATAGTGCCATCAAAATATTTTAAAATCTCTAAAATAGTAATACATGAATAGTAATAGTAATGGGATGCGGCATTACTTCTAACAGGTACTATAATTTTGGAGTTAGTGATGAGTGTAACAATATTTCAAAATATATATTATTTCTGTCGGTCACAAGTACAACAAATACTACTGTGATTTGTTGTCTGCATTCTTAATAAAGGGAAATTTAAACTTTTAGCTAATTGTTAGTGAAAATAAGCATATGATCTTTTTTTCATCCAAATACATGAATCATATTCCCTATATTGTATCTATTGAACTTTTCGGTGGGGTTTAAAACCTCTAACATAGTGGAAAGACAAGACTGAGTGAATCTATGTGAAAAAGTATCAATTCTTTGACCAGGGAGATACCACATAGTAAATGAATACTTCTGATATACTAAATGGTTCCTTATGGACCTTTGGGAGCAAAATTATTTTGAGCACACACTCTGTTTTCTTCCATTTCGTTAACTGGTTTGAGCTCATTTACTTATAATACTCATCCAAACTGGCCATATAACATTTAAAATTTTTGTTTATTTCCAAAAAATTGATTTCTTGCAATCATCTTCACTAATTGCCTGGCATAGAATTCTTACTAGTGTGTTTCCACGTGTACTGTTTGTTGTACATTTGTCAGCTCACTCAAATAAAACTGCAAATAATGAAAACAATTGTATTTTCTCCAGTACATCTGTGAAATAATGTCTTCTTATTTTTTCTTCCTTCTCTCAAATCTTGATCCCAAATTATGACAATTTCACAACCATTTGAAAAATTATTGTGTTTATTGGATTATATGCAGGTGCGGTTCTGTACTTTATTCTACAAATCAGTGGTTAAGTTAATGATGCACTAGTTTAAATTTAGCAAAATGAAGCATTACAAGCTCAGCTGAAAAATGATTCTTGTTTTAACCAGTATCTTCACACAGCTGTTTAAATACCATATTGTACTTTTTTCCCTTTCCTTATTTAAGGTGGCACATGGTACTTGTGTAATCTTTGCTTATTTTAAGCTGGCATAAAAGAATGGTTCTCAGCAAATTGAAGGCAGTTTGCAAAACTGGAGGATATTCTCATGAATTTAGGCCAAGTTAAATTATTATTGAAGAATACATCTTTTTTTCCCCCAAAATTTCTCCTGAGAATTTTTTATTATAATGTTATATTTGAAAGTTTATGACAAAGGTACTTTTTTTTCTCATTTGTTCCATGTAATTTTCTTTCTTTTGTATGATGATACCATTAAAGTAAGATTGGCCAGAAAGAGTCAGATGTTTTTAAATTGTAGTAGTTCACTGTCTGTACTATCAATTTTATAATATTTTTCTGCCTAGAAACTTTTTGTTCTCCATACATAGAAATAAAGGCCGACTCAAAGCATATTACATTAAGATGGCAAGTTTAAATAATTTTTTGTAACTGCTTGTTTTTTCACTCCTGCACTATCCCCACTGCCTACGTCTTCAATCTCCAGATTCCTACATCACCAATAAGACCCAAAGTTTCCTTTTCTTTTGTATTTTTCTCAAATGCACCAAATAAAACTTTACCTTTAGATTTTATTTGTTTACCCTTATATATTTATTTAGCTTTCATATTTTCATGAAAGGTGTATAATATTTACAGATATTAATAGTAAGATTTTGTCACAATATATCTGTGAGATAGGGTACTGCCAGTGTAGACATTATATTTACTTTTTAGCCTGGGATTTTTTTCTCTATGTTGGTTGATTGAAGCAAATAATCTTATAGGCCAGAAATACAATTGAATTTGGACAGATACGCACAAGCATAGTTGTAAGTTAAGAGACTGAGTTGAACTATATCACTATAATTGTTTTAGTTTGTGAAAATCTCAATCTATATCTCTATTTCTTAAAATTTGTAGAATTGCTTAAAGTGTTCAATTATATTCTGTATATGTATTCAAATCCCCTTAATATCAGGCCTGATTTTGGTTGAATTTTACTGTTTTGTATTTATGGAACTTATTTTTATTATTACTGGATTTACACCTAACAACAAGAAACAATGCCCCATGAGCTAGTATATCAATAAAAATTGTATTGCTATGGCCATTTCTAAGGAAGTTGGAAACACAATTGGAACAAATAGGAAATAGTTCCAAGTAAGAAAAAAAATTCTCTCAAGGAATAAAAACAAACTGTAAATTATGAATATGGTAAAACTTATGGGGAACATAGTAACTTGAAAATATTTTCTCGATTTAATAAATACTATATATATAAAATGTATGTAATTATATTTTATAATGGTATATTGTTTTTATGCAAAGTTTATATGTTATATATAGCAGATATAATTTTGAGAAGTATCACTCTGGAACCTTCTATATTTTTACCTACTGCGAGGTAGATAATCATAGTTTTTGCCTAGTTATATTTTATTACAGAATATGGTACACATAAGCATGTTTAGTGCAAAGATCAGGACTAAAATGCATAAGTGAAACTAGAAGGAGTGGAACCAAAAATCAAAACTTAGTGACTCGACAGTATTGGTAAATACTGTTAAAATAAGAATAACAAGATAAATAGTAACATTCATGTAACATTGGCCAAATATTAATCACTCTTTAGTTTCTTATTTCAAGTGCCATTTAGAGCAAATATATAAGAAAATTAAGATCTTAAATTCTGGAATATATCAATAAAATATTTTTTAGGATCCAAAAGTAAGGTACTAAGTTTTCTAACCCAATTTAAGATTGTATAATAGAGGTGCTTATTTCCTTTTTTGAGGTTCCCATCTTATTTGTGTAGAAAATGGACAGAAATGATAAACTAAGGACTATATAAAGAAAATAGATAGAAAAATATATATAGAATATAATTAGAATGTAATATATATCTATATAGAATATAGTTAACCAGTTCTTTAAACATCAGAGAAGCTCTTTTAATAATGAGAGATAATTTTCATAAGGATAAATTTAAAAAATATAATGTTGCTATATATTGACAATCAATATAGTCTTCCCTGCCTCCCCCATTTGCTGTGGGTAGCAGAGTCTTAGTTTTGTAAATTGTTTTATTTTTCTTGATTCAGCCCAAAGGATAAAAGTCAGAAAACATCATCAAATTGAAAGAGTCTCTAAAGATTGCTTACACTGCATTACTTTATCAAGAGATCTCATCATTACAGCTTCCCAGTCAGTAACCCCTTTTCTGCTTTAAAACTGGACACACACACACACACACACACACACACACACACACACACACACACACAGAGTCCAGTGATAATCAATGTGATCTCATATATAAAAATGAAAGGCCTTTAAATATTTCTGAAAATTTGTTGACATAGATACCAAATAAATAAAGACAGATTTATGCTAGAATTTTTTAAATAGACATAATTTTTAGAGAAGTTTTAGTTTCACAGAGAAATTGAACGGAACATACAGAGATTTTCTATGTACCTACTCCTGTTCCCATACATTCATAGACTTCCCCATTTATCAGTATCCCCCACCAAACTGGTACATTTGTTACAGTTGAATTGACATTGACACATCATCACCCAAATTTCACATTTTACATTAGCATTCACTGTTGATGTTGTACATTCTATGGCTTTGGACAAGTTTGTAATAACATGTATCCACTGCTAGAGTATATAGGGTAGTTTCACTGCTCTAAAAATCTTCTGTGAATTTATAAATTTTTTTGATGATTAAAATTGTATATATGTACTTTGGAAAATTTAGAAATGTAAAATAGAATGAAGAAGAGGAAAAGATAGTCATTGCACACATTTTGATATAAATTTTATTTAAACAAAGATATCAAAGTGATCCTTGCAAATTTGGGCCATCTTTTTTACATTTCATGATATTTAGAGATTTATTATAAAAATTTGTGATAGTTTCTAGAAGGTATCAGCAGCCATCCATTCCCTTGCCCTATTCTGGCCTCCACCACTTTTCCTCAGAAGCTAGTTTACCTAATTATCAACCACTTTTTGTGTAAAGCAATGCAGATAGAGAACAATAGAATGGAGAACTCATCCAGGTTAGTGACATTCTCACAGGGAGTGTGTTGGTTCTAAGACCAGGTTCTAGGATATGGTTCTTAGCTTCACAGGACCTGAAAGCTGATTCTTCATTATTTTAAAGTTTATTAGCCTTTCCAGGATAGACTCACCAAACAAATTCATAAATATATGTTATCTGGTATTACTGATATATAAATCAGAGTGCTAATTTATTAATTTGCCATTAGTCCCAGCCACTCAGGAGGCTGAGGCGGGAGAATCACTTGAACTTGGGAGGCGGAGGTTGCAGTGAGCTGAGATCGTGCCACTGCACTGCAGCCTCTGGTATTACTGATATATAAATCAGAGTGCTAATTTATTAATTTGCCATTAGTCCCAGCCACTCAGGAGGCTGAGGCGGGAGAATCACTTGAACTTGGGAGGCGGAGGTTGCAGTGAGCTGAGATCGCGCCACTGCACTCCAGCCTGGGTGACAAAGTGAGACTCCATCTCAAAAAAAATATTTAGCACTCAGGGAAATGGATTTCTTTGTAAAGCCCTGAAGCCAGCTGATCCCACTGAGCTTCACACTACTGCTATTCTGGGTTGCTAAACAAAGTGCCATTCCTTTTCTAATAATTTAGCCCTCTCTCCAACTCTGCTCGTACTCTTCTTGGATTTTTTTTTCCTACCCAGCTTCCCACTCTTCTTAACCCTTGCAAGACTCTGGAGATGCCATTTCATAGCAAATCAAAAGAAAACAACCTACCTCATCAAAAAAACAAGACAAAGTTTCTCTATTCATACACTTGTCAAAGAGTTTTCTTATTTCACTTCCTGTCATCAACTAAAATCTGAAATCTGGAGCCACTTTCTCCAACAAAGAGCCCTCTCTCTTAGGTAGATTATACTTTCAAATTCTTATTTCCGAGACTTTCCTTTGATCAGTGTCAAGTAGATCAATTTTTTTGAATGTGTTGGTTGTTGTTTCTTTTTGTTTGTTGAGGAAAATAGGAAAGGTAAGGTTTAAACTTTCTTAAATTTCCCTTCTAATTATATATTTTTTAAAGTAACATGTGGGTCATCTTGATTTTGGGCACTGATAATTCAGATGGTTTAATTTCCTCTTTACAGGATACACCACACACACACACACACACACACACACACACACACACACACACACACATTATATATGTGTATGTATAAACACCCATACATTATGTATGTATATACACCCATACATTATATATGTATATACACCCATATATGTGTTTTATATACACACTATACATATGTACACACACACATATATATACACACGTTATATATATGTATATATACACATTTTATATATATACACACCTATGGGCTCACAATATTCTACAAATGGCTGAACGTTAATTTTTACTCTTCTCAATTCATTCTCAGGGTGCTAATTTCATTTCCATTTGGGGCATGATTTTTACTATTGTCCCCTTTCTCCACCTTACCTCCATTCATATATTTTTTGTTGAGAGATAGGAAAAACCTCTTTCTGTAGATTCTGTGGCACTTATTTCCTGTTAAAGCTTTAACTGCACATGTTATTTGGACATTGATTTCTCATCTCATGACAGAAATGGCAAGGTTAGCATTTCAGAACTTCTGTTAACAATATCTTCATCCTTTCATTAGTTTAATTCATGATAATAATTCACACAAGCTTTGACCATTAAATCCTTTTAGGAAGCAGTGTTTCCCAAAGGCCAATATTCGTTATGAATAATTAGTTTCTTCAATTCATTTTAGTGTATGAAATTAACAGTATATGGAAATTCATTTTCTTTCTGATGCAATAAACTTTCCATTAATGTATGAGATAATTTTTATGTTTTTTTTCTTTTCCTATACAACTGATGGTTAGAGTATTCAATAGGGTATTTTATTCTGTTCAGAGTAAAGTTCGTTTGGGAGGTTTGTGGTTTTAGTAGTTGTTCCCTCAACTCTGTTCCTTCCATCACACCTTTTTTTCTTTTATTGCACATTAAATGATGAGGTCTCACCAAAAAGCATTTATGAAATCCCTGAAGAACCCTAGTAAAGGTGGTGAGATTGATTTTTGTGTTTCCTTTTTAAAAATTGTACAGAGAAATGTGTGAAGCCCATATCTTTGGGAAGCTTAATATTCAAAAACTGTCAACTCAGTTTTGAAAAATTGCCTTGTTTTTGCCATTATTATTTCTGACATATGGATCAGGTGTAGTTTTAAAGAATGGGAGAATCAACCTTAAGTTATTTCTTCACAAATATGAAAGGAGTCCCACAAAATAAAATATAGGATGCCCTAACTTTGCATAGTCATGATCATAGAAATCAAATCCCAAAGCACTTATAGAGGTAAGTAAAAGCATTGCAGAAATAAATAATCAAGATTGATTGCTTCCAAACTGTGAGTATATGTAAACAAACAAAAAATTTGCTTTATGAGACTGAACTTTTAAATTTATTCAGCCAGAGATTCATTGTTCTGATGTCTGTGTGATTTTCTCTTTAAGGAAAGAGTGAGAACATATTCATACGTTATAAATTGCTAATACTTACTAGTTGATACAATGATGAAATGATCTGTAAAGAATACATGCTATTTTAACTTTTCAGATTTCTATAGCTCACTTAGAGAAAAAAAATCAAAGCACTTTGAGGATACTTAGAGCAGAACAAGGCAATCTAAGGGGGAAAATGTATACTTAGAAATGCATTTGGGTTTTTAAACATTTGAGTCCTGGGTATCTTTGCAGTTTCAGAATTCCAAATGATATTTGTATGAGGCCATATTTTGCTTTCTAAAATTTCAAGGATGGAGGCAAGATGGCAGTGTAATGTGCTGTCTTGATGCTAGTAGGATACAGTTATTTTGTGAAGAAAATTTAGTGACTTCAGTATTGGAGGTTCAGGTCACTGGACTCTAGTGTAAAACCAGGGATGTGGTAGCCCCAGAAATTATCTCACAAACGAGTCATATTAAGAAAACTCTCTTTCAGGTGTATTCTATGTCATACCCTTTCCTTATATGGCAATATTTTTCTTTGGAACTTAAACTATAAGTCACCAAATAAAAGATTCTAGGTAATAAAGATTTTGGTAATTGTCATAATCTCCATAAGATAAGCCAAAGAGAAAAACAAATTCTTTATTTCATTACTTTTTTTGTGTGATGACTAATGCTCTTTTAGTAGATGTGTAACCTTGATTTGGTTATTTAACCTCTCCGTGCTTCAATTTCTTTTATTTATATAATGGGAACAGTAATAGCACCTCCTAGGGTTATCATGAAGACTGAATGAGCCCGCATGTGCCTGCACACACACACACAGAGTTATCGAAAGAGCTTTTAGACAAGTGCTATGTATAGATGTGTTTTTGTTATTGCTGTACTTATTATTATTCATGCCACACTTCATAAATAGGGACGTCAAGCACTATTCTATGTGCTGGTCTGCTGAACAAGGCAGACAAGGATCCTGTTCATATGAAACTTATATTTTGGTTCAGGAGGTCAGGGAGACAATACAACAGGTAAATAAATGATAAAATTTTCAGGTAGTGCTAACTGATATGTAGAGGATTAAACTTGGGTGTTTGTATAGCTTGGATAGTCAAGGAAGTATTTTTTTAGGAGGTAACATTTTAGTTGAGAACTGATGACAGAGAACTAACCTTGTAGAAATCTGGGGCAAGGGCATTCCAGTGAAGTTACTAAGATGTACTCAGAGAACAAAAAGACTGGTGATGCTAATGGGTACTGACCTGGGCCTGTGCAGTGTGAGGTGTGACCTGAGAGGCTGGTGAATCTAGTCATGTACAGCTCTGTGAGCCTGGATAAGGAGTCAGGATATCATTCTAATTGTGGCAGGGAATTCTTAAGGTTTTTTTTTTTTTTTTTTTTTTTTTTTTTTAAAGCATGAAACTGACATGGCGTAATTTACATTTAAAAACCATTTTGATAAGACCTACTGTATAGCTATAGTATTCAAGACAATGTGTTATTGGTGGAGGGATAGACACATAGATCAATGGCATAGTATATGAAACACAGAAATAGCCTACACAGATGTGGCCAACTTAATTTTTGACAAAGGAGCCAAATAGTTCAATGGAGGAAGGTTAGAAATTTCAACAAATGATGCTGGAGAAACTGGACATTCACAGGTAAAATAATGAACCTTGACCTAAACCTCATACCTTCTACAAAAATTAGCTCAAAATGGATCATTGGCTTAAATACAAAATATGAAAGTATACAACTTTTAGAAAAAAATAGGTTAAAATCTTTAGGATCTAGGGCTAGGCAATCAGTTCTTAGACTTGACACTGAAAGCATGATCCATAGAAGGAAAGATTGATAAATTGGGCCTTATTTGTTCTGTGTAAGACTCTTGTTAAGAGAGAATGGAAAGACAAAGCTGCAGGCTTGGAGAAAATATTTGCAAACCATATCTCCTGCCAAAAAAAAAAACAAAACAAACAAACCCCCAGTGTCTAGAATATATAAATAACTCTTAAAACCTAACTGCAAAAAATAAACAATTCAATTAGGAAATGAACAAAAGACAAGAAGAAACTTTTTACCAAAGAAGATATACAGATGACAAATAAGTACAATGAAAAGACGTACAACATCATTAGGCATTAGAGAGATGTAAATTAAAATCACAATAAGTTATTACTACACACCTATCAGAATGACTAAAATAAGAAAGTAACAACATCAAGTGCTGGTGAGGATGTGAGGAAACTGGATCACTCATAATATTGCTGATAGGATACACAAAATTGTACAGCCACTCTGGAAAAAAAACAGTGTGGCAGTTTCCTATGAACCTAAACATGCAATTACCATACGACCCAGCAATTGCACTCTTGTGTATTTATCTGAGAGTGATGAAAACTTATGTTCCAACAAAAACCTGTACATGAATGTTTGTAGCAACTTTATTGGTGGGCCCAAACTGGCAACATCCTGAATGTTCTGCAACTGTCAGTGGTGAAATTAATTGTACACATATATACCTAGAATCCTACTCAGCAATGGAAAGGTATGATACATGAAATAATCTGGCTGAATCTCCAGGGAATTTTTCTGCATCAAAGAAAACTAATGCACATAGGTCACAAGTGAATACCTTTATATAAGATTCTTGACATGACAAAATTATGAAATGGTTGCCCGGAGTCAGGACTTGGAGTTGGGGATGGGTGCGGAAGGAGTTTGGTTGTGTCTATGAAAGGACAACAGAAGGCATCCTTGTGGTGATGGAATTGTTTTATATTTTGACTGTGTTAATGTTAATATCATGGTTGTGATTTTGCATCATATTTTTGCAAGATGTCACTACTATGACAATGTGGCTAGAGAGTACATGGGATCTCTATGTATTATTTCTTACAACTGCATGTGAATCTACAATTATCTCAAAATAAAAAAAATTTAATTAAAGAAAAACCCTTTACTCATTATTTTGGCTGATTAGTAGACAACATATGACTTCCAGCCCTAGTGATTTTGATTTAACTGGTGGGGTCCGTGTCTGTACTTTTAGAAAGATCTTCAGGTGGGTCTGCTATGCAAACAGAATTGAGGACCTCAGCAAAGCTGCAAACAAATCTCTGCACTTAAAAGTACAGGATGTTATCCAGGAGTGTTTTAGGTTGTGTGTGATACTTGTTACAGGCATTTGACTCTGTAAGTCTGTGACCTGATCCCAGAGGACCAGTATCACTTACTCAACTAAGAACCTCTTAACTGAGAATGTCAGAGATACTTATATGTCTATAGATGTCTTAATATTTTTTCCTTCAAAATAAGTTTTACTGTAATTCCACTCCACTTCTCTAGGGTCTATCCAGCTTTTATTTCAGATACCTGTTGAAATAATTACTTTCCTTACTTGTAGTTACTGCAATTTCGTCAGCAAGGATGCAGCCCTTGTTCATTTGTGCTTGTATATTGCCGTTAGTCCTTTTGTTCTCTTTTCTTTTTAAAATGGGCCCTGGCTAGACAATAAATTCTATGTGTAAACAGACCATATGCAAGTATCTTTGCATGGTAGCTGCAGAATCCTTCCTATTAAAAAAAAAAGACAAATTCACACATGAGATTCCTCTTTTGTGTGCATGTTGCTTATGATCAGAAACTACAGTAAACTGTTATCTCATTAATAAGTTTAATATTTTATTTTTCAAAAGATCCACTTTGTGTCCTTTTTAAGTAGATAATCACGCATTTCTTTTTTTTTTTTTTTTTCTGCTTCAGCTACCTTTAAAGAATTATCTGGGAAAACCCCACTAATAATAGTTTTGTATTTGCTTCTGAAAATGACAAACTCTTGTTTGATTTTTCTAATGGCCACTGAATTCTATGTTGCATTTTGAAGATTATTTATTTGATGAGCTTACTAGAACACCTAGCATATAGTAGGCATTCAGTGATGGTTATTGAATGAGATTAACAGCTATTTAGTGATAACTGGTGTGTACCACCACTGTTTGGTATTCTGGCCGGTTCTATGTTCATGTAGCTTTCAATTTTGTGGTACATTATTTATGCATAATGACAGCTGTCCAAGACTTGTTATAATATCCTACTTATGAACATGATGGAAACTCTTTCTCAAATGTATTTGGCATTTGTCTGTGTGTGTTTTTAACTGTACCCTGTCTTGGTGCCTTCTGTCTTTGCCTTTGTCTCTTTTTCTTAAGTCTCAATGACATTGTACACCAGTTATTTATGGTTCTGGTAATTCAAGACAAATAGTGAGGTATGTAGGCTTGTCCTTAAATAAAGTTAGTCCTGATAGTTGTGCCTTTTGACTGTACTTTCTCCCATTTATGACTTCAAGTGCACAGACTATGTTTGCTTATAACAGACACTCATTACTGATCAATATTAACCCCTTTATTTTAGTTTATTACTTTTCTTTCATACTGCCTGCATTCTTCTTCTTGCATTGAATATGTATGTAAAGTATTTAATATATGTCCTTACAGTTTCCTCTCCATCACCTTATTTAGATATATGTATATCCTTGAAAAAAAGATCGGCTGCTTTTTTTTTTTTTTGAGGCAGAGTCTCGCTCTGTCACCCAGGCTGCTGGAGTGCAGTGGCACGATCTTGGCTCACTGTAACCTATGCCTCCCTGGTTCAAGCGATTCTCTTGTCTCAGCCTCCTGAGTACCTGGAACTACAGGCACCTGCCACCATGCCCAGCTAAATTTTTTTTGTGTGTTTTTAGTAGAGATGGGGTTTCACCATGTTGGCCAGCCTGGTCTTGAACTCCTGACCTTAGGTGATCCACCCACTTCAGTCTCCCAAAGTGCTGGGATTACAGGCGAGAGCCACCGTGCTTGGCCCAGCTGTTTTATTATATATTTTTAACAAATACTTACATAGCATTTTTCAAATCCCAGACACTGTTTTAAGCTTTTAGCAACATTAATTTATCGGATCCTCCCAAGAACCCTGTGTGGCAAGTACTGCTATCCCTCTTGGCACAGAAAGATTAAGTAATTTGCCCAAGGGTATGTAACTCATAAGTGTGGAGCCAGGATTTCAGCTGAGGCTGTCTGGTTCTAGAGTCCACACCTCCTTGACCAGTATAATAAGCTCCCTCTCCATTAATGCTGAAGTATTGTGCTATAAATCCTGCTTGGTTCTTTCCTCCTTTTCCATGTTGCCATGTGTACATAAAATTCATAATCTTTAATTGCTACTTGATATTCTGTTTTAAGCATACGCCACATTTTCAACTTTATTAAGTTATAATATATATAATAAGATAATGTCATTTTAAATGTATAGTGAGTTTTGACAAATGAATACATTTTTGTAACCAACATCACAATCAATATATAGAATATTCCCTTCACCCCAAGATGTGAAGGAGTACCCTGGTACCCCTTACCAGTAAATCCTGCTTCTGGCTGCATGAAATCACTGATCTTTTTGTCACAGTGGATTCATTTTTCCTAAACTAGATTTTGTATAAATGGACTTATACAGTATACACTTTTTGAGTCTGGTTTCTTTTGTTCAGCTTGTTTTTGAGACTCATTTATGCTGTTGTTTGAATGACTAGTTCATTTCTTTTTATTTCTGTGCAATTTTTCTTTGTGGGAATATACCACAACTTGTTTATCCATTCACCTGTTTATGGATATTTTCGTTGTTTCTAGTTTTTGACTAGTATCATTAAAGCTGGTATATACATTTATGCACAAGTCATTGTGTTGTCATGTTTTCTTTTCTCTTGGTAAATACGTAGGAATGGAATTCCTGAGTCTTGTGATAAGTATATAATAACTTTATTTCTAAAACTGCCAAAATGTTTTATAAAGTGATTGTGTGACAGTCTCACCAGTAACAAATAAGAGTTTGAGTTCCTTCACATTCTTGACAACACTTGGAATATTGTCAGTCTTTTATTTTTAAGCTTTTTATTTTGAAATAGAGTCATAGTTGCAAAAATAATGCTGAAAGGTCCTGTGTTTCTTTTACCCAGTTTTCTCCAGTGATAACATCTTGTGTAATTTTAGAACTGTATCAAAAGCAGGGAAGAGATGTTGGTACAATCCACAGACCTTATTCAGATTTCACTAGTTTTATATGGATTCATTTCAGTGTACATGTATATATAGTCCTATGGAATTTGTCACATTTGTAGATTCATGCAAACACCACCATAATCAAGATGCAGAACTTTCCTGTTATCCCAAAGATTCCTCATTCTAGCCCTTTATATTCTTATGCATCCCTTTTGGCTCCCTTTTCTCCATTTCCTCTCCACTTTTGTGGGCCCTTGGCAACCACTAATCTGTTCTTCATCTCCATAATTTTGCCATTTAGAGAATATTATATAAGTGAAATCATATAGAATATAACCTTTTGAAGTTGGCTTTTTCACTCAGTGCAATGCCTTTGATATCCATCCAAGGTGTTGTGTTACATGTATTGAGAGTTCTAGTTTTTTGCATTTCATTGCTGAGTAGTATGGCTATAACACAGTTTATTTAACCATTCAGCCAGTAAAAGACATTTGGATTGTTTTTAACTTTTGATTATTACAAAAAAAGTCTGTTATGAATATCTATGGGCATGCTTTCTTGTGGACAGTTCCCATTTCTCTGGGATAAATGCCTAGTATTGTGAGTGCTAAGTGTGTACTAAGTGTATGTTAAATTTTGTTTTCTATTTTTTTTTAAAGAAAATTTCTAACTATTCTCTGGGGTGGCTGTACCATTTTATATTCCTACCAGCAAATGTATGATTTATATAATTTCTTCATATCCTTACCAGCATTGGGATTACCATTTTTTAAAGCTATTCTAACAGTTGTGTAAAGATACCTCATTTTAGTTTTAATTTCGATTTCCTAATTATCTAGTGATGTTGAACATCTTTGTGTGTGCTTATTTGCCATTTTTATATCCTCTCTGGCGAAATGTCTGTTTGTGTCTAGTATTATCAGTTTTTAACTTTAGTCGTTTTAATTTCATGTATTGGTATTTCACTGTGGTTTCAGTTTTTGCTTTTCAGATGAATTAGGATGTGAGCATCTTTTCAAATGCTTATTGACCATCTTCTTTTGTGAAGTATCTGTTCAGATTATTTTGCCCATTTTAACGATGGTTTATTGGTCTTATAAAGTTATGAGTTCTTCACATCTTGATATTACTCCCTTGTCAGATATACTTATTGCAAATATTTTCTCCTATTATATAGATGGCCTTTTTCATTTTTAAATGATGTATTTTTAAGAGTAGAAGCTTTTCATTTTTATGAATTTCAGTGTAGCAATTTGTTTCTTTCATTTTTAGTGCTTTTTTTTTTTTTTTTAACATTCTTTCTAATAAATCCTTTCCTACTCAGAATTCATGAAAATTTTCTTCTATGTGTTCCGAAAGTTTTATAGTGGTAGGTTTTATATTTGGGTATAAAATCCATTTAGAGTTAATTTTTGTTGATATGCCACATTTTTATTATCGAACCTCCAAGTGATTGTTACTTTGGATTACTATCATAAATAACACTGACAAAATTTCATTATACATAGCTCCATGTGATATGTGGAAAAGTATCTCTAGGTGGTTTTATATATATATAAATTTTACTTGTGTATGTAAAATGGTAGTACAATGGTTGCACACATTTATACGCCTGCTAGAACAGCCAGAGAGTTTTGTTGGCTTTATTTGGACTTCTTATGAATAACCGTATAATAAGATTTCTCCTTCTTTTTCACTGGCTTCCCAATTCATATTTCATGTGTATTGTTTGCTGCATGCTTCTCTGTGACAGTCTTGTGACTCTTTTCCATTTTACTTATTCTAATCTTTTGTGGAAAGGGAAACCTGCACTCTTAATCTGTTCAACTTGTGTCTAAACTATGAGTATACAGTCTATGTGTGAAGGCTTTAGGGCTGTACCACAATTTCAGTACTTAAGCTTTGTCATATGTGTTTTGCCAACTTACCACCCTTTTATCTCCTTTTTGGTTCTTATCTGTGGTCCTTGTTTATCATGATACTGCATTGGGGACCTCAGGCAATATATCAACACATAAAATTAAGTGCCAAATTGTGTGAAGACAGTTTTCTAATATAGTTATGAATGCTATGTAATTTTAGATGAAAATACATATGAGCAGATGGTGAAGTAAGTAGTAACTTCAGTACCTTGTTACAGGTCACACCTTGAAAGTCTCCTATCTAGTAAAGGACAAAACCATCATGTTACAAATATGCTGCAAAATGCTGTAATATGCAGTTTGAAACTTCACATATTATCAGAAAACTTGTATCGAACAGATGTTTCAAGTCATAAGGGCTGCAGTATAAGCCAGTTAAATTTACATAATGATTTCATAGGCTAAAATATTAGTTTTCTTCTCAGTTATTGAAAAGTCCATTTATTGCTACATTATACTTAGCTGGGGTAAGAAATACCCATACTAATCTTCACTCTGAAATACTGACTGAGAAAATTACATATGAAAATAAAATATTTCTTTTTTTAGTTTTTGCTAAGTCCTTTGAAAATTAATATTAGTTATGAATTATATTTATAGAAACTGTCACTTGCATTACATGGCGCTTGCATCTGGTGAGCATTATTTCACAGTATCAGCAATTTAGTTTGAATCTGTCCTTGCCAGTTTTGGTATCAACACTGGAAAATACTAGGAAATCATTGTGAGTCATTGACAAGGTCCTGATGGTTTTGTTGCCACGGTTGCTCAAAATTTATAATCTTTTCTTCTTGTTTCACTGATAGATTCGTGTTTAAATTATGTAAACATTAAAACACGGAAAAAGAATTACAGCCTAGATATAAGGGTTATTTTTACTTATAGCTCTGTATGTAAATTAAAACTACATTGTTTTGAAAAAACTTCCATTGAACGATCATTTTTCTCACCATGTTTACTTTTGTTTGACAAGTTTTGGTTAATTTCTAGAGCTATATACTGCTCATTCTGGTTTTCCTGAGACAGTTTAGGTTTATGCCCATGTTCCTGGTGTAATTATTGAGAAAAATCTGTTTAACTCAAAGTAAATTATGCCTTATAATACATCTCTCAAATCAATATACTTTTGTTAGCCCTGGGCTCTTGTTCTGATTTTGCCACCAACTAGCCATATGACTATGGGTAAAGAAAATAACCCAAACTTTAAGTTTCTTCATCTGTAAAGTGAAATGGTAAGGGTAAATGATCTCTGAATATTCTTGAATGCTTTTAAGATTAATGTTTCTTTGATGTTTAGTTGCTTCTAATATAGCAGTGGTTTAGAGCAGTGACTTTCAAAGAAGTTTATTCTGTTTTACTATTTATGGTCTTTCTCTGTTCTATTAATATCCTATTAAAATAAATGCTAGTGATGACCTACTAACTTGATTGCATGATCAGAATAGGGTTGGGTTGAAATCTATATCTTGATTTATGTATTCCTGAGTATCATTCTTAATTTGTTACACTGAACAGTTATTTACCTTCTCTAAGCTTCAATTTCCCCATTCACTTGTGGTAAAGTGTTCTGAGGATTAAATGAGATAAGGTGTATAAGGTGTTTAGCAGAGCACCTGGTGTATGGAAGAAATTGCATGTTAGCTCTCCTCTTATTTATTCACGTTGTGAATGTGACTTCTCTCTGCTAAGATTACATTACATAGAATCTAATACATGGAAAGTTTTTTGAACCACATTGTTAAAAATATTTTAAAACTACAGATAATATTATATCCTTGTCAATCAGCAATTTTGAAGCATATCCGTAAGTGCTTTGTCAAACAGTAGTTATATTTTTATAGTAGTTTTGTGAAGGAGGTACGTATTTGGTTTGCTAGCTGCGTAGACTCCCCACCAAGAGGTCAAATGTCAGGAAAGTCGTTGAAAAAAATACATTATTAATTTTTTGCCCTGTTCTACTTAGGATTTTCATCTTGTTTTTCATTTGAAATAATATGTAGCTTCTTTATATTGAAACCTATATGCCTTTTAAAAACATTAGAATCAAAAATTGCTCTCACAAAAAGTGAAAAGGATTAATATTTTGATTATCTTTGGAGCAGTAAGCTATTCTTTTCTAAAATAAAATACTAAATTTATACCTGATCAGTCTTTTGGTCTAATGCTCAATCAATACACTGGGGAAAGAGCCGAATTCAGGGGTTTGGTTTCTAAGTTTATTTTGCTCATACTGGGTTATCATTTTTTGAGTTTCCCTGCACTTCTTAGGTGTACACCATTGCTTATATCTCATGTCCTTGCTGCTGCTCTGACTGAAAAGCAGGATGGTGAGGTATATGCTAAGAGTTAAGTCTTTTGACTTATTATTTTGACCAGCCTTTCATCCTTCATATTGAGTTTCATTCTATAGAGGAATGAGCTCTCTTGGCCTTTACCATTGTGCTGTGAAAGTAGTTCAAAGTGGTTATAATGGTTGTTCCATAAAGAAGATAAAATAATGAATATATATAGTATTATGCAGAGCACGTATCACTCTGCCATATTCTTTCCATTATTAACTCAATTCATTTTTCATGATAACCCTGGGAAGTAGGCATTATTATTCTCCAAAAAATGTTCAATATTTGCCACAGTCCTGAAACTAGTAAATGGCAGAGTTGAAATCTAAACCCACCTGGCCCACCCTGGGAAGTTTGTGGAAGTAGATTCTGAATAATACTCTCTAGATGACAGTCTTTAGCCTGATGTTTTTCCTTTTCATTAGTGACACATAATATGTCAATTTCTTTGAACCAGGCTAGGATGCCAGTACTCTGGAAAACAAAAAGAGGATTACACTTCAAAAAAAAAATCATGGCAAGTTGGAAGAACTAGTACATGTAAACTGAGTACATTTACATCTACTGAATATAGCTCTGTAGAAATGTGTGCAGGGTAATTCACATAGGGAGGAAAAACAAACTGTACAAATGTAAGAGGATAACATTAAGAGGCTGCCAGGCAATTCCCTTTTTCTCCTGAAGCCCTGGTCATGATTTTATTATGTAGAATTTGGAGAGAATCCAGAGGAATCCAACAGAAATTATTAAAAGGTTTGAGAAATCTGCTATGTGATGAAAGTCTAAAGGATTGGGTTTATTTAGCCTAGAGAAGTGAAGTCTGAATAGGGACTTAATTACAGTCTTCAAGTTCAGTGAAATCATAGACACAGAGGCCATGAGTGGTTCCCAGGACGATTGTCTTTTGACAGGCATTTTTGAATATGGTTGTTTTCTTGGTTTCACTGTGTGTGAAGAGATATTATATGAGTGATGATGAGCAGCTGTTCTTTCTTCACTGCAGGGGGACAGGCAAGAAAGAGCTTAAATCACCACAGTAGTGATTTAGGTAGAACTTTTCAAATATCCTTGGAAGCTTGTGGAGATTCCTTTAGCAAAGCCTTTTTGTTTTGTTTTAGTTTTATTTTCAATGGACAGATAACTGTACATATTTATGGGTACAATATTATGTTTTGATACATGTTTACAATGTGGAATGATTAAATCTGTTAATTAACAAATCCTTCCTCTAATATACTTGTCATTTTTTTGTGGTGAAAACATTTGAAATCTACCTTTTTAGTAATTTTGAAATATGCAATGCATTATTATTTATTATAGTCACCATTTTGCATCAGATCACTAAGGCTTATTCCCTCTAACTGAAATTTTGTACCCTTTAATCACCATTTTTCTCATCCTTTTCCTGTGGCCCCTGATAACCATCATTATATTTTGTGTGTAGACGGCCAGGTTTTGGTGGAATGGATTTTAAACTGAAGGAAGAAAAAAGGTACATTACTCCTTATACCAGGTTAAAGGTAAACATTTTTTTAGATGCTTTCACTCTAAGCTCTGTAAAAGTACAAGGACATCTGTCAAAAGTAAGACTGGATGGTAGGTATTTTAATGTTGTAATTAGGAGACTCATTCAGTTTGGTAGAACTCCTTAGGGACTCTGTGAGATGTTTGTGGGCCATCGCCCAGGAGGGCCCTGCCCTTTGAAAAAGAAGACATTTAGATGATGGGAGCTGCTGCTGCAACCACTGGTCTTCTGCAAAGGCTTCTTGGTGTTTCTTGTTGAACTTTTTTTTTCCCTCAAAAGATCTTTTCTGATTGAATCACCCCAAATTGCAAGATACTATCTGTGTCTTTCCACTGCCTCTTTTTATCTAGAAATGATATCCATTTCTTAAGCAGCTGGCCTCATTTGGATTTTAAGGGAGGGAGTGGTTTCTAATTAAAGTCACATAGTAAGGTATGAAATGCACATGAAGAACTTCTATAGGATCTTTATTTGAACACACTTCCTTCTTTCCTCCCACAAATATTTACAGAAATCCTGCTAGGTGCCAGGCATTATTCTAGGTATAGTGAATATAAAGCAGACAAAAATCTCTACTGTTTTGGAGCTTGCATTCTAGTTGGGAGGTGGATAGAAAATTAGATATATATATATGTGTGTGTGTGTGTGTGTGTGTGTGTGTGTTTGTATATATATATATAGTGAGAGAGAGAGAGAAAGAGAGACAGAGTATTAAATAGTGATAAGTGCAATCAGAAAACATGAAGCACAAAAAGGGGATTTATACAGGGTCAAAAGTTCAATTTGCAATAGATTCATCAGAAAGGCCTCACATATCTGTGTATCACAGATATTTCTCAGTTGCCTATTTTGGGCTTCTGCTTCTTTTCTCCCTTGCTTGACAGAAATAGGAACTGGCAGCTTGGCACACACTACTTCTACAAGGTTGCTGACCTCTGACATAAGTAGGGTCTGTAGGATTTAAATCATTCATTTTTTTTTTTTTTAAAAAGAAGTCAATCATGCTTAAATAAACACAGATTATATTTTAAAATTACATCTGAAGGCATTTAAAACATTCCAACGAATATACAAATATGATCAGAATTTACCAAGTATATAGGCAGTCTATTTACCTTCTTCTATATATTTAGAATATTTCTCCTAATTTTTCTTATTCCTCATATTATGTGTTGCACAGTGAGGGATTTTTGTAAAGGGTGATAGGCAATGGAGTATGAAAGGATTCAACAGCCCCACTCCCAGGAAATCCACTTAATGCACATGATACCTAATGGTGGATCAATAGCATGATGTTTGTATTTGAAGAAAAACTCTTATAAAACAAAATTAAGAATGATGTGGACTTACTGCTGTGAGCATGGGAAGCAATTAAACTATGTCCTTCTTTTCTATGTGCAGTGGCAGACTGGGGAGAAGACACTACCAGATAATAAGTAGGTTTGAAATTTGCAATAAGAATGTGAGTGATTTGAATAGAGTGAGACTCAATTCAAGGCTTTGCTTTTGTGGTGGGGATGTTAAGAGAGTGTTAACTTCACTACTAGGTTTTATGTTCATTAATCAAATTCCAATTCAAATGGCCTTTAAATTTATGTAAAACCTGGAGCTGTGTCAACATCAAAATTTCCGTGAGGTCACAGAAGGCTTAAAACACAACAACCAAGCATAAGAACAGTAGGTATACTGAGGCTGGAGAAAAGTTTGAGCTGGGGAGGCAGAGCCGAGATCGCGCCACTGCACTCCAGCCTGGGTGGCAGAGTGAGACTCCATCTTAAAAAACAAAACAAAACAAAACAAAATAGAACAGTAGGTATAAAGTTTATTTCTGGGTCTACAAAATAGCTTGGATCTCTTTCCTAAAATTTTCAGAATTGGCCTTTTGATTTATATATCCCTTTGAAGCGACAGAAAGAATAACTTGAGATAATTTGCTCATTATAATTTCAGGTCCAGGTTCAGTTCATCATGATAACGATTACCTTACAAATTAAGCACTAAATCTTACCATAGCATTCAAGATCATTCAGAATTTGCCACCAACTTGTCTTTCCAGGCTTTTTTTTTTTTTAATTATACTTTAAGTTCTGGGGTACATATGCAGAATGTGCAGGTTTGTTACCTAGGTGTACACATACCATGGTGGTTTGTTGCACACATCAACCCATCATCTACATTAGGTATTTATCCTAATGCTGTCCCTTCCCTAGCCCCCCAACCCCCTGACAAGCCCCCATGTGTGATGTTCCCCTTCCTGTGTCCATGTGTTCTCATTGATCAGCTCCCACTTATGAGTGAGAACATGTGGTGTTTGGTTTTCTGTTGTTGTGTTAGTTTGCTGAGAATGATGGTTTCCAGTGTCATCCATGTCCTTGCAAAGGACACGAACTCATCCTTTTTTATGGCTGCATAGTATTTCATGGTGTATATGTGCCACATTTTCTTTATCCAGTCTATCATTGATGGGCATTTGGGTTGGTTCCAAGTCTTTGCTATTGTCAACAGTGCCGCAATAAACATATGTGTGCCTGTGTCTTTCTAGTAGAATGATTTACAATCTTTTGGGTATATGCCTAGTAATGGGATGGCTGGGTCAAATGGTATTTCTGGTTCTACATCTTTGAGGAGTCGCCACACTGTGTTCCACAATAGTTGAACTAATTTACACTCCCACCAACAGTGTAAAAGCGTTCCTATTTCTCCACATCCTCTCCAGCATCTGTTGTTTCCTGACTTTTTATTGATTGCCATTCTAACTGGAGTGAGATGGTATCTCATTGTGGTTTTCATTTTCATTTCTCTAACGACCAGTGATGATGAACTTTTTTTCATGTTTGTTGGCTGCATAAATGTCTTCTTTTGAGAAGTGTCTGTTCATACCCTTCGCCCACTTTTTGATGGGGTTGTTTTTTCTGGTAAATTTGTTTAAGTTCTTTGTAGATTCTGGATATTAGCCCTTTGTCAGATGGATAGATTGCAAAATTTTTCTCCCATTCTGTAGGTTGCCTGTTCATTCTTTTTCTGTGCAGAAGCTCTTTAGTTTAATCAGATCCCATTTGCCAGTTTTGGCTTTTGTTGCCATTGCTTTTGGTGTTTTAGTCATGAAGTCTTTTCCCATTCCTGTGTCCTGAATGGCATTGCCTAGATTTTCTTCTAGGGTTTTTATGGTTTTAGGTCTTAGGTTTAAGTCTTTAATCCATCTTGAGTTAATTTTATTAACAAATAACCTAAATCCACCAAATACGAATTTCTTTCATAGAATATCTCTTCCCTTTGACCACATCTTTATTCCTGCTTATGGCTGCATATCTACAATTGAATGTGATCTCTGCTGTCTTTGAAACTCTCATAGCACATTGTTTAACATATATCTTAGTGCATTGGAAACAACAGTAAGAACGAAAACCAGCCAAAAAAAATCTGTAATAAATTACAAGAGAATCGTCATGTGACTCTTAGAAATGTAATGTTGGTAATTTTTGATGTTTACCTATGCAAGGCATTTCATTATTGAGCTTATGGAAACCCAGATTCTCTTTGATTGGAATTTGGATAGATTATATTTTCCAGCTTTATGAAGCAAGATTAAATGCTGCAAACTTTATAGACTCCAATATTTCTTTCTGTTGGTCCAACTATCCATCATGCAGAAGGGAGTCCGTGGAAGTTCTCCTGTCTGTGAAACTGCTTGAGGGCTATTTCAAAGGGCTGTCTTTTTGGCTTTACATTTCTAGTTCTCTGTAATTAGACTTATATACATTTTTTATTGGATAATCATCAATTCCCTCCAACTCTGGGCCCGAATCAGAATGTATGGCAGTTTTTAATTTCATAACAACTTTGAACAAAACTAGCAAGCCGACGTAGCCATTTTCATACTCAATACCTTGAGAAAAATATTGCCAATTTAAAGTATATTTTGTTTGTTTATTTTTTTTTTTTGGTGTGGATTCTTGATTTTGTGGAACAAAAGACTGTAAGTTACATCTGTATCCATGATATTAGTGCCATCCTTTGCCCTCCATCCATGGTGCCTTTACAAATCAGTTATGGTGTTTAATACAAAAGCCTTTATGGTGGCTTTACGTAGCAGTTATGATGCTTAATACCACAGTCAAAATCAGGGTTTGCAGATGTTTTCCTGATTGCTTAGTAAATACTTCTGAGCAGGTAAAGCAGGAATATGTACGTTTAGAGATTCATTTTGTATCGTAATGGCTTGGCACACTTAAGTGAGCAGGATATATGCTCCTTCTTATTTTTCTTCCCATGTAGAGAAAAGTAAGGTTGTTTCTTATGCTGGTATCATTAATTTATTACCACAGACAGGATTGAGGTGGGCTTTAAAGAACATTGTTTCTGATATCTAATTATTGGCTGTAAGAATGGTTTCATAGCACCTTCTCTAAAATCAATTGCAGAGATCCTCTGATATTTTATGGTTCATAGTAACAACCCCATGGAGCAAGTCATCTCACTTCTCTAGGGAGAGCACATTTTGCAGCCAGTTTATCTTGAAACATTGCCTAATTTGAATTATTCTAAGGGTGTCTTATCAAATGTTTTCTTTTACAGCATGGTGATTGGGAATGCCTGCCTTGGAAAGTGTGTATCCCTAAATCATTCTGACTAGGCTCTACATCTCTGGGACCTCAGTCACCCACTGATGGGTGTGTTAAAGAGGATCCATGACCATTTTCTGAGAGAAATCATGGCCTTCCTTTGCTTAGGAGTGGGGTACTCTCCACATGCTGCTGTTTTGTTTTCATGAAGTAATGCAAACCTGGTTGTTAATCTGCTAATTCTCTAAGTTCAATATGCCCTTAATTGACAACAGAGAATATTTATATTCCTGTTTTTTCTCGGAGACCACAATCTCAAACTCTATGCCACTTTGTCCTTATCAAAACGGTCTCTATGATAATATTTGCATAATATTTCTGAGGAATATGTAATCCGTTCATTCTGCTAGGGAGTAGACCTTTTCTTTTAATTCAAGCCACATCATCGTAGAGTTTTGGCCCTTTGAGAATTGCTTTTACTGAGTGGTAGTGTGGTGTAATCATTGACAGATTGAGGGTCATTAATACGCAATCTCAGTTAAGTCATTATTGCGTTGATCGTGGTGGAATGCTTAAGGAGATGGTCCATATATTACATAGTCTTTGTCTTATGAACAACCATAGGAGAAAGTTCTTAACTGTCCTGTCCCAGTGTCAGGAATAGCTAAACTTCTCCTGAGCAACTGTTGCTGAGAATCTTCTAACTGTTGGTTTTGATGCCAAGTGCATCTCTAACTGTACTTCTGTTAAACTTTTCGTGAACTGTCCTGACTCCATCTTCTTCTCTTATTATTTTTTCTTTATGTGTGCCTTCTCAATAATTAGTCTTTTTAGTGTTATACTGTATGTACTTCTGTAAGCTATCAAAAATCCTTTTGGAATCCTGTAGGTAATGAATGAAAAACAACATAACAACCTACAAGTGTAAGCTTTGATTGAACCTTCTTCCTTGGTTTTGGATTATAGTGACTGGTTTTCATACATAACCCCCCTACCAGATATGAGGACTTTCAGGGTTATTGTTGTCTCTCATTCTTTATCATGCAGAAGTATTAAGCACATTACTTTGTATTTAATAGTATCCCTGTGAATATTTTGCAGTACATAAATATGCATTTATTGAATCTAGATACTGTTGGGTATACAAATATGAATTAAGTGTGGTCTCTAGCCTCAGGAAATTGACTTACAGTTGGAGAGACACAAGAAAGACTGTGTTAAGTGCTATCATATGCTGTGGAAGTCTTGAGGAGGGAGAAATGAATTCTGATTGGTGAGGGTCTAGAGGATTTGACCAGGGGAATACTGCTTTGGGGAAGTCTGTTCTTAGCACTGAAAATTGAATTGCATGAGCATTTATGTAATTCTTGTATGATTCTGAATTGCTTTTTTTCTCCCTTAAGTTTCAATGATTCCCCTTTAAGCTAGTGTTCTGAAATTTAGAGAATACGCCCTTAATGATATCATGATTTCATAGACTTCAGTCCAAACTTGAAAACTTTAGTGTTGCCTCTTCCCTTCATTTTCTGATCATTTTAAAGGCTTTTCTCTGTTCAATCAGGTCTTTCCCAAGGAAACATTGCTAATTATTTTGTAAATGATGATTTCTGATTATTTTTGTTTTTGTTTTCCTCACAGGGTGTCCTGCTTAGATGATCATACGATTTTGAGGTCGTTTGTTAGGCTGTTACATTGTACTAAAAGCCCTCTGTAATTGCATCCTGATGGCCTTTCCTGCCTTGTGTTCCTTCATTTCCTCCTCATATGCCACACTGTTTCATGTCATAGGGTAAGCTATATCCTCTCTTTGCAAGGCCTTTATTATGTGATGCTGTCGGTGCAAACTCCTTTCCATTCTCCATGATCCTCTCATTCATCTGAGAAGCTCTTCCTTACCCTCAGCACAGTCACTCCACCCTGTGGCTCATGGCTGTAGACAAACAGCCTCATCAGTCCTTGTTTCACTGATGGCACATATTAATTTGCATTTCTCCCTTTTCATTAGATTTGAGCTCCTAGGTGGCCAGATCTGCATTTTGTTCTACTTTCTCCAATGCCTGGTAGAGTGAGTGTGTTTTCCTGTATTTGCAACTTTTTGTCCACCATAAAGATGGATAGTTTTGTAGTATTCCAAAAACCCCTTGAACTTTCATTGCTCACAGAGTACATTGTCATAGCTGAGCTAGAGATTTCACTCTGGATTTCTTTCCTCTATGGCAACACTTCATCCAGTTTTCTTTTTGCTCTCAGTGCCTGCAACCTTTCTTATTTGTGAAATTTTTAAAGCCCCGGGCTTATAGTCATTCTGAACTCTACTGACCTGTCTTTCCTCTTCACTCTTGCTACCCTTAAGCAAAGTCATTGTCAGCACTACGGTTTTCCCAAACATTCCTCCCTAAACTCTTCCACTTCTAAGAATCATGGATTTCCCTTCAAGTTTCCTTTCCATGAACTAAATACATTTTTTTTTTCTTGGCCAATTTCTCAGTCCTACTCCCTCTCTCCAAATGCTGGCTTCGTTTGTCTAACTGCCACAATGGGTGGCTGTAGTAATGTAGTAATGAAGGAGAAGAGGATGTTAAGGCTTCTTTCAGTGACATTAAAAGCTATGGAAACACAAGTTATGATTTTTTTCAGTTATATTGAATAGTCAGCAAGGCTAACTGAATTTGCAAACAAAAGAACAGTTCTTCAGTTTATGAGCAAAATATATCTAGAAGTTTTGTACTATTAGTGCAGTGAAAAAGTAACTGTTTTTTTTAGATGGCTGCAGTGTTCCCAGCATTGAGCCCGTAACTGTGGCAGAGCCATGAGAACTACAGGGTATTTTACCTGTCTTGAAAAACTTTTGTTATATATACTGAGGAGAAAATGGTAATATACATGAGTACTGTGACATAGAATATGATATGAAATGCAAATCTGATCATGTCTCTTTTTTTTTTTTTTTTTTTTTTTGAGACGGAGTCTCGCTCTGTCGCCCAGGCTGGAGTGCAGTGGCGGGATCTCGGCTCACTGCAAGCTCCGCCTCCCGGGTTCACGCCATTCTCCTGCCTCAGCCTCCCAAGTAGCTGGGACTACAGGCGCCCGCCACTACGCCCGGCTAATTTTTTGTATTTTTAGTAGAGACGGGGTTTCACCGTTTTAGCCGGGATGGTCTCGATCTCCTGACCTCGTGATCCGCCCGCCTCGGCCTCCCAAAGTGCTGGGATTACAGGCGTGAGCCACCGCGCCCGGCCAATCATGTCTCTTTTTACAACTTTAATGATGTCTTGTTACCCAAAGTAAAGCCCAGGCCCCTTGGAGTAGTGTTCTTGTTTATTAACAATCTGGCCCTAACCTCTTTTTCCAGCTCGTCTTCCTCGACTGCCATTCTCCTACCACATACCCTACATGCTAGCCACTCCTAACTGCTCATCATTTCAGATTTTATCATTCACTTCAACACCTCCCTGCTTTGGGAAGCTGCTTCCATGTTTTTCATTTTCTTTCTCCCTGTCTTTGCCACATAAATTCATATTCATCTTTCAAGACCTGCCTAAATGTTACTTCCTCTGTTCTGTAGTTTTCTTCTTTCTTGCATTTTCCTAGGTAGAATTAGTGTCAACTCTATATGCACATTTAGCTCCTTGCTAGCTCCCATTCTTGCATTTACCACAATGTTCTGTAATTGTTTTTCTTCTGATTCCCCTTTTGATTTCTTCTTTGACCCATTGGTTACATAGGAGTAGGTTAATTTCTACCTATTTATGATTTTTCCACATTTTTCCTGTTATTGATGTCTAATTTTATTCTATTGTGATCAGAGAACATATATTATTTTTATCCTTTTAATTCATTGAGGTTTTTTTATGGCCTAGAATATGATCTGTCCTGGAGCAGTGTTCCACATGTGCTTGAAAATAATGTATATTCAGGTGTTGTGGATGGAGTATTCTACTGATGTCTGTTAGATTAGTTGTTTATAGTATTGTTCAAGTCTCCTGTTTCCTTGTTGATCTTCTGTCTAGTTAGTGGTTCTATGCAATGTTGAAAGTGAGTTATTGGCCAGGCCATGGTGTCTCATGCCTATAATCCCAGCACTTAGGGAGGCCGAGGGGGTGAATCATATTAGCCCAAGAATTTGAGACCAGCCTGGCCAACATGGTGAAACCCAGTCTCTATAAAACACACAAAAATTAGCTTAGCATTGTGGCTCACGCCTGTGGTCCCAGCTACTTGGGAGGTTGAGGTGGGAGGATTGCCTGAGCCTGGGAGGTTGAGGCTTCAGTGAGCTGAGATTGTACCACTGATCTCTAGCCTAGGTGACAGAGAGACCCTGTCTTAAAAAGAAAAAAAAAATCAAAAAAAGAGTTATTTAAATTTCCAACTATTATTGTTGAATCATCTGTTTCTCCCTTCATTTCTGTCAGTTTTTATTTCAAATATTTAAGTGCATCATTATTGGCTGCATATATGTTTATCATTTCTATAACTTCCTGATTGATTGGCTCTTTTATCATTACAAAAGTTCCCTCTTTATTTCTGAACTGGGAATGGGGAGTAAGGGAGCAGTCTTGGTTCAAATACCATACTCTTCCCTTTCTTACCGAATTTCCATTTTTGTAAGAACAGATATTTCTTCATTTGCTGTCTGCTCTGAAGATCATTTGCCTTAAAAAATTTGTTTAACCAGTTTCACGGGAGACCAGAACAGTGGAGATCCTCATACTGTCATGCCAGAAGTTGATCTGTCACGCTTCTTTCTATAATTTTTTTATGTGTGTGCTTGTTTTCCATCATAGCCAATTAGTCTTATAAGCTTTATGAGGCTATGTTTTATTAATGTTTATTTGTCCACTACCTAGCACAATGCTTGAAATATTGAAGGTCAGCAATTCCCAATTATTTTCTCTTTTGGACACAGCTTTGAATACTGAAATTTTTCATGGTACACTTGAATGTATTTTAAAAAAAGAAAATAATACTAAATAACTTAGCAACAATTATGCTACATTTATTGCTATAGCTTAACAACATTTCATGATTTCTATAAAAACAACCTTAGTTGTCCTACCATTCCTGTGGTCTCTTTCCAGTACCCTGTCACCTTTAGAGAAGAGCTGTTTACTGCTCTGACTGATCTGTCTCTTCACTGTATGAAATCAAATTTGTTTGTTTTTGGTGCCACTTGATGTCATTTCCTATCCTTGACTTATAACAGAGTACCCCCATTTATATAATGCTGGTGTACAGAATGTTGGTACATTTTCTGATAAACGTGGATGTAATAATTTAATGTCTTCTTAGTTTTGACAAAAATAACTGGTTATTTTTTGGGTCAGCTTGGGTGATGGCACCTCTGTGAAGTTTACTATGCCTCCCAAGTGTCTCTGTTGGGTACTTAGTGTTTGGTCCTGTTGGATAAAATAAAGGTTAAATTATGAAGTATATAAAGTATAGACTTCAAATGCTATGGAAGTCTTCCATGTAACCTAAGCTGTGAGGTTTGTGACAGTTTCTTGACTTGCCACATTTTTTAGTCTCTGTATCCTATGTATTTAAGGGGTTACTAAATTTTATTGCCTTTATCTTCTGCAAGTTTCTAAATTTCAGTCCTTTCTTTCTGTCTTTCTTTCTTTCCTTCCTTCCTTCCTTCTTTCTTTCCTTCTCTTTCTTTCTCTCTCTCTTTCTCTCTCTCTCTTCTTTCTTTCTTTCTTTCTTTCTTTCTTTTTCTTTCTTTCTTTCTTTCTTTCTTTCTTTCTTTCTTTCTTTCTTTCTTTCTTTCTTTCTGTCTTTCTGTCTTTCTGTCTTTCTCTCTTTCTCTCTTTCTCTCTTTCTCTCTTTCTCTCTTTCTCTCTCTTTCCTTCTTTCTTTCTTTTCTCAGAGTCTCGCTCTGTTGCCCAGGCTGGAGTGCAGTGGCGTGATCTCCACTCACAGCAAGCTCTGCCTACTGGGTTCACGCCATTCTCCTACCTCAGCCTCCCAAGTAGCTGGGACTACAGGCGCCTGCCACCACGCCTGGCTAATTTTTTTGTATTTTTAGTAGAGACAGGGTTTCACCGTGTTAGAC
Organism: Homo sapiens; assembly: GCF_000001405.40. NCBI lineage: Eukaryota > Metazoa > Chordata > Mammalia > Primates > Hominidae > Homo > Homo sapiens. Next base: position 111,280,876 of record NC_000007.14, on the reverse strand, counting down.
AGGATGGTCTCGATCTCCTGACCTCGTGATCTGCCTGCCTCGGCCTCCCAAAGTCCTGGGATTACAGGCCTGAGCCACCGCACCCGGCCAATTTCACTCCTTTCTTTGTTGTTCTTACTCAATCAGTTCTTATCCAAGCCTTTAAACACTTATTACTAAGTTTTTAGTAAGAGGCGCCTAATTTGTCTGTTTCTTTAGTCTGTGCTTTTGGGAAGTCATCCTGTACGTTACTTCCTAGACCAAGTTTCTCGGAAGACCAGTTCATCATGACATTTCCTTTTTTTGCTTGCCACTAATGTTTTCTAAAATGTTTGATGTGTACCAACCACTGTTTTAGGTACAGTGGTTCTGTGGTGAACAAGCTGGACAAAGTTTCTGCCTCCTTGGGCCTTCTGTTCTGTGTTGTGATAGGCAGTAAACAAGTATATAAAGGATATTCTCACACTGTGATAAGGGCTTTGGTAGTAATAAATACAATCTTGGGATAACTTAAGAGACCACCTTAGGTAGGTGAAGAGTGAAGACATCTGAGGAGATGTTATGTGAGCTGAGACCTGAAGGATGTGAATGAGCCATGCAGGAACTGGGAAAAAAGGACTTCATGCAGAGGGAACAACAAATGTGACGTCCCGGGAATAGGGAAGAGCTTGGCATGCTTGTAAAACAGAAAGGAGGCTGTGACAGCTAAAACATAATGATGGATGAGAATAATGAGACGATGTCGAAGGGAAAGCCAGATCATTTAGGGCCTTGCTAGAGTATGGCAAGGAGTTTTATTTTGTTTCAAGAGTCCTGTGAAGTCATTGATGGTGTTAAGAGGAGTGAGTTGACTTGTTTTTAAAAGATAGATAAATCCTGGCTTATTTGTGGAGAATAGTTTGAATAGGCAAGAGTAGAAGTAGGAGACTACTAAGAAGGTTGACACTAGTGGGTTAGTCAGCATTAAAGATGGAGAAAACTGGATAGGTCAAGATAGAGGTTGGAGATGGAGTCAATGCAATGAACTGGGCAATGCATTAAAAGCCCGAAATGTTTGTTCTCTATATGCTGCATCATGGACAAAATCCTTTGTATTTTGAAGTCTCTGTAACCTGGCCTCTTTATATGTCTGTTTATTTTCCTTTACACCCCAAGGTCCACTTTGTTCTTCAAGCAAAAGAGGTTATAATATAGTAATTAAAAGCACATGTTTTTGCACCCGACTTCCTGAGTTCAGATCTTTGCTTTGTCCCTTCCTATGTGATATCAAGTCAGAGAAATCTTGCCTTAGTTTCATAGATGACAAAACTGTAAAATTGAGACAATAATATTTAGAAAAAGGGTTTTCGTAATTCACTTAGGATCTCAAGATGGCATCCTTTGGCTAGTAGAAATAGCTTTTTAGTTGCTGCCTCAGTCTTCACATGGTCTTCTCTGTCTTTCTGTTTGTTTCTCCTTCTCTTCAACGGACTTGTCTTTGGATTAGGGCCCATCTTAATTCACAGTACTCTTATCTCAAGATCCTAAGTTAATTACAAAAAAGCTTTTTCCAAATAAGGTCATATTTACAGTTTCTGGAAGTTGGCACTTCGGCATATCATTTTGGGGGTTCACTATTCAACCCATTACAGTGAGCTTTTTGAATCAGGCTAAGACCACATTAGTTCCAACTTTGCTTTTATTCTTCTGTTTTATACATTTTACCCAATTTTGAAAATCTGGCGTAAACCTTATCACTTCCATAAAATAGCCTCTGCTGTATAAGATTTGTTATTGGGAGATAAAAAGTAAAATCAAATACAATAATGTTTTTCAATGTCTGTGATTATCAAAACTGCACAGAGGACCTGCTCTCAATAGACTACTTAGGTTAATTGATTTTTATGGATTATTTGGGTGGTTGAAATTTTTTTTTTCATGTTTCATGTCTTAAGGATTGGGAAAATATTTCATTCTCATAGAACTGATGACTTAGAAACCATTAAAATGAATATTTCTAATTCTGTTAAGAACAAGATATCTTAAAAGTTGGATTAGAGGTAGAGTTTTAAATCTAATTTCTGGGTACAAGTTGGGTGTAGATTTCAAGGAAATAGTTTTGATCACAGAAAACTAGATTACTTGTGTATGTGGGGAAGGTAGAGCAAGAACAATATATATGAGCTAGAAAATTATAAAACATGTTATTAACAAAAGATCATACTTTATTAGGTTTTCCTTTCTCACTTTCAGGGCTTAAAGATGAAAAAGTCTTCAGTTGGAGCGTTAATACAAATATGTGTAAATCATGCCTTATTACTGAGTTTCACAACTGGGGTGTGCAACTGATGTGTCTGTATATGTGTAGAGAGAAACTGGAATGATGTTTTAGTGAAGCATTGACAATGGTTATCTCTAAATGGTGACATTCATTTTTAAAACTATCTGATCTGACTGTGTTTTTTTGACAATAAAAGTGTGTCATTTTACAAAAACAATTGTTGGGAGTGGAGAAGAGATGAAGAGTTTGAGAGTGGCTGGAGCCCCCAGGCTAGTTCACTCCAGCTGCACATACAAACCATGTTTACTCATGTCTCATATAAAGAGTATAATTTTCTCTATATACCATAGGGCAGAAATTGTTGAGAAGCACTGTAAATGTGTATGTTAAAACTTTTCAAAGAAATTATTTGTTTGTATATTTGGGGATACAAGTGCAAGTTTTTTACATGTATGTGTTGTGTAGTGGTGAAGTCTGGGCTTTCAGTGTACCCATCACCCAAATATTGAGTATTGTACTCAACAGGTGGCTTTTTAGCCCTCACCCCTCTCCCATCCTCTCACCTTTCATAGTCTTCAGTGTCTTTTACTCCACGGTCCATATGTACCCATTGTTTAGCTCCCACTTATAAGTGAGAACATGTGGTATTTGACTTTCTAAGTTATTTCACTAAGGATAATGGCCTTCAGTTCCACCCATGTTTCTGCAAAAGACATGATTTTATTCTTTTTTATGGCTGAATAGCATAATGTAGTGTTACATATACTACATTTTCTTTATCCAGTCTTCTGCTGATGGGCACTTAGGTCGATTCCATAGCTTTGCTATTGTGAATAGTGCTGCAATAAACACACAAATTACAGTTACCATTTTTATATAATGATTTCTTTCTCTTTGGGTAGATACCCAGTAGTGGGATTGCTGGATGGAATAGTAGTTCTATTTTTAGTTCTTTGAGTAATCTCCATTCTGTTTTCCATAAAGGTTGTACTGAAATTCCTACAAGCGTTCCCTTTTCTGCTGCATCTTTGCCAACATCTGTTGTTTTCAGACTTTTTTTTTTTTTTTTTTAAATGAGACAAGGTCCCTGTCTGTCTCAGGCTGGAGTGTGGTGGAGTAATCTCGGCTCACTGCAACCTCCGCCTCTTGGGTTCAAACAGTTCTTGTGCCTCAGCCACCTGAATAGCCAGAATTACAGTGTTTTTAGACTTTTTAATAGTCATTCTGACTGGTGTAAAATGGTATCTCATTGTGGGTTTAATTTGCATTTCTCTGATGATTAGTGATTTTGAGCATTTTTTTGTGTGTGTTTGTTGGCTGCTTGTACGTCTTTTGGAAAATGTTCATTCCTTTGCTCACTTTTTAATTTTTTTTTTATCTTGTAGAGTTGTTTGAGTTCGTTGTAGGTTCTGGATATTAGCCCTTTGTCAAATGCAAATATTTTTTCCCATTCTATAGACTGTCTGTTTACTCTGTTGATTGTTCCTTTTGTTGTGCAGAAGCTTTTTAGTTTAATTAAATCCTATTTGTCTATTTTTAGTTTTGTCGCTTTTGCTTTTGAGAACTTGGTCATAAAGTATTTGCCTAGGCCAATGTCCGGAAGAGTTTTTCCCAAGTTTTCTTCTAGGATTTTCATAGTTTCAGATCTTACATTTAGGTGTTTAATCCATCTTAATTTTTGTGGATGGTGAAAGGAGGTATGGGTCCAGTCATTCTTCTGCATGTGGCTATTCATTTTTTCCAGCACCATTTATTAAATAAGGTGGCATTTTCCCCAGTGTATATTTTTGTTGACTTTGTTGAAAATCAGCTGGTTGTAGGTATGTGGCTTCATTTCTGGGTTCTCTATTCTGTTCCATTCATCTTGGTATCTATTTTAATATCAGTCCCATACTCTGTTGGTTGCTATAGCCTTGTAATATAATTTGAAGTCAGGTAGTGTGATGCAGCTAGCTTTTTTTCCCCTTAGGATTACTTTGGCTTTTTTTTTTTTTTTCGGTTCCACATGAATATTAGGATTTTTTTTTTCTAATTCTGTGAAAAATGACATTGGTAAAAGCCCAGGATCAGATGGGATCACAGCTGAATTCTACCAAATAATAAAGAAGAACTAATACCAATCCTCTTGGAACTATTCCAGAAAATTGAGGGGGAGGGAATTCTTCCTAACTTACTCTATGAGGCCAGCATCAACCTCATCCCAAAGCCAGATAAGGAGACAACAATAAAAGAAAACTGCAGACCAAAATCTCTGATGACCATAGACACAAAATCCTCAACAAAATACTAGCAAATAGAACACAACAGCACATCAAAGAGATTAATATACCATGATCATGTGGGATTTATCTCAAGGATGCAAGGATGCTTCGATATATGTAAATTGGTAAATCTGATACATTACAGACACAGAATTAAGGACAAAAACCATATGATCGTCTCAATAGATGCAAAAATTTCCTTCAGTAAAATTCAGCACCCCTTCATGATAAATATCCTCAAAAGACTAGGCCTTAGAAGGACATATCTCAACATAATAAAGAAAATATAAGACAAACCCACAGCTGACATTATACTTAATGGGGAAAAGTTGAAAGTATTAAGAAATAAGAGGCATCTAAATTGGAAATGAGGAAGTCAAATTATCCCTGTTTGCTGATGATATGATCTTATACCTAGAAAACCCGGCAGACTCCACTGAACAACTCTTAGAATTGATCAATGGATTCAGTAAAGTTTCAGGATACAAAATTAATATACAGGAATCAGCAGCATTTCTTTATACCAATAACAATCTAGCTGAGGACCAAGTCAAGAAGACAATCCCATTTACAATAGCTATTAAAAAATGCCTAGGAATATATTTAATCAAGGAAGTGAAAGATCTCTATATGTAGAACTACAAAACACTGATGAAAGAAATCATAGATAACACAAACAAACGGAAAAACATTCCATTCTCACAGATTGGAAGAATCATTATCATTAAATCTACCGATTCAGTGCAATCCCTATAAAATTGTATGTTAAAACTTAATTGTGTTACCTTGTGAATAACTCATGCACACCTCCCACACTGAATAAGTTGTATCTGATTTGTTAGAAGTGAATTTTGTATTATTACATTTTCAGTATAATTACTGTCTTTCCTTCACCAGTCCCCCACAACTGTTTTTGGAGTGTGAATTACTTGTAGGAAGTAGCCCAAGTATAGAAATGCTAGTTGGGGGAACAGTAATTCTGGTTCAAAACCATTAGGAATTCAATTCAGAACATAAACTTTCTTTTTAACAAGCTAATTCTCCTCGGAAATATTTGAGTTTGTTGGTAGAAATGTTTGTGTGAGAGTGCTTTGCTGTTATTTGTAGAGAAGCATTTGGGCCAAGTCTCTTATCTCATTAGCGTCCCTCCACCTCTTATGAGTGGGCAATGTGGTCTCATTGACTTACAGGCACTGACCTGTATTCCTTGTCTCTGTGAGCAGATCCTCTGGGAGCCTCCATGGGATTCCTATGAATATGCACAGTGCAATTGCATTTTTCTCAACATGAAAGAATTCAAATAGTCTGGAAACTTGCCAACTTTAATTCTGACACATCTCGAGATTAGAATGTCAATGTAAATGAAGAAGCAGAGTTGCGCCTTGGTGCTACTGCTTTGGGATCAGAGACTGGAAGATGTCAAGCAGACAGAGCTGTAAATGATCAAGCGTGAGTGCTTTACGTACTGATGGGGAATGCTGGTATCTTTTCATGTCTGCACTCTGTTAATTCTCTAAATCATTATACTATTACTCTTTCTGTTGGGAATAACAAGAAAAACTATTCTATCTGTGTTGCCTGCTCCTGGGACATGTGCCTGTTTGCTTAAATACGGGTCTTTGAATTTAGGATTACAAAACAGTTGTTCAGAAAACAACCACAGCAGTATACTTCAGAAAACCCTTCTCTCTTTTGAGATATAACTGGATTGGTGATTCATGTCTGTTTGTTAATTGCAATAAAGCTGCTATTGTAATTTAGTATGCTTGTTAAGAACAGTCCAACAGTCCTCTAAGGGACAATAGATAACCTGCTATGTGTCTTGCTTAGGGAGCTGGTAATTATTTTACTGTAAATGAATCTAACAATAGCCTATCAGAAAACCACAAGAGGGACAGGCTTTGAGGGAGAAGTGTTAAAATTGAGGCTCTTCTGTATTGACTACATTCGTCAGCCCAAATTACTGGCAATAAGGTTTTTAGAGAGGCTCAAGTAAAGTAAAATAATTAAGATTCTCTTCAGTTACTGTAAAAAGATTCTTAATATGAGTGCATCTTATTTAAGACTCATTTTAGCCTTCCTTTTAATGGAAGTTTTAATGTTTCATATTATGTAATGATGACTTCCCATTTTGAAAAGGTGATCCTACCAGATCAGAGACTTGTAAATTTTTCCTGTAGGAATTGCTTGATTATTATCACTAATTACATTTTAGAACTATCTACTATATTTTATTTGGATTTACATTGATTTTTTCCCCCTGGGAAAAACAGGTGTAATTAAAACCCAGATGGAAGTAATAATTTTGGGTGTCATTGGCAGAGTAAATAAAGAATAGGTTAGGGAAGCACATTTTCTTCCCATGAAAGACTTTGAAAATTATATGTTGACTGAAGAAACTGTAGGCAAGTTATTAGTTTCCATAAAATTTAAGAAGTATATATAGTTCTTAATAAAAAATGGAGTTTGTTATAAATCAAACTGATGACTTTGGTATTTGCATCCTCTCAGTATTAAGATCAAACCTACTTTTATTTATATCCTTTTCATTCCTTCCCTTTATGCCACTATGCTCCAGCCAAACATAATTATTAATTCCAGAAATATTCCATGTAATATTTGTGGTTTTGGCTATGATTTTGCTTGAGCCTTGAATGTTCCTAACCGTAACCTCTGTATATCCAGAACTTAAGACCCCTTCAGACCTTGCTCCCTCGGGAAGTGTTCCTTCATCAGGTGGAATGAATGTCCCCTATCTCTGAATCTCACAATATTGCACGTGCACCTCCCTGCATCCTCAAGGTAGAAGTTTGTATGCTTTGTTCATGATGACCCCATACCCATGGCAGGATAACTGTTGTTCTATATCCGGCCACTTCCTTTATTTTAGAGTTTATTATTATGTATGATGTCTAGTTTTCCATATTTTTCCTGTTAGGCTATGAGCTCATGGTAACCTCCTTATTATGTCAAATAAGGCTACCCATGATCTGATCCCTGTCTTTCTCGTGCAGCCCAAAATTTCCACTGCTTTGGGCTTTATACCTCAGTGTTCCAGTAATGTTTCGGCATTGCTGAGGTATGTATATATTTTTTTTTTGAGATGGAGTCTTATTCTGATGCCCAGGCTGGAATGCATTGGCATGATCTCGGCTCACTGCAACCTCCGCCTCCTGGGTACAAGCGATTCCCCTGCCTCAGCCTCCCAAGTAGCTGGGATTACAGATGCCCGCCACCATGCCCAGTGAATTTTTGTATTTTAGTAGAGATGGGGTTTCACCATGTTGGCCAGGCTGGTCTTGAACTCCTGACCTCAAGTGGTTTGCCCGCCTCCACCTTCCAAAGTGCTGAGATTACAGGATGCTGAGCTATTTTTAATTTCTGGACTTTGATCTAGGTGTTTCTTCCATTTGTAATGTTCTTTATACTCTATCAAGACTCCATTGTCACCTCCTCCAACATCTAGATCAGTTAGCTAATTTCTGTACTCTTGCTATGTACTTCTGTATTATAATCTGAGGTGATCTTACTGGGTAAATGAAAAGCTGACTTTGAAATCTCTATCTTTCTGCCAATTGCCAATTTTGGTCCTAGAGTCTGAGGTGTGTGGGCCCAAAGAAAAGGGCTAGGTGAGCCCAATTGAAAAGGTTGGGGATGTCCTGTGGGAATAAGCCCATGGCTGGACATTTCTGTGAACTTGGTCAGCTCTTTTCTACTTTTGTTTGCTCCTCTTCTCTATTAACACATAAAAATTTTTATAATAGTCTATGTATCAGCCAATCAGTGCCTAGTTTGGGACACTTACTATGTGTGAAGCACTGTACAGGCCTTGAGATTAAAATGTTGAACAAGACAGAATGGTTCCTTGTGGAGCTTAGCTAGTGAGGTAAATAGTTGTAGTATGACCAAGTAATTTTCAGTGTGTTTAATCATACTAAAGTAGCAGTGTACAGTGCCTTTTGAGAATATAGTAGTGATTTATTTATTTTGGGGAATCAGGAAAGGTTTGTATTAGACATGCCATTTAAGCTGAGATCCAAGAAATGAGGAGTTTGCTAAAAAAGCAAGGTGGAGACTGTTTATAGACATTAGCATGAGCAAAAGCCCTGAGGGAGGATAAAATGAGAAGTGGTTGAAGGCCAGCATAGTTAGGTGGGAGAGTTTACACAAGATAATCCTGAAGAGATATAGTAAGGGCTTTATCTTGGAGGTTATGGGAAGCCACATTAAGGATTTTAGACTTTGTCTAAAAGATATAAGAAGTCATTGGAGAATTTTAATGTCATCATGTTTATGTTTTATAACAGTTATTCTGTCTGCATTACAGAAAACAGATCGGGTGGGGAAAAAGTAGAAATGGAGTGTTTGTATTTATCTGATTAGGAGGCTGTTGCTGTGGTCCAAGCATGAGATGACTCTGGTTTAGATTAGTGTGGTAATAGAGATGAAGTAGACAGGTTGGAAACATGTGTAGGAATAGAATGTGACCAGAGAGAGAAAGTAGTTAAGAATGACTTCTAAGCTTGAACAACTTGAGCAACTTGCTTCATGGTGGTGTCATTTTTTTCTGAGATAGGTTTTAGGTAATGTAGGGCATTTGTACTTAGGGACTCTCCAAGATATCCAGATGGTCAATTGGATAGATAAGCCTGATCCTGAGAGGTGGATTTGGAGTCATGGCAGGCATCTGTGTGGATGTAGTTACCTGGGCCACTGATTGTCAAAATGTGGTCCCGTGACCAGCAACATCAGCATCACTTGGATGTTTGGAATTTAGACATGGACTTACTTAGGCCCCAACCTTGACCTACTCTATATCAGAAACTCTGAATGTGAGGCCCAACAATCTGTGTTAATAAGCCTTCCCTGTGGTTCTGATGTACACTGAAGCTTGAGAACCACTGGCCAAAGCAGTGAAATACAGCATGAGGGCATAAGTGTAATTTACATTATTTTACTCCAAAAGCAGTCTTAATTTGTGATGAATTTTATGTTATTCAGCTTTTGTCCATTCTTCCATTGGGTGTGTATATTAATCCATTCTCACAGTACTATAAAGGACTGCCCAAGACTGGGTAAATTATAAAGGAAGAGGTTTAATTGATTCACCGTTCAGCATGGCTGGGGAGGCCTCAGGAAACTTACAATCATGATGGAAAGGGAAGCAAACACGTCCTTCCTCATATGGCAACAGGAAGGAGAAGTGCCAAGCAAAAGGGGGAAAAACCCCTTATAAAACCATTAGATCTCATGAGAACTCACTCACTATCATAAGAACAGCATGAGGGTAACTGTCCCCGTGATTAAATTACCTCCCATTGGGTCCCTCCCATGGCATGTGGTGATTATGGGAACTACAGTTCAAGATGAGATTTGGGTGGGGACACAGCCAAACCATATCAGTATGTTAATGGAGTATATAATAGTCTTAGCGGGAGTTATGTGGTCCTGAGACTGTACTTTACACTAAGATTTTGAAAAATTGTTCATGTAAGATAAGTGCTCATTTTAGAGATGCCATGTTAGTTGGCATAAACAAAATCCAATTGTTATATATTCCTAGAGGAATAAAGAAAAAATTCTATGAGTAAGAAAATAAAAACAAATAAATACTTGTGTTTTTATTAGATGGAGGTCTTTTCAGTTCAAACGTACCGTTCATAAATTATTGAAATATAGGCATCATGTAGAAATTACTTTGATTAAACTCTTTACCTTGGCAACTACTTTCCAAAGGGTAGGATGCTATTTGGTAAGCCTTTTAAAGTTGGTTTTGACAGCTAATTTGCTCACATAATAGCATAAAGTTTCTTCTCTTCTGCATCATATTTTTAAAGAAATTTTTTTCTTTATAGTGAACTCTGATAAATATATAAGATAACTGATGGACTACATCTACATAAAAAAGAATTCAAGTCACTAAATACAATACTCATGACAAATAGAATACATTTAGACTCTTCAGTCCTAGGATTGCATTCTGTCACTATGTTCAAGAATAATACTGAACATTATTAAAAAATGAAAAGCAGATCAGTTGAAAAGGTTTCTTTAAGGCACTACTGAAGTTTATCATAATGGGAGACAGGTAATGATAACTTTCAAGTAATGGAATCTGTGCTACAGTACATTCACTTGACACATTTTCTTTGAATGAAATAGTTTTTTATTTTTTTAAATAAAAGGCAAGCCAGCTTTCTCTTCCCCCATTTAATTAGGGCAGCTACATTGTAGGCACTAGGAAAAGAAAATCGGTGATTTTCAAATCAGTGGGGAGGATACACACACACACACACACACACACACACACACACACACAGACACACATGCATGCACACACACAAAGATGGTACAATAGGAATAGGGTTTGTATAGGTTAATATAATAACATGCAGTACCAAAGAGTGATGCCTGCCCTGAATCTTGAAAGACAAGAAGAGTTAGCCAATATTGAAAGAGGTATTCTCAAATCAGAACATGATAAGAGCTTCTCCTTAGAGCAGGTATAGGTAGCCAAAAATGGTGCAACTCCAGGAAAATTTCTGAGTGGATTTTGATGATATACTTTAGGATAGCATTTCTGTGTGGTGAGTTTGCATTTGATAGGTCTTCTTTTAGATAGGATACTGGGGCTTAACTGGATTTAAACACATAATTCCATATTTTGATAACATAATTTCATAATTTGTTACATCTTCTTTCATGATGTGAACATTGTTTTTTTTTAAAAAAAACTGTAATACATACTACCATTAATTAAAACTTGCATTTAACATCATATACATACAGAAGAAAATACTGTATTCATAGTGTGTTTAATAATACTTGTCAGTGAATATGTCTTTTTATTTTTTAATTATAAGATGAAAAAAGTGGCACTGTTTCTGGAGAGTCCATAGTATATAGCAAACACATATAATTTTTGTACTTGCCACTTTATTTTACATTTATTTGCATACTTGCATGTCTTTCAAGATGATATATACTTGATTTGGCTTAAAAATTCTATCATTTGTTCAGTCTTTCCATATGAATAATGTCTTTCTATATGGATTGCATTTATTAATGCTTATTTATATAGTGTCTTAGCATGATGAGACAATATAATAATATGAAAAAGACTGGTATTTGTTGGGACAAGGAAATGAATCAGATAAAAGTGTTTCTTAAATGAGCAGATGCTGCTTTTGATAAAAAATTTTACAGTGAAGCCTCTTATCGCCACAAACTCTGCCCTGCCAGTGCCCTGTCAACTCATGACTAGGTATGGATCTCAGACACTGGCAGTTGTAGGCAGAAGTAGCATAGGCAGAGCCTGAGCCCTCTCTCCCTGTATTGTCCTTACTTTTGTGCCCTATGCAGTAACTGGACCTTGCTCCACCTACTTTAGAAGTAATAAAAAATGGACAATATTTGCAGATGCCTCCAATTTACCAAGGACCAGAAAAGATAATAGTTTGTATAGAAATCTGAAGTTTGGCCAGGTGCAGTGGCTCATACCTGTAATCCCAGGTATTGGAAGGCTGAGATAGGAGGATTGCTTGAGCCCAGGGGTTTTAGACCAGCTAGGGCAACAGGGTGAGGTTGCATTTCTACATAAAATAGAAAAATTAAAATTAGCCAGGCATGGTGGTGCTCGCCTGTGGTCCCAGCTATTGGAAAGGCTGGTGGGAGGAGGATTGTTTGAGCACAGGAGGTTGAGGCTTTAGTGAGCCCCGTTCATGCCACTGCATTCCAGTCTGGGCAACAGAGCAAGACTTGGTCTCAAAAAAAAAAAAAAAAAAAAAAAAAAAAAAAAAAAAAAAAAGAGAAATGTGAAGTTTAACTCATATCTCTACCCTGGGAATGTAGTTTTCGCTTCTGGCTCCTTTTTTTTTTTTTTTTTTTTTATTAGATAAACGACAAAAACAAAATTTTTGAAACCCAGCAAGTTTACCTCTTTGGCATTGTTTTCCTATTGCTGCCACCACATAGCTGAAGCCTGTTCCTGGGCAAAACCATGAGCTAGGTGAAGTTTGTCTTAAGACAACTCCTGCCTCCCTTTTCTATCTCTGCTATCCACAAAACATCTAATACTCTTGAGTTCCTTCCACCCTGTGAGACTTCACACAATGTTATTGATTGGTTGCATCCTAATATCCTACTCCTTTTAGGGATATCAGCTTTTTAAAAGAGAATGTCTTGGGGGGAATAATATATAACACATAGAGAGATAAATCTCTAATGGTAGAATTTAAAACATCATGGTGGTGCTGTGTTGATGAGTGAGAAAATTGGGGACAGAGACTTTTGTCTAATTCTAAAGTAAATGTATCAGTGACTGCTTCCTCTGTTTGTTTTGTGAAGCTGGGGTTATTATTTATAATTAGTGCCAATTAAAAAATGTCTTGAATTACCATACTTAAATAGATAGCATACAGGCATGAATGGGCCAGAATTTACTACTTCTTCTTTGAAAAAGATACTCTGTAATGATACAGAGAATGAACCGACACTATTTTTATACAATGACTCATGAACTCATAGACATGAAGGAATGATCATTGTTCCACATTTCAATTTGTGGTCTATCCTGGAATAATATTTTAATTAATCCAGCAAACACCTTTATGGATGAGAAGTAATATTACCCCTGGAGAATAGTATATAGAAAAAAAGTTAATATAATCTGAAAGCTCAAAAAAGAAAAAAAATATTACCCCTATTAAGTCTATTAAAGATTGGGTCAAAAGATAATTCAAGGTTAAGAATGTCCTCCTTAGAAGTTGCCCAGTAAATCGGTGAGAGAATTGGGAGAAGAAAATCTGAGCTTCTGGCCTCTTAGGGCATGGAGTCACTGTTTCCTTTGAGGCCATGTTTATAATCACAGTAAGTGACCTGGGGAGACTAGCGCTCCTAGCAATGAAACAGATGGCATGAAGTTCCCATCACCCTGCAGCTCATCAGCCATAACTGACCAACTGGGAAACAAATGTTAAATAATAACAAATTAGGGTATGTTTAAATAATGACATTGAATAAATCTTAGTAATTTTACATTTTCAAAGGACTTTACAATTGTTTTTTATTACCCATTCAAATTACCTAAAATTCCCCTAAATCACTATGTTTTTTTAATGCCTCAGAAAAGGTATGTTTGAGACCATGCGTATTCTGATGATGCATTTGTATTAAGAAGAAAGAAAGATTATCAACCCCACAGCTTGGTAAGTTTCTATAAAAATTTATGGAAATATAGCACGTTAGCACTAAAGGGAATTTTGGACATATGGAAGAATTGAATTTGTAGTTGTGATCCTCAGACCAAACTTATGATCAAAATCATCCAGAAAACATGGTATTGAATCAGTTAAGGGCGGCCTTTGGGGAAACAAACTTTCTGGATCATGGGAAAGCTAGGGTAGAGAAATTGATCAAAGACACCCGGGCCTTGACTTTGCTTTCTTCATCTGAATGAGGCTGTGACCTTGCTCATGCTGAGCTTGATTCAAGAAATAGGAGAGCTGCTGTTTGTAAACATTCCTTTAAATGGAAGCATGTCTATTGCATCATAAGTTCTTTCTGGCTAAGTGATTTTAACTATGTGTATAAGAGGGCAGTGGCATGACAAAAATGTGGCAATTTCACATGTCTGGCAGGAAAATGCCGTAGTCTTAGCTATTTAACTGGGGACTTAGTCTAATTTTACAGTGGGTGTATGTAAGTTCAGTTAGGCCTCAATTTTATAGATGAGGGAAATGCACTTTATGGAAGAAAAGTAACTTGCCTAAACTGATGTTCTTAGTGCCAGAGCTGGAGATAGAACCTAGATCCCTTTTTTTTTTTTTTTTTTGGGAGACATAGTCTTGCTCTGTTGCCAAGGCTGGAGTGCAATAGTGCGATCTTGGCTCGCTGCAACCTCTGTCTCCTGGGTTCAAGCGATTCTCCTGTCTCAGCCACCCCAGTAGCTGGGATTACAGGCATATGCCACCATGCCTGGCTAATTACTGTATTTTTAATAGGGACAGGGTTTCACCATGTTGGCCAGGCTGGTCTTCAACTCCTGACCTCAAGTGATCCACCCACCTCAGCCTCTCAAAGTGCTGGGATTACAGGTGTGAGCCACCGTGCCTGGCTCCCTGGTTTCTTTTAATGACAGTGTTAGATTTCAGTCATTTTTATATTCATTCATGTGTTTATGCATTTAGTGAATTAGTTATTACTTATGTTTGTAGAGATACAGCAGTCACTGTTCTCATAAATATTACATTATATTCAAGGAAGACAGACAATAAACTAAGTAAGTAAAATATGCTTTAATATATGTTTAAACATGTTTAAAGTATGTTAGGTTGTGGTAAGTGCTATTTCAAAAATCAACTCTAAAAGAGGCATGCCCCCATGTGTGAGAGCAGGCTGCTGTGATTTTAGGATAGATTGGTTAGGGAAGGCCTCACTGACTTGGGTAATCAGTCATTAACCCAGTCATGTAGACTTTAATCCTGTAATGCCTACAAAAATCTATTTTCCTTTAAATTTCCCTGAATAAAAACAGAAACCCCTTCTTTTCTTGACCACAAATGCTTGTTTTCTTTCTCTTTCTTTCTCATATTTTTAGAGCTTTCATTATCCTGCCCCTAGTCTAATTTTCAAAAAATCAAACCTGGATCATCTCACTCTGCTACTCTGAAATCTTGAGCAATTTCTAAGCAGACCTTTCTTGGGCCTGTGCAGACTCAGTGCTTCTGCCCTTCTGGGTCTTTGCACATTGTGTTTTCTTTTAGGAATGTTCTTCTACCCTTTGAAACCCTAGCCATGTTTCACAGTCCATCTCAAATAATGTCCCTTCCATGAAATTTTTTTCTGATTCCTTTGTCCTTGCTCACCCCATCCTTCAATCCTTGATGATAAGAATTGGTCTCTAAAGCATATTTTCATTAGTACAGCTCCTGACAAATTATCACTGCTCCAAAATGGTTTGTTAAATCAAATTGATATTTATCAGATTCCATTGAGAATCAGAGATCTCAACACAAAGTAGAGATTTTGATTTGGGTTCAATATACTGCTCATGAAAGTGCAGCTGAGGCTTAGGAGAAAAAGTGTTTAATAGAATACATTTCCAACAGAAAAAGGCTTTTAGTAATATAGCCTATTCTATGTTCAGAGACAGTTGGAGAGAATGTACTCACGTGAATTTATGTGGGCAGCTGGCTGTCAGCTGAACCATGTGGGAAGGAATCTGCCTTAAACTGTTTTCTGCTAAAATAAGCAACATTTTAGAAATGTTGTCTATCTCTTTAGATTAGTACTAAATTATCCCACAGCTCTTTGAAGCTCATCAAGTTGATAATTGTTTTCAATGATCTGTAAACAAGCTTGCTTGCTTGCTTTAAACAGTTAACTCTTGCTTATTTGCAAGATGCAGGTAACAAAGATGCAGGTAAAGATGAAGGTAACAAAGGATTGGAATTTAATAGGGGGAATTCAGTATATCAGCGTCCTTTCCCATTGGTTCCTGCCCTACAGCATATCATGCTGTACAACTGTGGGTACCAAAACTTCACTTCTGGGAGATTTAGCCCTTTATCCACCCTGAGCCACATTTACCAATATGAGAAAACTGCTTCTTCAACAGAGTCTGGAAATGGTTGGCTGTTTCCATATCTAGTATCCCTGGCATTAAGGTAGTGGGGCAGCCTCCCAGTTGGCCGTGCATTTTCCCTGGATGCCAATCTCACCGTCTAATCTTCCCTGCAACTAGCCAGTCAGTGCCTGGTCTTCTCTGTTTCTGCTTTGTAATCAAGTCAAAAATAGTGCTGCTATCCAGCCTTAAATTCTCTATTCACAGATTTGATTCCTGTTGGGCGAAAACCTAAAAAAAAAGAAAATCTTGCTTAGACAATTAGTTTCTGCAGGGCAAGTTTTTCAGAGATATATTTGCCAAAAGGGTATGTATAAAATAAAACAAAATTCCCATCTGCTGTTTCCAGCAGAAATGTCTGATTTGGAAATATCTTCTGTACCCAGAGGATTTGACACTGTTGGGCAAGCTTATAGACCTAAATCTGGATCTCTCCTCTTAAACAGAGGAGGCCCTTTAATCCAAGAAAATTTTGTTTGTAAATGGGCCCGTGCCCTTGTCAGGTGATGTTCATGATCTCATTTTAAGAAGAGACAGGTTAAAAATAGTAAACTGTATGATGTGAGACTTTTCCCCCTGATTTTCTGTGTTAATGTGTTTAAATTTCATTTTAAGTGTTAACACTTCATTAGTTAGAAATGTAATTGGGTGTTTTTCCTCATACTTTGAAGCTGAGTATGGAGTATTATAACTGTACTCACTAAGTCCATCTGCAGCCTATCACCTACCCATTTATCCTAGCCAGAACCTTAGGAATTATTTTTAGATATCTAAAATGGGGATGTGTTTTGCCTTTTAAATATCTCTTATTAAGGTCACCAGCAACCTGCATGTTGCAAAATCCAATGGACAAATTTTAATCCTCGTTTTTCTTTACTGTTAAAAAGGCACAGATGATCATTCTTTCTTCCTTGAAATGCTTTCTTCCCCTGGCTTCCAGTAAAGCCATGTGCTCCTAGTGTTTCACTAATTTCCCTAGTCGCTACTCAGTCATCTTTGCTTACTCCTCTTCCTTTTACTGATCTCTAATAATTAGAGCACCCTAGGTATCAGTTCATGGACCTCTTCCCTAGTAACAGTGACTCTCTAGTGATTTCATCCAGGCTTGTGGTTTAAAAATACCATTGATATGCTGATGACTCCCAAATTTATCTGTCTATCCCAGACTTCTTTCCTATATATCCAGACTCATATATCCAATGGTCCCCTTCTCATCAGCATTTCGATATTTACTTAGATTTGAAACCCAGTATATCCAAAGAAGAACTCCTCCTCATTCCTATTTAAGCTGTTTCCCATGGTTCTCCTCATTTCAACAAATAGCTGTTTTATCCTTGCACATGCTCAGGGCATAAAACTTGAGGTTATCCTTGAGTCCTCTTTCTTTTGTTGTTTTCATATTTTATATCCAATCTGTTGGGAAATCCTTTTGGTTCTTTCTTCAGAATATATGCAGAATACAGGTACTTCTCACTAACTTTACCTCTCCCAGCCACCAACATCTTTAACCTACTTATTACAGCTTCCTAACTAGTCTCCTTATTTCTGTCCTTGGCACCTTATAGTATTTGTTGAAGATACCAGTAACAATTACCATGTCACTTATCTACTCCAAACCCTTCAATATTTTCCCGCCTCTCTCAGAGCAGAAGTCAAAGGCCTTACAGTGTCTTACAGGGGACTATATTATCTGACTACTCGTTAAGCCTCTGAAATCATTTTTTTTATGATTCTCCTCCCATTCACAATATAGCAGCCACACTGGGCTCTTCCTCTCTGAGCAAACATACAGGATCAGACTGTCAAATCTGATAAACATGCATTAGAGATCTTGCCCAGTATCAAACTCTATTAATTAATGTCAAAGATACAGGCATTCTAACAGCTTAGACAAATGAGAGAGAGGTCCAGGATATCCAGGGCAGCTTCCAAGGTCCTTTCCACATTGGACAGGATTCTCTGGCTCAGAGCAGATGAAGTCTCCATATGATGTTCATGGGATTACTTCACATAGCAGGAATATTTAAATTATGAAACATCTCCATTTAATACTCTAGACAGTTCTATCTGTTGAAAATATTATCTAGGGAGATATACCTCATAAATCTTGCGTTCTGTTTACTATAGGAATCATTAGCTAGGGACATCTTGCTACGGGTATTTCAGAGATTGTTTCTGCCTCTTGGATAAATACTGTTAGTGTATTTACTTAGAAGTCCAGAGGACAAGGGGTGTAGACATAGTCAACTGCCTTCTCTTCAACCCCCACTCCCATTTCTTTTCTCCCACTCATACAAGCACAGCACTGCTGCAGGGCTTCTGTACTTGCTCTTCTCTATTATGGAAATGCTCTGGACTTAGATCTTCTCATAGCCGGCTCATTCACTTCATTCAGGCCTTTACTAGCATTCAGGCCTTTACTAACCCTCCCTGGCTACTCTGTATAAGATTTCAATCCCACTCCCTGATATATCCTCTTCCTCTTTCCAGCATTTTTCTCTTTTATACTTATCCCTATCTGAAATACTATTATATTATTTATTTATCTTGTTTATAGATTGTTTGTGCCATTAGAATATAAGTTCCTGTGGGATGAGATTTTTGTTTACTGTTTTATTCTTAGTGCCTTGAATGATACCCAGCCATAGTAGGTTCTACTGTGTATTTATTGATTGAATTCTTGTTTTTGCATCCCTACTACCACTACCTTGGCTGAGGACCTCATCATTTCTCACTTAAATTTCCACTGTCATCTCCTAACAGACTACTGGTATATTGTTTCCAACATGATCTTTTTAAAAGCCAAATCTGGTCATATCTCTCTCTCCAGCTTTATATTCTTCAGTCTATCCCCATAACCTTCAGGGTAAAATCATATTTCTTAGCATGACACCCAAGTCGTTGCTTACCTTTCTGACCTCAATGCAGTCCCTTTCTCACTTATACATATTTGTCTTTCCCCCGAAGGTCTTAATGCATTTTGTTTCTGAATTTTTATGCCTGAAATGGCCTATCTGAATCATCTGAATAACTAGCTCCTTGATGATTTAGCCTAAAACGATTTCCTGATGTTTCACTTTATTTTCTTTAGTCTGGATTAAGAATTCTCCTGTAGAAACCAGTACCTCTGTCTGCTATATCATTTACATGTTATGTTATACTTATTCTAGAAAGTATATGTCTTATTCACTAGACACCAGCCTTCCTGAGTTCTGTTCAAGACATTGGTAATTTAGTTCATAGTAGATCTTCACAATGTGCTGAATGAATGAAGCCCTGAATCAGAGAGTAAAGGGAATTTAGACTGGTAATAGCTTTTTAAAAAATATTTCTGACTTGGTCATACAAGACAAAGAAGAATAATTCCTTAATTAGTTTTCACCAATTTCATTTGTACTATACACAAAGAACAACAACTAAGTCAGTATTTCAGTGGGCTCTGGTCAGGGAGGGAAATCATGTTGTGGGGAGGTGTTGGTGAATATACGGGGAATATTATGAGGTTCATTTACCTCAGAGAGCTAAACTATGATGAGAGAACTTTCAGGAGACTTGTTCATCTTTATCCTATACTTAAAGGCGGTGGAGAAATTAGCCATAATTAAATGCTTGTCATGTTATTAAATAGATGAATTTAAAGAAGTTAATGGAAGTTTCTTGACCTATGAACTTGTTACATTATACTGAGAATTACGTGTTAACTAGAGAAGGGCATCTTTTTTACTGAGATTCATAGTGCTTGGCTTCCTGGAATTTTCATTCCTGATTCCAAATATCCCTCATTTCAAACATCATGTTTTTTTATCCTCATGTATTTACGCTGTAATCAAGAATAGTAAGAATTGCCATTTTAAAATTATCATTTATCTACTGATTTAATTTAAGCTGGTCTGTTTTTATTAAATTCACAAATGGGAAGCTTGATAAGACAATAAAAAATTCTCTATTGTCACGTATTTATAGTATAATTTTATGTCTGTAATTTTTAATACCTGTTTCGATTGTATACTCCTTTAGAGAAAGTTTCTTCCTCATATTTCACATGAAAATGACTTATTCTTACATATTTTCTAAAGTACCACAACCCAGTATGATTAAATTGTTTTGCAAAATAGAATTCTGAAGTGTATAAGAATATTGTCATGAAAATATAGGTAGAGACCTTCACATTACCTTATAGGTGCCATCCCAAAATTTTGAATCTACTTTGTTGTTTTAGTTAACATCATCTCTCTTGATTAGGTCTAAAAATGAATTACCTTGTACCATATTCTGCTCTGTAGTGAACTGGCCAAGGGGACAATGTACCTTAATCCCACTTTTGTAGAATTCAAATTACAGTTTACATACAGTCATGAGCCACATAATGATGTTTCAGTTAACAATGAGCTGCATGTATGATGGTGGTCCCGTAAGATTAAAATGGAGCTGAAATATTCCTATTGCCTAGTGAAGTCATAGCTGTCATAGCATTGTAGCACAATGCACTACTCGTGTGTTTGTGGCGATGCTGGTGTAAACAAACCTACTGTGCTGCCAGTTGTATAAAAGTCTAGCCCAAACAATTTTGTACATTACGTAATCCTTGATCATGATAACAAATAACTGTTACTGGCTTATGTATTTACTATGCTATACTTTTAATCATTTTAGAGTGTAGTTCTTCTACTTAAACAACAACAAAAGTTAATAGTAAAACAGCCTTAGGCAGGTCCTTCAGTAGGTATTCCAGAAGAAGGCTTTGTTATGATAGGAGATGACAGCTCCATGCATGTTTTTGCCCCTGAAGACCTTCCAGTGGGACAAGATGTGGAGGTAGAAGACAGTGATATTGATGATCCTGACCCTGTGCAGGCCTAGGCTAATTTGTGTGTTTGTGTCTTAGTTTTTAAGGAAAATATTTAAAACATTTTTTAAAAAAGAAAATATTTTTTTAAAATAGAAAATGACTTATAAAGGTTTAAAGAAAAGTATTTCTCTGCAGCTATATAATGTGCTTGTTTTAAGCTGTGTTATTACAAAAGTCAAAAAATTTAAGATTTTAAAAGTTATAAAAATATGCGGTAAGTTAAGCTTAATTTATTATTATTATTATTATTGTTTTAAAATTATTTTTTAGGGACAGGGTCACTTTGCCTCCCAGGCTGCAGTGTAGTAGTGTCATTATAGCCCACTGCATCCTTGAACTCCTGGCCTCAAGAGATCCCCTGCCTCAGCATCCTGAGTAGCTAGGACTACAGGCATGTGCCACCACTCTCGGCTAATTTTAATAAATTTTTTAATTAAAATTAAACTTAAGCTATGTTACCCAGGCTGGTCTAAAATTCCTGGCCTCGAGTGATCCTCTTGCCTTGGCTTCCCAAAGTTTTGGGATTACAGTCATGAGCCACCATGCCCAGCCTAATTTATTATTGAAGAAAAAATTTAAAATAAATTTTGTGTAGCCTAAATGTACAGTGTTTATAAAGTCAACAGTAGTGCAGTAAAGTCCTAGGCCTTCAGGTTCACTCACCACTCACTCACTGATTGACCCAGAGCAACTTCCAGGCCTGTAAGCTCCATTCTTGGAGCTTATACACTTTATACAGGGTACCATTTTAAATCGTTTATACCAGATTTTTACTTTACCTTTTCTATGTTTAGACATGTTAGATATGTTTAGCTATGCAAATACTTATTGTGTCACAGTTGCTTACAGTATTCAGTACAGTCACATGTTGTACAGGTTTGTAGCCTAGGAGCAATAGGCTATACCTTATAGCCTACATGTGTGGTAGGCTATACCATCTAGGTTTGTGTAAGTACACTTCACATAATGATTAAATTGCCAAAGTTATGCATGGCTATAATTAATTATTTTATTTCCTCATTTAGTGGTCATTCAGTACTTAAGTATAAGTACTGAAAAGTGTAGTTTTAACATATTTATTTCAAAAATATGTTTTTCTGGCTAGGCACGGTGGCTCACACCTATAAGCCCAGCACTTTAGGAAGTCAAGGCGGGCAGATCGCTTGAGGTCAGGAGTTTGAGACCAGCCTGGCCAACATGGCGCAACCCCATCTCTACTAAAAATACAAATGTAGCCAGGTGTGGTTGCAGGTACCTGTAATTCCAGCTACTTGGGAGGCTGAGGTGTGAGAATTGCTTGAACCTGGAAGGTGGAGGGTGCCAGGAGCTGCAATCATGCCATTGCATTCCAGCCTGGGCGACAGAGCAAGATTCTTTTTCAAAAAAATAAAAAAAGTAAAATTAAAAAATGCTTTTCTTCATAAAACCAGTATTTTAAATGGTATTAATATATATTAGCCATCGTGTAGAAGATATATAAATATGCATGAACAATATGGATGGTAATTAGTGATTAAGGCCCTACTACCTTGTGAACATATTTTATATTTTACCCTTGATCTTCTTGTTTTCAATCAATTCACCTTTTTTTCTTCTCAAGTATGTACATTGTACTCTGTGATCACCCACACATGAGGGGTGACATGTTAACTAATCTTTTAATGTATTGCTCCAAATATCTTCATCATTGAGATTTGTGGTAGCAGGAAGCATAATGGAACAACTCTTAGTTATCATTATTTTGTTGATGTTTCAAGAGTTTCTTTATTAACCTTTGTGTTAAGTTGTGGGGTTTAGTAATTACATATCATTGTGCTAGGAAAACATGCCTTGCTTAATTATTAAATCAAATATCCTTTAGAGAAAGGTGTTTTAACCATGTGTTCTCACTCATAAGTGGAGTTGAACAATGAAAACACATAGACACAGGGAGGGGAACATCACACACCGAGGCCTGTTGGGGGCTGGGGGGCTGGGGGAGGGATAGTGTTAGGAGAAATACCTAATGTAAATTACGAGTTGCTGGGTGCAGCAAAGCAACTGGCACATGTATACCTATGTAACAAACCTGCACTTTATGCACATGTACCCTAGAACTTAAAGTATAGTAATTAAAAAAAAGAAAAAGAAAAAGGTGTTTAAAAGATGTATAGGCCGTATATTTTGTACCAGTGTAATCATTCACTGTGTTGTTTAAGCAAATAAGCTAGTTTAAGCTTATAATGAGTTTTTAATTTATAGAGAAACGAATCAGTAGGGCAAAGAAAGGTGCAAAATCTTGGAAGAATTTGCCTTGTATAATAATGGAAGACTCACATGAGTAAAATCCCTACTGAACTAGCTTTTGTTGGACTAAAGAATGCAATTATATTAAAAATTAATACTTCAGTCTAATACAAATCCAATGCTGCCTGAATTATTATGTGCCAAATTAGGTTGCTATAAACAATAACAAAATGGGTGATTGTGTAAATGAAAGCATGGAGTTATTTAAACTTGCAATTGCATGTTTAATGAGATGCATTGAAAGCGGAAAATGTTTAATTTAGTAACGGGTGACCTGAATCAGTCTGTCCTACAGAATGATAGGCTTTTGGACTAATTTTCAGTTAAAACACAGTAATTGAATAACACCCCTATTAATATGTAATATGGACTATTTCATATTATTCATTTTTATTAAGATGGCTCTTTTAGTATGACAGCTGTCAGTTGGAATTATTATGAGTTCTGTGTGAAACACTACCAACCAAGTTAAGCCTTTGTTGGATTTTTCTCTTTTAGAATCTGAGAAAACTTGTTGTTATCTTCTGGTTAGATTATATTAAGATCATAACCTGATAAATGTGAAAGAGAAAAACTTGGGCTGTGGCATTTGGCTGGAATATAATTGTGTAGGTCTACTCTACTTTTATTTATTGTAGGTAGTTTAAGGTGCTTACTTAGAAAAATGATGGACTCATCATCTTTAGAAAGATCTCTGGAGTTGATTATCTACCCAGATGTTATTTAGTCAAGTACCTGAAACTGCTTCTTGCCTTTGCGTTTTTTGTCTTTTAGAGTCAATACAATTCAGGTATTGTGAAAATGTTTTTTCTCAGAGGGTGTGAATTCACAGTATATGA